>NC_000013.11:55908106-57158106 GCF_000001405.40 Homo sapiens
GAAAGAAATTCAAAAAGACAACGGAGGAGCCAAACTGTTTTCATAAAACAGAAGACTCAAACATTTTTAAACTCAGTATTTTTCAAGATGTTAATTTTCCTCAAATTGATTTAGTTTCCATGCCATTCCAGTAAAAGTTATAATAGTTTTATTTTTAAATAGAAATTGGCAAATTCTAATATTTATAGGTAAAATTCAAAGAGGTAGATTAACCAAAGAGTTTTGAAAAAGAAAAAAATTGAAGAACTCACAAACTTAACATTATGATTTACTTGTATATAAAACAAGAGAATAATCAAGGCAGTTTAGTATTGGCATAAAGATAAATGTGTAGAAAATTGAACAGAATAGTTTAAAAATACTGTCACACATATAACTGATTGATTTATTGAGCAAAAGTACACAGGTAAAGCAACTGGGAAAAATATGATTTTTTCAAGACTTGTAGAAAAATGACGTCTTGAGCGAAAATAATGAATACATATCAGCTTTTACCACAGATTGCTAAAAAATAGCCAAATTATAGACTTAAATAAAAAACATAAAATAAAAATAATTGAAAGAAAAAAGAGGTGATAATTATTGTGACATTGAGTCATATAAGGATTTTTTAGATAAGACAAAGTACAATAGGTAAAATAACAAAACAATATATTAACCTCATCAAATTTTAAAAAGTCTGTTCTTTGAAACCACTTTTAGGAAAAAAAGATAAAAAGCTGACAGAGTGAACATATTTCTAAAACATATACCTCATATAGGATTCATATGCAGGATTTTATAAGTTCTTACAATAAAATAAGACAAAAAACCCAGTTTTTAAAAATTAGGCAAAAGATTTAAACAGACAATTCACCAAAGAAAAATAGGTGTCAAATAGCACATGAATAGATGTGGAAAACACTTAGATATTAGCTAAATAAAAATTTAAATTATAATGAGACACCATCATGCATCCACTAGGGTAAGATTAACAAGAACAAGGACAACAGCAAAAATTACAACAAAGTCTAACAATACAAAATACTAATGAAAAAGCAAAACTAAGTAAAATGTCATATGTTGCTGGTAGGAAAATAGCTTCTTAGAAGAAAATTGGTTGTTTCTTATAAAGTTAACCCACATATAACGTAAGAACATGAAATGTGACTGCAAGGTATTTCTTTCCAAGAAAACTGAGTGTATGTTTCCAAAACAAAGAACTGTATATGAGTGGCATCCCTATTTATAATAATAAAACATAGAAACGATAAAAATTTCCATCAACTGGGAATTGATGAAAACATTCTGGAACATATATATATATATAGAGAGAGAGAGACAGAGAGAGAGAGAGAGAGATGAAATATGTTGCAGGACTATAGAGGAAGAAACTACTATATCAAGCAACTTAGATTAATCTTAAAAATATTACTCTAAGTGAAAGGAACTAAGTATGGAGAAGTCTATACCATATGATTCCATTTGTTTTACAATATGGGAAATAAAAAATTATAGGTACAAAATCATACATATGGTTGCCATGAATTAGAAATGGGAAAAGAAATTTGTTACAAAGATGCATGAGATAACTTTCTGGATTGATAAAAATACTGTATATCCCAATGGTGGTGGTAGTTTCGTGTCTATAAATATTTGCAAAAACACAGTGATCTATGCACCTATAAAGGGTGAAGTTTACTGTATGTACATTACACCTTGGTAAATCTGATTTAAAGTAATTAAAGTGAATTACAGACATCATTTGGCAAACTAATTTAAGAGACATCATCTCCAGTAGACTTGACTGAATTTTAATTTTCAATAGACTAAATGAATACAAGTTGGAAGTAAAGCTTTCATTCAACAGAAAATGAGGAATGTGATAAGTGTAAATACGTAAGTGCAGTATTTATAAATAAATATTTATAATAAATACATTTAACTTATAATAAATGTATTTATTATACATAAATATTTTAAACAAAACAAATTAGAATTTCTGAGATAATTTTAAAAATAAATATTTTCTGAAATTTTGGGAAATGCAGTATTTGGGCAGGAAAACAAAAATGCCTGTTCTCACCTAGGTCCGTGAGGGTGAAGACCTAGCCAGACACCATGCCCTCCTCTACCCAGCACTTCCCATCCCCCATTCCATATCATTCAAAGGGACCACTTTCTTCCCTTCCCAGCACTCCCATATCAATGGGAGTTAGCACTCTCATGTGTCTCCTGAAACTAATACTTTGGCCAAAAAAAATCATTATTTTATACAATGCATAGTTCTACATATTGAGAATAAATTAAGATCATGATAAACAAATACTCTGAGATAAAACTAGTTGAATCCGGTGTATTTTAGATAAAGATCTGGAAAAAATGAACTTGAAACCAATAAGAGTTCAAGAGTGGTTTTTGATGCATGATTTGAAAAGAAAAAAGATGTTTCAAATGTAGGACCAGACTTGCATTGATTCTTTTGTTGCTTTTGGTCCTATTCCAGTAACACATTAATGTGCATATCAATATCTCTGCTGGGAAGCAAGCATCATTTATTTTCTATTTTCTCGTATCCTGCATCTGCCTATTCCCCATCATTAAAAAAAAACATTATTTTAATCTTCTTCTACAGTTGCTAAAGACTCTTATGGATCTGTTTTCAAATTAAAAACAACATAGGTTTTAGTACTATTCAAGTAAAAAATCCTTAAAATTTGTAAATCATCGTTATTGGTTTAGGTTTACATATTCTATTATCTCTGAAACCTCAAAATAGCCTTAAAAGATATTCAATTTCCTATCAAAAATATTCACACTTTTCTCTGTCCTGACACACCAAGTTATAGCCCTTGATTTGGGTATTAATTAAAGGTTAAGTTGATGTTAGAAACAGTCGCCCCCTCTTTCTACTCCTCCTCCCCACTCCTTTTACGGTATCAAGTAAAGAATTATATAAAACTGAGCTTATTTGGGCTGAATGGAGTTTTATAATTAACTAGTAGTATGTCCTGAGGCATGAATTTTGGAAGAATGATCCAAATTGTTAACCATAAGTGGAGTAAATGACCTAAAAAAGGACTAACACCGAAAATGTCCTAAGCATTCAGGATCATCTGGTCACCCAAAACCATAACTACAATGGAATGATCTAGACAGCAAGGTCACAGGCATAATTCATGGAGTCAGTTAAAGATGTAGTGCTGGAGTAGTTCTTATAAGCACCTTAGTTTTGAAGTGCTATAAACTTCAATTATTTCTTAACTTACATGAAGTGCTTATATACTTCATACAAGTTAAGAAATAATTGAAAACAGAATTTTGTAAGGGTTAAGTGTATGTTTAACATTCACTTGAGGGACCTAAATATCGGTTGCTCCTACTGGCACAAAATATTGAAATAATTGCCAGTGATTGGCGGTGCAGCAGGCACATTTAAATTACAATCATGAATGGGCGCGGTGGCTCATGCCTGTAATCCCAGCACTTTGGCAGGCCGAGCTGGGAGGATCACTTGAGCTCAGGAGTTCGAGGCCAGCCTGGGCAGGACGGTGAGACCCTGGCTCTACAAAACTAAATAAATAAGGAAGCAGTAAATTACAATCATGAATAAATCATCTGTCACATATTCTCCTTTTCATTCACCAAAACCTTGTGAAGTTAACAAACACAGTCTCTGTTTCATAACCTTATTTTATGAAAAAATAGGGCTTATAGTTTATCCAATTTATGTCCTAGCTTCTTAGGGCTTTATTTAGTAAGTCTTTATGCCAGCTTCTCTGTTCCTATAGGAGACATCATGTTTTTTTAAGCTGCTTACTCCTCTTTTGTATGCATTTTGTAACGCTTGAAGTAGTTTGTTCCTTTTCTTTCTTTTGCTTAATGAAGCAAAAAGTATCACAAATACAACTGACTCAGTTATATATAAGACAATCCTTTTTTTTTCCGCAAGGAAATCTCAGCAAACTGGCAAGTACAGAGAAGGAGGAAATCTACATGGTTGCTAGAGGTTCTCAAAAGGGATTATAGAGACTATAGAGGGGAATCCTTCAAATCATCCTGATATGTGTGGTCACAAAGGAAAAAATTATAAAGAATTAATTTAAGACTTCATCTTAGGTGATTTCTTAGACATAGCATAGCAAAAAAGGATATTCAGAGAGTGGAACAACACAGTGACACAGCATAAAATACTCAAGAAGCTGTCACATATCAGTCAATTACTAATTGTTATTATTTCTTTTAGAAATCTGTGGGAATGTGACTCAAATTGTAAGCAAGGGGCAATAAAGATAATTCATTTTCATCAACATTGATTATATCATGTCTGTGTCACACACTGTGCCTCTACTAAGAACATGTGAGCAAACCTGATAGACATGTTCCTGTCCTCATTGAGTTTACCATCAAAGTAGCAAAGGATGGGAATATAGGCACATGACAGGTATTAAACAGTTAATCATAAAAATGTGATGCAAGTACATAAAACTCTGATATACAAAGATAAGTTGGCATTTTGGTAGCAGTTCGAAGGCCAAAATGTTGCTTTTTTCTTTTTTTGGATGAGATGAGATACCTTTAAATTCTATATATTGTGCTTGGGAGTCTATTGTGTACTTATTGTATATACAGAGTTGCTCAGAGGTGCATGATACACATGAGAGATGTAGAATTAAAAGTTTAGAAAGTCATTTTTAAAAAGGTGGTGGTAACAAAAGCATGGAGAACAATTAGAACAAAGGTAAAAACACCATTTAGGAGAAAACGCTACACAATAGACAAGTTAAAAAGACCAAATCCAAGCCACTTGCAGTAGTGACAAAGAGGAGTGGACTGATTTGAGACAGTGTTTAGAAGTAGAATTAATGTAACTTATATCAAGGTAGCATAGATTTTATT
Organism: Homo sapiens; assembly: GCF_000001405.40. Classification (NCBI taxonomy): domain Eukaryota; kingdom Metazoa; phylum Chordata; class Mammalia; order Primates; family Hominidae; genus Homo; species Homo sapiens. Next base: position 55,912,985 of record NC_000013.11, read on the forward strand.
TTTGATGTGCTTGGCTTTGTTTAAAATGAAAGCAGTCAACACTATCCCGGGTAGAGAGAAATGGACACTGCTGGAGGCTGTAGAAATTGTCACATCTCTTTTGGGAAACAAGCTGGTAATATGTATGAAGAGTTCTCGAATTACTCATGCTCTTGACAGTTATTCTACTTTTGGGAATCTAACATATAGAAATAAATGAGAATAAAAGAAAAGTGTCTTGCATAAAGAAGTTCAATAAAACATTATTTATAATCATAAAATAAATGAAAGCTGTCTACATATTCAGTGCAAGGGAGGTAGTTAAATAAATTATTATGTGGAGTTTAAAAATCTTACACGTTAAATAACATAAATCTAACATGAAATTAAGTGTCCTATGAACTAAGCGTCACTAAGGATTATACTTAGTGAAAATATATGTAGGAAAAACAGGACTATCAGAAGCATGTTTTTAATCCTAAATGATACGATTATTTTATATTTTTCTTCATTTTCAAGATATTTTAATGTAAACATGTATTCTGCTTATAACCAGAGATTAATGAAATTATCATTCTTAGAATGTGGTGACCCATTTTCTATAGTGGTAAGAAATAAAATTAAAATTGATAGTAATAACTTCTACCAGATTTCTGGCTTTCTGTCTTGACATAAATACTATGAAGCAGATTATATTCTGAAGGAAAAATTGTGCATAAATTTGGATTTCTGAATCAAGGAGGCTATGAAAACTTTAAAGGGACACCAGAAAAACATTACAGTGAGGTCTAGAAACTGAGAAACCACACACACACACACACACACACACACACACACACACACACACACCCCAAAGCCATGCCTTAAGATAAAATGGCTAAAGTAGCATTTGCACAGTGAAATTCTGGATGGTATAAAAATCAATAGGCAAATAAAGGAAACAATAGAAAAGAGAAGACTGGGCCATAGAGATGAAAAGGTAATCATTTAACATATTTATATACCTATCAATCCACCAATTTTTCATTTAACATATATTTATTATGAAATTATATGTCAAGGATTAGTATAGATTCAGTAATACAAAAAAAAAATTTATATGCCTCAAGGGGAGTACTGTGGAGCTGGGGAGCAGAAACACAAGCGGACTTCGCAATGCAGTTAATAGGTGAAGGCTGTGCAGAACCACCAGGGAGAAGAAAAAGGGAAGTGAAGAGAGAAAAGGACTTCAGAATGCAAATAAAATTATCAAAAGGGTCAGTGTTTATGAATTCACTATTTCATGTATCAGAATGCATCTAATGGCTTACTGGAACACAGTTGTTGAGGTAGATATTGTCCTTCAATTGGAATGATGGACAGAAGAGTGTGACAGAGTGTAAAAGAGTGAAGAGGATGTGAAGACCGAATGGGTGTGGCAGTGCCATTAGAGAAGGGCTGAAGATAAACAAGAGGTGACCAAGCTGGGGAAGAGAAAATGTAGAGTATTCAGAGGAAACTAGAAATCTTAACCTAAAAGACAGACTAATTGTTCACTATACTTGAAGACTGTAAGAATATAAAAAGTTGAAAAATTACTAATTGAGTATAATTTCACTATTAAGTGATGAGTACACTGAAAGCCCAGGCTTCACCTCTATGCAATCTATGCATGTAAGAAATCTGTATTTGTACCCCTCAAATATATAAAATTTTAAAAATTATTTTATTTTATTATTATTATTATTATTTTTTATTTTTGAGAGGGAGTTTCACTCATGCTGCCCAGGCTGGAAATGTAGTGGCGCAATCTCGGCTCACCACAGCCTCCGCCTCCTGGGTACAAGCGATTCTCCTGACTCAGCCTCCCGAGTAGCTGGAATTACAGGCATGTGCCACCACGCCCAGCTAATTTTTTGTATTTTTAGTAGAGATAGGGTTTCTCCATGTTGGCCAGGCTGGTCTCAAACTCCTGAGCTCAGGTGACCGGCCTGCCTTGGCCTCCCAAAGTGCTGGGATTACAGGCGTGAGTCACCGCGCCTGGCCTAAAATTTTAAAAATTTAAAAGTGTTTCCATAACAGCAATAATCTAGGGAATTGATGCTTTTTGTCTCTTTGAGGCAACTTGGATAAAAATGATTGATACCAGAACCAAGAAAGAATATTGAAAACAAATTTCAAAAGTTAAACATCCGAAGTAGACTCTTAGAAGAATGAAGTAAATGATGAAAACTAGCTAGGAATGTTCTTGAGTGATCGATCACAGTATATGTGGAGAGATACAAATTCACATAAATACGATTTTGTCTAATTATTCTCAGCAGTTCATTTTTCAATATGGAGCAAACCTACTACAGGACTAATTTGTGGCAAAAGTTTTTACACATATAGAAGCCAAATTGAAATACGAATATTATAAGGTAAAAAATGTATTTAGTCACTTAAAATAGTCTATACAAAGACAAATAGCTTACTGGAAGCTGGAAGTGTTCAGATATATTCACAATTTTCCACTTTTATTATGATGGAGTAACTTGAGGAAGAACAACGTTTCTTCCAAGAAACACTATAAAAGCCAGTTAATATATAAATCAAAACGAAACCAAACAAAATAGAAACAAAAAACAACAATTCTGAGCATAGGTTTTGGAGTATTGCTGAGGCAAATAGAAACTGAAGAGAAAAAGACCCCAGTGGGAAGGATGGAGCAGAGAAGTAAGCCAATACTTTTAAGCCACCTTTTCTCCCTATATGAATTGAAACTCTTTTCAACTCATTTTATTAGGCTAGCATAACACGCATATCTAAACCAGAAAAATATGCCAGAGTTGGGCACAGTGGTTTACGCCTTTAATCTCAACACTTTGGCAGGTCTTAAAAGACTGCTTAAGGTCAGGAGTTTGAGACCAGCCTGAACAATACCAGGCTCATGGTGAAAGGTTGGGGATCTGGGAAGAGGGATAATAGTGAAAGTCAGAAATGCCAACAGATTTGGTTATCAATGGTGTTAGAATGAGAAAAAGAGAAATTCATGACAAGCTATCAAGAAAGCCAGGGCATGTATTGCCAAGCTCCTGGTGAGAAAAGAGGAGCAAGGACATAATTCTGAGAAGTATCAGGCTTTCTCCCTGAAGACATGAATTATTCAATGGCACAAAGCAGAAAAATGAGATGGTATGAAGATGATAAAGACCAGTGTGGATATATTTCTCAGTCTTATGGTGTTAAAAGATCAAAAAATGGAGTTTATGAGCCTCTGAGAAAGGGCCCTAATAAAAACATCAGTGTGTCATTTGGAGTAACAGGATATCTTCATACTGGAAGTGGGGATGCTATAAAGGAAAATTAAGCATTACCAAAACTATAACCCAAACAGAAAATATACAATGTCTGAAATTTAATGACAAAAGTAGATTGTGATTAATTAAAGATGTATATTCTCAACATTAAACAAATCACTAAATACGCAAAAAAGAGTTATATCTAACAGGCAAAAAACAAGATAGAATGAAATAATAAAAAATATTCTATTATTTGGGAAAAAAGAAGAAAACAAGAAAAAGGGGAATGAAAAACACATAGAATGAATATAAGTAAGATAGAAAGATAATAGATTAAACTGTAATGATATAATCATCTTAGATGCAAATGGTCTAAACACCTTAACTGAGAGGCAGAGATTGTTAAATTACATGAAAGGGCAAGATTGAAGTCTATGTTGGTGACATATATTTAGACACACAAATAAGAGAAAAGTACACAAAAACGTATATTATGCCAACACTGGCCAAAAGTAAACCAAATTGACTATATTAATATCAGAAAAGATAGATATCAGAGCAAATATTATTAAGATGGAAAAAGAAGGTAAATTTATCATTAAAAAGAAACCAGTTTATCAAAATAATATAACATTCTTAAATATATATGCACATAATAGCAAATATTAAAGACACATGAAGCCAAAAAAATTGAAATTGGGAGGGACAATAGAAAAATTTACAAGAGTGCACTCCTATATGACTCATGTGACAAAGAACATAGGAGAAATTAATAAGAAAATTAAATGTAAATAAAACACAGCGTGTCAAAATTTGTGGGTTAGCAATAAAGTCAAAGTTAGAGAGAAATAGCCATTCTTAGGAATGAAGAAAGGTCTCAAACCAATAATCTCAGCCTAATCTTAAGACTACAAAGAAAATAGATAATCACTCAATGTAAGAAGCACAAAGAAAATAGAAAAAGATAGCAGCAATAAGTAAAACATAAATCTGAAAAAAAGTATGAAACAAAATACTGATTTTTAGAGAAAATCTAGCTCCAAATTGATCAGGACAAAAAGAGGCAAGGTACAAATAACCAATATCCAGCATAAGAAAATGTGCATTTCTACTGATCCTACCTATATTCCAAGATAATATTCTGAACAATGTTATGCCAAAATATTTGACAATCTAGTTGAAATTGATGAAGTCGTAAAAGACAAAAGCTCCCGGATCACTTCAAAAATGAATTATATGACTCAAATAAACCTACATCTTATAAAGAAGTTGAATTTATAATAAACTTTCTTTATAATCTAGTATCAGATGGCTTCACTAGTCAATTCTATCAAATATTTGTGAAAGAACTCATAACAATTTTACCAAAACTCCTTCAAAAAATTTAAAGTGGAGGAAACTCTGTTCAACTCATTTTATTAGGCCAGCATAATACTCATATTTAAATCAGAAAAATATGTCAGAGTTGGGCACAGTGGTTCAAGCTTTTAATCTCAACACTTTGGCAGGTCTTAAAAGACTGCTTAAGGTAAGGAGTTCGAGACCAGCCTGAGCAACATAGTAAGACCACATCTCCTAAAAAAAAAAATTAGCTGGATGTGGTGGCATATGCCTGTAGTCCTAGCAACTCAGGAAACTGAGGCAGGAGGATCATTTGACTTCAGGTGCTTCAGGCTTCTGTGAGTCAGGGTCGCACCACTGCACTCCAACTTGGGCAACAGAGTAAGATCCTGTCTCTAAGAAGAAAAAATAAAGTAAAAGAGAAAAAAGAAGTGCACACTAATATTAACCATAGATATAAATGAAATATTTTACTACATCAACCCCAAAGATATTCTAAAAAAAAATTCAGATTGAGCTGAGTTTATCTTAGGAAAGAACATTGCTTTTACATTTGATAATCAACCATTGTAGCTCTTTGTATTTTGCTGACATAAAATTTAAGAAGGACATGCTCATATTCTTCACTTTTCATGCCCTTATTTCTCTCTCATAGCTTCTTCTTCTTGCCTTCAACATGATTCTAATAATGAAGACACACTACTTCTGGCCAGCAGACACGTCATCTAAAAAGAAGAGAGGACCTCTTTCTGTGAGCGGCTGTATCATATCTGAAAATGGGATTTTGTGGTCCTATTAAAGGCACAATCAGAGGCTTTTGGTAAAACGAGAGAGCCCCAAGTCTTGTTGGATAAAAGTAGTATTAGTGTCCTATGAATATTTGGCATTCTTGTCATCATCAATATTTTCTTATAATGGTATTTATCAAAATTGACGCAACTTGTCCTTAATAGTCAATCAAGTGTTTTTTTTTTTGTTTTTTTTTTTTTTTTGCTTTTACTGGCAATGTCACATCCCCAAAACTTCTCTGATTACAAGATCTCATAAATTTGCTTAATATAATCTTTGACATAGGCTTTTGAGAATTTAGTGACTTGTAATCAGCTGTAGACTCAAGAATATTCCATTGCTTACAGATGCAAGGAATGTACCCTCTCAGTACTTTATAAATACATGTGCCTGTTTTTATTATATGTTACATGAGTGAAAGGTGATACTCTATTAAATTTCTAACATCACTCAGAGCCATATTCAGAGTTTGTGAAACATTATACACAGCTTGGCAGCCCACACAATTATGAATGTTAAGTTAGATAAGAAAGTGAACATTTAAAACACCTAAAGTAAATCAAAACAAACTGCAAATTACAAAAAAAGATATTAGATACAGGCATACTCCATTTTACTGAATTTCACTTTATCATACTTAACAGGTAATTGCATTTTTTTTATAAATTGAAGGTTTGTGGAAATCCTGCATAGAGCAAGTCAGTTGGTGCCATTTTTCCAATAGCATCTCTGTGCCACTTCATGTTTGTATGATATTTTGGTAATTCCTGCAATATTGTAAACATTTTCACTATTATTATATTTATTATGGTGATGTCTGATTAGCAATGTTCTAGGCCATGAACTGTACCCCTATAAGAGGATACATTTAATCAATACATGTTTGAGTTCTGTGAAAGCAAGGCCTCTAGTGTCAAACAGCCAAGTTTTGAATTCAAAGGGAAAGTTACTGAAGGAAATTAAAAGTAACATTTCAGTGAACACACGAACGATAAGAATGTAAAACAGCCACACTCTGACATAAAGTTTCAGTGGTCTAGACAGAAGATAAAATCACCAACAACATTCCCTTAAACCAAAGAGTAATTCAGAGTAAGGTCCTAACTCTCTTTAATTTTATGAAGGCAGAGAGAGGTGAGGAAGCCATCTCCATTACAGAAAAGTAAAGGTGAAACAGCAAGTGTTTGTGTAGAAGCTGCAGAAAGTTATCCAAAAGATGTAGCTAAGATGACTGATAAAGGTGGCTACACTAAACAGATTTCCAATGTAGGCAAAACAAGTTTATATTGGCAGTAAATGCAACATAGAACTTTCATAGCTAGAGAGAAGTCAATATCTTGTTTCAAAACTTTAAAGGACTCTTTAATTCTCTTGTTAGAGGATAATGCAGCTAGTGACTATAAGTTGAAGTCAATGCTTATTTACCCTTCTAAATATCCTATGGCCCTTAAGAATTGTATTAAATTCACTCTGCCTGTGCTCTATAAATGTAAGAACAAAGCCTGGATGACAGCACGTCTGTTTACAGCATGGCTTACTGAATATTTTAAGCCCACTGTTGAGACTTACTGTTCAGAAAAAAAAAGAAAATTCCTTTCAAAATATTGCTGCTCATTGACAATTCACCTGGTCACTCAAGAACTCTGAGGGAAATGTGCAAGGTGAATATTGTTTTCATTTATCTTAACACAACATCCTTTCAGTAGCCCAGGGATTAAGGAGTAATATGGACTTTTAATTCTCTTTATTTAAAAAACACATTTCATGAGGCAATAGCTGCCATAGATATTGATTCCTCTGTTGTATCTGGACAATGTGTCTTGGTCTGTTTTCTGTTGCTCATAACAGAATATCTGAAATCGGATAATTTATAAGAAACAAAATTTATTTTTTACTGCTCTGGAGGCTGGAAAATTCAAGGTCAAGGGGGTGTATCCAGTGAGAACTTTCTTGCTGGTGGGAATTCTCAGCAAAGTTGCAATGAGGTGCATGGCATCATATGATAACAGTCCTGAACATGGTGGCTCAGGTCTCTCTTTCTCCTCTAATAAAGGCACCAGTTACATTACCATGGTAACTCATTAGTTCATTATCTCATTAATCCATTAATCCTATCAACTTGGATTAAATTCAGCTCCTAATTTAATCATGGGGCTGAATCCTTCTGACCCAATCACCTTTTAAAGACTCCATCTACCAAAACTACTACACTGGGGACTAAGTTTCAACATGAATTTTGGAGGAGAAAAATAGTCAAGCATAGTACAAAGTAAGTTAAAAACTATCTGGAAAAAAATCCACCATTGTAAATGCCATTAAGAACATTTATGAATCACTGGAAAAGTCAAAATATCAACATTAACAAGAGTGTAAAAGATGTTGATTCCAATCCTCATGTATCCCACTAAGGGTTTCAGGACTTCAATGGAGGAAGAAACTGAAGATGTGGTAGAAGTAACAAGAGAAATAGAATTAGAAATGGACCTCAAAGATGTGCATGGCATGAGATGGCTATAATCTCATGATAAAACTTGAATGGATAAGGAGTTGCTCCTTATGGCTGAGCATGTGAAGTCGTTTCTTGAGTTGGAACCTACTCCTGGTGAAGATGCTGTGAAAATTGTAATGACAACAAAGGATTTAGAATATTACATAAGCTTAATTGATAAAGCAGTGGCAGAGTTTGAAAGAATTGGCTCCAATTTTGAAAGAAGTTCCATTGTGGATAAAATGTTATTAAACAGCATTGAATGCTACAGATGAATCTTTTGTTAAAGGGAGAGTCGATTGATGTGGAAAACTCCATTGTTATCCTAAGTTATTTCCACAGCCACTCCAGTGTTCAGAAACCGCCACTCTGATACATTGAGGAAAGACTCTCTACCAGTAAAAAGATTATGATGCGCTGAAGTCTCAGATGATCATTATCATTTTTATTGACAAAATATTTTTCTGTAATCCTAGCACTTTGGGAGGCCGAGGTGGGCAGATCACGAGATCAGGAGATCGAGACCATCTGGCTAACACGGTGAAAACCTGTCTCTACTAAAAATACAGAAAAATTAGCCAGGCATGGTGGCGGGCGCCTGTAGTCCCAGCTACTCGGGAGACTGAGGCAGGAGAATGGTGTGAACCCGGGAAGTGGAGCTTGCAGTGAGTGGAGATCGCGCCACTGCACTCCAGCCTGGGTGACAGAGCGAGACTCCATCTCAAAAAAAAAAAAAATTATATATATATTTATATATATTAAAATATATATTTTAATATATTATATATATTTATATATATTAAAATATATATTTTAATATATTATATATAATAAGGTATGAACATTTTTTAATAATGCTGTTGCACACTTAATAGATTCTAATATAAACATAACTTTTATATGAAGTGGAAAGCCAAAAAGAAATGTGTTAACTCCCTCGATTGTAATATTCACTTTATTGCAGTGGTCTGGAAGCAGACCTGCAATATTTCCGAAGTATGCCTCTACCATTAACACAACAAAATCAGGAAGGAAAGAACAATACTGTTTAACGTTCTTAAATAACTCTAAATACCTATATTCAGTTGCCTAATTTTTTTTACCTTCACTGTACATGAAAATGAACTGTAAAATAATATTCTACAGAGAGAGCAGAAAGAAAACTCAATCTTCTCTTTATCATAGCTGACTAAGATTGTTTATTAATACTGATGTTTTAGAGAAATTTCTTCCACCTTTGAACTCTGCTGGTAATATATATATTTCATATATATTTTAAACTTGTCGAGTGCAGAAAACCTTCTTTGTGTGTCTTTAGTATATGAACTAATAAAAATTCTTGATTCTTTAACTATTCTTATGTAGTAATTATATATATTAATTTAAATTCCTGACACTTATTCACTGGTTTTTTTTCTTAGCATCCTCTTCAGATTGGTTATGAATTTTAAATTATACTAATATAAATTCTTCCAATAAAAAATATAAAAGTTCACCGTGCTTACTAAAGTTGAATAATTTCTGAAAACAAATATATTGCTGGTATATTTTTGTGTACTGAGTGACACTACAAAATGTGTATTACTTGTTATTTGCATATTCCTTCTAATTTTGCACTTTAGCAGTGTTCTAATCCTCATGATGTTCATCTCTTTTGTTGTAATTTTCATTATTTAAAGTTTAGAGACTATAGTGATTCCATCCCTTACCTGTATAAATTGACCATCAAATTTTCAGTTGCACTTTATAAATAAATAAATAAATAACTTCAAATAAGTTGATGCTATTTATTTGTTTGTTTTAGAGACAGGATCTCATTCTATCACCCAGCTAGGATTGCAGTGGTGTGATCATAGCTCACTGCAACCTCAAACTCCTGGGCTCAAGAATCCTCCCACCTCAGGCTCTCAAGTAGCTAGGACCACAGGTGTGTACCACCATGGACAACTTTTAGAGATGGGGTTGCAGTAGGTTGCCCAGGCTGTTCTCCAGCTCCTAGCCTCAAGTGATCCCCACTGCCTCAGCCTGCCAAAGCACTGGGATTAAGGACGTGAGCCACTGTGCCCAGCCTGAATTTTAACAGTTTAAAATGTGTGTGAGTCTTCCATCAGTTTATGCTTTGGCTTTCAACTAGAATAGTTTCTTTATACATATTTTGTCATTATTCCTATAAAACAAACAAATTTAATCAAATAATATGATGTATGGAAGAGTAATTCAGACTCCTTTGATTATTGACAAAATATTGTGGAGAGCTGAATATTTAGGTATTACATTCACTCATATTATATATTGACTCATATAGTATATGTACTCCCATTATGTACACACTCCTATACTATATATATATTGAAGGGATCCTTGCAAGTGACCAGCCCTAAAGCTTACGTTTCATTACCTTCAAGTTAAGTCTGTCACAAACAATTTTCTCACAAATAGTGATACCACATTGATAAAATATCATATTATTTAAATTAAATCAAAATGAAGCAAAACTATATTTGTGAAATTTTATCATATAGAATACAAATCTGGGTAATTTGGATTTATAATAAAATTATTAATTCTTTTATTCACTTAAGATACAGTCAATTTGCATACATTGTATGTTCTGAATAAGTAATAAATAAATTATATAGTCCTCATGTGAGTCACAAGTACATTATAAAATGTTACAGATTAAGACAGGTTGTAATAATTTGTAATAATTTCTATAAAAGTCAAAACAGGTGGTATTAGAGGAAATAACTAATGTGTTAGTATGGAAGTGCGTTGGGCACAATTAGATTGTATATGTGGAGATGCTTACTGAGGTAACATGATATATAAGTTATATAAGTTCATCAAATAAATAGCAGATACTAATAACAAGTATGTACTACACTGGTACCATCTTTTCAGTTTACTTCCTACAGTTTCAGTTGTACCCTGGCAAATGCAGTATGAAAATATTAAATGGAAAATTCCCCAGGTAAAATATTCTGATGTTTTAAATCACTTGCCATGCTTAGTAGTGTGATAAAATCTCACATTTTCTGCTCATTCCTCCTAGGATTCAAATGTTTATGCTACCCATCCAGTAGTCATGGACATCATCTGTTCTGCACAGTCAGCCATCAACATTGTCACTGCTTGATGATCCAGAATCACCCATAAAATATGATCTTTCCAACATATCATCATCAGGTTAATAGTAGCCTAACACTATGTCACAATGTCTAGGGCCTTCACCTTGCTTCATCTCATTACATACATATTTATTTTATCATGTTACATCATCACAAGAAGATGAGTACAGTATAATATGATATTTTGAGAGACTGAGAAAGAAAAAAGAGAACGCATTAACATAACTTTCATTATAGCATTTTGTGTTTTATTTTATTACTTGTTATTGCTGTTAATCTCTTACAACGCCTGATTTAAAATTATTTTATTATAGGCATGTGTTCATGGGAAAAACATAATATATATCATATATGTCTCTTTCTATATAGATATATATCATAATCAACATGATAAAATAAATATGTATGTAATGAAATGAATATATATGTATATATGCATACATACATACATACATACATATATATATATATATAGAGAGAGAGAGAGAGAAGGGAGAGTCTGGTAATATCTGCTGTTTCAGACATCCACTTGGATTGTATCCTTTGTGGATAAGGTGGGACTTTGTATATAATATTTATTTTGTGATAATTAAAGTGATGTATTTTGGTGTGGGACTTCCAGTATTGCAAGGTAAAGAGCTCAGAAGACCCTCTGCTTGGTAAAACAACAATTTCACTAGTGAAAATTATGAAAAGAAAATCATTGAAAGCCTCTTGAAATCATTCTAAGAGAAAAGAGTAGTGGAGAATCATTCATTGAGTCTACAATAAGAAAGTTTGTGCCATGTGAGACATGAGACCTACTTTGTTATTTCTACTCTAACTCTGTTCTGGAAGCTCTACACAAGGCACTGTACTGTGGGTGGGTATGACTGAAAAGCTGGGGTCTCTTCCCCAAGCTTCTAATCTGGTACTATAATTTCAATGTGAGGAGAGGTTTCTGACATTCTTACTGCCTCAGCAATGTGAAGCAGAAGCTCTACTGCAAGCAGGTGCAGCCATGAGGATGGAGTGTCCAGTCCCTCATTCTGTCTCCACTCATATAGAAGAAGCTACACCTTAGCTAGAGCAGATGACACTCAGTCATTCTGGCTCCCAGCTTGTTTGTAGGGTGTATTTTCTGCAAAAGAATAGAAAAGCTGAAAAGACCAAGGATCACCAGACTCCACAGTTTATATTCATAAAGTGATAGTGTCGCTCTTGTAATTTGGCGGTTTTGTCCTTTTCTCTGGGCAGCAGAGCAGTGTTTCTGTATGGGGGAAGCACCGTCAAAAAGACAAAAAGCTTTGCAGCTTTGCCTGAATGGACTGACTTTATTTGGAACACAATGCAGAGAAGTATATGCCTAAAGGCATTGCTTAAATCACTGAAGATCTTGGAGGAAAGCAATTACAAATAAGCTGGTAGTTCTGCTTCTCCATAATTGCTCTCCTCCAAGGTCTTCAGTGATTTAAGCTAAAGCTTTAGTAGAAAGAAACAAGGAAAATGATAGTCAAGAATAGACCTATGTGCACAGTCATTTCAGAGGATAAGAAAGGCTGTACAGGCACATGAGGCTGTGCCCACTCAGAAGCAATCAAACAGGACAAGGGGATAAACCTTAAAGGATTCCCCAAACTGCACACAAACTAATCAAGACAAGGCAGAAACCTCACTGGCACAAGTAGATTAAACAGATCCTCTGAGTAAACCCTGACTAAAACAACCCAGGAGCAAATCCTAGGAAGCCAGGCTAAAAATAAAATCATACTTATTCATTCTTAGTAGTCTAGAAGGTTGTATATATGTCCACGGCTGAACATTCTCATGAACAGTGAATGAGGAAAACTTTAAGCTACTTGTCCCTGGCTGAATGTGAGACAGAAAAGTAAGCTCTGTGAACTGTGACAGCAGCCTCTAAATCACATGCCTATCCAAAGGCAGAGCATAAAAATTTAACTGGCTAGAGGATTTTATCACAATTTTTGATCAATATATGGCTTATGATAATCCAGGGGTGATAGTCTGAAAAATAAAACCATGGAAAGTAAAATCTGAGCAGTTACACCAGACTGCACACTGTATGAGAATAAATTGAGCTAAGTTACTCAGACAAACAACAGAAATGACTAAAGAAAATGACGATGTCACCAACCCCTATGAGGAGTAGGGGAGCAATGAAGAGGAGCATCATCCAGAATTGCTACATTATATTATTAAAACCAATAATTGAGAGATCAAAATAAACTAACATAAACAAAACAAAACAGGAAAGCACAATCCACACACAAGACAAAAAGAACAGGCAATAGAAAGTGACTTTGAAGAAGTCCAAAGGGTATAAACTTAGGCTCTAATGATTTCAAACCACCCTTTTAAAATATGTTCAAAGAACCAAAGTAAACAATATTTTAAAATTTAAAAATAAAATACAAAAAAGTCACGTCAAACAGAGTATACATCTGGCTAAAAAGTACATAAGTGAAATGAATAATTCACAAAAGTGTCTCAACAGTATATTTTGGCTGGCAGAAGAGTTAGTGAACTTAAAGATGAATCAATGGCGATTATACATTTAGAGAAACATAGAGAAAAAAGAAAAATGAACACAGCCTTAGAGAAATGTGAGACACTATTAATTCCACTATATAAGCAATAAAAGTATTATAAGGGGAGATGAGAGAGAAAATGACTGAAAATAATATGCAAAGAAATAAAGGCAGTAACTGAAAACTTCCCATAATATAATAAAAACAATAAACAAGTGTCAAAAGAAAAGCTCTGAAAATGTCAAGAAGGATAAATGGGAAGGGATCCAACCTAAACACAAAATGTTGACAGTCAAAATTCTTGAATAATTTTTCAGAGCTGCAAGAGAAAAAATAATACATCATTACTAGAAAAACCTAATAAAAATACCTGACTTTTCATTAGTAAAATAGAGTCCTGAAGGCAGTGGGACAATATATTCAAAACACAGGAAGAAAATTAAAAAATCTGTTAACCAAGAATCTTATATCCAGTTCTTATATTTAGTTAAATTGTTTCAAAAATGATTGCAAAATAAAGGCATATCCACATAAACAAAAAGTAAGAAAATTTGCTGCTAGACCTACTTACAAGAATATTTAAAAAGTTCTTAGACTGAAAGCTAGTAATAACAGATGGTAGTTTGAATCCACATGAAGAAAGCAAAGTTGTAAAGATAATAGAGGCTTTTTACAAAAGCCTCTATATTGCACGTTGTGTCTCTTTTTTCCCTTAATTTATTTAAAAATTAATTGCATAAAATAGTATGAATATTATTGCATTCTTGAGCAATGAACATAATGATAATATTATCAAGAGTAACAGAAAATGAAGAGGAGTAGAAACAAAGATGTATTGGAGTAAGAAAATGTCATTCAATGGTAACTCAAATCCATGAAATATATTAATCTATCCAGGAAGGGTAAATAAAAAAAATTAAAATCAGAAATTCATCACAGATACATAAACATAGATATAGATGATATAGATATAGACATTCTCATTTTTAATCTCATATTTAGTAAAGGAAACACATAAAGTAAAAACTATAACAATATATTTCTGAATTATAAAATATAGAAGTGCAATATGGATAACAGTCAGACTTAAAAAAAAGGTAGGATATCCACATTAAACAAAATTTTCTATATTTAATTAAAACGAAGTATAAACCTAAAGTTGATTTTGATATATTGAGATATATTATTGCAAGCCTTAGTAACAATTAATAAACTAATTCAAAAATACAGATAATTAAATGAATTAAAATTAGAAAATAAGCCATATAGAATAAGTAAACACAGAAAGAAATAAAAGAGAAAAAAGTTATGACATATAGAAAAAAAGCAAAATGGAAGATGTAAACACAATCACATCAATATTAACATTAAATGTGAAGAGATTAATCAGAAGTTCAACATTATCAAGTTGGACATTAAAACAACATCCAATTATCTTGTTGACTTTTAATTCAGTATTTATTTTGAATATTGGGTAAAATAAAGTTTAAAATAGGTGGAAACTAAAGATTGAAAAAAATATATCATAAAACCATAAAAAAGGTGGAGTGGATATACAAATACCAGACATAATAGACTTTAAAAAAACACACACAAACTAGTTATAAGGAGGACTATTTTATAACAAGAAATCAAAAGATTAATTGAACAATAAATATAGCAAATCTTATAGGAAGCAGCTTTACACTGCTTAGAGGTAAATTTATAACTGCAAACACCTTTTTTAAGTAAGAGGAAGTATCAAAATAATTTAATTTCTCCTTAAGAATTTTTAAAAAGTAGAAAAACTATAATAAAAAAAAATTGATCAAGATTGAACATAAATGATATAGAAGAAAAAATAGACAAAAATCAATAAAATCAAGATGTTATTTGAAGAAATCAGTAAATTTTACCAAATTTTAGCAGACTGATTAAGAAAAAAAGAGAGAAGAAAAAATTATCAAAACAATCAATGCAAAAGCTGACATCATTGCTGATCTAACATATATATAACGTGTGTGTGTGTGTGTGTGTGTGTGTGTGTGTGTAAATTCATGTTTAACTGTATTGCAACAGATTCAGTAACCTAGATAAAAGTGATACATTTTACAAAGGACACAAACTAACAAATCTGACTCCTGAAGTAGAAAATTTGAATAGACTCATTAAAAAAGAATTTTGATGAATAATAATACACCTTCCCATAAAGAAAGCCCTGGTTGAGATGGCTTCTCTGGTAAATTCTACGAAACGTAAAAAGAATAACAAATAGTACTCCCTCACAGATCTCCCATATCCCCCTAGAAAACAGATTAGGAGGAAAAACTTCCAAATTCATTCTATGATTCTAGCATTATTCACATAAAAAATCTACAGATGTATATCTCTTTTAAATGCAGCAGCAAAAACCTTCAAGATTCTAGCAAACTGTGTTGAGCAACATATAAAACAGATTATACATCAATAATCAAGTGTGATTTATCTGAGGAATGCAAGGTTGATATAACATCTAAAAATCAAGTACTGTAAAATACCATAATAGAATAAAGTATAAAAACCATATGATCATCTCAACAGTTGCAGAAAAGCATTGAATAAATCCAATAACATTTCATGATTAAAATTTCTCAAAAATTTGGGATAATGGACATCCTCAACTTGATTAATAAACGACATTTGTGAAAAGTCCAAAGCTAACATGTTAAAGAAAACCTGAATGCTTTTTACCTAAGATCAAGACAAAGTTAATATGTCAATTTTTGCTGCTTGTATTTATTATTGGAAAGAGATTTTAGCC
Organism: Homo sapiens; assembly: GCF_000001405.40. Classification (NCBI taxonomy): domain Eukaryota; kingdom Metazoa; phylum Chordata; class Mammalia; order Primates; family Hominidae; genus Homo; species Homo sapiens. Next base: position 55,929,277 of record NC_000013.11, read on the forward strand.
AGAGAAATTAGATAAAAACTCATATAGCCTAGCAACTTCAAACCTACATACACATCCAAGAGAAAGAAAAACATATATCCATATAAAACTTGTACACAAATGTTTGTGGAATTGTTATTCATAATAGCTAAAAAGTGGAAGCCACTCGAATGGCCATAGATGAATGGATAAATAAAATGTATATCCATACAATGGGAATATTATTCAGCAGTAGTAAGGAATGAAGTATTGGTTAATACACGTTACAACATGGATAAACCTTAAAATCGTTGTTAAATTAAAGAAACCAATCATGAAATAACATATTATTTTATTTGTATGAAATATCTATGTTAGCAAATAGATATAAATGGGAAGTAAATCAGTGGTTGCCTACTGCTGGGGCAAGAATGAAGGAGGGGAAATGGGAATTTCTGCTAAAGGGTATAAAATTCCTTTCAGGGACTATAGTGTTCAATCATAGATGTGATGATGCTTTTAATCCTGTGACTATACTAAAAACATTGATGTGTACACTTTAAGTGAGCAAATTAAGTATATGAATTATATCACAATTGAGCTTTTACAAAACACAACAAAATGATATAGTTTGTTAATATGAAATTATGAAAATTCAGAGCTTGTAAAATAGATTACTTAATGCCACTCCTGAGGTATAGCTTCAAATGTTTGATATTTTTCACCCAATATAACAGGGCTATTCTTAGTTATTCTTAATTTTGCCAATGATTTTGAATGCCGTAAGTCTCAAAATGCTAAAATCCAGTATAATACATGCCTAGATTTACAGACTACTATGATTTTATTCTTCCTTATTGATAAACAAGAATCACATTCTATTAGGGTATGATAATTTTAGAAACACTTTTAATGTTTAGAAATTTAAATTACACTTCACTCTCAAAGTTTTTAATTTTCTTAAGTTTTGATAAATATATACATTGCTTACCAAAGGCTCATATGTACATTACAAAATCAAAACTTCAGAAGATCACTCCTAAAGTTCAATAAGTTAAATAAATAAAACCAGAATAAATGAAATTATGTGCTATAATGACATTAATAAACACACTGATATAAAGCCATGTAACATTTACAAAAATAAAATATATACCTGGTCACAATACATATCTTCATGAAAAAAACAAAAATTTATATTGAAATGAACAGTAAACTGAAAAGGTATTTCTTTAAGAATGTAGAAACAATCATTTTAGTCACCTAAATAAGAAAAAAATGAAAGAAAGATTGAAATTGAGGAACTAAATGTCCAACAGATATGAATGACAGTAAATATTCTTAATAAACATTTTGTTTAAGATACAAGATTATGAGAAAGATAATTTAATAATAAAATATGTTTAATAATTAAACATTGGAGCAAAATGTGGTACTGTGTAAACCAACATATCATGATGAAGGAATATTTTTAAATATGCAAATACAAAAAATAAATTAAAAACCTCCAGATGACTTTGTTTTACCTAACCTCATGGAATTGATAGTCCATATGTTGTCACAAACACATGCCAAACAAAAGAAAAAGAGAAGAAAGCCATCCAGTGCTTTTTAGTATGATAATATTACCCTGACACTAAAATTGAAAAATTGTGAAGCCAATGATATACTATAAACCAAAATTTGTAAAAATATACATGAAAACTCTAAAAATTCGAAATTTAAAAATTTGTTAACTTTTGACATTGTATGAGACATTATTACACATTTATTGAAGAACATGTGTAATAACTTACAGCCAACAATTTGAGGATAATAAAAATTAGGAATCTATAAAAATATCTCTCTACAATAAGATACTAAGTGATTAAATAATATCATATTAATACATAGTTTAAAAACATTTAATAAAGGTCAATAAACCATATTATATCTGAAAATAAAATAACCAGATATCTTGCTTGTTCAATATATTAAATAACATTTTAGAGACTAACAGAAAATATTCTAATACTTTTCCTATTAAAATTAAAATCAAGATATTAATAATACTCATTGTTATTAATTTGCTCATTGCTGCTCTATGTGCTCCAGTCATTGCCAAAAAAAAAAAAAAAGAAAGCAGAAGTAAGAAGAACATCAGATGGACACAAAATCATTTTTTGCATATGTAGTGTTCTCAGTAAAGTGCCAAAGTATAAGGTACTGTTTTGATAATTAATTTTTTAAATTTTATAAATTTCCTCATAATAACAAAAACAATTAGAAAATTTAATGTATCAAGACCATTAGTGATCATTCAAATTACTAATAGTACATATTAAAACTAGGATTAAATGAATAAACTACTGCCTATATAAATATTTAGGCGAAAAAGATCAATTGCACAAAATGATTTAAATTTATATCTTATAATATCATAAATAAAAACTAAATAAAAATTGTCTCTAAGGAAATATGACATAGATACACTGTATATTAGAAAACATGACAGAATTTTTAAAACAATCATAATTTGTGAAAGGAAATTCTAAGAAAGCTATAAAACAAAATTCATAAGTAAAACAGTAGTAGCTTTGATCATATAGAATGTAATTTATGTCTGAAGGGGAATGATATAAAGTCTAAACACACACTTCAGATCATATTGAAACATGACAAAGTTGAATTAACTTATAACAAGAAATGCTCCTACAAAACTTGTAAAATACGATAATCTAATCAACACATAGACAATGCAAATTAATATGCAGCTTAGCAATGATAGAAAATCAACAAATTGATAATATTTGTATGTGTATCAAATCTCTCTGTGTGTCTCTCTCTCTGTCTCTCTCTCTGGTGCTGTTTTAAATTATGGCTACATAAAGGCAAATTAAAACAGAAAATAATCGTCCACCCATCAGCCTGGTAAATGTGAAAATAAATAAATATTATAATATTGGTTGACATACTCCTTTGCTCAACCACAGCAAAAAAGTAAGGAAAACCAACCATGGCCACGTAATCTAACATTCCACGAACCCAAAGAGAAGGGGATTAACCATTTCCCCATACTAAGATTTTCTTCTCCAAAAGGATGACATCAAAAAAACAAGTGGGACAATATGGCTTCTTTAACATTCATGTTTATTACCAAAACAACAGAAATTGCAACATATGTGTGATATGTAGGGTATTTTAGTATTTTTACTTTCCATAAAATCCTATTCATATAAAAGTCACTTTCTCATTGTTTTACCCTTTAATCATTTCATGAATCCCTCCCAAGTGCTATCCCAAACTTTATTCCTATGTGTTGGAGCTTTCTAATTCTTTGTTTCTCTTCTTCTAATTGTAGATTATTTCAATGGGACATTAGTTTGTTTATTTATTATACCATTAACATGGGGAATATATCCTTAAAACATCTGCTAAAAGTGGTACCTTCACAATCTAATCATTATTGGATCACTCCTATTGGCTTGACTCAAAATTAAGTCCCTTTATGTTTGATTGCAAGAATATACATTTCTGCATCTTTTAACTTTTCTTTCCTTATTATTTTTCAACCCTAACATATTACTTCAATTCATAGATTAAACAAAAATCTTCTCATTAACTAAACACAATCACAATTTTGTTCTTTTTTTTTTTTTTGAGACGGAGTCTCGCTCTGTCGCCCACGCTAGAATGCAGTGGCGCAATCTCGACTCACTGCAAGCTCCACCTCCCGGGTTCACGACATTCTCCTGTCTCAGTCTCCCGAGTAGCTGGGACTACAGGTGTCCACCACCACGCACGGCTAATTTTTTTGTATTTTTAGTAGAGACGGGTTTTCACTGTGTTAGCCAGGAAGGTCTCGATCTCCTGACCTCGTGATCTGCCCGCCTCGGCCGCCCTCAAGTGTTAGAATTACAGGCGTGAGCCACCTCACCAGGCCAGTTTTGTTCTTTACGAAAATAGTCTCACTGTTTGCAAACATGTAGATAATTAACAAATATGGATAATTAACAATCAAATATCAGCCATAACAAATATTCCCAGGGGCCTGAGATAACTACCTGTCATTTACCTATCATCTTTCTGTCTGCCTGTATTCACTTATCTACATATATAAATGTAATCCAATTTGTTAATTATATATTACATTTATACGAATACAGTGTTTTCATTTTGAAAAATATAAATATTCCAAATTTCTTGACTTGTTTATTATATATAAGTTAGGAATAAGGAAATTAGGAGTTTGATGAAAATACTAGTATCTAGGAAATGTTATATATATATAAAACATATAACAAATGTTATATATATAACATATAACAAATGTTATATATATAACATTTTATTTGTATACAAATGTTATATATAACATTTTAATACAAACATATATAATATATAATTATATTATAAATATTAAATTTAGGTTCATATCAAATAAAGTTAGCAGAATTAAACTAAATGGAATGCATTTAGATTTATATAAATTTCCTGCTTTTTAAGAAAATGTATATTCAAGGGACTAAAAACTGATGAAAATGAAATGCTAATTTTTACCCAGCATATATTCAGAAAGTGGGTACAAATGCTAAGTATTAATAACTATGATATTCTTCAATATGTAGGGAAGAATGTTTCTACATTAGTGATATTGAATCACTGATATTAAACTGATATTATTAAAGGAAAGAGTAGAATCCTGTAAACTCATACAGAACATTTATGCTTCCAGTTCTGCAAATCAAAGCCTTAGAGTAAAAAGAATAAATTTGGAAGCATTTGAATCAAATGATTATTTAATTTATTTCCTATTTTGTATGCTAATAGAGCATTATTTTTTATTAATTTAGATAAGATCGATGAAATAGCTGATGATATTTATCAGCATGATAGTGATATGGAAATTTACCCAATAAGGAAATAAAATTTTGTGCAGTTTCCACTTAACATACATTTAATGTAAAATGTGTAATTGTTTATAGAATGAGAAATAATGAAAATGGATAAATCTCTTTGGCATGGTTTATATTTATATTTCTCATTTACCCAGTAAGCAACTCAGTTGCATTGAAATATAGGGAAAAGGCCATGATAATCATGTAGTAAAATGTCTTCAGAAAAAGTAAACAGAATAATTAGAGATGTGTAAACAGAACACTAACTGTAGAATGTATTACATGGCCGTGGAAAATCATATAAGTCAAACACTACAGGGCAAAGCAAGATAAATATGAATATGTGAGATTTAATGAGTATAATTTTAAAACTAACAATGATAGAATGTTCTGTATTTATTTGCATATACATTTACATAAAATACATGCTCCTCAACTGAACTACATTCAGGTGAAATACTCTAACCAAAACCCTACCTTGAGAAACACCATTTCTTTTCTAATTCTATCACACAAGATATTAGATCCAAAGAAAATCTCACTGTAGTGAACAAGGCATTTTGCCCATTCTATCTCTATGTTATTTTGTCTCTCTTACATAGTGTGTAAGAAAGACAAATACATATATATTCAATTATCAGTTAGCATCAGATATTTTAGGCTAAAAACAAAACATAATGACAAATAAGCTATATCTTGCCATGTTTATTTTAGCTTCATTATTATTTTGAAATAAATTAATAATTAGCCAGATTAGTGCCTTGGCCATTATCAATAACGTCGGGACTACTATGAAGCAGATAGTGTCTTGGTAAGGCCTTTATTCATTGCTTTATATGCAAGGCCATGATTTCTGTTTGGGGTATCTGGGAGGCAAGAGATTAAGTACTTCAAAAGTATTTCCTTAAAGAAGGAATTGTTGCTACCCTTGCCCAACAGATGACTAGACCGTTGGCAATGTCCAATAACATCAGTGTAAATGTGCAGATGCTGCTTAATTCTGGTGAGGGCATCCATTGCCAAGATGGCTACTCAATGTTTGGCTAATAGTGCTCACCCCGAGTCCTGTCCTTAGCTAGAGGGGTCCTGCTTAAGAGATGAAAAAGCAGAAACTATCACCTGAGCTTCATCATGTTAAATTATGGCAATGCCATCTACAAAGTATATGAACTTCCTCTGATCTTTACTCAGTTGATTTCCAATGACTCCCCAGGTGACAAGGCACTGGGCGAAGGATGACATTCCCCATACGGGGACTGGCAAGAGACTGAAGACACGGTTGTGCGATATGCCAGAGGGCCCAGTTTGGGCTCTATTCTGTAGCCATGCCTAGCATGTAAGGTACTGTTTCCATAATCCAAAGGATAAAGGGCACCTTCGTACAGAGGTCAGAGGCTTATAAGAGACTCTGACTTCAGGGTAGCTCAGAATGTGTCCTTCAGCTGTCACTCCAAGTAAGATATAAAATGGGCCTGAGAAGGGCAATTTCTTCTATCAGAAGCAAATGGCAACTAGTGGATACTATAGTTGGACCTGAGACTCCACCATGCATGAGGAGAGGTGTCCAAAGCCTCTAAAGGAAAGACGTCTCTGGTGGCACTTATGGTAGTACTTTCTTGTATTGCAGTTTGAACAGATTTTATAGTCTTCTGCTGGAGGGGCCCCATTAAAGTTGTACCAATTCATGAGCAACAGAAAATGAGTATAAGTTAAACTTGTCAGTGAGGAGCATGCTGCCTCTGCAACTCAAAAAGAACTAAAACGTCACACTTGTATGAATGTTGTAGGTGCAGTCAATGTCAGGGGCTGTTTCTTGACAGTGTCAGGGATGGAGCAGCCCTGGATTTTCCCAGAAATTTTTAGGAATTTAACTAGAGGGGTGTGGCCATGAATTATGTGTAGGGCAATGATCCATTAGTGTGTCAAACAATTCTCCTCAAAAGAGAAGAGGACATTAGTTGACATCATATTTGTGCTCATTGTGAAAGTTAAATGTGGTTAAGACCTTGCCTGCAAATACTATGCATGATGGCAAGGTTGTTGAAGTGTCCCATGCATAGCTGGATTAAAATATATTGTGTCCCTTTGGAGGTGAAGGAAAAATGCTACTGTTAAATTAAGCACTGAACAGAACATAGTCAAATATTTAATAGCAAAATATTTACCACTTTCTGATTAAATAAAATGAGTAATTTCAATAAAATTGAGCATCATGGTCACTGGGTAGCACCACAGTATTAAGGTTTCAGTGCTCCATTTTGAGGTGCCATTTATACTTTCTAGGTTTAATAACAGGTCAGACTGCACTGTTAAATAGAGGGAAAGTGAAGATAATCACTCTTTCTGTAAATCGGTCTTGTATAATGGATTTCAAATCTTAAAGATCTTGTTTTAATTTAAATGGGGCTATACTCAATATTTTAACTGAGAATGGAAAGGTCCATGCTTCCCATTTTGTCAAGCCAACTTGTAAGTGCCAAAGATTTAATTTAATTTATTTCTCATATATTTAAAGTGTTCATGTCTGCTTTGGGATATGCTAGGGAAATAAGTGCTATGACCAACACAATAATTTCAATAGTCAGGTGAGGGACACATATTTTAGTTTGAGTAATTCCCCTAAAACTATGACCCATACTTGTGGTGGATAGAATTGTGTCTCTCAGAAAGACACATTCAATTCCTAACTTTTTATATTTGTAAATGTGACTTCATTTGCAAATAGAGTCTTTTCAGATGTAATCAAGTTAACATGGGGTCACAGTGGATTACGATGGGCCCCAATCTAATAACTTCCGTCTTTATGAAAAGGTGAATTTGGACACGGACACATAGACAAACAGCAGAGATGGCATAGCCTTGTGAATATAGAGGCAGAGGTTAGAGTGATGCTTCTATAAGCTGAGGAACACCAAGGATTGTGGGCAACCACAAGCTAGAAGAGACAAGAAAAGATCAAAAGATCTTCCCTGGAGCCTTTAAAGATAGGGTGGCCCTGCTGACACCCTAAATTCTGACTTTAGCTTCCAGAATCATGAGAAAATTAATTTCTGTTGTTTTAAGTTATGCTGTTTGTGACAATGTGGTTACAACAACCTCAGAAAACTAATACAGTTACCTTGTTTACATTTCGTGGGACGGCTTAAACAACAGAAATTTATTTCTCACAGCTCTGGAAGCTGGGAAGTCCAGGATCAAGTTGCTGGCAGATCCAGTGTCTGGTGACGACCTGCTTTGTGGTTTGTGGATAGCTTTTCTTACTGCGTCTTCATATGGTGGAGAGTACAGCGAGGCTTTAGGCTGAGAGCAATTCCTGGAGATAGACTGGCTGTGAGCTGCCAGCAGGCAATATTTCCTAGCTGTGTTACCTAACTAAGCAAATTCTCACTTTCCTTTTTATAAAAGCACTAATCTTACCATGCAGGCACCTTCCTTCCTTCTGTCTTTTTCTTTTCTATTTTTTTTAAAGTTGTTGTTGGATATATTTTGGAATGTGAGGTTGTTTTCTATTCTATTCATATTTAAGTTTTTTCCTCCAGTGCATCTCAAATCAGCATCACCATGTTGGGGCCTCCAACATGGCAATGTTTGAATTAATCACTTGGTTCTACCACAGGGATGCTGTGTGTGTTTTTCCCTATTACCTTGATGATCAGGATGATTTTTAGCAGTAACAGCAGCAAAGGCATTTTGTAGGGTCAGAAAGCGAGCCATCTATTTTTCAGAGTGCGATCTCAGAAGGCCACATGTTAAATGTTCCTTTTCTACATGGGTGACCACTAAATGGGTTTGTATGTTGCCCATGTTATTAGTATTTCTTCTGAGTGCTCTAGAGAATAAAGACCAAAACTGATTGAGACATAAAACCAATGGACATAGGGTAAACGTTGCTCACCTGAACTTACTCTTAGTCATGGCTTTTGCTGGAATCAAGACATATGATTCGTTTTGAGATATCCAGATAGATCCAAGCTAAGAATTGCAATCCAGGGCATTTTTAGGAGTGCTTCAGTGTAGTATTTCTTTTTCTAAAAGTCAGTTATAGAAACATCTAACTTAAGTTTGTTAAATATGTAACAGAACCTCCCTTGGATTTAACAAATGCAGCATAAAGAAACACAGCTCAAAGGGCAGGCTTGGCTGGAAGGCAGCAGCTCAAAGGGCATGCTTGCAAGCAGGCAGCAAAATCATCTAGTAAAACAAAGCAAGGAAAGAAAGACTGCTAGTGGTAATGGACATAGTATAGACATCTTACCTGCAACACCAACTGTTTTGTGATCATCTCCCAAAGCCTAATTTTGTGTTTTTTTCTTACAATTTGATTCAAATGTCAGAATGATGATCCTGAACATCAAGAGGACATGAACAGACCTATCACTCACATAATGAAAATTCTGCAGACAGAAAATGGGACCCAACAGAATAAATCAGGATAATCTCTATATTTTAAGGTAAAATGATTGCAAATCTTAATTCTATCTGCAAACGTAATCCCCCATTTTTATATAACATAACATATTTACTGGTTGCAAGGATTAGGGCAAGAACATCTTTGGTGGCCTATTGTTCCTTCTGCCATAGTTCACCTTTTAGTCTCTCTAAATATTTGTTTATTCTACATGCAAATACATTCACCCCACCCGAAGGTCCCCAAAGAGCTCATCACATTACATTATAAAATGAATGACAAATATCTCATTAGCTCAAATATCTCAAATATTATTACGTAAATCAGATATGAATGAGGCTCTGGAAATAATCCATCTTTTGCCCAAATCCCTCTTCACCTGTGTATCTGAGAGATTAGAACACAAGTTATCTGCTCCAAAAATATAATGGTGGGACAGGTACAGGCATAGCTATAGACATTACAGTTCACAAAAAGGAGAAAACATGAGGATTAAAAAAGTCATCTAAGGCCGGGCGCGGTGGTTTACGCCTGTAATCCCAGCACTTTGGTAGGCCGAGCCGGGAGGATCACAAGGTCAGGAGATCCAGGCCAACCTGGCTAACACAGTGAAGAAACCTCGTCTCTACTAAAAATACAAATAATTAGCCAGGCGTGGTGGTGGGCGCCTGTAGTCCCAGCTACTCGGGAGGCTGAGGCAGGAGAATGGCATGAACCCAGGAGGCGGAGCTTGCAGTGAGCCGAGATCGCCACTGCACTCCAGCCTGGGCGAGAGAACCAGACTCTGTCTCAAAAAAAAAAAAAAAAAAAAAAAAAAAGTCATCTATCCCAAACAATTTCAAAATCCAGCCAGGTAAACTCCATTTGCATTCAAGGTCTAGGAGTAATCCTGTATAGCCTAAGACTCTACTTTCTGGGCTCTTAGCTTCATCCTTGACTTTCTTTTTCATTAAAAGTAGCATATGTTTGCAATTGAGTAGTTTCATCAGTCTATTGCTTGTCTTGGGAACTAATATTCTTTACTGTTTTGTACTCTCTCTTCCCCCTTTTGGATTCAAGCTGGCCATGTTTCTGCCAGCAAAAAAAAAAAAATCTCAAGAATTTTATAGATCTCCTGTTTTTGTGACAGATTCACTTCATTCATCTCCTCTAAATGGAATGCTCCTCTCCAGATCTTTTCTACTTAATCCTGTATCTATTCCTGTCCTCTGTGATGACGAAAGGCGGACACGAATCAGACATCTAACTTCTTCAAAGTACCTTCAGTATAACTGACCCCTGATCGTTTTAAGGCCATGAGCAAAAGGTTTTTCAGCCACACCCTAGGCTTTCTGTCCAGAACATACATTTGTGATCATTAGTGTACTAATTCTAAGTTCTTTTGCAATCTGGATAGGCTACAAATTATTCAAATCATTAACTTCCCTATCCTTTTGGTATAAGAGATCTCTCAATCAATCGCTTTCCTCTTGCATTTTCATAAGCATCAAGATTAGACCATAAGAATCTTCAACATATTTCTTAGACAATAGCCTAAGATACATATCTAAGTTCATTATATACAAGTTCTGCTTTCCATATAACTGTAGCATGTAATTCAGTACAATGTTCTGCCACTATTTAATATGAGCCCCTATCCTCAGGTTTTCAATAACAAGTTCCCAATTTCTTTCTAAGCACATGCCAGCAGCAACTTTAATGTCAATATTTCTACCAAAAGTCTCTATAAACGTGTAGGTGTTCCCTAAAAGAAGATAATATATTTTATCTACCATGCTCCTCACATCCTTCTCAGACCTCATTGGAAGAGTTGTCAACATCCATATTTCTATTCACAGTAAGTTCAAGATAATACTTTTCTACATGCTTCTTAAAATTCTTCCAGCCTCGGACCATTGCCCAATTCCATAGGCACATGTACAGTTTTAGTTGTCCGTTATAGCAGCACCCCATTTCCAGCACTAAAATCTATATTAATTACCTTATTTCCACGTGGAAACTTAATTTTACCTAGCCATGTAATAAACTGACTGGCTATGGGTATAAGGGAATGTATTTTACAGTATTTTTTTTTTTTACTTCTTACCATTGCTTTGTATTGTCTCTATTCCATTTATGAATATTACTAAAAGCTTTCCTATATGATTAATATTGTTAAATAAATGCTTGTATACTATCCATTAATTTATGTGAAGTATGTGTTAACTCTAACCCAGTGTTGATTTTTTCCTTTTGTGTTTTATAATTTTAGATTGTGAACTCATTATTTAGGACCTCATCCTGGAAAAAAAAAATGTTTCTTCTCCTTCCTCTCAGATGATAGTTTTTTTTTCTTTTTTTTTGGTAGTCAATTTGTAAACCAAAAATAAAATTATAAGCTCCCCAATCAACTGAATGGATCCCTCCTCTCAGCCAAGGGTATTCCAAAGCAAACCTGAAAGTCTAGCTCAGGCCATGATGGGAATGGGTAATCTGGCACACCTCATTATATCCTCCTCCTTTTAGAATTCAGGCACAACTGACCAACATTAGCATTAAGACAGAGACCTTAAGACTGACAAAGCAGACTCTTTGTAGCAATAAGAGCAACACAACAGATGTCAGGCCCTGAAAGAAATCAAAGCATTTTATTCCAAAATATATTTCTTTGATATATTTTGAAACGTCCCTATAAAGCTGTTTCTTGTGGAGAAAAACTACATTCTGTAGAGAACCCCCCTTCCCAGGTCTTTTTCCTGAACTAGGAAAAAATTAACAAAGAGTCTGGCACCTTTTTAAGTCTGATAAGAAACATTTACATTCCATTCTCTTGAAAGCCTGCTACCTGGAGGCTTCACCTGCATAAGAAGAACCCTTGTTCCTACAACCCTTTAATATAATGGAGAAATTCCCTTCTATTGATTCCAGGTCTATAGATAAACTCTTTCAACCAATTGCCAACCATAAAATATTTGAATTCAACTAAGACTTGGAATACCACCCCCAACAACCCACCCTACCTCACCTCACCCCAGCATCCAGTTTCCCATCTTTCTGGACCAAACTAATATACACCTTACATGTATCCATTGGTGTTTTATGTCTCCCTAAGGTGTGTAAAACCAAGCTGTAGTCTAACCACCTTGGGCACATGTTTTCCAGCAATGGTCACTCATATTTGTCTAAGAATAAATCTCTTTAAATATCTTACAAAGTTTGACTCTTCTTTCATATGTTTTATTTTCTCTCTCTGCTGATTCTTTTATTTTCTAGCCAAACCTTACTATGAAGACTTTCAAAGATGCTGAATATTGGTAGGTGTCTTAGTTCTCACCACTGACTTCTTACTTCAAAGTCTCAATTCCTGTCCCCAGTAAGGTATTAAAATGTCAGGTTCTAGATTTCTAAAACTAACAACCTGCACCATGAAATAATCAGTGTAACCTTTTTTTCTTCAAATTTTGACCTCCAAAAATTTTAATTAATGTCTTTGTAAATTATCTAGTCATTTAATGAAATTTTTGAAGCATTTTTAAATGCTTGTAGTAAGAGAGCTTTGAGATTACTTAATCTCACATATTTCCCTTTCTTGGAAATTTACAGTTCCTTTTTTGACATTTAATGAGTTCTAAATAGGGAAAAGAACATTAATACTTATAGATGATGGGGATTTATCAAATGTAGTATGTATTCTTCATATACTTTACTATATATAATTTACTTTAATCCTTGCTACCCTGTAAAATACATTGTATTAGTCTAGTTTTTAAAAAAAAAATCTGTGGCTTATTGACATTAATTAGAAATTCTAATTTAGGTTGGCCTGATTTCCATCCATTCAGTCATTCATGCTTGGACTCATTCATCCTTTTATTTAACAATATGTGCATGGTCTAGTGGGAGAAACAGATATAAAACAAAGTAATTGAAACATAATTATCCAATTGTAGTTCTAATGATAGCTATGAAACAGATTGTAGTTTGCACTGAGAGCTTGTGGTTGATGTATGTCACCAAGGGAGACTTCCCTAAATAAGTAATATTTAAACACTGACATAAAATTTATGTAGGTATAGACTATATTAAGTTTGCTTGTATGTATATAAGGTGTGTAAGTGGGTAATTTGATGAAAGAATATGCAGATGCTGACTTTGTCATATAAAAATATTTTTAGGTTATGACATGAAAAACTATTGATCTAATCAGAAAACCATAAGGAAAATAGGCATTATGTTATGTAAGAATAAAGAATATAGTCTTGAGCCAAAACATATAGGACCTTACCTCATTGCCATGTTGAAATCATTAAGAAGGTATTAAATACTTTTAATGTTGTGTATATATGGGAAAGGATAATATGATTTAAATTTTCTATTGGACATGCTAATCCAGAAATTTCTGTTGTAATAGTCACATGAAATGATCATTATTAAATATTGTGGCCTTTAAAACTAGTTAGTTGGATTTCCATGCTCCCTTAAAAATTACAGACACAAGGCTGAGGCAGGCAGATCACCTGAGGCTGAGAGTTCAAGATCAGCCTGGCCAACATGGTGAAACCCCCTCTCTACTAAAATTACAAAAATTATCTGGGCATGGTGGCAGGTGCCTGTACTCCCAACTACTCAGGAGGCTGAGGCAGGAGAATCACTTCAACCCAGGAGGTGTAATGAGCTGAGATTGCGCCATTGCACTCCAGCCTGGGTGACAAGAGCAAAACTCCATCTTAAAAGAAAAAAAAAATTACAGACACATTCTGCATAAGTAAGGCAGATGTGGAAAAGTGATTACAACTTGAAGAGGTTAATGTTTCCAAATAAAATAGTATAGAACTATAGAAAGAAGGTATGTAAAGATTAGTGGATGAATTTTGACCAGCTATATTGAAAATTCGAGTAACATCTGTGAATAATCTAGCTTAAATGTCAAATGAAGTCTAGTTAGGTAGTTCCTACTTTTTTATTATTACTGAAAGTGCTTCAATAAAGTATTCTCATATTAGGCTCTTTGTACATGTATGAAAGTTTCTCTAGGTTAGACACTTAGAAATGAAATTTAAATGTCACAGAGTACATGAATTTTAACTTTCTGATATAATTAAATTCCTTCCAAAATGATGTAACCAATAAACACTCAAATAATCAATGAAGCCTCATTTTCTTAAGCAATCGGTGAAGAAAGATCAAGGGAATTACAGTTATTTATATAGTTTTAAAAAGAGCAAAATAGGCACATGCTAGTGCCAGAGACAGACAGGTAGGATATTTCAATTTGCTTACTTCTTTTTCATCATGATTCAAGAACATGGCAAAAACCACAGCCATATACTAGAATAAGAGAAAGAAATAGAATGTATGGGAATGTAAATTAAGCTATCAAGGCAGTCCCATACCTTTCCAATTAAGGATTCAGATTTGAATTAGCCCAAATGGGAATAAAAAGATATTTTAGGTTTTTCAAGTATTATTAACAGTCACCTCTATGACAGTTATTCTATGCAAGCCTTGTACTATGAAAATTACAAACACTTAAACAAGATCTTGTGATGTGAGTGCTATTTTTCTTCTCATTTTACAAATGAGAAAATTGAAATATAGGTATGTTAAGGACTTTCTCAAAGTAATAGAGTTACTAAACATTGACACTGAGATTTGAGTGCTTGCAAGCAAACTAGAGAATCCTTGGTATAAAATTACCATGTGATACTGCCTTTTAGGACCAAAGACTTATTAATTACCAGACTAAAACCATTTTCACAACCAAATGTGGCCAGATAATTAAAATTTTCAGGGACTGAGAAAGAATGCACTTGAAGCTTTACAGATATAGAAAGAGGGGTCCAGGTGTGGTGGCTCATGCCTGTAATCCCAGCACTTTGGGAGGTGGAGGCGGGAAGATCACCCGAGGTCAGGAGTTTGAGACCAGCCTGGCCAACATGGTGAAATGCCTTCTCTACTAAAAATACAAAAAATTAGCCAGGCATGGTGGTGGGCACCTGTAATCTCAGCTACTCGGGAGGCTGAGGCAGTAGTATTGGTTGAACCCAGGAGGCAGAGGTTTCAGTGAGCCAAAATCGTGCCATTGCACTCCAGCCTGGGCAAAAACAGCAAAACTCCATCACACACACACACAAAGAATAAAAGAAAGGGGGAAATACATAGGTTCATAAGACCCTACTTTAGTCTGCATTTTCTTAACCACAGTTAGACACTTATTTTGGACTAAATTTTGTCTACTCAGGATCCCCTTGGCTTGAAATTATTTTAAAGTACCTGAACCAAAGTGTTTCCTCCCAGGAGTGATGCCAGTCTGGACATACTACAGAAATGTTGGTAGGTAGAGATGCTGAAGTGGAGGCACAATTAGGATAGCTTTGTCTTTATCAAAGCTACTTCAATCAGATGTCTGCAGGAAGAAATCTCTAAGGAAATTGTAAGGAAGCACCCTGAGAGAATCAATTAGAACATGACTCAAACCCTTAAACTACTAATTACAAATCAAAACAATATTAGTCAAGTATTTATTTCCTGATCTTCCTTCTCCTACCTAGATCCCTACAGGAACTAGAGTTAGTCCAGATGGGAGGTAAGTAGAGGTAAAAACATAAAGAGGAAAATGTAAAAAAGAAGCCAATCATGCCCTCTTCTTTCACTGAAAGTTGTGTGGCTTGAAGCATGGCCAAGTTGGGAGATAATAAATTGTTTTTATAAATAAAGTTTGAAATCTTCACTATTAGAATAAAGTGGATATTTAAAACAACAGTGTAGGAGCTATTATGTTATTTGAGAGAGACTGAAAAATTATGAGACCTACCTAAAGTTTTATCTAAGGAACCGTAAACTAGCTGCATTGAATGAATTTGAATAAACATTAAGATAAAAATATAAATGTTTTCTATTTTCATCCTATAGAGTTGCATTCTTTCAATATTATAGAGATGCTCCTTTACTTATTATGGGGTTACATTTTGGTAACTCCATCATAAGGTGAAAATATAAGCCAAAAATTCATGTAATACACCTAACCTATCAAACGTCATAGCTTAGCCTAGCTTACTGTAAACATGCTTGGAACACTTATAGTAGCATACATTTGGGCAAAATCATCCAACGTGAATCGTATTTTGTAATAAAGTGTTGAAAAAAGTAAAATTTAAAATTCAAAGTTTAGTTTTCATTGAATATGTAATACTTTGACTCTACCATAGCAAAGTTAAAAAATGAGAAGTAAAACCATAATTCTGGAACTGTCTGTACATTGAAATAAACTATAAATTATATAATTATAAATTAGAATAAATAAATGATATGTATGCGATATATATGTAACAAAATGTCTGACATATTTTATTTCTAGAAAATATATGCAGTAATTTTTCAAATACATTATCTTAATTTAAAGAAATATTGACTAAAAAAGACCATGGAGATCAGTTTCTAATCTCAGTGTAGCAATATGAATATTAATCATAAAACAGAAAGGAAAATCTAATTCCTCTAAATTATAATAAAACATAAAATTAAATGTTAAATACAAATATCATATCATAAAAATCAAAACCAAAATTTCAATATTTCAAAATATCTACAAAATACATATGATTAAACAAGTCATGTGTCAAAACATAGAATAAAGCAATGCTTTGATAAATTACTTTTCTAGGTAAGGCTATATTAAATAAGTATGTAAAGCATTATAAATACCAACTTAGCAAAAATATAACAAAGTGGAGATCAAAATAAAGAATAAGTAAAAGTGAAATAAAAAATTATTAATAAAGTATGAAATAAAATATGAGTGTAGATTTTTTGTGATATTATACAAGAGATAGGATAAAAGGGATTAATCTAATAGTTAAAATAAAGGAAGCAGTTCTACTAATAGCAATATGTATTGTCTTATTGTATGTAATTTATGGAGACATATCAATATAATTTATAAAATGTAATTTATAAAAATAGACAAAAATTAGGATTTTTTGCTTCTAGAAAAGCGCTGTGTATGAAACATAACGTTTTGTTTTCTAAAAATTAAAAAGGCATAATTCAACATCAGCTTCATAAGAGTACTGTATATGAATATGTTGGTTTATTCAAACGCATGTATCCTCATAAAATATAGACCACTGACGTCAAAGTGATAGATGCAGGAGACAGATGAAGGAAGGTATCCAGAGAATCTCTCACTCGCCCCACAAGAGTTTACATCAGATGCTTTTGTGCAGATAAAGGAACCTGCCCAGGGCCTTAACTGGGTGTGCCCACATCGAACTGGGGACCTGCCTATGCACTGGGAGAGTGGGGTGGAGCCACTGGGAATTTGCACGTTGTGTAGTAGGGAGGAGCTTGGCCTCTTTAGCCTATATGTGGTGGTCTGGTATTCTGTCTGTGAGATGGGAGAGTGTTGGCAGGACTTCTTTTTTGTTGCTGAGAGCTTTCTTTTAATAAATTCTGTTCTCCTCACCTTTCAATGTGTCCACATGCCTAATTTTTTCCTGGTCATGGGACAAGAACCAGGGTTTTGGCTGAGCTAAGGAGCAAAAATCCTTCATCAAAAGGAGACCAACTAAATTAAATAGAACAATTATCTGCCACTGAAATGAAAGTTGATAAATTCTACAAAACACAGATCACGCAAAAGCAGCATAAAACTCTCATATGTTAATTTTGATTGGAAATAACAGTTAATATTAAAATTATCCATATCATAAAATTAAGTTATGAGGCAGATGTTTTGGTAATAATTAGTAAAAGATATATGATGTACTATTTATGATACACACAAATATGTGTGTGTGTTCATATATGCTGACACACAACAAATTTTCTTGATATATGTGAGAAAGAGAAAATTGAAGAGAGGGGCCAAGATGTCTGAATAGGAACAGATCCAGTCTGCAGTTCCCAGCAAGACCAAGGCAGAAGGAGCTGATTTCTGCATTCCCAGCTGAGGTACCCAGTTCATCTCCCTGGGACTGGTTAGGCACTGGTTCCACCCACAGAGGGTGAGCAGAAGCAGGGTGGGGCGTCACTTTACCCCAGAAGTGCAAGGAGTGAGGGACCTCCCTCCCTGAGCCTAGGTAAGCCATGAGGGACTGTGCTAACCAGCCGGGTTACTACGCTTTTCACATGCATTTTGTAATCTTCAAATCAGGAGATTCCCTCATGTGCCTATACCACCAGGGCCCTGGGTTTCAAGCACAAAACTGGGCAGCTGTTTGGGCAGACACTGAGCTAGCTGCAAGAGTATTTTTTTGTACCCCAGTGGTGCTTAGAACCCAGCAAGACAGAACTGTTAACTCCCCTGAGAAAAAGGCTGAAGAGAGGGAGCCAAGTGATCTCACTCCATGGGTCCCACTCACATGGAACCCATTAAGCTAAGAACCACTGGCTTAAAATTCTCACTGCCAGCACAGCCGGCTGAAGTTGATCTGGGATGATCCAGCTTCGCGTGGGGAGGGATGTCTGCCGTTACTGAGGCTTTAGTAGGTGATTTTCCCCTGACAGTGCTAAGGAGGCTGGGAGATTGGGACTGTAGGCAGCAAAGCAGATGTGGCCAGACTGCTTTTCTAGACTCCTCCTCACTGGGCAGGGCATCTCTGAAGAGAAGATACAAGCCCCAGTCAGGGACTTACAGGCAAAACCCCCATCTATCTGGGACAAAGCACCTGAGGGAAGGGGTGGCTGGGCGCCCAGCTTTACCGGATTTACTCGTTTCTGCCTGCTGGCTCTGAAGAGAGCAACTGATCCTGACAAGAGGGATTCTCCCAGCACAGTGCACCAGCTCTGCTAAGAGACAGACTACTTCCTCAAGAGGGTCCGTGATCCCCATGCCTCCTGGACTGGGAGAAACCTCCCAGCAGGGGTTGACAGACACCTCATACAGGAGGGCTCTGGCAGGCATCAGGCCGGTGGCCCTCTGGGACAAAGCTTCCAGGGGAAGGAACAAGCAACAATCTTTGCTGTTCTGCAGCCTCCACTGGTGATAACCAGGAGAACAGGGTCTGGAGTGGACCTGCAGCAAACTGCAGCAGACCTGCAGAAGAGGGGCCAGATTGTTAGAAGAAAAACTAACAAACAGAAAGCAACAATATCAACATCAACATAAAGGACCCCCACGCAAAAACCCCCTCCAAAGGTCATCAGCCTGAAAGATCAAAGGTAGATAAATGCACAAAGATGAGAAAAAACCAGCGCAAAAGGGCTGAAAATTCCAAAACCCAGAATGCCTCTTCTCCTCCAAATTACTGCAACTCTTCTCCAGCAAGGGCACAAAACTGGACAGACAACGAGATTGACGAACTGACAGAAGTAGGCTTCAGAAGGTGGGTAATAACAAATTCTTCTGAGCTAAAGGAGCATGTTCTAACTCAATGCAAGGAAGCTAAAACCTTGATAAAAGTTTACAAGAAATGCTAACTAGAATAAACTGTTTAGAGAGGAACATGAATGACCTTATGGAGCTGAAAAACACAGCATGAGGACTTTGTGAAGCATACACAAGTATCAACAGCCAAATCGATCAAGTGGAAGAAAGGATATCAGAGATTGAAGATCAACCTACTGAAATAAGGTGTGAAGACAAGATTAGAGAAAAAATAATGAAAAGGAATGAACAAAGCCTCCAAGAAATATGGGACTATGTGAAAAGACCAAACCTATGATTGACTGTGTACCTGAAAGTGACAGGGAGAACAGAACCAAGTTGGAAAACACAACTCTGGATACTATCCAGGAGAACTTCCCCAATCTATCAACACAGGCCAACATTCAAATTCAGGAAATACAGAGAACACCACTAAGATACTCCTCAAGAAGAGCAACCCAAAGACACATAATTATCAGATTCTCCAAGGATGTAACAAAGGAAAAAATGTTAAGGGCATCAAGAAAGAAAGGTCAGGTTACCCACAAAGGGAAGCCCATCAGACTAACAGTGGACATCTCTGCAGAAACCCTACAAGCCAGAAGACAGTGGGGGCCAATATTCAACTTTCTTAGAGAAAATAAATTTCAACCCAGAATTTCATATCCAGCCAAACCAAGCTTCATAAATGAAGGAGAAATAAAATCCTTTATAGACAAGCAAATGCTGAGGGATTTTGTAACCACCACGCGTGCTTTACAAGAGCTCCTGAAGGAAGCACTAAATATAGAAAGGAAAAAACTGGTCCCAGCCACTGCAAAAACACCAAAATATAAAGACCAATGACTCTATGAAGAGACTGCATCAACTAATGCCCAAAATAACCAGCTAGTATCATGATGACAGGATGAAATTCACACATAATATTAACCTTAAATGTAAATGGGCTACATGTGCCAATTAAAAGACACAGACCGGCAATTATACAAAGAGTCAAGACTCATTGGTGTACTGTATTCAGCAGACCCATCTCACATGCAAAGACACACATAAGCTCAAAATAAAGGGATGGGGAAATATTTATCAAGCAAATGGAAAGTGAAAAAAAAGCAGGGGTTGCAATTCTAGTCTCTGATAAAACAGACTTTAAACCAACAAAGATTAAAAAAGACAAAGAAGGGCGTTACATAATGGTAAAGGGATCAACAAGAAGAGCTAACTATCTTAAATACATATGTACCCAATACAGGAGCACCCAGATTCATAAAACAAGTTCTTAGAGACCTACGAAGAAACTTAGACTCCCAAACAATAATAGTGGGAGACATTAACACCCAATTGTCAATATTAGAAAGACCAATGAGACAGAAAATTAACAAGCATATTCAGGACTTGAACTTAGCTCTAGACCAAGTGGACCTAATAGACATCTACAGAACTCTCCACCCCAAATTAACAGAATATACATTCTTCTCAGTGCCACATGGCACTTATTCTAAAATTGACCACATAATTGGAAGTAAAACACTCCTCAGCAAAAGGAAAATATGGGAAATCATAACAAACAGTCTCTCAGACCACAGTACAATCAAATTAGAACTCAGGATTAGGAAACTTACTCAAAACCGCACAACTACATGGAAATTGAACAACCTGCTCCTGAATGACTCCTTGGTAAATAACGAAATTAAGGCAGAAATAAAGAAGTTCTTTGAAACCAATGAGAACAAAGAAACAATGAACCAGAATCTCTGGGACAAAGCTACAGCAGTGTTAAGAGGGAAATTTATTGCACTAAATACCCACAACAGAAAGCTGGAAAGATCTAAAATCGACACCCTAATATCACAATTAAAAGAACTAGAGAAGCAAGAGCAGACAAATTCAAAAGCTAGCAGAAGACAGAAATAACTAAGATCAAAGCAGAACTGAAGTAGACAGAGACATGAAAAACCCCTGAAAAAAAAAAATCCAGGAGCTGGTTTTTTGAAAAGATTTACAAAATAGATGGACCACTAGCTAGACTAATAAAGAAGAAAAGAGAGAAGAATCAAATAGACACAATAAAAAATGATAAAGGGAATATCACCACCAATCTCACAGAAATACAAACTACCATCAGAGAATACTATAAACACCTCTACGCAAATAAACTAGAATATCTAGAAAAAATGGATAAATTCCTGGACACATACACCCTTCCAAGACTAAAACAGGAAGAAGTCAGATCCTTGAATAGACTAATAACAAGTTCTGAAATTGAGGAGCTACTTAATAGCCTATCAACCAACAAAAGCCCAGGACCAGATGGAATCACAGTCAAATTCTATCAGAGGTACAAAAAGGATCTGACACCATTGCCTCTGAATCTATTAGAAACAATAGAAAAAGAAAGACTCCTCCTTAACTCATATATAAGGCCAGCATCATCCTGATACCAAAACCTGGCAGAGACACAACAAAGAAAGAAAATTTCAGGCCAATATCTCCGATAAACATTGATGTGAAAATCCTCAGTAAAATACAGGTATACCAAATCCAGCAGCATATCAAAAAGCTTATCCACCAACGATCCAGTCGGCTTCATCCCTGGGATGTAAGTCTAGTTCAACGTATGCAAATCAATAAACGTAATTCATCATATAAACAGAATCAATGACAAAAACCACACGATTATCTCAACAGATGCAGAAAAGGCTTTTGATAAAATTCAACATCTCTTCATGCTAAAAACTCTCAATAAACCAGGTGTTGATGAAACATATCCCAAAATAATAAGAGCTATTCATGACAAACCCATAGCCAATAACATACTGAATGGGCAAAAGCTGTAAGCATTCCCTTTGAAAACTGGCACAAGACAAGGATGCCCTCTCTTACCATTCCTATTCACCATAGTATTGGAAGTTCTGGCCAGGGCAATCAGGCCAAAGAAAGAAATAAAGGGTGTCAAATAGGAAGAGACGAAGTCAAATTGTTTCTGTTTGCAGACGACATGATTGTATATTTACAAAACCCCATTGTCTTATCACAAAAACTCCTTAAACTGATAAGTAAATTCAGCAGTCTCAGGAGACAAAATCAACGTGCAAAAAAACACAGGCATTCCTGTACACCAACAATAGACAAGCAGAGAGTGAAATCATGAGTGAACTCCCATTCACAATTGCTACAAAGATAATAAAGTACCTAGGAATAAAACTTACAAGGGACGTGAAGGACCTCTTTAAGGAGAACTACAAATCGCTACTCAAGGAAATAAGAGAGAACACAAACAAATTGAAAATTATCCCATGCTCCTTGATAGGAAGAATCAATATTATGAAAATGGCCATACTGCCCAAAATAACTCATAGACTTAATGCTATTCCCATCAAGCTACCAGTGGCTTTCTTTGCAGAATTAGAAGAAACTGCTTTACATTTCATATGGAACAACAAAAGAGCCCATATAGCCAAGACAATCCTAAGCAAAAAGAACAAAGCTGGAGGCATCATGCTACCTGACTTCAAACAATATTACAAGGCTACAGTAACCAAAACAGCATGGTACTGGTACCAAAACAGATATATAAACCAATGGAACAGAATAGAGGCTCAGAAATAACACCACACAACTACAACCATCTGATCTTTGCAAACCTGACAAAACCAAGCAATGGGGAAACGATTCCTTATTTAATAAATGGTGTTGGGAAAACTGGCTATCCATATGTTGAAAACAGAAACTGGACTCCTTCCTTACACCTTATACAAAAATTAACTCAAGATGGATTAAAGACTTAAACATAAAACCTAAAACCATAAAAACCCTAGAGGAAAACCTAGGCAATAAAATTCAGGACATAGGCAGAGGCAAAGACTTCATGATGAAAACACCAAAAGCAATTGCAACAAAAGCCAAAATTGACAAATGGGATCTAATTAAACTAAAGAGCTTCTGCACAGTGAAAGAAACTGTCATCAGAGTTAACAGGAAACCTACAGAATGGGAGAAAATTTTTGCAAGCCACCCATCTGACAAAGGTCTAATATCCAGAATCTACAAGGAACATAACAAATTTACAGGAAAAAACAAGCAAACAACCCCATTAAAAAGTGGGCAAAGGATATAAACAGACACTTCTCAAAAGAAGACATTATGCAGCCAACAAACATGAAAAAAAAGCTCATCATCACTGCTCATTAAAGCAATGCACATCAAAACCACAATAAGATACCATCTCATACCAGTTAGAATGGTGATTATTAAAAAGTCAGAAAACAAAAGATGCTGGTGAGGATGTGGAGAAATAGAATGCTTTTACAGTATTGGTGGGAGTGCAAATTAGTTCAACCATTGCAGAAGACTGTGTGATGATTCCTCAAGGATCTAGGAACAGAAATACCATTTGATCCAGCAATCCCATTACTGTGTGTATACCCAAAGGACTATAAGTCATTCTACTATAAAGATACAGTATTGAAGCACTATTTACGATAGCAAAGACTTGGAACCAACCCAAATGCCCATCAATGGTAGACTGGATAAAGAAAATGTGGCACACATATACCATGGAATACTATGAAGCCATTAAAAATAATGAGTTCATGTCCTTTTTAGGGACATGGATGAAGCTGGAAGCCATCATTCTCAGCAAACTAATACAGGAACAGAAAACAAAACAACGCATGTTCTCATTCATAAGTGGGAGCTGAACAATGAGAACACATGGACACAGGGAGGGGAAGATCACACACTGGGGCCTCTCGGAGTGTGGGGGGATAAGGGGAGGGAGAGCATTAGGACAAACACCTAATGCATGCAGGGCTTAAGACGTAAATGACAGGTTGATGGGTGCAGCAAATCACCATGGCACATGTATACCTATATAACAAACCTGAACGTTCTGCACTTGTATCCCAGAACTTAAAGTAAACCAAAAAAAAAAAAAAAAAAGAAAGAAAGAGAAAAAAAAGAGGGAGAAAATTGAAAGTTTAATTGTATATTCCAAAGTACTGGGGTCTTTTTTGTAGTTTTTTTTTTTTTCAGTTAAAACTATGTCAATTTTTAAAAGTGGAAATATTTAAAATTATCAAAGAGAAGTCATAGATTGCTAAGAATGAAAATAACAAGAAACTTGCTGAACTAATTAAGAGGAGACTGCAAATAAGTATGTTTCTTAAGGTAATAGAAGAGGAGTTAAATTCAGAGAAACTCTTAAATGTTGTTAATGGGTTAAATTTGGGTTTATTGCTAACAAATGCACACAACTGGATTTTTTTTTTCTTGATTCCGTTCTGGAAAAAATATGAACAATCATCTGCGCCATCTGCTGATGACCATCTGTTGAGGGAAGGGAGTGGTATCATATTTGTTTAACAAACACTTTAAAAAAACTAAACAGAGGAAAAAGTGTTCAGGAAACTGCTACATTTAGCACAAAGAAATGAAAATAACTGTCATCAGAATAATTTGCAAAGCAATGACCTAATTTTTAAATAGTGATTGGGGAAAAATTTTATATTGGTAGAAAATTAAGTCAACGTATCAATGTCAGATTTACAGAAAGCTTTTTTTCAAATATTGAATACATTTGAGGATGCTATTGTATGATATTCTTATCTAAACATATCACTAAAATTAATATTTTATGGTAATAATTTTTATTAACTAAATGATATTTTTATTTTTATCAATTTATTTTGCCTTATTTTTTAACATAAACTCACTGCTTTCTTGTTTTTAATTGAAAGAATAAAGAATACATGAAAGGTGAGAGGAAATGACAGAGAATTATACCATCTGTTTTCATTGACTGAAAGTAACTAAATTTAGCAAATACTATTGGTGCAACTGAGAAATTTTCAATATTATTATATTTTAGCATTTGGAAGACTGAAGGAAAATATGCTTCTTATAAGTGAGAAAAGTAAAAGTAGCTTTAATTTTAGGAGAAATTAGTATTTAGATTAATAATTATGTATAGGAAATGTGTGACTTGTTACATTTTATATATTTTTATATTTCCATGACACTACAAGTTCCTGATTTATACCTCCTTTTTGCCAGCTTTAATCTTTATGGTTGGTTCTCTTTTATTTATTTACAAATTTCAAATCATAAAATATTCCAAACTCACAGAAACTCACCTTTTACCCTCTTTTCTATTACTCTACAAATCTTCAGGGATATTTTCAGCCCTATATATGTCTCTGTTTGTAGCATCTTTGTTCTGATGACTACATAATCCTGCTGTTAAGAGAGGTCTCAAAGTGTGTATCTCATTGACAACTCTAACTCAATGAAACTTCTTATCTACTTTTCAAAATCTACTCTCTCACATATTTTATTCTACTTCATAAAAAAGCTACATTTCTTTATTTGCATAAAGTTGTTTTCCAATTTACCTATGCATTTGCTCTGCATGCTTTACTGTATTAGTGCTTTATTATAAAATGAAAGTGTCAATTTAGGATGTATTAATTGAACCCACATAATTCTAAGTTTGAATAAGAATATTAGAATAAAATTGCAGCATATTTCTTTAAAAAAGGATTAACTCTTTACTATGTACTGAAAAGGCCTAGTAACCCAATGGCAATGTTGAAATTGTGGTGTCTAAATACCACTTCCAACTAAAAGAGATCAGGAGTTTTAGTAGAGGTGACTGATACATAAACTGAAACAGAATATTTTAAAGACGAATCTGGAGTATAATCATAAAATAGAGCAAAAGAGTCATCAAAAGTACTGCAATCATTCACTTTTTTCAATATTATACAGGAATTTGTATTTCATACAATGAAAAAAGAAAAGGAAATAAAAATTATGTGGATCAAGAAGTAAGAAATAGAGCTGCCTTCTTTACAGATAGCATGATTATGTATGCAGAAAATTCAAAAGAATCAACAAAAAACCTCCTTAACCAATAAAATGATTTTAGCAAGTTTGCAGGATACTAAACTAATATATAAAAATCAAACACTTCCATATATACCAACAAATAACAATTAAAACTCGAAATTGAAAATATCATACCATTTACATTAGCACCTCTCCAGATAAAATACTTACATACAGATCTTAAAGTATATGCACAAGATACATATAAAAAATTATAAAATTCTGATAAAAAATTAGAGAATTAAATAAGTTAAGATATATTCCATGTTTTTGAGTAAGAAAGCTCAAAGCTCAATATTGGCTAGATGTCTTTTCTTCCCGAGTTAATTCACAGATTCAACACAATACCAACCAGAATCCTAGCAAGTTATTTTATGAATATTGACAAGCTCATTTTCAAGTTTACATGTAGAGTCAAAAGACCCAGAACAGTCAATGCATTAAAAAAATAAGAAGAACAAAGGTGGAGGGCTGATACTATCCAACTTAAAGAATTACTATAAAGCTACAGTAATCAAGACAGTGTGGTTTGGCAAAAGAATAGTCAAATCTATCATTGCTACAGAATGAAGATTTCAGAAATAGACCCACATTAATTTAGCCAACTGATCTTTGATAAAGAAGCAAAGGTAATACAAAGAAGCAAAGGTAGCCATTTTAGCAAATGGTTCTGGAACAACTAGAAATTTATATGCAAAAAAAAATGCGTGTGCTAATTTTACATGCTTTGCAAACATTATCTCGAAATGAATCATAAACCAACATGTAAACTCTAAAACTATAAAACTCCTGGAATATAACATAGAAAAAAAATCTAGATGACCTTGGGTATAGCAAACACTTTTTAGATGAAATACCTAAGGCATAATCTATGAAAGGAATAATTGCTAAGCCAGATGTGTTACTCGGGGTTTTCCAGAGAAACAGATTTAATGGCACACACATGCACACACGCGCACACACACACACACAAACACATATGAATATTATATACACACACTCACATGAGGAAACTTCAAAAAGTTCATAAACATATAATTAAGAAAAAAATTAAAAGTATAAACTTTATTTCACAACATAAGTTTAATCAAGTTCAAAACACTTTTATAAGTGATGATACCAGCCATTTAGTTTATTCCTAAAAAATTGAAGGTTCAGAGAGTTTAGCAACATCAATGCAGTCTTTTTTACATTATGAACTGAAGAAAAATGGGTGCTCTTTAATGATTTTTTAAGGTTAGAAAACAAAAAGAAGTCCATACTTCCTGTTTACTCTACAGATCTATAAACCAAAATAAAACTCTTTTTAAAATAAATTACCCAGCCACAGGTATTTCTTCAGAGCAATGCCAGAACGGACTAAAAGGCAGGAACTATTTTAATTTTTTCTCACAAATTGATGTGGACTGTCTGCCACTGTGGGCTTCATGTCAAAAATCATCTTTTTACTTCTTAAAATGAGTTATCCATTTGTAAACTGCTGCTTTATTGTGGCATTTTATTAATAAACTTTTTGTGAACTTTTATCAATGATTGCACTATTTTTCCACTCAAGCTTCACCATAAATTTGATGTTTGCTTCTTGTTCCAATGGTAGCAGAATTTGTGTTTCTCTGATAAAGATTCTTTTCAAACTGATGTTGTGTCCTTCTTAGTGCATCAAACTAGAGCCTCTTCAGCATGTTATATAAGAGGAAACTGACTCATGTGATCATATAAACTGAGCAGTTCCACAATATGCAGTTGGAAAACTGTAGACCCAGGAACGCTAACAGTGTAGCTCCAGTCCACGTCCTAATGTCTGAGAATTAGGAGAGCAAATGGCCTAAACATTGAGAAGAGTTTGTGTCCATAAAACCGGAGCACTTTTCTATTAAAAATAAAAAATCAGAATATGAAATATGATTTAATAAAAATAAAAGAAAAATGTGTTCTGACTGATGTAAAATATAGACTTAAAGATAACATTTGTTATTTATAAGATAACTTGAAGAAATTAAAAATGTAGAAAAAGGATAAAAATATTGAATATGTTATTTTTAAAACAGCAGCAATAAAAGATAGATCTAAGAGATCTATCATTTCTGGATAAAATAAAAGAATTCCATTATCCCATTCCAACAAAAGAATAGAAACAATTAGAGACTGAAGAATTATCAAATAATGAAATGAAGAAATTTTTCTGATTTGAAGCCATTTTTATCTTCAGATGGATTCATCTCCTTGTTATATCTCTAAAATGAAAAATGTGTACCTACATGTGAATAACCACAATGATATCAAACTCAACATGACCTAAAGTGGAGCTCATCATTTTTGTGTATAAATACTTTAACTCAGAAGTGAGTTACCTTGGATATCTTGGGGTCACAGAAAGCAAAAGAAAGCTCAGTGACTTATTGCAGTACTAGAAAACCTGTAGTTTAATAGATAGTAAATAATATAAGAGAATACAAGTTCCTGAGAAGAAACTACAAAACCTCTCTAAGCGGTAAATTACACACAGAAGCCCAGAGAAGATGTACCTCTATACAAGGTTTGTAAGGCCAACAATCTCTCTAGGCAGTCTGATTGAAGAAAGTCTTCCCCCTGTACAAAATCAGTCTGCAAAGATTAAAAGAGGTTGCTTTTTGTTTGTTTTTTTTTTCAAATACACAAATCATATCCAAAAAATGACAAAGCATGTAAAGAAACAGAAAAACATGGCCCAAAGGAAAAAATATGAATCTCTAAAAGCCCATCTCAAGGAAGCATAGGTCTATGAATTATTTGACAAAGAATTCAAAATAATCAACTCAAAGAAGCTCAATGTACTAGAAAAGAATACAGATAGACAACTAAATCGAACCAGGAAAACAATGAAAGAACACAATGACAGCATCAACTAGGACATATAAACTATATTTAAAATAAAACCAAACAAATTCTGGCACGCAAGGACACAATAACTAAATTTATAAATTAACTAGAAGGAATCAACAGCAGACTTCCAAGCAAAAGAAAGAATTAGAAAGTTCAAAGTCAGATCATTTGAAGTAATCAACTCAGAGGAACAAAATGAAAAAATAACAAAGGAAAGTGACGGAAGGCTAAGGATTTTATGAGACACCAGCAAGAGCCTCAGGACAAAAAAAAAAAAAAAAAAAAGAGGGAGAGAATGAGGCAAAGAGCTTATTTGAAGAAATAATGGCCAAAAACTTTCCAAATCTGAGTAAGGAAATGTGAACCTGAATTCAAGAACCTCAAAGGACTGAGACTAAAGTGAAATCAAAGAGGCTCACAAGACCTATTATGATCAAACTGTCAAACAGATTTATTACCAAACTAAGAATTTTGTCAGTAGCAATAGAAAAGTGACTTGTCAGGTACAAAGGAGCTTCCATAAGTGGAATGTGTGGTGATATCCTTAAAGCACTAAAAGAAAAAAAAAACTTTAAACCAAGAACACTTTATCCTGTAAAACTTTCAAAAATAAAGGAGAAATAAACACATTCCAAAAGTTGAGGGAGTTCATCCCCACTAGAATTGCCTTATAAGAATAGCTGAAAAGAGTGCTTCAAGTTGAAGCATCAAAGAATGATAGACAGTAACATGAAAGCATACAATAATATATGGGTCTCTGGCAAAAGTAAATATACATACAAATACAATTTTCTATATTTCTACAATAATGATGCATAAAACACTTGTAATTCAAGTATAAAGGATAAAAGCATAAGAATAACTGTAACTATAAATGTATATTAATCATACAAAAATTAAAAAGATGTAATTTGTGGCATCAAAACATAAAATAGAGGAGAGATGTAAAGCAATTGAGTTTTTATATGTAATTCAATTTATTATCAGTTTAAAATAAATATTTATAAGATGATTTATTTAATCTTCATGGTAATCAATAGGAAAATACCTATAGAAATGCCTGAGAGAAAATTGGAAAGGTATCAAAGGATGTCACTAAGAAAAAAATTAATGAAACACAAATCAGCGAAAGAGGAAAAGACAGACAAAATAGCCACAAGATGTAGAGAAAACAATAAAGAAATTGCAATCGTACATTCTCTTATTAGTAATTACTGTTTAAAAAAATAACTAAACTCTTCATTCAAAAGACATGATTGCTGAATAAATTAAAAAATAAGATCTAAATATATGCTGTCTACAAGATACTAGCTTTAGATATAAGAATATACATAGGCTGAGGATAGAAAGATGGAAAAAGATGTTCCATGGAAATACTAACCAAAAGAGAGCAGAAGTGGTGATACTTATGCTAGAAAAGATAGACTTTAAGTCAAGACCTGTCACATTAGACAAAGAAGGTCATTATATAGTATACAAGGTCAAGTCAATAAAAAGATATAATGATTATAAATATACATGTGCATAACAGAGAGCAGTCAAATATATAAAACAAACATTTACACCACCGAAAGGAGAAATAAGTGGTAACACAGAAATAATAGACAATTCCAACACTTTCTATAATGGATAGATTCACTGGACCAAAAAAAAATCAGTTAAGTAGAAGACTTGAACAACGCTATAGACCAACCAGACCCAATAGACGTATACAGAACACTCTACCCCACTACAGCCGAATACACATTATTCTAAAGTGCTCATAAAACATCCTGAAGAAAAATTACACGTTAACCACATCACAAAGCTTAACAAATTTAAGAAGTTTGAAATCATCTTAAGTATACTTTGTGACCATAAGTAACTCAAATTAGAAGAACAATAGCAAAATGAAAACTTTAAAATGTACAAATATGTCAAAATTAAGCAAAACATTATTGAAAAAACAATGGACATAGGAGAAATAACAAGGGAAGTAACAGATGAGAACTGAAAATAAAAATATAACACACTTATGGGATGCAGCAAAAGTAGTACTAATGGAGGAGTTGGTAGTGATAAATGCCAATATTTAAAAATAAGGCTGGTATGAGATGGTATACCATTGTAGTTTTGATGAGCATTTTTTTAATACGCTTGCTGGACACACGTATGTCTTATTTCCAGAATTGTCTACTTACGTCCTTTGCGCATTTTTAGTGACGTTATTTGTTTTTTGCTTGTTGAATTTTTTTAAGTTCCTTATAGATTATATATATTAGACCTCCCTCATATGCACAGTTTGTGAATATTTCTTCCCAGTTGTCTGTTTACTCTGTTGATAGTTTATTTTGCTGTGCAGCAGCTCTTTAGTTTAATTAGGTCCCACTGGTCAATTTTGTTTTGGTTGCCATTGCTTTTGGGAACTTAGTCATAAGTTATTTCCCAGGACCCATGTCTGGAGTGGTATTTCCTAGGTTTTCTTCTAGAATTTTTATAGTTTTAGAACTTATATTTAAGCCTTTAATCCATCATGCATTAATTTTTGTATATGGTGACAAATGGGGTGCAGTTTCATTCTTCTGCATAAAGCTAGCTAGTTATTCCAGCATCATTTATTAAATACAGAGTCATTTCCCCATTAATTATTGTCAGCTTTGCCAAAGATCAGATGATTGTAGGTGTATGGCTTTATTTCCAGGTCCTCTACCCTGTTTCATTAGTTTATGTTTTCATTTTTGTACCCAGTACTATGCTGTTCTTGTTACTGTAATCTTGCAGTATAATTTGAATTCAGGTAGGGTAATGCCTCAGGCATTGTTCTTTTTTCTTAAGATGATTGTTTTGGTTATTTCACTTTTTTTGTGGGTTTCCAAATGAATTTTAGAATAGTTTGAGATACTATCTCATACAAGTCAAGATGATTAATATTAAATGCCAAAACACAACAGATGTTTGCGAGGTTGCAAAGAATATGAAATGTGTATACACCGTTGATGGGAATATAAATTAGTTCAGCCACTGTGGAAAGCAGTTTTGAGATTTCTCAAAGAACTAATAACAGAACTACTATTTGACCCAGCAATCCCATTACTGGGTATATACCCAAAGAAAAATAAATTGCTCTACCAAAATGACAAATGAACTCAAATGTTTATTGCAGCACTATTTACAATAGCTAAGAGATGAAATCAACCTAGATGTCCATCAATGGTGGACTAGATAAAGATAATATAGCTCATATACACCATGGAATACTACACAGCCATAAAAAAGAATGAAATTATGTTCTTTGCAGCCACATACATGAAGGTTAAGGCCACTATCCTAACTAAATTAATGCAGTAACAGGAAACCAAATACCACATGTTATCCATTATAAGTGGGAACTAAACATTGAGTACACCTGAACATAAAGATAAGGACAATAGACGTTGGGGACTATTAGAGAGGGAGAGAAGGAGGGTGGGGTGAAGTTTAAAAAGCTACCTATCAGGTGCTAAGCTCATCACCTAGGTGATGTGATCAATTGTTCACCAAACCTCAGCAACATGCAATTTACTCATGTAACAAACCTGCACATGTATCCCCTGAACTTAAAAGTTGGAAAGAAAAAAATAATAAGTGGAAAGAACTAAAGTCAAAAACCTATGTTTATAATTCAAGGAGCTAGAAAAATAAGAATAGACTAAACCAAAGTAAGCAGAAGTAAGAGGGTGATACAAATTAGGAAATAATGAAGCAAACGAAAACCAAGTATAAAAAATTAACAGAAATATAAATTTGGTTTTGAAAAGATCAACAAAATTAACAATATCCTTATCTAAATTGACTAGGGAAAAAAGGAGAAAAAATTTAAACAACAAAAACCAGATAGGAAAGAACAAACATTACACTAGATCTCACAGAAAGAAAAAGCATTATAAGAGACTGCTAGGGACAATTAGATGCTAAATTTGATAACCTAGAAGAAATGCATAAATTTATAGAAACGTACAACATATCAATCCTCAATCATGAAAAAATAAAAAAAAAATTGAACAAACCTAAATAATAATGAGACTAAATCGGTAAAAACAAAAACCTCTCATCAAAGAAAAGCCCAAGACAAGGGATAATTCTACCAAACATTTGAAGAAGAATTAACGCCAATATTTAAAGTCCTCTGTGTTAGGGTTCTCTAGAAGGATGGAACTAACGGGATCTATGTATATGTAAAAGGGAGTTTATTAAGGAGAATTGACTCACACGGTCACAAGGCGAAGTCCCATGATAAGCTGACTACAAGTTGAGGAGCAAGGAAGCCAGTAGTGGCTCAGTCTGAGACCCAAAACCTCAAAAGTAGGGAAGCCGACAGTAGAGCCTTCAGTCTGTGGTGGAAGGCTTGAGAGCCCCTGGCAAACCGCCGGTGTAAGTCCAACAGTCCAAAAGCTAAAGAGCTTGAAGTTTGATGTTCGTGGGCAGGAAGAATCAGTATGGGAGAAAGACGAAGGTGGGAAGACTCAGCAAGTCAGATTCTTCCACCTTCTTTTGTCTGCTTTTCCTAGCTGCTCTGGCAAATTGGACGGTGCCCAACCACACTGTGAGTGGGTCTTCCTGAGGGTCGGTCTTCCTTTCCCAGTCCACTGACTCAAATGTTAATCTCTTCTGGCAGATACACCCAGAAACAATACTTTGCATTCTTCCATCCAATAAAGTTGATACTTAATATTAATCATCACGTCCACCAAAGTAAATAAATAAATAAATAAGTAAATAAATAAATAAGAATGCTTTACATTTATTCTGTGAGGCCAGTCTTACTTTGATACCAAATTCAGACAATGGAAGGGGGCCGGAGATGGCAGACTAGAGGCAGCTAATGTACACCACTCTTGTAGAGAGGAAAGATCTGAGAAACCATGTTAGGATCCATCAAGGCAGCCAGGGAACACAGAGAAGAGAGGAGCAAAGTTGGACACCAGCCTGTCTGTACTCAGCACAGAGCCAGAAAAACCTCTCTAACATGGGAAAGGGTGAGTGAGTGAGAGCCCCCAGGGATTAACGCTTTCTATAGAGAATGGGAGAATCAACCCGGCCCCCCCACCACACTTTTAGACTGAGGCAGAGAGCCACCTGGACATTTTGCAGGGCAAATCCTGAGTCCAAGCAGACCTCCACAAAGCTTGGGTCCCAGAGCAGACCAGCACTGGTGTCACAGCCCCAATAGAGGCTGCAGTTGCAGTACTCGGGAAAACTAACATTGCTCCACCACCACTTGTTAGCCAGGGCTCTGCACGAGCTTCCAGACCAGCCATCTTGCTTTGGCCCAAACCTGGCCTGCCATCCCTTCCACCCCTGCCACTGGTAACCAACAGGAAACTCTACCTAGAGCTATTGGCCCAGCAGTCCCACTTTTGTGAAAACTCATCTGGAGGGCGCAGTCTCCTGTAGTAATGGGAAATATCCTGATGTCAGAGCAAGAGACCCCACTCACCCCTGCCACTGGCAGTCAGGTGGTAGGTGCCTGCTAGAGCCTCTGACCCAATGGCCCAACTTCTGTGTGAACTCAGCAGGAGGGTGTAGCTTCCTGTTGACACAGGAAACACCCAGACAGCAGAGCAAGAGACCACACCCACCTCCACCACTGGTATCCAGGCAGGCAATGCCTGCTGGAGCTTCTAGCCCAGCAGCTTTTCTTCTACACAAATCCAGCTGGAGGGTAGAGAGTCCTGTTGTCCCAGGAAACACCAGGATGGCAGGGTGTATGACCTAATAGCCAGGCAGGCAAAACCTGCTAGAGCTCCCAGCCCAGTGGTCTTATGTGTGCCTGAATTTGCCAAGGGGTGCAGCCTACTCTTTCCCTGGAAACACTCAGAGGACAGACATGGCAGTCTCACCCAACCAGACCCCCAGGTTGTTTTCCATAATTAACCTCATAAAGCTGACAAACACAGTACAAGTATTTCATAACACACTTTCAAGTATTAACAGCAGAATAGACAAAGCTGAGGAGAGCATCTCAGAGCTGGAAGGTCCTTTGCAGGAAAATGGATGGAACTAGAGGCCACCATCCTTAGCAAACTAACATAGAAGCAGGAAACCTAATACCACAGGTTCTCACTTATAAGTGGGAGCTAAATAAAGAGAACACATGGACAGACGGGAACAACGGACACTGGGGCCTACTTGAGGATGATAGGTGAGAGGAGAAAGAGGTTCAGAAACAAAAAAAAAACTGCTGGGTGTTATGCTTAGTAACTGGGTGATGATATAATCTGCACACCAAACTCCTGAGTCAGAAGTTTACCTATATAAGAAATCTGCACATGTACCCCTGAACCTAAAACAAAATTAAAATATTTTTTAAATTAGATGATTTCACAAGAAAAGAATACTAAAGATTGATATCCCTAGATAAATATTAATGCAAAAATCCTCACCAAACACTAGCAAACCAAATTTAACAACACATTAAAAGGATTATTCATTATAACCAAGTGAGATTTATTTATAAAATGCAAAGATGTTTCAGTATACTGAAACCAATCAATAAAATACACATTAAAATAATGAAGAATATAACCACATTATACTTTCAATTGATTCAGAAAAAGCATTTGGCAAAATTCAAATATGTTTCATAATAAAACACTCAATGAAGTAGAAACAGAAGGAAATTACGTCAATATAATCAAGGCCAAAATATATTCACATCTTTAACATTATTCTCAATGGTAAAAACTATTTACCTCTAAGATCAGAAACAATAAATGTATGTCTAATATCACCATTTCTATTCAACATAGTAGTAGAAGTCTCAACCACAGCAATCATGCAAGAAAAAGAAATAAAAGTCATCTAAATAAGAAAGAAAGAAGTAGAATTATCTCTATTTGCTAATTACATAATTCTGTGTGTAGACAACCCCCTTTCAGTGGAATACTACAAGAGCTAATAAATGTAGCAGTTTCAGTATACAAAGTCAATATGTGTACATTAGTTGCATGTACATACACTTAGAATGAATAAGCCAAGAAGAAAATTTGATGTTTACCATAGCATCAAAAAAATTAAAAACAAATGTATCAAAGGAGGTGAAAGACTTCTATACATAAAGCTACAAAGCATTGCTGAAAGAAATTAAAGACACAAATAAATGGAAAGAAATCTTGTGTCCACAGATTGGAAGATCTAATATTGTCAAATGTCCATACCCAACCAGAGATGTAATACAATTTCTAGCAAATTCCTAATGCATTTATTTTAGAAATTTTTAAAATCCTAAAATTCATATAAAACCACAAAGGACCCCAAACAGCTAGAAAGAGCCAAAAAAAAAAAAAAATCTTGAGCAAAAACAAAGTTGAAGGCGTTATACTTTGTGACTTCAAAAAATATTACAAAGCTATATTTACCAAATAGTTTGGTAATGACATAAAGACAGGCTTATGGACCAATGCCATACAGAACAGAGAGCCCCAAAATAAACTTTTGTGTGTATGGTCAAATGGTCTTCAGCTAAAATGCCAACATTACATAATGGGAAAATGATCATCTCTCTTCAACAAATGATGTTGGAAGAACTGTATTTCTACATATAAAATAATGAATGTATTTCTACATATAAAATAATGTATGTATTTCTACATATAAAATAAAATAATGTATAACATATACAATTAATGATGTTGGAAGAACTGTATTTCTACATATAAAATAAATTGGACCTTTGCCTTAGATTATACGTAAGAATTAATACAAAATAGATTAAAGAAGTAAACAAGTGACCCAGTCCTGTAAAACTCTTAGAAAAAGCATAAGGTAAAAGCCTCACGACATTGGATTTGGCATGATTTCCTGCATATGATACCAAAAGCACAGACAACAAAACCAAACATAGACAAATGGATTTACATCAAGCTAAACCAATTTTTTACAGTGAATAAAACCATTAACACAGTGAAAAAGTGACTCACAGAATGGGAAAAATTGCTTGAAAACTGTATATCTGATAAAGAGTTGATACCTAGTTAATAACTACATATATTCTACAACTCAAGAACAACAAAAATTCAAATAAAAAAAGGAGAACTTGAAAAGACATTCCCTTTAAAGATATACAAGGCTGAGCATGGTAGCTCACGCCTGTAATCCCAGCACTTTGGGAGGCCGAGGCAGGTGGATCACCTGAGGTCAGGAGTTCGAGACCAGCCTGGCCAACATGGTGAAACCCCGTCTCTACTAAAAATACAAAAATTAGCCGGGCATGGTGGCAGGCACCTGTAATCCGAGCTACTCAAGAGGCTGAGTCAGGAGAATCACTTGAACCCAGGAGGCGGAGGTTGCAGTGAGCTGAGATCATGCTATTGTACTCCAGCCTGGGGAACAAGAGCAAGACTTCATCTCAAAGAAAAAAAAAAAGATATACAAATGGCATACATTATACGAAAAAAAATGGCCAACATAAGTAATTACTATAGCAATACGAAACAAACCACAAAATATTACTTCATGCTCCTTATGACGGGCACTATCTAAAAAACAAAAACTTACAAGTGTTGGCAAGGATGTGGAGAATTTGGAATATGTGGGCACTTTTGGTGAGAATATAAAACAGTACAACCACTATGGAAAACAGTACAAACATTCAGCAAAAATTTAGAAATAGAATTACCACATAATTTCGCAATCCCACTTTTAAGTATATATCCAAAAGAATTGAAAGCAGAATCTCAAAGAAATGTTTGCAAACCCATATTCATTGTAGCATTATTCATGATAGCCAAGAGATAGACAACCAAAATGCCCATCAACAGATGAATGGATAAAGAAAATGTAATATACATATACTATGCAATATTATTTAGCCTTCCAAGAGAACTCATTCCCGTTATACGCTACAACGTGGCTGAAACTTGAGGATATTATGCTGTATGAAATAAGCTAGTAACAAAAAAGACAAATACTGCATGTTATACTTCTATATTGTATCTAAAACCATCAAACTCTTAGAAACAGGCTGGGAGAATTTTTAAAGGGGAGTTGTCGTTGAGTATATAGAGAGTCTCAGTACTGCAAGATAAAAAAGAACAGAACAGTTCCCTTCAGATTGTTCTTAATTATATAGACTGAAATTGTGAATTGTATTCAAAATTATAAAACGTTTGTGCGTGATTTTTATGAATCATGGAATATATTTTGCTATATATGCCAACAATTTTAGCTTACCAGATTTCATTGAACACGTAAAAATCAGTCATAAATGTACTTAAATGTGTACTGAAAAATAAAATATTCTGCAAATATAGGTTAAATTTATTTAAACAGAAAGTGTATTTA
This sequence comes from Homo sapiens, assembly GCF_000001405.40. NCBI lineage: Eukaryota > Metazoa > Chordata > Mammalia > Primates > Hominidae > Homo > Homo sapiens. The sequence continues at coordinate 55,967,912 of NC_000013.11, forward strand.
ATTAAACAGCATTCTTATAAAGTTTGGCATTGTGATTTCAGCTGCCATATTATTCCCTAGAATAGCTATGAACAGTAATTTCATTGAGTTTGGAGGTGATACTAATTTAAAAGATGGTATCAGTATTGCTAATAGTAATATGATGTACTATCTTTACCAAATAAAACTAGACTAAAATAAATTTTATTTATTTTAGAATAGGAACAATTGACAAAAATTTATCTTGAAAGATGGCAAGACGCTGAATAAAATAAAACCAAATGGAACACCTAAATTTAAATAAATTTCCCATGAATAGGAAATTATTCTATGAATGTAGAGAAGAAATGAGGAGAAAACAGATATAGAATTTTTCTCTTTTTTTTTGAGATGGAGTCTTCCTCTGTTGCCCAGGCTGGAGTGTAGTGGCACGATCTCAGCTCACTGCAAGCTCTGCCTCCCGGGTTCACGCCATTCTCCTGCCTCAGCCTCCCGAGTAGCTGGGACTACAGGCGCCCGCCACAACGGCTGGCTAATTTTTTGTATTTTTAGTAGAGACGGGGTTTCACCTAGCATTTTTAAGATATAGACTTATTTTCTTTTTTTATAAGCTGATAGAAACTCTTTACCATTTTCTATCTTCTTTATATTTTCTATTTAAATGACTTTATGTGATAAGATATTGTTGATTTGTTGTAGCTTTTTTCATATATTTGCTAAACCCAAAAAAGGGAGAGAATATATTTGAGTGAAAGACACTACGTTTTAAGTTGCAATTTCAATTCTGTATTGACACAGAACTGAACCTGAAAGGTTTAGAGTGAATATACTAAGATTAAAATAGAAACCAAAAGAACACTATACCAAAGACATTTATTTTGTTTTTGACTCCTCCCTTAGCAGTAATCCTGGTTTAGGCCTGTGGTCTTGGAATTATTGCTTCTCTGGTGCTCTTTTATTCTTTAAAATGTCTCAACTTAGAGAATAAATTATATGGTCAGTCTATTTATAAATCCTTTAACATATAAATTACATTTGCTGCAGTTTTTAACTCCGTGTTTGTGTTAGAATGTGAGTGTGTGTGTTGGAGTGTGAGTGTTTGTGTGTATGGGTAGAACTGTGACTCAGGATTAATATCACATTGTATAAGGCAAGTAAGAATCAGTAATGTACAGACTGGTTAAGATACAGCATAAATATAGTGACTATATGTAATAACAATGTCTTGTGTACTTGAAAACCTTTAAGAGGATAGATAAGTGTTCTTCCCACAAATAATAGTATGTGAGGTTATGTTTATGTTATTTAGCTCAGTTTAGCCATTTCACAATATATATATATTTCAAAGTGACATATTGTACATAATATGCACAATTTTTGCTTAAATCTTCAAAAGAAGACAAATGGCCAAGCATATGAAATAATATTCGACATCACTATCATTAGAGAAATGCAAATTAAAAGCACAATGAGATAGTATCCTACCCGTCAGAATGGCTATTAGTAAAAAGTGAAAAAATAAAAGATATTGCCAGAATGTGGAGAAAAAGGAACTCTAATCCACTATTGGTGAGAATGTAAATTAAGATAACCTCTATGGAAAATAGAATGGAGATTTCTCAGAGAACTCAAAATATTAGGTTGCTGCAAAAGTAATTGCGGTTTTTGCCATCGAAAATAATAGCAAAAACTGAAATTACTTTTGCTCCACTGTAAGAGACCTACCACTCAATCTAGTGGGTATCTACCCATAAGAAAATAAGTCATTCCAACTAAAAGATAACTGCACTCATATGTTTATTGTAGCACTACTCACAGAAGCAAAGATGCGAAAGCAAGCTAAGTGTCCATCAACAGATAATTAGATAAAATATGGTGTATATACACAATGGAATGATATTAAGCCATAAAAAACAATAGAATCATGTATTTTGCAGCAATACATTTGGAACTGGAGGCCTTTGTCTTAAGTGAGACTCAAACACAGGAAGACAAATACTGCATGCTTTCACTTATAAGTGGGAGCTAAATAATGTGTATACATGAACATAGACTGTGGAATGATAGACAATGAAGACTCAAAGGGTTAGGGGAGGTGAGAGAGAGATGAGTGATGGAAATTATTTAATGGGTACAAGGCACATTATTTGGGTGATGGATACACTAAATGCCTAGACATCACCACTGCACAATATATCCATGCAACAAAATTGCACTTGAGACCCTTACATTTATACAAATTTTGAAAAGTTTATAGATCTAGTCATATAAATATATCAGTCAACAAAACCTGTCTCAAATCAAAAGCAGCCTCAGGACCTTTTCACTAATCTATACGTAAAGAATTCCAAGGAGATTTAGTCCAAATGGGGGAGTGTCAAAAACAAACAAAAAAGAAAAAAATAATTCCAAGGGAAATATCACCACAATCTGAAAGCCCACACATGCCATTCCACATAAAAGTAGGAAAACATTAATTTTGTTCTTTAACAAAACTGAATTAAAATGAAACTCAACTAATTAAACTAAAATTGCACATCTCTATAACTCTGTCCTTACAATATGCAAATATTTGTAACAATCTCAGTAATAAAATGGGAGAATAGTACTTTCCCATACAGATTATGGTAAGTCCTTAATAATAGAGATGAAACTAACTTGTGAAATGATATAAATCACAATAAAGGGGAGAATGCCATGTAGTTATTTTTCTGTGTATGTTTGCATATAAAATTGCTCTTCTAACCTATTTCTGAATCAGATTAATGATTCTTAATTACATTAAGTCTACTGTTTCCCTCAGAAGCTTATGTATTTTTTGTTTGTAAGGTTATTTTTTGTTTTGTTTGTTAATTTTAATTCATGTTTGGGTTCTGTAATAACAGTTTACCCCTATTTAGAAGGCAAATCCATCCACTAGGAATGGGTGTGTTCATTATTTCTTTTCTTACAAAATATTTTTAAGTGTGTCTTATTTGTATCCCAGTAATATAATTTTTATTTCCCAAAAATTTTTGTAATCACAGCATAGATGATGAATCAAAGTCATAAATGTTTGAAAAATTAAATAGTAAAATATATTAGTTTTTCACAGAAGATCTCTTGGAAACACTTCCTATATCTTCTATAAACTTATCTTCTACAATTAATTGGCTATAAGTTTCTCACATGTGGCCAAGAACATTTGGTGACTCAGAACATATTTAGTGTTCAATATCATGACTGAGATATCTGGGACTCCTGGACTAAAATAAAAGATAGGAGAAAAAAAATACTCCAAAGAAAACTTAAGTTCTTTTCTCTATTTTATTGATTTATTTTTGCAAACTACTATCTGTAAGTGGTTATGGGAAATTGAAAATTTTCAAAATTTCACCAGAAAAATGAATCAGAACTTCTATCTGAGTTCCAAAGCTTGTTCTCATTTAGAATGTCTCTGTAACTTCATCTATCCCATGATTTACATGTGCTCAGATTAAAAATCTTAGTGGTAGGCATTAATACTCTTCAAGAATGGTCTGATTCTCTTTGATGCACATCTTAAAATTTTCTTTTCAATTGATTTCATGTTAGGTGTTGTCATGAGACTTACTTTGGACAATGGAATATGAGTGATAATGGCCAGTACTCAATTTATCATCCTCCACCAATCTCTCTCTCTGTTTTTAATCAGCCGAAGAGAACAGACAAGTTCTCAATAGTGGCTGCTCCATCTGCCTGGGTCTGAGAGTAAAGGGAATAGTAGGCCTCCTAGGGAGAGGAGGGTGGATGGAATTAGAGGTGTCAACCATGTTAGCTTGTTTCAGGTGCGAGATAGTAGCAAGGTTGTGGTGCTGGAGTTTAAGTTGAGTAATAGAAATGCGGTAATACAAAGCAGAATGCCCAGCCAGCTTGAAATTGACAGATGTTTATATAAAAATTGAACCTTTATTTTTTAAGTTAATAAGTTTGTTTTTATTATTGATATTATCATGGCATAACCTTATGTATCATGTATGAATCATCAATCTACACATGCCATCAATGAAAAATACTTGGGAAGAGAATGGGAGGGGGGCAAGGGTTACAAAAATAAAAAGAAAATTACCTACTGGGTACTATGCTCAGTACACAGGTGATCCAATTAATCATACTCCAAACCTCAGCATCACAAAATATACTCAAGTGATATGATTTGGATCTGTGTCCCCACCAAATCTCCTATTGAATCGTAGTCCCATTGTTGAAATTGGGTCTGGTGAGAGGGTTTGAGTGATGGGGTCAGATCCCTCATTGCTTGCTGTCCTCCTAAAAGTGAGTGAGTTCTTGCAAGATCTGGTTATTGAAAAGTATGTGGCACTTCCCCTACACTCTCTTCTTGCTCCTGACATGTGACTTGCATCCTCCTGCTTTGACTTCCAACATGAGTAAAAGCTCCCTGAGGCCTTCCCAGAAGCCAAGCAGTTGTGAGTGTCATGCTTGTGTTGCCTGCAGAACCAGGAGCCAATTAAACCTCTTTTCTTTATAAATTACTCAGTCTCAAGTAATTCTTTACAGCAATACAAGAATAGCCTAACATACTAGGTAAAAAATCCCACACATGTACCCCCTGAATCTAAATAAAAGTTAAAATTATTTATAAAAAGAAAAATAATACCTTATACCTCTTTAGCCTTATACTATTTATTTTTGTATATTTAATATCTTTAAGTTTTATTAAAATACAGGCTTCAGGCAGCCAGATACCATCCTAACTCTTTGTTCACCACTATTTCATCACTACCTATAGAGATCTAATACAGGGTAAGCAATAATTAAGTATTGTTAAATAAATAATCTGGCTTAATTTGTAAAAATGACTAAAGAATTATTTGTTCAGGACCTTGTGAATTCAATATTTGTTACTGTTAACAGATATGCAAATCAGATTATTCATAGAGTAATTAATAGCATGTAGGGTCAGTAGACAGAACTAGTGATAAATCTAATGTTTTTGGAACAGGTGGGATTGACAAAAGTATATGCTTCACACCTGATAAACTGAATAAATTAAGTGTAAAATAACATTTCTTTGGATCAAATGCATATATTGTTAAATCTTAAAAGTATTGCCTACTACCTGTATACATTTCTACACTGTCTTCTAACATTTTCTTTATTCCTTTGGTCTAAAAATAACAGAGCCTACAAAAGACCTAGAACATATTATCTTTTGGATGAAGTAGAATTATTTTGGATAAAGTAGAATAACAATTCTTGGCCTCATATCATTTGATTCAATACTTTAAGTTCTCTTCTAATTTCCTATGTAAATACTTTTTGCCTTATATGTAAAATATTGCAGCTGAATGATAAAAAATGTGATCTCTAGAGCCACATGTTGTGGGTCAAATAGAACTGCCAAGGCACCAAGTCTTTGAGCAAATTTATTACCCCGATAATCCTGTACCTCAACTGAATGGAGGTAAAATGTCATTTATCATTGTGTCAAATAATGTAAACTAGATAAAATGCTGAGTAAAATAGTTTGCATAAAGTCAGTTCTCATAAAAATGAGATCCCAAGCTTGACCCAAAAGGAATTCATGGTTTAATAAGAAAGAAGATATGTAAATCTTTGAAATACAATATTATCAGTTCAGATAAAGATAGGCAAAGATGCAATGAGATACAGAGTAGTGTTTACTTACTTATCTAGATAATGTTGGAAAATCAGCAAGGAGGTGATACTTAAGCAGAAACTTGAAGAAAAATCATGACTTGGACAAATGGAGAAAAAAGCAAAATCATATAGAACATAATTTAAAGGGAATAAGGTATAATGAAGCACAGTTTCTAACTAAGTGAATGACGGTGCTATTTACAGAAATGAAATTCTCAATTAAATGCTGCACTCAAGTAGACATCTGGTGAGTGTGGCCTTGAAACTGATATTTGTGAACAGAAAAGTTTTAACTATATTTTTTCTAAAACGATGGTAATTGGGTATCTAGAAAAAGACAATATCACTAGGGTTAAAACTTACTATGGTTTGGCCGGGCACGGTGGCTCACGCCTGTAATCCCAGCACTTTGGGAGGCCGAGGCAGGCGGATCACGAGGTCAGGAGATTGAGACCATCCTGGCTAACACGGTGAAACCCCATCTTTACTAAAAATACAAGAAAAATTAGTCGGGCATGGTGGTGGGCGCCTGTAGTCCCAGCTACTCAGGAGGCTGAGAGAGGAGAATGGCGTGAATACAGGAGGCAGAGCTTTCAGTGAGCCAAGACTGCGCCACTGAACTCCAGCCTGGGCGACAGAGCGAGACTCCGTCTCAAAAAAAAAAAAAAAAAAAAAAAAAAAAATTACTATGGTTCATGAAAAATACGTCAAAGAAAAAAGCTATTGCCATTTTTATGACAGGGTCCATTGATTGGAAACCAGGGCCTTATTACAGAAAAAAAAAAAAAGCTGTTTCTGGACCTGAGAAAATAGTTTCCTCATGATTAATAAATTAATTAGGCCTGGAGGAAACTCTCTATTGGTATGCCATTTGACCGTTGTTTTGTTGTTGTCGTTTGTAGCTTCCCACTAAATAATATTCTCAATAAGCTAAATACAATATACTGCTCAATTTTGCTAGATGTATAGATTTGAGAAGGATAGCAATGTGTGATGGATTACAAAATTAAAAATGCTAATAAACAGGACTACTTGAAACTATAAGGTAAATTTCAAAAGAAACAGGTGCAAAAAATTACATTGAATTAAAAAATCAATACATAAGTACGAAGCCTTCATCTTAAGAAGTCTCCTTCATATTCTGGAATACATTTTCTTGGTGAGAATTACAGTCAATACTTAAAGCAAGAAAAACAGTTCATGATTGAATATATTTGAGAATTCTTAGGAAACACAAAATTAAATAAATGTACTTATTAAATGAAGTCTCAAATTTACTTTTGATAATATCAACTGTAAATCTATATAGGGGAATGACATTAAGTAAAAGTTAAAAATCATTTGAAGTATGAAATCTACCTTTTACAATGAAGGATTTTCTGGGATCAATTTTTTTGTTTCAAAGCTTAACCATTGCTGGAAGTGTAGAAAGTGATTGACATTTTTAGTCAAAGAGATCCTACTAAGGGTAAATTTGCACACATTAAACTGATCACAGTGAGTACCTTATAACTGGTCCCTGATATTAATGCATAAATAATTTTAATTATTTTTGAATGCTGTTTAATATTTAGATTCTTATCTTTTACTTTGTTTATTCACTTATTAGTTATACCAGGTATACATTGATATATGAGGAATATCATAGTGAATAAGATAGACGCTCTTTCTTCAGTGAATTTGCAATCTAGTAGAAGAATAAAGGTACTAAGTAAGCATGATAATTTTGGATTGTATTATATACATTTAAGGAAATATTTAGAATAATATAGTACAAAATATTTAGCTTATTCTTTTAGGGAAAATACTCTGGCAAATCTCAAGGAAACGCAATTTGAGCTGTTAATTAAAATAGAAACAATAAATGAATGAAAGTAGATAAAATGAAAAAAAGGTTTAGAAAGAAATATGAGCACAACTGATGAAGAAACAATAGAACTTCCATGGACAACACATCATAATTTTTGTCTTATTAAGGAGGGAGAGAATTGTAAAGTTATTATATATCTTTTATTTGAATACAAAATAAAAAATTGTTTTATTTTTAACTTCTCTTCCATGCCTTAATACTTAGTGAAGATTCATCTTGTATTTTAACATTGTATGTATATTTTAATTATTCAGGTTTATCTGTGAGTTTTTATATTGCTTATATTTCAGCAATTTATTTTTTATTTTAGTAGGAAATTGGTAGAAGTTAAAGCAACAGGTGTTAAGAAGATACTACTTAAACTAGAAGTCACTTTTAAACTTTGATTAATGTTACACATTAATCATAATACTTTAGGAATCTGGACTCAACAATAGAGTTCTGCTTGCATTCAGTGCAGAAAATTTGGGAACAGAAATACTAGCTCTTAAAGTCTTTTGATATACATGTGTAAGTAAGAAAATAGAGGCTCACTCTAAAACATTGAATCTATTAAAATGAAGAGAAGGAATTTGTCTTAAGCTCTTAATTGTACTTGAAGCTCATTTAAATAAAGCACAGTTTCTTCAATTGTATGCAGCAGTACTTAGTAAATATAAGATTATTGTTTTACTGATTCAAATGTTTATAATCTCAATAGATAATAACAGTTGAATATTAAATAATTGAAGTCACAGAGAACAGAGAATGAAAAAGGTCACTAGAGGCAAAAGAAATTAACTCGGGTAAGATAATAAAATTACACTTTGTGTACAAATCTTGGTTTTTAATACCTTTTCTCAATATAAACAACCAAAGCTCCTTAGATAAATAAATGATTATAGTTCTGGAGCAGGATATATACAGCAGAAATCTGAGGCATCACATGCTGCCAGAAAGAAGTGTTAAAAACAATCAAACAAACCAAACAACTCTCAGAGATGAGGGTTACAGCAAAGGAACACAGGAGCCAACTGAGAGAATTTACAAAGTTGAAATATTTTGCGGAACACGGTAATAGCCTAATGTACAAAATACCCATGCGTCCATGTCCAAACTGATATCAATAGCTGATTAAATAAATAAATAGAGGACGTGAGACAAATCTCTCTTGCAGAAGATTTCTGAATAACATATGCAGGTATTCTGCTCTCAAGAAGGTGGTGCATAACTACCACTCTTAAGTGTGGCCTGCAGTTGTTATCTTCTTTGTAAACAGTGCCATATAGGAAGAGGGGGAAATACAGCTTTCTAGTGGAGAAACCTGATAAATATAATAAATTATGTTGATTGTATATACCCTTGAGATAATATGATGTGATGAGAATGACACTTTTTGTCTGCAGCCTTCCTTCCAAATATCTGTAATTCCAGTTCAATCATGTGAAAATGATAGCAGCAGGAGACAAATTCCTAGGCAGACAAGGGCTGGTCCCCAGTGAGACCTGACCTTCAAACCAAAGACAATTTAAAGCCTGAAGCCTGAAAACTGAACTGCCCCTTCTCTGTAGAGTCCACCACTAGAATGAGAACTTCCTTGACGCCTTTTAACCAATCAATTAGTGCTTTTTCCAAGCCTGCCCATGGACCGATCAGCATAAACTCTCCCATTCTGAGCCCATAAAAACCTTGACTCAGCCACATCTTGGGTTACCCGCTTTCTGATCCCCCTCTCTCACAGAGGGCTATCCACTTTGGGTCCCTTCTCATGTGGAGAGCTCTTATGTCTGTCACTCAATAAAACACTTCTTCACTTTGCTCCCTCTCTGGTGTCCAAGTACCTCATTCCTCTTGGACGTGGGACAAGAACCTGGAACCCTCTGAACAGCCTGTGCAAAAAGAGCTGTAACACTGTAATCCTCCCTCCCACTCAATGAGCAACTTGGGAGAAAAAGCCACTGGGTGCCACATGCTCCCATTCACCAAGCTTTGGGCGGTGGGACTAAAGGAGTTATGACATATCCCTGTCCTCTGAAGCTGCAGGCAGAAGGAATGAACATAAGCTGTAACACTTCTCTGGGGCTCAGATCTTGGGACTCCCTGAACAAAAGCTGTAACACCCCTTGGGGCCCTGCAGTTACTGGCATCTCCGAGTTTTTGGGCACCACTGTGTCCCCCCAGTCCAGACGCCAACACTCAAGGTAGACAGAAGATGTTCAAGGCGGCACACCTGGACTGGGCCTGAGAACAGAGGCCTGATGGGCAAGGGATCCAGGCAGATAGCACGAGCTGAGCACAGCCTGCCCAGCAGAGTGTGCAGAGCAAGCCCAGTGGGCCTGAGCAAAGCCCCAGAAGAGGTCCTGGGGGCCGCAGAGATTTCTGGCTGGCAAAGAGGCACCAAACATATCCTGTGTCAAAAACACATCCGAAAAAATTTCAGTTAAAGAATATCCTATAAAATAGTGGCCAGTACTCATCAAAAGTGTTAAGTTTAACAAAACCAATGAAAGTCGAGAAACTGTCACAGCCAAGAGAATCCTAAGCACACATGACATCTAAAATGTAATGTGGGCCGGGCGCGGTGGCTCACGCCTGTAATCCCAGCACTTTGGGAGGCCGAGGTGGGCGGATCACGAGGTCAGGAGATCGAAACCATCCTGGCTAACACGGTAAAACCCTGTCTCTACTACAAATACAAAAAATTAGCCGGGCGCGGTGGCGGGCGCCTGTAGTCCCAGCTACTCAGGAGGCTGAGCCAGGAGGATGGCGTGAACCCGGGAGGCGGAGCTTGCAGTGAGCCGAGATTGCGCCACTGCACTCCAACCTGGGCGACAGAGCGAGACTCTTTCTCAAAAAATAAAAAATAATAAATAAATAAAATAAAATGTAATGTGATATCCCAGATGAAATTTCGAAATAAACAAACAAACCAACAAAGGTATGTAGAAACTATGGAAAACTGGTTATATATTTTAGCTAATTAGTTGTCAATTGTGATAAATGTACCAAACTAATGGAAGATGTTTATAATAAGGGAAAATGGGTGTGGGAGTTATGGAAACTCTCTTCATAAATTCTCTGTATATATAAGCCTTCCAAAATTTTTTAAAGGTTTATTTAAAAATATACTTAATCTGGTTTTCAACAAGGTAATAATTTTAAAACACACTTGTAAGATACATAAAAAATAAGCATTTTATAATGAAAAGCAAGTTGACTTTTAAAAGTATAAACAAATTGGAAATTCAGGGAAATTTTTTTTAACGCGAAGTCAAAAGATTTTAGTCTTAAACTCAAAAAGCAGATTTTCTTTTTACTAATTAAATGTTCTAAAGATTAAGCACAAAATTATAAGACTTGTTAAAAACCTGTAAGTGGTTTAGAAAAACAGCTATAAAATTTACTCTCTTTATAAAAAGAGAGAAGAACAAAATCATCGGATAATTTGTAATAAGACAAACTAGAGTGGTGGTTTTTGTTTTTTTATATAAAATTGATAAGAATTACTGCTAAAAACAATTTGTGTTAAACTATTTATTTAAAATTCAATAATTTACTTGAAACTTTTATCATCACTAAAGCCCTATCTCTCTTAATTCTCTATATCACTCAGAACCAAATCTCAGTTCCAGACTCTGTATGGCAATAGGTGCTGTTAGAGGTAAGAAGAAAAAAATGACTGTAATTTAAAACAATGAATTTTGACAGAAGCAGCATTCAGAAAATTTCTATCCCAAAGATATAATTTTAATATGCTGGAAGTAAGAATGGAAAACAGATAGAGTCAAAAAAAAATTAATATTAAACAATATATTTTATCCGGTAAACTAAACTTCCTGAAATGAGTTATTCCTTTAATTATCAAAAAAAAAACTAAAAGCATTTGTCCATGTTTGCTTTATTCTTTTGTTGGTGAGCCCAATTCATGGAGTCATAGAGAAATTAAGTAATCTTTCCAAGGTCATGCAATTGCTTTGTGCAGTGAGCTTGTTTTCTTTGTTACTATACCAATTTGCTTTTCATTAATTTATTAGTCCAAAATCATGTACTGAATGCATAAGATGTCCGCCATCCCCTGTAAAAATACAAATAAGAAAAAGAAAACAAAAATGGAACTCTTTTGCTTCATAAAGTTTCTAATGTCTTATTATTTTTGCTCATTCTAATTTCTAATAAAACTTTTCTGGTCTTTTAGCTGTGCTTAATTCCCACGGGTTATAGATTATTTTATTTTGCATGTGTTTTATGTAATTTTTCAACTATTTCATATCTGCTAATGTGAAGGATATACATTTTTGCAAAACTTGATAACTTGCAAGCAATGTTTAAATATAAATGCCACTGTCTCACATATTAGAATATTTCAACCAATTAGTTGTCCATTTTTACTCAGTTGACTGGCCTCATAATTATTCACTGCCATGATAACTCTCTGTGCCTTTGCCTACTGTTGCCAAAAGACAAAGTCTCTTGAGTGCTATTTTAAAGGAATTTACCTTTTAGTTAAAGAATGTGAAAGAGCACTAGATCCTCCATATTATATCTAATATTTTTTAAATTTAATTTTTAATTTTTGTAGGTACATAGTAGGCATATATATTTATGAGGTATATAAGATATTTTGATATAGACATATAATATGTAATAATCACATCTGGATAAATGCGGCATCAAGCATTTAGCCTTTCTTTGTGTTACAAACATTTCAATTATACCCTTATTTTACTATTATTATTATTATTATTATTATTATTATTTTGAGACAGAGTCTCACTCTGTCACCTAGGCTGGACTGCAGTGGTGTGATCTCAGCTCACTGCAAACTTTGCCTTCAAGTTCAAGTGATTCTCCTGCCTCAGCCTCTTGAGTAGCTGGGATTATAGGCCTGCACCACCACACCCAGGCTAATTTTTTTGTATTTTTAGTAGAGATGGGGTTTCAGCATGTTGGCCAGGCTGGTTTTCAACTCCTGGTCTCAAGCAATCCTCCTGCTTCGGCCTCCCAAACTGCTGAGATTGCAGGCATGAGCCACCGTGCCTGTCCCATTTAGTTATTTTTAAATGTACAATAAATTTTTGTTGACTGTAGTTACCCTGTTGAGATCCTACTCATTCTGTCTAATGTATTTTTGTATCCATTCACAATCCCCACTCCCCCAACCTCCATCCCCCACTACCCTTCTCAGCCTCTTGTAGTCATCATTCTATTCTCCATCTCTATTAATTCAATTGTTTTTATTTTTAGAGCTCACAAATTAATGAGAACATGCAAAGTTTGCCTTTCTGGGCCTGGCTTATTCGTTAAACACCATATTCTTCAGTTCCATCCACGTTGTTTCACCACTTTTTATAAACACTAAGAGGTTTTTCAGTTACATTATGAAAAGAAGCTATGTTAAATTCCTTGTCGTAATGCTTCTCTATGACAGTTTTCATAGGCAATCTTTAAAATTCTGCTGTTAACTAATGTATTAATTGCTTATTTTAAGTGCACGTATTCACTTAAATATATTTATTCATGAAATGTCAGTCAGGAAACAAAGCACTGAGAAAATTAAATTTATCAGCCCATCATCAATTTTAAATTTTTTATAGTGCAAGATTCATGTTTAGTTTCCAAGGTATCACTTTACTACAAGCAATTTTTTTAAATCTACATATTCAATTCATAGTAATGTTTTTGAAACAAAGTACGTAATTCAGTATTTCATTATATTTCACAAAGTCTGAGATGAAACAAATTATCTTTTAATCTATGTGCATTCATACATGAACTTTCTTTGTGAATAATTTTCAGCATGCATGGATTTACTATATGCCAAATTTCCAAAATATTTATCGATATTCAGCATTTAAGAAGTAAAAAGGCTCTACTTATTAGATACATTTTCCCTGCTGTTTGCATTCTAATCATATGCAAATAAGTTGTTACATTTCTTTCCCTTTGATAGTGCATTTGTTCATTAAGCTTTAACACATTGTCTGTGTTATTCACCACAAAGAATTTAGTTTCTCTGTTTAAGCAGAAGTTGGAGAGTCCTAGTATACCTGTTTTTTTATGTTGCTTTTTACATCTCATTAACTTCTTCTAATTTGCCACTGGTAGTCAATGTATACTTTTTGTGTTGCTATTGCCATGAAACAAATTATTCCACCCCTCATGACTGCTCTGGCAGCTTCCCACAAAACACCCCGGCTAGTTTCTTGGTTTTTATTGATATTAATTTATTCTGAAATAGTCTTCATCTGTTGCACAAATGCTGCAGTTTTAATTAGAGAGTTGTTAAATCTCCATACTTCAGATCTCCTATAATTTAGTATATCACCAGAGACTTTGACACCAGGAAATTACCAAGCAAAGATAGATTTTCAATAGCAGATGGTTGCATGCTTCAACATATCTCATATTTTTTTCATACTCAAGTAGTCAGGCTTCAATAAAATGTTAATAAAATAAACCAAGTTGCATACCTATTTTTATAGTTTATTTCTCAGTTAATATGAAATTACTTAAAGTGATAACATATACAAAATATTATTTTGCACCTTGCCTTTTTTAAAACAAAATTTCAGTATATTGTGAGAATTACTACAACGTGAGAAGGTTTTTTTCTATTCAGGGTGAGGAAGCTGCATAGTATTATATCATTTTGATATACTGTAATTCATTTAGTTCTTATTTGAAAATTGCAATTAAGGTGATTTCAATGCTCTGAGAATGTCTTTGAACTGGGGAACGGGCATGAGTTTCAAATTAATTTTTAAAATTAATATGTTTGGACTTTTCACATTAATTTTTCTGGGGTCTAGGAATTTATGCTCTCAGTATCAAATTTAATATTGTGGAATAAGTTCATTGATGGGTTGGATTTTATAGGATATTTCTTTCTTTTATTTTAGTTGAACAATACACAAGATTATATTCAAGGAATACAACAACATGAAGATGTGTGCCATCATATTCCACTTTTTTCAAGTTGTGAAATGTACTGAATATGTGGAAAGCTCAAAAGATATGTAACAGATAAATGTATTCTCTTTATATATATATGTATATATGTATAGATATATAGTTGATGTTAACATTTTGCCACATTTGCTACAGTACTGTAATTTTCAAAGAATAAGTTGTAACAGATACAGCTATGAACAGACCTATCACTCCCCTTTATTTTTCCAATACAAGTTACTATTATTCTGAAGTGTAAGTTTTTCCTTCTAATTAACATTAGTTCTTTATAAATACAAAAATTATGTCTCCAGTATGTCCTACTGTTTCCTGTGTCATAAAATTTATAACACTTCTATTATACTGTATTATATTTTATAGCCTTTTTATAAATTTCATTTATTGCTCAAAATTATTATGAAATAAAACTCATATTGATACATGTATATATACACCACTGATTTAAACATTACGTATCATACAATGAACATATTAATAACTGCTGTGTTTCATCATATACTAAGGACTTGTTTTCCTAGCACTTTTTCTTTTTTCTTTCTTTCTTTTTTTTTTTTTTTTTTGAGATGGAGTCTCGCTCTGTCACCCAGATTGGAGTGCAGTGGCACGATCTTGGCTCACTGCAAACTCCGCCTCCCGGGTTCACGCCATTCTCCTGCCTCAGCCTCCTGAGTAGCTGGGACTACAGGTTCCCACCACCGCGCCCGGCTAATTGTTGTTTTTTTTTTTTTTTTTTTTTGCATTTTTAGTAGAGACAGGGTTTCACTGTGTAGCTAGGATGGTCTCGATCTCCTGACCTCGTGATCCACCCGCCTCGGCCTCCCAGAGTGCTGGGATTACAGGCGTGAGCCACCGCGCCCGGCGCACTTTTTCTTTTAACAATACAGAAAGCACTTTTATGTGTATCCTTATATATGCATGAGAGTTTCTCCATTGTGCAGTTATCAGATGTAAAATTAATAGATCGTGTAAGATAACTATCTTCACATTTTCTAGGAATTGCCAGATGGCTAAGTAGGTATAACAGTTGACATTCTCAACAGTAATCACCAACAATTAATGTCACAATTCATTACTTTTTCCAGTCTCTTGGATGTAAAACTTGAATTTTATTCTTTTAGAATTTCCATTTCCCTAATTATTTGAGATTTTATTATTTTAGGCATGATTTCATAACTGTATTAGTACTTTGGAATTCAACTTTTAAAATCACCTCCTCCAATTTAGTGTCTGTATTTCAAATGGTTGTGGTTTTTTTTCTTTTTTTTCTTTTTTGAGATACAGTCTTGCTCTGCTGCGCAGGGTGGAGGGCAGTAGCGCAATCTTGGCTCACTGCAACCTCCACCTTTGAGGTTCTAGTGATGCTCAGGCCTCAGCCTTCCGAGTAGTTGGGATTAGAGGCACATGCCACTATGTCCAGCAGGTTTTCTTGATTATTCAAAATGCTACAGTCTATACCATAGTTACTATTTTTGTGATTGAAATTTTTTCAAACACATTGACTTAGTCAAAGGTTTGTCTTGAACATTCTTTATAGTATTGCTGTATAGGGCCAGACAAGGTGGCTCACACCTGTAATCCCAGCACTTTGGGAGGCCACGGCAGGTGGATCGCCTGAGGTCAGGAGTTCGATACAAGCCTGGCCAACATGGTGAAACCCCGTCTCTACTAAAAATACAAAAATTAGCCGGGCATGGTGGCGGGCACCTATAATCCCAGCTGCTTGGGAGGCTGAGGCAGGAGAATTGCTTGAACCTGGGAGGTGGAGGTTGCAATGAACTGAGCTTGTGCCACTGCACTCCAGCTTGGGTGACAGAGGGAGACTCTGTCTCAAAAATAAAATAAAATAATAAAATAAAATAAAATAAAATAAAATAAAAATATAAAAATAAGAATAAATAAATAATATTGCTATATAGAATGAATTAAGATGTACATTTTCCTTTAACTGCCTGATATTTGTGTATGGTTTAGGGCATATATATTTTCAATGAATGGAGTACATGGTCTCTATTTCTGTTGAATTGATTTTATTGTTTATATTTACATTTTAATATATTAGCATTTTTACCCAACTGACATGTGGTCTCTCTCTATATATATTCTTATTATGATTGCTATTTGACCTGAAACTATTTATTAAGAACCGTTTATTAAGAGTCAACCTTTCTCCACTGATACCTTATGTACCAAATTAATAAGGGTCTGTCCCCTGCCTCTGTCTTCTATGTCTTTGGTATAGGCTGTATCACTAAACCAATAGAACACATACAAGTTACTACATCATTATAGCATGTTATTACCTGTGTGCACATCACACATTTATTGCCTTTAATTTTCAAAATTATCTTAGCCTTTTTGGAAAATGTACTCATGTTGATTAAAAAAAGTTTGCGAAGAACCCTGTAGAATCTTTATGAAAGATTATGTTGTTATTCTAAAAACATATGAATGAAGCTGCCATATTGAATATATTGAATTTCTTTTTACAAATATAGAACGTTCTGTACTTACTTCTACCATACAGTGTGTCTTGTTATGTGCTATTTTGTTAATTGGATCCCATAAAATATAAGTATTTGATTATTTATTCATGTATAGAATTCATTAAATGTTGTTCATTCATACTGTACCTAGAAACCCTGCTGGATTCTCTTAGACATTCTAATCCTTAAATCTATATTTGTTTGATAGTCAATGTACAATATAATAAATTTATGAATATTAAGTTTTATCCCTCTCCACATAGTAAAAAAAAAACAACACACATTTAAAAGTTGATTACTATTCTCTCTTATATAGTGCTAGTAAGAAACTACATTTCAATTGGAATCATTATGGAGCACATTTTTGGCATTTGCTTTAAATATAAAGAAAATTTTAAGAATTTACCATTCATGATACCACATTATAAAAGTTTGGGTAGATTTACTATATATTCTTTGTTTTCCCAGAGATATAATCATAAATTGAAGTGGAGTTTTGTAAAATAATCTTTGTGCATTGAGATGTTTTAAAACTTTTATTTTCTTAAGGTATTAAATTGATAACTATATTAAAAGTTGTTCTAAAGTTTAATAACATTTGTACTTCTGAAACAATCGCAAATTGTTTGCACTGTGTTTTTACACTAAGCACTGTGCAAATACTTAGATTTTGATTTGTTATATAGACACTGTGACATTGATGTGATTTTTAGTGTTTTTAAACATTCCTTAGAATTCCTTAGAATGTTGTAAAAATTATGATTACCTTTTCTTGCAATAAAAGACTATTTTAAACATATCAAAAAGTAGTATATTAGTTTGTTTTTGTATTTTGGAGGGTAGGTAAATTCTAATTACTGTCAATGAAAGGTTATGTGTTCAAATTTCAATGAACTAAATATGACTATAGTTATATCTTACTAGAAAATTTTCTATTTCTTCAAAGCATTCACATTTTCACATTTTGTAAATGTAGTTATATATATTTTGTAAATACATATATATGTATGTATATAAAGTATTCCTGAATATACAGAAAGATATTCATATTTTTATATCATGTGTTATTATCATTTTCCAGTATAAACTTTTAAAAAATATTTGTTTTGGCATTGTTTCTTAATTGATGAGTTTCCTATTGTATTAATCTGTTTAAAGCATATGCTTTTGGCTTTATTTTTGTTTTGTTTTCTTCAACTTTTTTTCTCATACTTTGTCTTTATTTGGGATTAATATATTTTTCTTAATATTCTTGAGCTTTATGTGTGAATTATTAACTTTCAGTTTTTTATTTCTTTTTATATGATTTGATCCCTAAACACTCAAAGTAATTATTTTCTTAGTGACAATCGGAAGTTTTAATATTTAGTGACATTTTAGTCACTCTGATCTAAAAATTCTCTAATTTTTATTAGGGACTTAACCTCTCAATTAATAGTTTTTTAGAAACTAACATTATTCTATTTTAAAAATTTCATTATTGTTGTATTTTATTCGGAATAGATATCTCTGATATCATGCAATTTTTATTTTTACATAAATACAAATAAAAAGTGAACATGCTCTATAAATGCTAAATATGTGTCAGAAAATAATGGAAAAATTAGTATTTGTTCGCATGTAGATGTCCAGTTTTTTTCAGTACCATGTGTGAAAGAGACTACTGTTTTCTCATTGTGTATTCTTGGAAAATCTGTCAATAAATAGATGATCATGTAAGTGTCATATTTGTTTCTGAGTTCATTATTCTGTTCCAGTAGCTTATGTGTCTGCTTTTATGCTTTTGCCATATTGTTTTAGTTACAATAGCTTTGTATTATAATTTGAAATCAAAGTGTGATGCCATCATCTTTATTCTTCTTGCTCAAAATTGCTTGAGTTATTTGTGGTCTTTTGTAATTTTTTTAGCAAACATATTGAAATTTTGATGAGGATTGTATTGAATCTGTAGATTGCTTTTGGTAGTAGGGACATTTTGACATATTAATTTTTCCAGTTTATGAACATAAGATATCTTTCCATTTATTTGTGTCTTCTGCAATTTCTTTGTTGTTGTTTTTTTTTTTTTTGAGACGGGGTCTCGCTGTGTCGCCCAGGCTGGAGTGCAGTGACTCCATCTTGGTTCACTGCAAGCTCCACCTCCCAGGTTCACGCCATTCTCCTGCCTCAGCCTCCCGAGTAGCTGGGACTACAGGGACCCGCCACCACGCCCGGCTAATTTTTTTGTATTTTTAGTAGAGATGGGGTTTCACCGTGTTAGCCAGGATGGTCTCAATCTCCTGACCACGTGATCCACCCACCTCAGCTTCCCAAAGTTCTGGGATTACAGGCGTGAGCCACCACACATGGCCAATTTCTTTCATCAGTGTTTTATCATCTTCAGTGTGCAAATTATTCACTGCCTTGCTTAAATTCATTCCTAAATATTTTTTAAAAAATAATATTTTTAAAATTATTTTCAGATTATTTGTTAGTGTATAGAAATGTAACTTTTTTTTTTTTTTTGCATTGGTCATGTATATAGCAACTTTATTGAGTTTCTTTATTCTAACAGTTTTTTGGTGGAGTCTTTAGGATTTTTCTACATATAAGGTTATGTCATCTGGAGACAGAGACAGTATTTGTTTTTTCTTTCTGATTTGGATGCCTTTAATTTTTTTCTCTTGCCTAATTTTTTCCAGCTAAGATTTTACATACTATGTTGCATGGAAGTAGTGAAAGGGGGCATTCATATTTTATTTCTGATCCTTGAGAAAATGCTTTTATCTTTCCTAAATTAAATGTGATTTTAACTGTGGACTTGTCATAGGTGCCATTTATTGTGTTGAGGTACATTCTTTGTATACCTAATTTGCTGAGAGCTTTAGTCACAAATGGACATTTAATTTTGTCAAATGCTTTAAGGTATAAATATCAGAAATACATAAGGAAATCAAACAACTCAGAAGCTAAAAAAAAAAATCTAGTTTTATTTATTTATTTATTTATTTATTTTAGATGGAGTCTTGCTCTTCGCCCAGGCTGGAGTGCAGTGGCACAATCTGGGCTCACTGCAAGCTCTGCCTCCCAGGTTCACTCCATTCTCCTGCCTCAGCCTCCCAAGCAGCTGGGGATTACAGCTGCCCACCACCACACCTGGCTAATTTTTTTGTATTTTTAGTAGAGACGGGGTTTCACTGTGTTAGCTAGGATGGTCTCGATCTCCTGACCTTGTGATCCATCCGCTTTGGCCTCCCAAAGTGCTGGGATTATAGGCGTGAGCCACCATGCCCGGCCCAAGGGATCTAGTTTTTAAAAATGGGTTAAGAACCTGAATATATTACTCAAAGAAGACATACAAATGGCCATCAGGTATATGTACAGTACCACTAATCATCAGGGAAATGCAAATCAAACCTACAATGAAATATGAGATATTGCCTCACATCTGTTAGAATGGCTATTATCAAAATGCCCAAGATGTAGAGGTATGGTGAGGATGTAGAAAAAAGAGAAGTCTTATTCACTGTTGGTGATAAGGTAAATTGGTGTAGCACTACAGAAAACAGTATGGAAGTTCCTCAAAAAATTAAAAGAAATACTACCATATAATTCAATAATCCTACTTCTGGGTACATATCCAAAGAAATAAAGTAACCATTTGTAAGACGTATTGCAGCACTATTCACATTATCCAAGATATAGAAACAGCCAAGTATCTGCAGAAAGATGAATAAAGAAAATGCAAAAATACATTTATATTAGATATAAAATAGAATAGCATATAGCCTTAAAAATACCATTTACAAAAAAATCGATGATCCTGGAAAATATTATGATAAATGGAATAAGCCAGATGCAGAAAAACACATACTGGATGGTCTCATTTACATGCACCACCTAAAAAAGTTGAACTCATACAAATAGAGATTAGAATGGTGATAACCGGAGGCTGAAGATTGGTGGAAATGGGAAGAAACTGGTCAAAGTGCATAAATTTTTGCTTATAGGATGAACAGATTCTGGGAACTTAATATACAGCATGATGACTATACTTAACAATAATGCATTCTATACTTGAAATTTACTAATGCATTACACCTTAAGTGTTCTTACACACACATACAAAAACAGATAACTGTGTGAAGTCATAGATACGTTAATGGGCTTCATTGTGGTAATCATTTCACAATGTGTATTTAAACCAAAATGTCACCTGTATACTTTCAGTATAGACAATCTTTGTCACATATACCTAAATAAAGCTGGAAAAATGGAATGGATATTCTTTTCTTCAGTGTGTATATAATCTATATAATAAGCTAGAATTGATCAATTATTTGTCAAGTGTTTTATACACTTGTACTGCAACTAGACTGATTATTATGGATACTAATTTCATTACATAAGTAATGAGTTTACTTATAATTATTTTTGCTTGTTCTAGGCTACCAACTACTGATATAGTTGAAATAGAATCAACTTCAGGGATTGTAGACTTTTTATCTTTTTCCCAAGTTGAGGCCCATCTACTTGAAGAAATCCTGTATTTTATCCTTGTTCAATATCTTTCTTTATCTATAATATCTGTTTTGCTTAAGGCCAATTTTGTCTTTTAATACTATATACTAAATCTTTGAAAACTATTTTGATTCAAATTTTTCTGATATATATTTCCTGCCTTCATTTTTACTTTCAATCTATCTAAACATTATATTCATGAATTTATTTTAAAAACTTCATTTTTGTATTTTGTAAACTGATTTGATAATTTTTGTTTTTAATCCTGTGTAAGCTCTTAACATTTATAATAAACTAATGCATTGTGATTTATTTTTCCCATCTTTTTGTGCTTTCTACTTACCAAGTTACTTTCTATCTTTTACACACTCTATTGAATTTTTAAAGTTGCCTTTATTTCTTTGTCAACTTGACATTTCTATAATCATTTATAAATGTTTAGTGTTATTTATGGATAGTACTATTTATCAATATTTACAATATATACTTGATTAAACTAAACAGATCATTATTCAATATATATACTATTATGCAGAACCATGTAGCACTTTAGAATTCTTATAACCAGAAATGTAGATATTATTATTGTTTTTAAAAATGATATTTAGTCAGGTTCATACATATGCTCATCAATTTAATTGCTCAGAATTTTTTTCCACACCACATTGTTTTCTACTAGGTTCTATTTTTTATTTTTTATTTTTAAATTTCTATAGGTACATAATAATTGTATGTATTTGTAAGGTATGCATGATGTTTTGATATAAGAGTATAATGTATAATGTTCAAATCAGAGTAAGTGGGGTATCTGTCACCTCAAGCATTTATCAATTCTTTGTGTTGGGAATTAATTTTATTCCTGGAGACAGCCCTATAGCAGTTCTTTCAGCAAGAATATACCATTAATTTTTAAAAACTATTTTGCTTATTTTCTTGTTTGATGGTTATATTCCCTCATTCCATTACCTCCTAACTTCTACTTTTCTGTTTTCTAGTTTGC
Organism: Homo sapiens; assembly: GCF_000001405.40. Taxonomy (NCBI): domain Eukaryota; kingdom Metazoa; phylum Chordata; class Mammalia; order Primates; family Hominidae; genus Homo; species Homo sapiens. The sequence continues at coordinate 55,990,332 of NC_000013.11, forward strand.
TGTAAATATCAGTGTATATACTTCATACTTATTCTGTCTTTTCTCTGCAGTTTTTTTTATTATTTATTTTGCTCTTTAATGCAAGATTTTTACAAAGTGTCTATTTAAGGTTTTATTTTTATTCATCCTATCCTTAACTTATTGAATTTTAATCATCTGAGACACCAGAACTTCTGATTTTTCTAGAGAAGTCTTTGTCAAGTTCTCTTTAAATACAACATTTTTCTCATTATCTCAAGCCTTTCTTCATAATACTTCATTTAAATGGGCAGTCTACCTTTTCTTTCACATTGCTTTTTATTCCTTCTATATGGAATTATATGTAGTTCAAATCTTTCTCATGATTTACTAATTTCCCTTTTAGTATCTCACTCATCTATTCTACAATTCTATATCTACACAGTACATTGGAAGTGCCTTTACACAGCAGTTTTGCCTTTTATTATGCGTCTCCTTTTTTTTTTTTTTTTTTTTTACTTTAAGTTCTGGGAAATGTGCTGAGTGTGCAGGTTTGTTACATAGGTATACATGTGTCATGGTGGTTTGTTGCACCCATCAACCAGTCATCTAGGTTTTAAACCCTGCATGCATTAGGTATTTGTCCTAATGCTCTCCTTCCCCTTGGCCCCACCCCTTGACAGGCCATGGTGTGTGATGTTCTCCTCCCTGTGTCCGTGTGTTCTCATCGTTCAACTCTCACTTATGAGAGAGAACGTGCGGTGTTTGGTTTTCTGTTCCTGTGTTAGTTTGCTGAAGATGATGGTTTCCAGCTTCATCCATGTCCCTGCAAAAGATATGAACTCATTCTTTCTTATGGCTGCATAGTATTCCATGGTGTATATTTGCCACATTTTCTTTATCCATTCTATCACTGATGGGCATTTGGGTTAGTTCCAAGTCTTTGCTATTGTAAATAGTGCTGCAATAAACATACATGTGCATGTGTCTTTATAGTAGAATGATTTATAATCCTTTGGGTATATACCCAGTAATAGGATTGCTGGGTAAAATGGTATTTCTGGTTCTAGATACAAGATGAATAATACAAAATCATTAATAAGAAATGTGTCTTTAGTAATGAAGGGTTGTTATAGAGTGAAAAACCAAATATAAATGAATCTGTTGTAAAACTCCAAGCTTGGTATATACTAACAGATAATAAATTGAGGAAGGGAAGTTTAGGTTTAATTTCAGAAAGTTTAAAACAAAAATCTTTATGAGAAAATTAAAAGTTAAATAATGAAATGGTAATTTTTAGATTAAGTACCCTAGAACTTAAAGTATAATAAAATATATATATGTATAAAATAAATACATAAATGAAGAATGAAAGAAAAAAGAAAAAATGCAATGGAAAGCTGAAGGCATATTGTTAAAGTCTAATACTCAAGCCATTGGCAATAAGTAATGGAGTCCTATTAAGATAAAAATATAATTGAGCAACAATGTGATGGATTTTTTGTTGTTGTTGTTAAATAGATTCGGTCTTTTTCCCCAGCCTGCATAGATTTAAGGCTAAAATGTTCTCATTCACAAACACATAAGAGATAAGTAGTTTCCCAGCTGGTAACATATGGAGCCTGTTTTGGGGATTTCTCCAAAATGTTATTATAATTTTTAATATATTTCCTTTCCTTCATTTGCTTATTTCCCTGTTCTTTCAAACTATCTGTATTATTTAGACATATTTAAGGTAAAGATGATATTGCATGCGTTGGAAAATGGAATTCCATAATGCAACTTAAATTATGTTATCCCAAAAATAGAATGCTCAAAATTTTATTATAAAATACAGGTATTTGATGTTTTCAGTGAGCTTATTTTCTTTCTTATAGTTTTATTTTGTTTACTGCAAAATAATAAGATATAATTGTTTGGAGGTTGTAAGTAGGATACTCTGTTTTTGATTTCCTGCTTTTGTTGGCTGTGACCTTGAAATACTTACAAAATGTTTTATTTCAATAAATATGTGAACATTATCTTCGTATTTCCTGGAAGAATTAACACTAAAAATAGAATTTCTGGGAATAATGTCAAAATGTTGGTTAATCATTATTAGCTGACACAATGATATCATTACTTAGAACATCATTCTTCCAAATATGGTGATTTTAAAAGAGAATAAGGTTAAACATTCACATATTTATCATGATTACCAAAATGTGATACCAAAAATAAGCAAGACTAAACACCAGGGTTCTTTAAAAATACTTAGTAGAAATAGATATTTAGTATTTACTTTCAAATTTGAAATGCTATTATTTTTCAATCAAATTATTTTTTCTGCAACACAGACCCCCATGATTCACATTTACCTATGTAACAAATCTGCACAAGTACCCCTGAACTTAAAAGTTTAAAAAATACATTTTGTTCTACTATGTGCTAACCACTAATGCTGCATACATTATGTATTATGATGAACAGGGTCAAAACTCTCCTTGCCTCATTACATTCAGATACTAGAGAAGGTTCCAGATGAGTAAGCAGGAAATAATAATGAAGCAATTTGAGCTAGTGATGGGGTGGTAGGGAATATCATGAGAGTACATGTAGAGGAGAAGCGCTACTCAATATTTTCTATGTGTTTTTGAGTGTGTTTTAGGTTGATCAGAAAAGACTGCCATTTAAGCTGAGGTGTCAAGAATGGGGTCAAAGGACAAAAAGCAGTAAATACTTAGTGTGACCAAGTCAAAAGATCTAATGTACAAAATGAGGACTATAATTAATAATGGAGAGTTGTATTCAGAATTTTTGCTGAATTAGTAGACTATAGCTGCTTTTGCCAAAGGATGGGAAATTAATTAGTAACTGTGAGATGATGGATAATTTAATTTGTAACAATGTAGTAACCATTTTACTATATATATATGTGTGTGTTTTATAACATCATGTTGTATATATTAAATATACACAATAACATTTATTTTTAATACAAACTTCATTGCATTTTTCTATAGGTGGATAATGCAAAATTATATATTGTTGGCAACATTTCTTTCCATAACTGTAACATAATACATTTCTCATGTAACATTTTTCCCTAAAAGTTTCACTTTGGAAAATTTATGTTTTCTTTCAAAATTTGAAATAACAGTTAGTTTCAGTAACATCTATTTCTGAGTACCATAAAAATAACACTTTAAGTTTTAAACAATTTAGAAATAAATTTGAACTTTGTAAATTAAAATAATATTTCATAAATTACTTTATTAGAGGTATATACTGAGCAATTTATTTAAATAAATTAGTCACTCTGTGCCATGATTCTAAAGCTTTCTCTCTCCATATATCTTTAATATATATATATCTTTTAATATCTTTTATATCTATGGGTCTGATGTATCTTTCATTTTAATTTAATTGTATATCTGGTCTTCAGTGAAAAGTCTGGATTCTGATCTTAATCCAAAGAGTTTGTCTTCCTGGAAGCTTCTCATAGATTTTCTGTCAAGAGGGAGTAAACCACTGACCATAGGAGCTAAGCCTAAATTATTACGTATGCTCAAGGCGAACCTCTTATTCTCTGACTTACCTGGAGCCAGCATAATTCTTGAGTCTCACTTAGTAGTGTAAAATAACCGACATTTCATTTTCAGGTCTCTGAACCACTGTAGGAAGGAAAAAACTTCTTTTAATACTTAAAAGTGAAGAAAATTCAGGCAACTATGACCAATATTTTTAAGCAAAAAAAACAAACGCATTCCATATTTTTGGCACAGTAAATATTTTTTTCTTATCTAGGAATTATATGGGGCTAAATTTGATAATTTAAAAAAAACTACTCACCAATATTTACAACGAGGATCATCCAATATTTGTAATGTAACCTAGCCAAAAATGCAAAACTGACCAGAAAGTATTATCATGGTCTTAGGGTTTTGTTTTATAACACTTAGGCTAAATTTAAATATGCCAAACAAATGCATTTGTTCCTAAACTTTTATGCTTATTTTTATGTATAAATTAAATTTTATGTGGATGATACGAACTACAAAACACATTATCAGATGATTTGATCATTTTCTTGCTAATGTTCGAGAATCAAGGCAAAAAAAATGAAGTCTAATTTAGGGTCAAAGACTAGTGATAATGTTCCCTTTAATTTACGTAATTAAAAAGTTTTGAAGAATTATTTAACTCTATGTCACAACATTTATTTCATTATTTTTAGATTTGAATGACAGATTACTTTTTTAATAAACTATTTTGAAATCATGAATCCTTTAGGTGTCCATTTTGAGTAAGATATCAGGCAAAGAGTTTTTCAGGTGGACTAACAAAATGTGCAAAAAATTTGAAAATACTTCGGCAACCCTAGAAAAAAATCATCGTCCTCAGCCTTTGTGTTGATGACGAGACTAAGCTATTTTATTCAGCCACTCCCTTCAAACAGAAGTTGCCTTATAAAAGCAATAATAGTCTGGGAAGTTTTCCAAATTCATTTATACAAAAGTAAAGAGTACAATTAGAGCTACATTTTATAGCGTTTTTCATTATTTCATTATAATCTTAATCTCACACAGGACTGTCTGTACCTGTTGTGTGTAGGGCAATGGAGCCTTCGTTGTGTGCATCCTTTTGTGATTTTAATGCATTATTCTGTAGTAGGTATGCAGGAAAAAATTCAAGCCTTTCATCAAAGACTCACTCCGCAGAAACGTTACATACAAGATAGTAACTCAATTTGACAATATGTTTGCTTTCTTTTAGATGGAGCTGGTCAATGTGTACTTCCTAGTTTTCAAACTTAGAAGGTTTCCCTGACATTTCTAAAACGTACATTGTGAAATATCAGCAGACATAGTAGGAAATTGTAAAATGTTTATATGTTCATTTGGGATCACAAATGTCACTACAGCTCAATTTAATTGCAATTGTAGGAGGTAACTTTGGGCACAACAGCTACTCTATTTTCATAACTATGTTATGTTCCAATTTTTTTAAGTAAAATGTGTTCTTTACTCTTATGATATAACTGGATTTGTACTGTGATTTTCAACTTGAATATTAAGCTTTATATACCTTTCCTGGTTTGAAGGCAACCTGTACTAATAACTCCTGTCACTATTATTTTAGTTTTCCACTTATTTTTTATTTAACCAACAATCTGAAAAAAACATCTAGAACCAGAGAAAGGGAAGTGTAGAAACAACTAAGTGTGTTTCTCAATGAGCCTGGTTGTACCCATGCATAATTCAGAGAGTGGTCCAAATAAACTTAATACTGATAAATAATACTGTGAATACAGTTACAGTTGTAACTGTACATCAACTGGCATCTTAAGAAAAAAAATCACATCTTTTATTTTTTTAAATTTTTTTTTGCTTCTGTAGCATCAGGCACTCTGCTAAGTAATTTTTATTATTATCCCACCAAATTTTCACAAAAATAATTTTCATATGAATATAGATATATCTTGACACATTTTTAACTACAATTGAATTAGGTAGAATACAACACACATTTTCAAAATTACTATATTGGTGGCTCTATAACATTTAAAATGAAGTGATTTTCTGAATTTTTTACTTATTCAATGGGCAATTTAATAAGTTTCAAGGCTTCTATCTAATGTCTCCTATTTATTAATATTACACTAAAATTCTGTTCAGTAAGCGTAGCTCCCCACACTATTAAGACTATATGTTAATTATTTGATTAATAATATGATATAGATAATAAATTAGATTAAATTATCAATATACTCATCCTTTGGTAATCTTCATATACCATGTTAGTGTTCCAGAATACAATCTGTAATAGTTTAAACTGGAAAAGATAGCCTCCAAGAAAATATAGGTTAAAATATTATGTCCTTAAAATATTATGCCACACTGCAAATCATCGACTTGACTCCTTTATCATTTAGTAATTCCCCTCTGCATTCCTCATAATTATTTTTGGTTCTGAGGTTTACTCTATCTGAAATTAATATAGCAATTTTAGACTTGTATTATCATTACCGTGGTGTATCATGGTATAGCAATACACAGCACAAAAAAATGTAGGTATGTCTTTAATGAAATAGGTAAAGAATATATATGTAGAATATTTTAGAACCATAAAATAAACCAAAGAGAATCTAAATAGACATTAATTCTATGTTTATAGATAAAAATATTAACTATAAGAAAATTATTATTTTTAATTTTTTTCTGTTTTTATTTACAAAGTTTAGTGAAGCAATATGGCATCACAATTTAGAAATACTTTAATCTCACTATAATTTAACATTTAAAAATCTAATTTTTGATATTCAACAACAAAATTATAAAAATAATTTTACATTTATAAAATGAATCATTATTTCACAACACATTAGTCATTCATATTACCTGAAAACAGTTGTATGCTACATAAAAGGAATAAATTTCCTTATCAATATTTTGAAAATATGTCAAAAAATTAGTTCCTTTTTATCCAGCATTTTTGACAGTTCAGTATACAAAATATTATATTACAAATTTCCTAATTATAGTTATTGAAGCCAAATCATTACTAATAATTTCTAAAACATAGCTGTTTGCTAAACATGTATGGATAAATTAGAGGTTTCATTAAAAATGAACTTTATGTTTTGTATTTTAAAGTTATTTGCTATGTTCTGAATGTTTGTGTTTTTTAAATTTCATATGTTGAAATCTATTCCTTGGGGTGATGCTATTAGGAGGTCTTTGGAAGGTGATTAGGGGCCTTTGGGAAGTGATTAAGTCATGAGGATTAGTGTCTTCATAATAGACACCCCAGCAAAGCTGCCTTGTTTCTTGCATGTATCAGGGCAAAGCTAGAAAATGGCAGGTATGAGTCAGAGATCAAATTTGCCAATTCCTCTAATTCCTTGATCTTGGACTTCCCAGCTTTGACAACAATAAGAAATACATTTTGGTTGTTTATAAGCTTCCCAAGTTATGGTATTTTGTTATAGCAGTCTGCATGGAACAAGATGGCATTTTTTATATCTTCTAAGAGAAAGCCCAGCAAACTCAACAAAAACCTGCAAAAGGATATTTGTATGTATAAAAATAAAAAAAAATATTATTCATGAAGCAGACACTACAGTAAGTTTTCAAAAAATAAGAGTTAACCCCCATCAAACAATGATATTTTTTATGGTTTCACAAGGGTAGCAGGTCTTGAAGAAATTTTACTGGTTTCATTAAACCAATTATAGCTTTTAAGTAACCATTTTTCTACATTGAGTTTAATTTTACCTCAGCAGCCAATAAGTTAACATTAATATAATCTTTTTACTTGTAGTGTAAGTGGGATTTATGACATCATAATCTTAGTACTGCTTAAAGACCTTGAGAAAGATAATTTAATTCAATCTTTTACATCTTGGAATAGTTTTTCTAAAATACATCATTGATATTAATAATTACACAGCCAGTCTTCCCTATCAACCAGAGAGGAACCACTGACTCATGAGGTAGCCCATGATTAATTTGTTTTAAAATAAGCTCTAGCTTGGAGATGATATCAAGTAGTTTAAGGCTTCAGTGAAGAATATTCCTCTGTCTGGAATTAAACAATTGGTACATCCCTCAGCTGCTGGATTTCAAAAAGTCTTCTAAGTCAATTATTTGAATCTGTTTTTGTTTTCATCAAATCTACTTGGTGAATATTTTATTTTTTTAATTTTTTTAGAAGAAAGTCTTGTTAAAACTACAAAAGTTGTTTCTTATTAAAACTGCAACAATTTACACTCATTGCTTACATGTAAATATATTATAGGCAACATGATAGATAATATCCAATAACCACTCAATTGCATATATTTAAAAAACACACTGTGAATAAGAAGTTTGCATTTTTTATTCCACAAAAAAAATTCACAATCATTAAAGTCAACCGGACCTAGATTTACATTTATGAACTTCGGTTATGTTCTTAAACCCTCAATTTACGTTTATTTTATTTATAAAAGAGAGATAATACTCTCTCTCCTAAAGTGTTGTTGTAAGGACTAAATAAGGCACATTGGTGGTAGACAGCTAATTTGTCCCCAGGATCAGCTTTCTTGGAGTGTCATGGCTTTGGCTGACACAGAAATTGCACCTATAGATGATTCTCCTGGCCGCCCTGGGACCCAGCTGCAGGCATGTGCTGATTTCTAGTCAATGGAGAATTATTTCTAGATTGTTTCAGGAGAAAGAAATAAATGTCTGTCTAATTGGAGTCAATCTTTTAGGAGTTTCTTTGTTACTGGTTAGCCTGTATCTTAACTAACATATCTTAGCTTAACATAAATCTTCAAAGACAGTCACATTTAAAAAAATATCCATGCTTTCTTGGAATGGCTTTTTATAATTTCCTAAACTTAGGATAGGCATATTTAACTGTAGACAAAAGAGATGCTTCTTTGCCACAGAACTCCCATAGGAGATTCTTCAAAAAGATATACCTTATTCTACAGCAATTGCTTTATTTTTCTAATCAACAAGTTCGTAATTTATTGAAAAAAAACCTTCAGTTTATATTAAACTGAGATTTCTGATCCACAGTTCTAATTTTAAAAAGTACATTTAGTTCTGCATCACATCACAATAAAGCAATTACTTATGCATTTCAATCAATATTAAGGAAACAAATCAAAGGTGTTATTAGGCTTAACAGATGCAGGCAGAATGCAAGGGAAGATGGAACAAATACACTATATAAACATCTTCAAACTCAAATATACATTGGTTTCATGTGAAAGTTTCACACAGTAGCAACAACAAACAGAATGAACATAGGATACTGTCTTATAACAGTTCCATGAAGAAGCCTTGGATCAGAGTTTGCCAAAAGTACTATCTTGAGATGTTTCAAGACAAACAGCTTTTCACATTTATGCAGTGCTGTTCAGAAATAAACACATTTTCACAATTGTTTTTGTTTGAAGAGAGGCTGGTGAAATGACTGAAGCTTGATTTGTAGCTGTTCTGTAATCTTCTTGTGCAAAGCCTTGTGGTGGGGAAGGGAGTGGGGTTTCAGGAGTTCAGATGTGGTCTTCATAAGAACCAGTGTGTACATGGGACCTAAAAGTACAGTTTGTCCAGTTAATGGATCTTGAGATGAATGTGGATGTATTGGATGATGGAGATGACTACTATCATTGGAAGCCCCATTTAACATTTCCTGAAGTAGGTGGCCAATTTAAGTCAACCGCAAAAGTTTTTTAAACAAACTATATTTGCTCAATCATTTGCCAAATGATGCGCAGCAGTGTGGGCAGCAGCAGAAGCAACTCTCCAAACCTCCCCCAGGGAGCCATACTGCGTGCGGATCATTGACGGAGTTCTCCAAACCCATCCGCCCTTGGAATTGCATGTTCTTAATGTTTATTGGATCTATGTAGCCCATTTAAGTGTAGCCCTTTCACATCTGGGCCAAAAAATACAATTGCCTTTTGGATTTCTTGAAATGGTTGAACCAGCTCAACTAGAACCCGACTGATTACACTGCTAATCTCAAATTCACAGCTGTTGCAGTGAATAATATAGTTGTTTCCCAAAAGCAAAATATCTTTATACATCATGGATCTCTTTATAGCTCCAGGCAGTTAAGTGTTCTCCTGCATGATATCTCAACAGCGCCACCTTGTCATCCAATGGTAACTGACAGAAGGCAGGAATATATTTAGCCCATTCCACCAAGACTAAGAGCTGCTGTTTCAGAAATTCACAGACATCACCAACACTTTTATTTTATTTTTTTTAACATGTATATCAGTACTTGCCCCAAGGCTTGAGACTGAGATCTGGCAAGACAGAACTTCAGCTTGTGCCAGTGTGTTAATGGAGGGGATATTGCTGCCATCACATGTGCTTCTTCTGGTGCTTGTTCTATTGCATTCATTATGCACAACTTCTTTTTCCATTCCTGCTCTAAAACACTTTCTTAATTGACTGTATCTACATTGATTTCTTTTGGCCTTGTCAACAAAACATTGCCGACGGAACCTGCAAGAATAAACGTTACTCTTGCATATGCTGCATCTGAAGAAGCCCTTGCACCCACCACAGCTCGATGCCCCACAGTGTTTTCCTGTTGCCTTGACTCACATATAGCAAAAAGACAGATGAGACTGTTGTCTGGGTATTCATATTTGTCCTCTCTGGGGCAGAAGTACCTGCGCAGAGCCACTCCGGGAGCTCTGGAGCTGCAGTCACTGCCCTGCAGCCTCCTCATCTCCCTGCAGCAGGTCCCTTCCATCCACCTCAACCGCGGTATCTGGCGCCACACTTTTGACAATTATTTTTCAATTGATTTACAGATTTAATATAATTCCAGTAGAAATCCAAGTGAGTTATCCTGTGCATATTGACAAACTGGTTCAAATGTTTACATGAAAAGACAGGAGCCCCAGAATAATCCACAACAAACCAAAAAATAAAAAATAAAAAAAAAAAGCAAAGCTGTAGAACTGACACTACCTGATTTCTAGAATTACTGTAAATCTATTGTAATCGAGATACTATGGTTTTGATGCAAGGAATAGACACATAGATTAATGGAAGCAAGCCCTTAACTAGAATCACACAAACGTAGTGAACTGGTCATTGGCAAAGAAGCAAGGGCAATCCAGTGGAGAAATGAATGTCATTTTACCAAGTGGTCAGGAAAAATTAGACATCACCTGCCAAAAAGTAAACCTAGGGATAGATGAAAGATCTCATACCTTTCAGAAACAATAGTCCAAAGTACATCATAGAACTAATTGTAAAACATAACACTATAAAACTCCCAGAAGAAAACCTAGGCAAAAACATATGATTTTTGTTTAGCTAATGTGATGTTAAATACAAAACTGAAGTCACAGTCTATGAAAGAAAAAGCGATGATGTGAAGAGTTGTTGAAGTTGAAATATTCTGCTCTGTGATAGACACTGTAATGACAATTAAGAGGCTAGTCACACCCTGGTAGAAAAAAAATTGCAAACACATATAAAGGATTTGTATAAAAATATACAAAATACTTTTATAACTCAATAATAAAAATAAATAATCCAATTGAGAAATAGACAAAACATCTAATCAGACACTTCACAAATTAATATATACAGATAGCAAACAGGTATATGAAACTACTCCACATCACATGCCATGATGGAATTGCATATTAAAACTCCAATAATAAGATAGCACTACATATCTATTATGATGGCTGTAACCCAAAAATTTGATGATACCAAATTCTGGGAATAAATCAAAGCAATAGGAAATCTCTTTCATTACTAATAAGAATGCAAATGGTACAGTCATCTTGGAAGACAATTTGGCCGTTTCTTACAAAGCTAGATATAGTCTTACCATAAGATCCTGTAATTGTGCTCATAGATATTAGCCAAATTAAGTTCAAAACTTATGTTCAAACAAAAACCTGCACATAAATGCTTGTAGAAGCTTTATTCATAATCCCAAAAAACTGCAAGTAATTAAAATCTACAATAGGTGAATAAATAGTCAGACTCCAGAATATCCATTCACTGAAATATCATTCAGTGATCAAAATAAGTAATTTACATTTCCTTTATATTTTTTATGGCTTGATAAATATAAAGGAAATGAAAATGTACATTGCTAAATGTATTAGTCTGTTTTCACGCTGCTGATAAAGACATATCCAAGACTGGGTAATTTATAAAGAAAAAAAGGTTTAATGGACTCCACAGTTCCACGTGGCTGAGGAAGGCACATAATCGTGGCAGAAGGCAAAAGGCACATCTTACGTGGCAGCAAGATAAGAGAAAAGGAGAGGCCCAAGCAGAAGGGGAAACCCCTCAGAAAACATCAGATCTCATAAGACTTATCACTACCATGAGAACAGTATGCAGGAAATCACCCCCATGATACAGTTATCTCCCACTGAGTCCCTCCCACAACACGTGGGAGTTATGGGAGCTACCATTCAAGATGAGATTTGGGTAGGCACATAGCCAAACCATATCATTCTGCCCCTGACCCCTCCCAAATCTCATGTCCTCACATTTTGAAATCAATCGTGCCTTCCTAACAGTCCCCCAAAGTCTTAATTCATTTCACCATAAACTCAAAAGTCCACAATCCAAAGTCTCATCTGAGATAAGGCAATTCCCTTCCAACTACGACCCTGTGAAATCAAAAGCAAGTTAGTTACTTTCAAGATACAATGAGGTACAGGCATTGGTTGGATAAATACACCCATTCCAAATAGGAGAAATTGGCCAAAACGAAGGGCCTAAAAGCCCCATGCAAGTCTGAAATCCAAAGGGGCAGTAAAATGTTTATGCTTTGACTCCATGTCTCACATCCAGGCAAGATGTGGGTTCCCATGGTTTTGGGCAGCTGTGCCTCTGTAGCTTCGCAGGCTCCTTTCCTGGCTCCTTTCAGGCTTGCATTGTCTGTGGCTTTTCCAGGCACACAGTGCAAGTTATAGATGGATTTACCATTCTGGGGTCTGGAGGATGGTGGCCCTCTTCTCACAGCTCCACTAGGCAGTGCCCCAGTGGGGATTCTGTGTGGGGGCTTCAACCTTACATTTCCCTTCAGCACTGCCCTAGCAGAGGTTCTCCATGATGGTCCTGCCCTTACAGCAAAATTTTGCCTGGACATCCAGGCTTTTCCATACATCTTCTGAAATCTAGGTGGAGGTTCCCAGAACTCAGTTCTTGACTGTTGTGCACCCACGGGCTCAACACCACGTAGAAGCTGCTAAGGCTTGAGGATTGCACCCTCTGGAGCCATGGTCCAAGCTGTACCTTACCCTCTTTTGGCCATGGCTGAAGCAGCTGAGATACAGGGCACTAAGCAGCCACTGCACAGAGCAGGGGGACCCTGGGCCCTGCCCATGAAGCCACTTTTTTCTCCTTAGGCCTCTGGGCCTGTCATGTGAGGAGCTGCCAGAAAAGTCTCTGACATACCCTGCAGACATTTTCCCCATTGTTTTGGGGATTAACATTTGGCTACTTGTTGCTTGTGCAAATTTCTTCAGCCAGCTTGAATTTCCCCTTAGAAAATGGGTTTTTGTTTCCTATTGTATTCTCAGGCTGAAAATTTTCTAAACTTTTATGCTCCATTTCCCTTTTAAAACTGAATGTTTTCAGCAACACCCAACTCACCTCTTCAATGCTTTGCTGGTTAGAAATTTCTTCCATCATATGCCCTAAATCATCTCCTTCAAGTTCAAAGTTTCACAAATCTCTAAGGCAGGGGCAAAATGCTGCCATTCTCTTTGCTAAAAAATAGCAAGAATCAACTTTACTTCATCTGCAACAAGTTCCTCATCTCCATCTGAAATCGCCTCAGCCTGGATTTCATTGTCCATATCATTATCGGCATTTTGGTCAAAGCAATTTTACAAGTCTCTAGCAAGTTCCAAACTTTTCCACATTATCCTGTTTTCTTCAGATCCCTCCAAACTGTTCCAACCTCTGCCTGTTACCCAGTTCCAAAGTCACTTTCACATTTTTGGGTGTCTTTACAGTAGCACCCCACTCCTGATATCAATTTACTGTATTAGTCTGTTTTCACACTGATGATAAAGATATACTTGAGACTGGGTAATTTATAAAAGAGGTTTAATGGACACACAGTTCCACGTGGCTGGGGAGGCCTCACAATCATGGTGGAAGGTGAAAGTCACATCTTACCTGGCAGCAGGCAAGAGAGAATGAGAGAGCCAAGCAAAAGGGGAAATCTCTTATAAAAACGTCAGATCTCATGAGACTTATTTACTACCACTAGAAGAGTATGGAGGAAACTGTCCCCATGATTTAATTATCTCCCACTGGGTCTCTCCCACAACATGTGGGAATTATGGGAGCTACAGTTCAAGATGAGATTTGGATGGGGACACAGTCAAACCATATCACTAAGGGACAGAATCTAGTCTGAAAATCTTGCATACTTTTTGATTTCAATTACATGATATTGTGGAAAAAGCAAATCTATATACAGTTAAAAGATTGGTAGTTATCAGGGATTATGAGGATGACAGTAGGATTGATTAAGATGTATAAGGATTTTTAAGGCAGTAAAAATAGTGTATATGGTCCTATAATTGTAGATACCTGGCACTGTGTATTTGACAATACCCCTAAAACTTTACATCACAGAAAATAAACAATAATGTATGCAAATTTTAAAAAATCATTTAGGAGACCCACAGATCCCAAGAAGGAATGCAGACTGTAACAACAGAATCTAACTGTATTGCAAATGTATGAAAAAACCTTAGTGATGGAGTGGGAGAAAAAGCTGCTGACCTAAGTAACTTCAAAATGAGTGAGGCCTATAAGACAAAATACAAAAGGAAGTGCACATAAACACTGTACTATAGTTGATAAAATTGTTTCCTATGGGAGTGTGGGTAAACAATTCTGATATATATTATATATATCAGTATGAAATACTATAATATATATCAGTATGAAATACTTAAAATATGTATGGAATTGAAAACAATAAATGGATGTGACATATGATGGGAAGCTTGTTTCTTACCAATGGTGTGGAAATTTACAGCTTAGCACGACAAGAAATTTAAAGTGATCCATGTGGCAATAAATTAAAGTTGAAGACATAAAAAAATTATGTTAATATAGATACATATGTCTACATGTAGAAATGTTTATAGACATGAGTATATACTTGTGTTAGCTTATACACAGATGTGTATAAGCTATTTTGTTGCTCTGAGAGCTGAGAATGAATAAAAGAAATCAGCAGAAGTGGCTCTTAGTTCTTGGTTTTGACTACCATTTTTCATTAAAAGGAACCAGTGCTGCTTGGCAAAGTTGCTGATTCTAGACCCAGGGCAGGATTTACACAAGATGAGCCTGGACTGAATGGAAAGCCAAAGAAAATGTGCATAATCAAATGTGTAATGAGTGAGGAGAATAAAACATCAAATCTTTAAAAATTTTCAGAGGTTGATTAACCACTGAGAGCAAATATGATTGCTTTCAGCCCTGTACCCTTCCTAATGATTAAAACACACACACAATCAAACACAAAAGCAAAAGCAAGTGTGTGTTTACTATAAATAGAAAGTAAATTAATTTCCAAGTAATGGAGAACAATTGAATTTGAAAATGTGACGCCTGGTCATTTTTGTAATAATTCTGTAATAAACATATTTCTGGAGCACTCATTAATCTATTTAATCCATATTATGGAGAAAGGATAAATAATCATGGACACACTATTTTTGATCTTATGAAGCAATGAACAAATGCATGCAAAGGCCATTACTAATGATATCACCTAAACCATAGGTACTTTACTAAAACTACAGCAATCACATCTCCTATTTAAGTTTATAGTATTCTAGCTGCAAATAAGTGAAAAGCCTCTAAATGATATAAGCCCAAAAGTCTCTATCGTTACAGATATAATTAAATGTTAAAAAGGCACTAGAATAGATGAAATTTTTTCATCTTCAATCATTCAAACTTAAGGAGAAGATTCCTTATTTCATAAATATCCTCATCCAGTTAACTGGTGTAATGCTATGAAATGTAAGTACAGAAGACCCCTTCATCACATTTTTGCTTTCCTCAGTTTCAGTCACCCACAGTCAAATATGGTGTGAAAATATTAAATGGAAAATTCCAGAAGTAAACTGTATAAGTTTTAAATTGGGCACCATTCTGAGTAGCATGATGAAATCTCATACCCTGGGATGTGAATCTTTCCTTTGTCCAATGCATCCATGGTATATATGCTACCTGCCCATGAGTCACTTAGCCATCTCGATTATCAGGTCAACTGTGGCAGTATCACAGTGCTTGCATTCAAGTAGTTCCTATTTTACTTCACAATAGCTCCAAAGTGCAAGAACAATGATGCCAGAAATTTGGCTATGCCAAAGAGAGGCCAAAAGGTGCTTAGAGTACATAAAGTTGAAAGTGAAAGTTCTCAACTTAATAAAAAAAGAAAAAAGGTTGTACCTTTTGCTAAGATGTAGGGTAAAAATAAATATTCTATTTGTAAAATTGAGAAGGAGGAAAAAATTATGTTAGTTTTTCTGTCACACCTCAAACTGCAAAAGTTACAGCCACAATGTGTGACAAGTGCTTAGTTAAGAAGGAAAAGGCAGTAAATTTGGGAATGGAAGATATGAACAGAAAAGTGTTCTGATTGATGGCAATCAGGTTCATTACCATCTGTGGTTTCATGCATCCAATGGGGGTCTTAGAACATTTATTTCAAGGACAAGGGCTATTCTAAGGAACAAAGACCTGATAGAAGATAAAACATTATTCTATAAAATGGCAATTTCTCTCATGAATTACCTAAAACTAAAAGCCCCAAACACAATGCTATTAATTTTATGACGGGTTTGCTGGCTGGGGGTAATTAACTGGTATTAAGTATGTATTTTATTTTCTCTTATTCATTCTAATGAAAAATTTTACATATTATTTTCATGAGCAAATTTTCATATTTTGGTTGTTCATTTTTCATAAGAAACTAATTTGAACATGTTCAATAATTTTATAATTTTATTTTTCTTTTTAGTTCACCAAATATGAAAAATATGATAGACATTTCATACTCTATATACATACAGAATAATTTGAATATTTGATAGGATAAATCTATTAAGATACAGTATATATAATAATAATTCTAGATAACAAAGAAGAAAATTCCTTAGCTGACAGACAAGTTTGAGCAGAAGTTCCAGTACTGAGATATAAAAAGAAAGATGAACACAGGAAAATAGGGAGAAAGAATTAATTAAAGAGAGAGAGAAAGAAGGAGACTGTGTGGAGGCTGGTGGCAATATAAATTCCCCAGATAGAAATCCACATTTTAGTACAAACTTTAAAAATTCATCAGGATATCTATTATCTATTTATAGGAAACAAACAACAATGTCAACAACTAATGCACACATTATCAATAAGTTAATCTAAGTTTTTGATTTCAGCTTTTTATTAAAAAATAAACTGAAAATATATACTAAAGTTAAAGTACAACCAATGTTTCCTCTCTAAAAACATGAAGAAAAAATTGTTATCCCTTTATCAGATGAAAAGGTTTTAAAACCTGGCAATTATGATCTTAATTAATACAAGTGATGAATGAAAGACTTCAGTTAGCAATAAACAGTAGAAGTGAGAGGTGGTCATTTATAATACCACCTCTAGACACTCCAGCATCATCTAAGTTATACCAAAGCCATTAAAGTAATTTTATTGAACATGAAATTGCAAGGAAAATAAAGAAGAGCCAATAATTTGACAATCAACCAACCAAATATAGAGAGTTCCTAACAACCAATCAACCAAATATATAGAAAGTCCATAACACTTGCACAGCTCAATTGAGCACTGGAATTCTTTATATTTTTAAGAATTATTGGATCCAGTTGCAGTGCAGCTAGTTGTTGGAATACCAACTAAAATTTATAAAAAATAAATTTTTGTGTGTGACAGGAATCTAGGTTTGGATAAGGCTAAAACAATCAGGAAGTTAACATAATAGATGGCATCACTCAAGAGAATTTCTAGTTATTCATAGATTATAAGTGGATATATATACTCAATTGCTAATTCAAATTTATTACTGAGTGCCTATCACAGAATAATTATTCTTTCCTACTAGGGATCATTCATCTAGGCACTGGAACATAGTGCTCTCCCACAATTTGCTTTCGTTTCCAAATGAAATATAATATTACAGTTAAATAAAATTTATCCTTTAAATACAACAAATATTGGTGACATGGATCCAAATTAAAAGCTAGTAGCATTATTTGTGTGACATCAGAAAATTTGATCTCTGAGTTTTTTAAATCTACCATTGGGGTGAAGAATTATATTTAAAATTTACTTATAGGTCTGTCTTCTTCTTATAATAATAAATGAAATTTTACATTATAAAGTACTTTGGCAAACACTAACAAATGATCACAATTAGAAGCGAAAGTATCATTTGCCTAGATTTCCCAGATGAAAATGCTTTTATAGAGGATAGTGGCAGTCTTAAGATCATTCAAAGAGTAAGTCAATAATCTGAATAAAATTGCAGGGTGTCATACCTTTAACTAAGTGACCTGCAGTTCCACAAATCTTGGTTCATTTAATGTATTTAACTGAATAGTGGAATATTTAAAATAAATGTTTAAAAATTTGTAAATACTTTTTAGAAAAAAATACTTAACCTCAATCCCACACTGGTAGATGTGTTTGGTAGATAAACTAAAACAAGGACTATGCTGTATTTAAAGTTTTATATGTTTTTCTTCAGTTAGTATATCTGAAAAGATTTGGCTCAAGTTCCAAAAAAAGATCCTTCTAAATTAATTTTTACGATTGTTTTAAATTTTTTCTTATGTTTGTTCATTTCTTGTGTCTGTCATTTTTAAAATAGCACTAATTAACTCAAGGCTGGAGAGAAAATTGCATTACTAGATCCTGGAAGCTATGACCATAGTATAGATGCTGGAATTATGACAGGGCTGTTCTTCAGAAAGTATGGTTTGGTGGAAAGTGGAATTATAAAGAAATAGGGTCACCTTATTCATTTTGTTCATTAGGTACCACGTCTTGGTTTTGGGATCACTTAGAGGTACAAAAAAAGTTTTAATTTTAATTTCTTTAAAATTGAAAGAAAAAAATGAATACAATATTTGCAAATATATAATAATAAATGCAATCTGAATTATAATCATTTTTATACCAACATGTTCATTGTAGATAGATGGATGGATGGATAGATAGATAGATAGATAGATAGATAGATAGATAGATAGATAGATAGAGATATATAGAGCTCTCTCTCTCTCAAAGAGAGAGAGATACCTTTATAGAGAGAGACAACCTTCTGGGCTCCAACAATCTTCCTGCCTCAGCATCTGGAGTGGATGGGTCCACAGGTGTATGGCACCATGCCCAGCTAATTCTTTATTCTATTTTATTTTCTGTAGAGACAGAGTCTTGCTATGTTGCCCAGGCTGTCCTTGAACTCCTGGCATGAAGCAATCTTCCTGCCTTGGCCCCCCAAAGTGCGGGAATTATGGGTGTGAGCCAACAAACCTGGCCAGAAAATATAATCGTTATTTATTTATTTTTCTTATGGACAAAGGGGTGCACAGAAGCAAAAGTGCATAGTGCCCTTGAAAATCACTATTCGATACTTTGGAAGAAGTACAGCCTTGCTTAGAAACACCATCCAAAGCATAATAAGCAAAGAAATATGCTATACTTTTTCTTTTAATATACTCTAATTTTCTGGTAAGATTTCCCTGTGACTGAATCTAGCTGGAAGCATATTCACAAGAAATCCTGGGAAATGTAATTTGCACTGTTAGCATATTCTGGTACAGTGCCTTAGGGAGGCAAGGAATAGATACCGGGACATTACTAGGTCAATCCACCTATATTGTTATTTATCATTGATATAACAATTTCCCTATATATGCAAATAAAATTATCTTTCATCCCTCCATCTAACATGAAACAACTATTCAACAAACAAAGACATTCATATCTTCTTCAGAAAGAGAAGACACACGTTCTCAATCAATTATTAACCATTTCAAAGTTCAGGATCTCCAGATGGTAATCAGACTTTTCATCAGATAAGAAAATGCGCTCCTAATATTTATATAATAAATAGTAGAGGTGGGTAAGACTTTGGCTACTGAGTAGGATGGCATGGCAGAACAACCCCAAGAATAACTAGAAAATTAAATAATAAATTAATCTTATTTTAAAGACATTAAAGGCCTCAACATTCAAACCCTGTCACTGAGTAATTTTGTACATGGGCCAAATGATCAAAGGATTGAGGAAGATGAGCACAAAGGAGGAATAATATCCATAGGATGTGTCATTTTGTCCACTTGATTATTGAAAGTCTCCTTGGTAGTAGATGAGAAGTTACATGAAAAACATATCCTCACATCCTGTGCCTACGCTTACGGTTCCATACACATAACTCTTCCCCAGAGCTCCATGTGACAGATATTTTAATCTTGTTCTTTCCTAATCTCTAATCCAGGAAATGTAGATCTTTATCTCAGGTGACTTTTTTCTTTACACAAGGAAGATAATCAAATGTGCTTCTTGAAATTTTACCTATATTTCAATTTCTTTCTGAGCTAACCCTGAGTTGGGCTGTAATGCAATGCCCATCTGCTTCCAGGTGAAAGAAACATATCAAGTAGAACTATACGTAAATCATGTTTTATCTTTATTTTATTGTATTTCTATAGATTTAGGTGGTACAAGTGAAGTTTTGTAACATTGACACAGTGTGTGGTGGTGAAGTCTGGGCTTTTAGTGTAACCATCACCCATATACTTTTTGTTTTCCTTTAATTGGCCATTTGGCCATAGATAGGGTAATCATACATCTGATTTGTGCATTCCTATTGTTAAAACGTAATGATTTATAACTTTAAATTATCTTTACACTCTGACATTTGGGTCATCTAAGTCAATGCTTTTTCAAATCTTATAGGCATATTAGTAATGTGATGATTTTATTGAAATACAGATTCTGATTCAGAAATTCTGTGGTGGGGCCTCAAAGTCTGCATTTCTAACAACCTTTCAAGAGAGGCTGAGGCTTCTGGTCAGTGGCCAAACTCTGAGAAGTGAAGATTTACAGAAATTTCCATCTCTGGTTTACCAAAATATCATCAATGTAGGGGACTCGTAGGAAGTCCATTTATGAAAATCTTTGCAAACTACATGAGGAGAGAGTCAGAGAGTTGACATGGCCCTGATATAAGACAGATGAGTTACACTGCTACTGATAAAAGAACACTACCAGTAATTTTATGGAAACACCGTGGCAGATTAAAAAACAACAATAACAACAACAAAAAACAAGTAAACAAACAAAATTTGCTCAAGGAGATGCCAGAAGCTGGGTAGAATAATAATGCACTTTAATGTCTACCAGGTTGGGTTTAAAATAATTCCATAGGCATTCTCTAATATCCACCCTTCTCACTTCAAATTTAGAGTTTTGGCAGAGAATATTGTTTTTGAAGCTAACATTTGGCAATTCCTACAATAGTAACCTAGATTCATGGGTTAGAACCTCTTGCTAAGTTTTTACATCCGTATTTATTTATTGGGACAAGAAACAGGAGCTCTCTAGAGAAGATAACAGAACTTGTATTTTCTTACGGAACATCTTAGCAGTGCCAGCTTCCCATATGCGGATTCCTCATGAGGCAATGTAATGAAGGCCAGACGTGCCTGTGTGTGCAGCAGAGTTAGCATTACAGGGAGGAACACTGAAATTCAGACCCAGAGTTTACATAGGGCAGCTGCCCATCTGTCCATCATCCCTTTCAGGGAGATGGAGAGGGAAAATAAGCAAACAAATAAACAAACCTTGATTTGAGAAGGTAAATAAATCCTCTCTGGGAAGAGGATAATCCAACTGCTGTTAAAAAAAAAAAATGAATTTCAAAACTGAAAACTGTAACGTCTGACTTAAAAATTCACTGGGTGGGCTCAATTGAATAATGAAGATGACAGAGAAATTAGTCACTAAACTTTGACAGTAGGAATTATCCTACCTGAAAAACAGAGAGAAAAAATAAAATATTTTAAAAAATAAACAGAGTCTTGGAAACAGTGGAAAAATATCAAAAAGATCTACTAGTCTGGTCATTTGATTACCACAAGGAAAGAAGAAAAACACTGGTATAGAAAAAAAGTTGTAGAAATAATGGGCAAAAACTAAAATTTATGAGTGGAAAGAGCTAAGACCTTTTTGCAACCGTCATGTAACAAAGACACAAGAGAATGCATTTTTCATTGACTGACCTAAACTGGCAGATAAATGCAAAACTGCAATGTCCTTTTTCTGAACTTACTTAACCCTAGATTATATTTTGAGGACTTAAAATTATTAATTCCTTAAATGCACTTTTCTGGAATTTTGACCATCTTTTCAAGAACTGAAACCCAAAGAAACAGCATCTATTTATCATTTCCAACTATTAAAAGAAGTTAAATATCCCTGCATTCAAAATTTTGAGAATTTTGAGAATTACTGATCTATTTAATTTCCCTGCACTTAATTATCATTTGAAGCAAAGTTATAGCAATAATTTTCTGTACACTGTTTTTGTTGTTCTCAGGTAAATTTATTAAACATTAGATTATTAAACTGAAAATGCTTATATAAAAATTATTTTAGCCCCATATTTGACAGTATCAACTCATATTAGTCAATACCTCAACCAATAACCTAAAAATTAGGGACCTAATGACATTTGTGTAATTTCTTCTTTGGGCTACTCAATTTGCTTCTTGTCAGTTAGGATGTGTGCATGAGGTCTGAGGATGTGGTGAGGGGATTGAACATCCATTCATACCTATCCTCCAAAATGCAAGATTCTGCTTAGGTTTTAGTTGTCAGTTATAGGGATCTATACAGAACATCCAACTACAGCACTGCCTGTTTCTGAGATTTATAGTTAATCATTATAAAGGGGAAATCCACTCACAGAAAAACGCTCAGGGGCCTTCACTAATCCCTACACATCTTAAAAGATCTGGCAGTAGACTGTGGAACCAGGACTCTATTCTCATTTCCAGGAGCATGGCAATTTATCACTCCCTTAGCTGTAATTCTGCAGCAAAGAAATGTGTAAATTTCACCTTGGAGGAATTAGCTGAGCTGCTTTTTGTGCATTTGTAATGCGTGTATGTATTCCAACTCTACTATTTTATTATTATGAATCATGAGCAGTCAGTTGTTCCTTTATTTCTTAGTCTTCTACATCTTCCACTCAAAAAAGACCTTTAAAAGTCACCTAAAAAGGCTGTAGGTACCCCGGGACAATAAATCTCTACCTGTTATCTGATTTGTTACAATGTTAAAATCTTTTCCTGACAAGCCTAAAGCTCTATATAGAAATTTTTTTGTCCTTTTTAAAGGTCTTTTGTCGGAATAAAGGTTTATATTGTATTTAGTTTAAAATCTAGCAAAAGTTTATGCCATCTACAATTAAAAGTAAAATTATGTAGCATGATATTAAATTTCTATAATGTAATTGAATATGATAAAATCATTTGTGTCTCTTTACTTTTGGTAAAATCTGGCCTAATTTACTAGTTTTGAAAAAGAAAGAAAATATATAGTTATTATGCTTGTTGTTTTTCTCCTTACTATTACAATCTTATATTAGAAATTCATGCAAAGATGTCATTCCCTACATATTTGCTAAGTGAACTAAAAACTATTTTCTTGTGATAAAGAAGTATGACTGTAGAAATGCAAATCAAGTAATCTTTAATTTCCTAAATGTGTATTAATATATAGAGCAAATATTAAGAAAATGTTTATAAATTATTACTGAATATATTTTACGATCAGTTTTTTTTTATTTGACTGCCATTCACAGATTGCTGTTTGTGTGCATAAGTGTGGGAGGGGAGTAGGTATGTATTTACTTTATTAATTCATTTTAATCATTATCTCACTGAGAAAGAGGGCAAGGATTTAGTGTTAAAACATTTGAAATATTTATATCAATAACCAAAGTGTATTATACATAGTAGATGGAAAAGTGTTTCTGAGTAATTGCAAACTGATTAATAAATTTTAATTTTCTTCTAATTTCTTAACTATATGGTTAAAGATTCCATACATGGATTGATTGAAACAATTGCTCACTTTCAAACTTTCAAACTTTTTATACCTCTAGAATATTTTTATTATATTTACTTTTTTTAAGAAAACGACAAGAACACAAAAATATTTGAATATAATCAAACATTTGTCTATTATGAAAATATTGTATTTTTTCAAACAAAAATATACATGAACATAAAATTTTGAATAGCATCCTTGCCCAAATGGCAGTCTAGATGACATAAAAACTTTCCCAAAGCAAACAACTACTAAAATACAATAAACACATATTTAAAGACACAGATATAAAATAAAGGAATTTCTAGGGACCATTAACAAAGAAAAAGTATAAATGAGAGAAAAAACACATATACAGTCACAGCTAGTACAATTTTCATAAAACAAGAATTGGTGAAGGAGGCCATGTGCAAATGACAATTATTTTTGAATTCCCCGTATTGATGAAAGACAAGAATTCTCAGATACTGAAGTACAATGCATCTTGATCAAAGTAAATAAAATATAACCCATAAAAAACACATAATTAGATGCATCTAAAAAAGGCTCCCCGTAAAAACTTAAATAACTATATACTACTAATCAAATTTTCAACAAAGAAAAAAAACTAGCAGATTATTTTGATACAATGTTAGAGGCAGGAGGCAAAGAAATTCTAGGCAGACAAGGGTAGGTCCCTGACAAAACCTCACCTTCAAGCCAAAAAGCCTGAAACCTGCGGACCAATGCGGCAACCTCTATCCCTGTTTTCCCTCTTGAATGTTGCCTTTTTCTAAACTACCCATGGCCCACCCCACCCCTATTCCTGTACCTATGAAGACCTCAGACTCAGTCGGAGAGAAGAGGAGAAGCAGCTGGACATCAGAGAGAAGCAATGTGACTTCAGAGGGACAGATCAATGGCTTGACTTCGGAGAAGAGTCCGGCCAGAGATGGCTGGACTGGAGGGGAAGATTACCTGCCTGTTCTATCCCCTTTTCTAGCTCTTCTTCCTGCTAACAGCCACTTTCATTGTTCAATAAAATCCTCCTCATTCACTTCATTTTTCCTGGACACCGGACAAGAGCTCAGAACCCACAAGTGCATATAACTCCCCAAACAGGCTGTCATACTAGCCTTCAGCTAAAGATGGCCTCACCAGGGAATTTTATGAAATGCTTTTAATTAAATACAACCAATACTGCACAAAATGAGAGTAAGAGGGCATACTTTCCAACACATTTGTAAGGTCAAAATTATTTTATGCCAAGATCAAAGATCTTTCAAATAGAAATACAATATATCAACATCCCTCATGAACACAGGTGAAATCATTAACAATATCAGCAAATCTAATTCAGTATATAAAAATGAAAACACACTATGACCAAGGGAGTATTATACTGGCAATGAAAGGCAGGTTCATACTTAAATGATCCAATATAATTAACAACAGAATAAAGGAGAGAAACATATGATTATCTCAAAAATACATGAAAACAATTGCAAAAATAATCAACCCCATTCATGGTAAAAATTCTCATTAAATTAGAAATAGAAGGAAACTTGAGCAAGAAAAAGAAGCAGCCACAAAAAATGTATAGTTAATATCAAGCAGTAGGTTGAAGTATTAATTTCCTCTCCCTAAATTGAGGGTAAGGCAAGAATGGTCAGTCTCTTAAGTCAAGAAAATAAAATCTTTATGTGTCATGTTAGAAACAAAAAATGTGAAACTCCCATTATTCAGAGTTGACATATTCAAATACATTTAAGAATCTCAAGATATGTGCAAAGAAGCTACTCAAACTGAATAACTTTGACAAGTTTTAGGATAAAAGGTCAATATATTTTGACCTTTTCAGTTATGTTTCTATGTATTGACACTAAACAACTGAAACATAAAAATTTAACATAACACCATTTAAAATGACAAAAATAAAAGCATACATCTAGAAAAGGATGTAGCTTCAAAATATGTAAATCACTGAGGTTTCTGGGAAGATGCGAAGAATAAGAAGCACCAGGAATTTGTTTCTCACATAGGCAACAATTCCACCGCATAATTTGTCTGATGAAACTATTTTGAACGCTAGAGGCTAATGAAGGCTTGCAACTTCCAGGTGAAGACTTAGATGATAAATTGTCATTATTTTTAGTCAGTTTCAGCTGTTAGCACAGTGACTAAGAGCCACCCATCCCCCAGTCTTCAACCACAGGGTAGACAGCTATACCCCTATTTCTCTAACAGCTTGAACACAGCTTGTGGGAGCCAGAGTAGGCAAAAAAGAACTCTGTCCTTCAAATATTGAGAACTGTGGTCTGATTGCTGATTGCTGCTTCTGATCACAAAGTCACAGACACAAAATCAGGCAACCATTGATGCACCTCCTCCCATTGTTGCAAGCCTCCTCTCTGGCTAATGTGACTTCCAAGAGATTTAAATGCCAGATGTCCTCTTCCATTTCATTATTTTTTCCCTTTTGGGTGCCAGACATTAAGCAATAAAATGTTCAAAAACAATTACATATACTGGAAAATTGAAAGTGAGCATTCATGCCCAATGTCTCAGAAAAGATAGGAGAAAACCATAAGTTTACATCTCAGTCTGATCCTTTGTACACAGACAGCCTAAAACAATTAAAAACAGAAACAATAATAAAAACCAGAAAACTCAGGGGAAGAAGGAGAACTGAATTTTCAGAATCTAATTATCACATTATTGGATTCCATTGTCTGGTTTTCAGCAAAACAACAACCACAAAATAGCAAGAAATATAAAGAAACAGGAACATATGGTCTAGTCAAAGGATAAAAATAAATCAAGAGAAAATGTCTTTCAAAAAGTCTGATAGCAGATTTGCAAGAGAAACTGAAGGAGGGGAAAGACAGAAAGTGTCAAAGAGAATGTTTGAAGAAGTAACGGCTGAAGACTTCAAATTTGCTGAGAGACATAAATATATACATTCAAGACCTACATTCATCATTGACCTGTATTCACCCTTATAGTATTATATAAAGTATTTTTACTACCCTACAAATTCTCTGTGCTCTGCCTATTTATTCCTCCTCTCTCAGCCTCACCCTGGCAACTACTGATCTGTTTATTGTCCCTTTAGTTTTGCATTTATGCAGAATGCCATATAGTTTAGTTCATACAAAATGTGGTCTTTTTATATGTGCTTCTTTTACTTAGTAATATGCATTTATGGTTTTGCCATGTCTTTTCAGAGACTGACAGCTCATTTCTTTTTAATGCTGAATAATATTCCATTTACTGTATGTATCACAGTTTATTTATTCACCTAATAAAAGACAACGTGGTTGCAGCCAAGCTACTGTAAATATCAAAAAGGAAAAAAACGAAAGATTTGACTGTGTACTACCTTTACCAGTGTGTTTTATACTTTTATATGTTTTTGTGTTACTAATTAGCATTCTTTTCTTTGAGATTGAAGAACTCTCTTTACCATTTCTTTTTAGAGAGGTATGATGGTGACAAACTCCTTCAGCTTTGTTTGTCAGATAAAGTCTTCAACACTCCTTTGTTTCTGAAGGACAGCTTTGCTAGGTTACCAAGGACAGTATACTTGGTCAGCAGTTGTTGCTGGTGTTTTTCCTTCAACACTTTAAATCAGAGGTGTCCAATTTTTGGCTTCCCTGGGCCGCACTGGAAGAAGAAGAATTGTCTTAGGCCACACATAAAATACGTTAACAAACACTAACAATAGCTGATGCGCTAAAAAAAAAAAAAAAAAAAAAAAAAAAAAAAATTGCCCCCCCAAAAAAATCATAATGTTTTAAGAAAGTTTACAAATTTGTGTTGCACGGCATTCAAAACCAACCTGGGCCACGGGCCACAGGTGGTCTAAGGGCCACAGGATGGACAAGTTTGCTTTAAATATATCATATCACTTTCTTCTGCCCTGTAAGATTTCTGCTGAGAAATCTACTGCTAGCCATATGGGAACTCTCTTATGTTATTGGTTTCTTGTATCTTGCTGCTTTCAAGATCCTCTCTTTGTCTTTGATTTTTGACAGTTTGATTCTATTATGTCTTAGTGTAGTCTTGTTTGGATTGATTCTGATTGGAGAATTTTGACCTTCCTGTATCTTCATATTTATTTATATATTTCCCCAAATTTGGAACGTTTTCCATTATTTCTTTAAATGTGTTCTACTCCTATATCTTTCTGTTTTTCCTCAGGAAGTTCTATAACTGGAACATTTGTTCTTTTGATGCCGTTTCATCAAGCCAGTACATTCTCTTCATTCATTTTGATTCTTTTTTCTTTTCTCCTCTCATAATCTGTCTTAATTGTCTTTCTTTTGCTTGATCAATTTTTGTTGATATTCTTTATTGCATTTTATATTTCATTTTTATATTTTTTGCTCCAGAATTTCTGTTCAATTTTTTAAAATATAATTTCAATCTCTATTTAATTTCTAGTTTTTATAATTTATTGTTTGTCTGATTACATTGAATTTTTTTTCTGTATTTTCTTCACATTTGCTGAGCTTACATACACAAATTATTTTAAATTCTTTGGCAGTTCTAACATATCTGTGTATTTGCTGTTAGCTAGTGGGAGATTATTGTGTTCTTTTGGTGGTACTATGTCTCATTAGTTTTTTTCTTTTTGTATTCCTTATTGCCTTATTTTGATGTGTGCATATTTGCAGAAGGGACTTATTCAAATGTTTGTAAACTAGTTTTTGCTGGGAAAACTCTTAACCAGTCAGATGATCCAGAGATTCTGGGAAGGCTGTTTGTTGTGGTACAAGGACAGTTTTGCTGCTGGGGTCCTTGGGCAGGTTGGCCTGGTCCCTGAGTCAGCAGAACAGTAGGTCTGATGCTAATTCCATGGCATTGGGCCTGGAGCCTGGTCCACTGGTTTAGACCTTTGATTGGGTCTACAGGATGGCCCTTGAGTCATGGCCCTTGAGTCTGGGTGCACAAGGTTGGAGCTGGAGCCTGTGTCCATGTATTAGGCCATTCTTTGATTCCTATAAAGAAATAACTGAGATTGGGTATTTTATAATGAAAAGAGGTTTCACTGGCTCATCGTTCTGCATGATTTACAGGAAGCATTGTGCTGATGTCTGCTTGAGTTCTCGGGAGGTTTCAGGAAGTTCGCAATCTTGGCAGAAGGCAAAGAGAGGCAGAGACATCACATAGCAAAAGCAGAAGCAAGAGTAGTGGGGGTGGGGAGGTATCACACACTTTTAAATAGCCAGATCTCATGAGAACTCACTATCACAAGAATAGCATCACAGAGATGGTGCTAAACCATTCATGAGAAATCCACCCTCATAATCCAATCACCTCCTACCGGGTAATCCCAATATTAGGGATTACAGTTAAACATGAAATTTGGGTGGGGACACATATGCAAACTATATCAGCCCATGAGGTTAGCCCGAAGTTTACAATCACAGGGGCTGAGGTGGTGCTGGGACTGCTCTTGAACATGAGTCTGTAGGGACTGGCCAAGCATTGGAGTGAGCCTGGTTTGTAGGTCTACTGGCATGTGCCCGGAGCCTGAGTCCATGGACACTGACCTGACACTGGAGCAGGCCTGGAGCCTGAATCTGCATATGTATATATCTCCTGAGTTTGCAGAGTCTAGCTTAGAGCCTAGGTCTGCAATGGTGGTCTTGGAGTCTCAGGTCACAGAGGCTGGCCTGGTACCAAGGTCTAGACCCTGGGTCTACTTGAGCAAGTCGTAACCTGGGTCCTCTGCAGCCTGGGGCCATGGGGACCTCTCTGGTGCCTGGGGCCAGCCCAGTGCTGGGGTAACATAGAACGTTGGCCTCTGAATCTAGTATGGAGCTTAAGGTCATGGGTACTGGCCTGATACCTGAAATCACCGATGCTGGCCTGGATCCTGAGACCATGGGGTCCAACTGGGTACTAGGAGCAGTCTTGAGCCTAGAGTCACTGAGTTTGGGCAGGCAGTGGGGGCATTCCAGAGACTGAGGCAGAAGGCAAAGGGAGGCAGAAGGCAAAGGGAGGCAGAAGGCACTAGGACTAGCCTGAAGCTGAACGCGGTCCTGAGCTTTGCACTACTGAGGTCAGCCTGGCAGTGGGTCAGCACAGAGACTAACTGCCAAGCAGTCCTGGAGCATGGGGCTTCAAAATTTGACCTCATTTTAGGGCAGGTCCAGGGGATCAGACTATGAGTACTAAACTGGAGTTGGGGTCATGAGGACCTGCTTAGTGCTGGGTTTTACTGTGGGTGTCTCAGTTTGGGGATTTGAAATGAAGTTCTATGTTTATTTCCTTTTTCTTCCCACATGTGTAGGGTATCTCTCTTTACACTGTACTGCCTGGGTTAGCAGAGGTGTGACATGGGTAATGTAAACCTGCCCTTTCTATCCTCTTCAATGCATCTTTTTTTATTTCTGTGCTACACTCAGGTATGGTACTGTGATCTCTCATTTGGTTTCCTTAGACTTTATGAAGGTACTCTCATGCATGGATAGTTATTCAAATTGATGTTTCTGTGGTGGTGTCTGTATGGAGAGTCCTACTCCAATATTTTTCTTATGTCCATATACCTGACATAAATTTCTTAAAGAAAACCTTGAAAGTCTGTTACAACAATAATAGAGAAGAAATACATCTTTCTTTATGAAAATACTGTCTCCCTTGCTTTATATGTATGATCATATGAGAGCTTCTTTCCT
Organism: Homo sapiens; assembly: GCF_000001405.40. Taxonomy (NCBI): domain Eukaryota; kingdom Metazoa; phylum Chordata; class Mammalia; order Primates; family Hominidae; genus Homo; species Homo sapiens. The sequence continues at coordinate 56,020,600 of NC_000013.11, forward strand.
TATACATTACTCCATGTCCCTGGTCACGTGACTGTGACCCATGCTGAGGCAGCCATTCTAGTTTAAAATGCGATATGTGGTGGTGCGCTCTTTTCTTATTAATTTGAAACAATGACATCATTAAACTAAACTAGCTAATAGCTATAGTTTTAGCATTGTAGTTTGAAAAGATGAGTCTAAAGCACAGAAATGAGCAAAAGTGAAAAATTACAAATAAAAAGTATTGATGAGATTCAATCCCTGATCAACCATATCCAAGTTTAACCCCATTCTTGTCCTTCCTGCAATTGGTATATATCAGCTAACACACTTCTCATTGGCCTGTTGGTTAGTTAGATTTGCATTTATGTCACTTGCAACCAAAACATGTATAAATATAGTAAGTGAAGAAATAGTATCTATCACTGGAAATAAATACTATTGTAATTCTTTATCAAATTTTCCATACCTTACATGACTTATAGATACATTATTTTGCTCTCTATTCTGAATACAAATATAATAGCATTAATAAATCTGTTATTCTTAGTTCAAAATATGGCTTCATGATTTCTATCATTAATAATAATAGTAACATTAGAGTTGTCCTCCCTGCACCAACCTCTTTTCTTTCCATTCCATCTTTCACATTGCAACAAGGAATAGCTGCAAAAAGCTCAACTCTAATCATATAATCTCTCAAATATCTTTCCTCTAACAAAATAATTATGAGAAGCAATAAAAGAAGCAAGTCAAAATGTGTCAGTATCTTAGCATCACATTCAAAGTCCTCGAAAATATAATTATCAAAACTTTAATTATCATTTAAAACTGGACACCACCTCTTTGATCATGCGATCTGCTTGGTTGAAGTTCTTTTCTTCCACTCCCTGATTTATCAACATTCTGCCCCTACTTTATGTGCTAACTTAAATGCTTCTTCACCTGTGATACCTTTTTTCCAAAACTGATATTAAAAATTAATCTAATTTATTTGAATTTATATCTATTTGATTTTATTTATGTTATGGACTCATGCCAATATTACTAATATTTTCATTAACGATTTACATTTTTGTGTCTATAAATAGACAATAAGGCTAAACATCATCAGATACCTTTTCAAAATTACTAAAATATAGATGTAAAGATTTGTTGGATGGAATTAATATTTGATTAGTTTACTGCTTTATGCTAGTACTAAGTCAACACAGGTTGTCATTTTTAATATGCATTATAATCTCAGTTTGACTTCTCTTTAGCTCTGATCTCAGAAAATATGTTACTTATCGCACACCATGCAAAGTAAAATGAAACTATATAAAAAATTGAAAGTTCAAAAGGCAATTTTTAAAGTTCCATTTAACAGCATAATAGTTTGAGGTTAAAAAATGTCATCTCTTTATAAAAAAAATATGAGATTCAACAGGACAGAAGCCTTTGCCTTAAAAAATATATATATACTTTGCCAAGGAACACAAGAGAAGTGGATACCCATTACAGTAAATTACAATGTTGTAAACAAACAAAATTAACATTTTAGATTGAAATTATTAAAATTCATGTTCACAGTTAAACTGGGAGGTTTTAGAAATATTGTAAATGTATGACTCTTTAAGTGAAAGGTGACAGTTCTGTATCATCCACTTTATGTTAAAAAGAAAGGATCTATGAAGCACTGTAAACAGTAAGTTAGAGGGATTCCACACAATATTACTGAATATTCAGCCTAAGTTATAGGGTAGTCTCAAAAGTGATGTGCTATATGCTGTTTGAAACACTGAAGAGGAACAGATAAGTCTTCACTACTGAAACTGCTGGAATAAGTGTATACGTGTTTGTGTATATGTGTATGTTTGCAACTAATTTTTTTACAGGACCAAAGAAAATTTAAGTGGCTAAGATTGAGTGTACAGAGTATTGTTAGTTGAAATTTTCCAAAGTATTTTTTAAAAGTTAAATGCAAAGGAAGCAACCGCATTGTTTTATTTGTAACAGATAGCTTTTGAACTTCTTAGCCAGAGCATTGCTGACTTCATTTTGCACCTAAAAGTCATTTAAGACAACATGTGAGAATATTCTATACATTATTGACTCCTAAAAAGTTAAGATTGGATACATTCACTTTCATAATACATGTTAACCACCTAAAAAAGAAACAGTCACAAACTATCATGTTTATTGTTTTTTAGTGGAATGTTTAAAATTTTTGTCAGACATAATACACAAATCTCTTTTTTTTTCTTCATTAGTCAGCGTTCATGTTTTATTAAGTACTAGGAAATGTGTTAGGAAATAATAGGAAACAGAAATTGAACACTGTAGAGTCATCTGACAAGTTCCAATTTATGTTCCAAAGGATTTTACTTAAATTATATTTAATATGATTTTCCAAAACTTGGATGAAATGTATTTTTCCTTTTTTTTTTTTTTAGAAACAGAGTCTTGCACTGTTACTAAGGCTAATCTCACCTCAAACTTCTGGCCTTAAATAATCCTCCTCCCTCAGCCTCCCAAATAGCAGGAATGACAGGCGTGAGCCATCATGTGCAGCCAGAAGTGCATTTTTATATGTTAGGAATAATTGTAAAATGGCAGTTCGTTGACGGAATAATTTTATATAAATCCTATTATCTAATAATCCAATAATGCAATATAATCTATTTATATATCAGATAAATATAGACCAATCAAATCTAATTATAAAATCTAATTAATCATCTAACCCAATATATAATCTAATTACCTAATCTCTACTACATATGAATTTTATGTTTAAGTAGAAAAATTACAACTTTAATTCCTGTAATAATCTCAAGGCAGTAGAAATAAAACTCTGTTATCTCATGTCTTGGGTCAATTTCTTACTATCTCCTCAGTGTATTTTCTCTCTTGTCTTGTGTCCATCATTCTTCATTCACTCACTCATTCAGCATACATAAATCATATTATACTATGTGACAGTGGTGGGTGCACATGACACACAAGTAAAGAAGCTAGACAAAGAGATATGTTCTTGTGTATAGTGATAGAAAAATGTTCGAATGAGTAAATAACATGCATGTATATAAATAAGTTCTGATCGTGACAAATGATATAAAGTAAGTAAAATAATATATTTGAATGTAGAGTGACATAAATTGGCTTTTTTGATTGCACATTCAGGTTAAAAATTTATATTTTACTCTGAGGGCAAGGGAAGCCAATAAAGAGTTTAAAGCGGAGGAATAACGTAATGTGAGTTGTGTTATTAAATGATTAGTCTGTCTGCTGTATACAGGATACATTGTAAGGCCAAGAACGTAAGTAGGGAGAGCGTACAGACAGTTTTTGCAGTAAACCAGGATCAGCTTGGTAGCAATTGAGAGAGATAAAACTGTACTCAACTACCAGAAGTATATTGGTTGACAACAAAAATTTTTCTACTCCCTCGTGAATAACATTCAAGAAATTCTCTGAGGCCGGGCGCAGTGGCTAACGCCTGTAATCCCAGCACTTTGGGAGGCCGAGGCAGGCGGATCACAAGGTGAGGAGATCGAGACCACTGTGGCTAACACGGTGAAACCCCATCTCTACTAAAAAATACAGAAAAAAAAAAAAAAAAAAAAATTAGCCGGGCGTGGTGGCGGGCACCTGTAGTCCCAGCTACTCGGGAGGCTGAGCCAGGAGAATGGCGTGAACCCGGGAGTCAGAGCTTGCAGTGAGCCGAGATCGCGCCACTGCACTCCAGCCTGGGCAAAAGAGCAAGACTCTGTCTCAAAAAAAAAAAAAAAAAAAGAAATTCTTTGAAAGACGGAAAGATAACTTCGCTTGCAGCAAGTACCTTAAAAGAAAAGGGATATAGTCAGGATTTTCTTCTAGAATGAAGGCTTTATTTAGGAAATGTATTCATGTGTTTCTTTAAGTAAATGGGAATAACAAATCTGTATTACAGGAATAATGAAAACATGCAATGTTATTTCCATAGACAATTTTCACAATAAATAAATAAAATTAGTACCTTTATAAAGATTGTGACATATAATAACACCTTTTAAATTTCATATAAATTTCGATCAGATAATTTAAAAATAATGCAATTCAAAATGATAACTCATTTAAGTCACCTCAAAATATAATTTGTGGACATACATATTTGGGGTAATAATATAAGTCATTAGATTTAAATGTATTCTTATCATACAAAGTCTATTATCAAATATAATGGCATTAAATTAGAAATCAATAAGAGAAATATCTCCGAAAAATCCTGAAATATGTGAAAGTAAATTTACAGACTTCCAAATGACTGAAACATCAAAACAGAAATCTAACCAAAAAATTAGAAATGAAATTAATGAAAATTAAAATAAAGTGTATGAAAAGTTGTGAGATGCTGCTAATGCAACACTAGGGGGAAATTTTGTAGATATAAACACATATCTTGAAATAAAAGAAAGGTCTCAAACTCGAATTCCATTTCAAGAAACTATAAAGTAAGTATAAATTAAAAGGAAGGATAAATTAGTTCCCAAGTAAACAGAATAAAGGAAAATAAAACAGTAGACTTTACCCGTCAGTTGGAAAAACCAAAGAGAATTACTGGGAAAAATCAATAAGACCAAAACCTAGTTTTTGAGGTTTAAAAAAAAATAAAATAATCTAACCAGGCTAATAAAATAGAGTATACACAATTTAACAATATTGGAAATGAAAGAATTTACATTACTACACATTCTATGGATATTAAGAGGATAATATATAATGATCATAATTAATTTTATATAAAAAACAGAAAACTTACCTTAAATTGATAAATTCTTAAAGACACAAACTACTAAACTCAATCAATAAGTAGATAACCTGAATACAAATGTATCTATTCAGACATCAAATTCATGGTGCCATGGTTTGTCTCCTCCAAAACTTATGTTGAAATTTAATTGCCATTGTGATGGTATTATGAGGTGGGACCTCTAAGAGGAGTTTAGGTGATGAGGGTTTCACCTTCATGAGTAGGTTGATACAGTTATTGCAAAAGTGGGTTTGCACACTCTTACTCTGTCTGTCTTTCCCTCTCTATTTTTTTTATTATGTGATGCCTTCTGTCATATTTTGATGTAGCAAAGTGGCCCTTGCAGATTCCATCCTCTTGGTCTTGGACTTCCTGCACTCCAGAACTGTGAGAAATAAATGTATGCTAATTATAAATTATCCAGTCTGTGCTATTTTGTTATAGCAGCATAAAAAAAGACTAAAACATTTCATTGAAAGCCTTCCCACGAGGAAAATTGTAGGTCAAGATGGCTTTACTGGTGAATACTACCTAACATTTAGGGAGGAATAATATAAATTTATACAAACTCTTCCAGAAAATTAAAGAGAATATAATACAAATTATTCTCTGACGCCAGAATTACCATGATGTGATACCAAAGACATTATAAGAAAAGTGCAACTTATTATCCCACATGAGCATAGATGCAAATAATGTAAACAAAATTCTAAGAATCTCTCTATATCATATATAATATTATCTCTCTATATATAATATAATATATATCTCTATATATTGTATATCTATATATAATATATATCTCTATATATTATATATCTATATATAATATTATCTCTATATATTATATATGTAATATTATCTATCTTTCTATATGTAATATTATCTATCTTTTGATATGTAATATTATATATATAATATTATTTTTATATATATAATCTCAACACAGCAGGGTTTATCCCACGAATGTAAGTTGCATTAACTTTCAAAAATAATCAGAGGAATTTGTTATATTAACAAAGTGCAAAAGAAAATCATTATAATTGTCTCAATAATCCCGAGAAAGCATTCGAAAAAATCCAGTATCTTCTTCTGTTGGGAAGTACGAATAAAATAATATTCCCTCAGAGATGAAAATGGGCCACTGAAACATTTGGTCTAACATTATACTTAAAGATACAAATCTATAAGCTTCTTCATAAGGTCAAGAATAACTTCAGGATGTCAGCTCTCACTGTTTAATGTTGCATCAGAGATTCTATCCAGTGCACTAGAAAGAAAGCATAACACCTATCTACAGTAATGCATCCAAATGGGAAAGGAAAGTCTAATACTTTCTTTTTTTGAAGAAAATATTTAGCAATGTAGAAAAATAAAAATATACAAAGCTTCAAGAACTAGTGTTTAGTAACATCGATACGGTAGTAACAAAGATGAACAATTCAAATTAAAGATACAATGCTTTTTTTTTTTTTTTGAGATGGGGTCTCACTCTGTCACCCAAGCTGGAGCACAGTGGGGCGATCTCAGCTCACTACAACCTCTGCCTCCTGGGTTCAAGTGATTCTCCTGCCTCAGCCTCCCAAGTAGCTGGGACTACAGGCATGTGCCACCATGACAGGCTAATTTTTGTATTTTTAGTAGAGATGGGGTGTCGCCATGTTGGCCTGGCTGGTCTTGAATGCCTGGCCTCAGGTGATCTTCCTGCCTTGGCTTCCCAAAGTGCTAAGATTACAGGCGTGAGCCACTGTGCCCAACCTATAATGCCATTTTTAATGATGTAAAGTATAAATTACTTAGAAATAAATTTAACAAAAAAATATGAAAGACTAGGACATTGCCATCTATACAACAATGTTAATAGCAATTAAGATACAATTAAATGGAAAAAATCATGTTAAAGGGTTAAAGATTAAATGTTGCTTGTGTGTGTGTGTGTGTGTGTGTGTGTGTTTGATAGATTCAATAAAGTCAACATCAAAATTCCTGATTTTAGCTTTTATTATAAAGCTCCAGTAATTGAGAAAACAAGATATCAGAGCTAACTTGAGAATACAGATTAATGAAAAGGAGTAATGCCCAAAATAGACCTACACATATATGGACACATGTTTTGCAAACCATGTGCAAAGAAAATTTCATAAAGAAAGACAGCTTTTACCAAATAGTTTTAGAACAGTATATTTTGTCAAATTCTACTAAAAAACAAACAAACAAAAACAGTTAACTCATAATAAATCATAGACCTGATTATAAAAATTCAAACTATAAAAATGTTAGAGGAAAACACAGAAAATCTTCTTTTCTTCAACTTAAATTAGACAATGATTCTTCCATATTACATCAAAAGCACAATTTATAAAAACAATATGTGACAAATGGGGTTTTATTAACATTTTTAAAACGTAGTCTTTAAAAATACTATTAGGAGATGGAAAAGATAAGCCACAATCTGAGAAAAAAAAAGTGAAATCATTATCTGATTATCAATTTATGCAGAGAAGGATGAAGAACTCTCAACAATGGATAACTACTGGAAGTGTGCTGAGAGGAACTCTGAGGATCTATTCCCCAATAAAACAACCATGACTGAGATATATTATATTAAAAAACCCAATCATTTAATAATCACTGGAAATTGTCATAAGGGCAAACACCAAATGAGGAAACATTTATTCAACAAAACATTTTAAAACTCAGTAAGAATATCTAGAATGTGGCATTCAAGCCATGACGTGCTCCTTTTACCCCCATCACCAAGCTCAGTGTGGAGTAAACTCTATTATAGGTGGATGTGATTGGGAAGACAGGATTCCCTTTCTGCTTAGATTTCTGTCCAATGCCATGATATCTCCTTAAGGGTGGTAGACCACAAATTGTTCTCACCCTCCTTCCCCCAGCTCCATGCTGCAAAGGCCAATGTCTGGAATAGTGCAGACAAAACATCAAGGGATCCATTCAGTTCCCTTTTGTCGGGTGTGACAGGCAGAGTATACTTGGGTCCTGATTGTGCTTGCCCCAGCTCACTGGAGGGGTGGAGGCTCAATGCCAGGAGAGGCCAATCAAGGAGGCCATCGGTTATGTGCTCCCAAGACCCTGCTTGTAAAATATGGGTGTCAGTCAAAGAGAAGTGATCCACTGTCTGTGTACTCAGTTCTAGAGCATCTACTAAAAAATTTTGTCCTAGAGAAAAGGCAAACTTTAAGACCAGACACCTCCAAAACTATCCCCACAGTAACTGAGTTTGTTTGTTTGTTTGTTTGAGATGGAGTTTCACTCTTTTTGCCCAGGCTGGAGTGAAATGGCATGATCTCTGCTTATCACAACCTCCTCCTCCGGGGTTCAAGTGATTCTCTTGCTACAGCCTCCCAAGTAGCTGGGATTATAGGCACACACCACCACAACTGACTAATTTCATATTTTTAGTAGAGATGGGGTTTCATCATGTTGGCCAGGCTGGTCTTGAACTCCTGACCTCCAGTAATCCACTCACCTCAGCCTCCAAAAGTGCTGGGATTACAGGCTTGAGCCACCAAGCCTGACCAGGAACTGAATTTATTTAAAACAGCATGTGAGGAAATTCGAGCCTAAGATAATTCTCAAAATCTCAGAAACTGAATCTTCTGAGGAATAACTATCAGAGGCTTCACACTGTTTAGGATTTAGATGTTACTAAAATACCAGCAAAGTCACTAAAGAAATAGGCATGCAAGTAACACAGCAACAACTCATGGAAGAAAGAGTGGAATCAGTACTCAGAGGTGCTACAATATTTAATTAAATGTCAATTTTTCACAAATTATTAGGCATGCAAAGAAATAGAAAAGTGGAATCTATAGCCAGGAATTAAAGCAGGTAACAGAAATTTTTTTGGTGACAGAGGCTAATTATCAGACTTATCAAAGGTCTTTAAACAGCCAGTTTAAATATTTTCAAAGAACTAAAGCAAACCATACTTAAAGAATTAAAGGAGGGTGTGATGAAAATATCTCATTAAATGTAGAATATTAACAAAAAATGATTATTAAAAAAGGAAACACATGGAAATTTTGAATTAAAACTATATTAGCTAAAATTTAAATTTTCAATAAAGAGTATCAACAGTAAATTACATTAGCAGAAGAATCAACAAACATGAAAATAGAAATTATGGTAGCCAAAGAACAGAGAGAAAAAACTAATAATGAAGAAATCCTCAGTAATATATGAGGCATCATTGATCACTCCAACAAAGTGAAAAAGGAGTATATGAAGAGAAAATAGAAAAAGAGGATTGGAAAACATAATTGAAGAAATAATAGCTGAAAACTTCCCAAATTTAATAAAAAATATTAAGAATCCAAAAACTTCAATAAACTTGTCATAGGATAAACACCAGTAGATTCACACCCAGCCACACTGCAGTAAAAATGTTGAAGACATGGACAAAAGAGAAAATCTTGAATTCATTAGAGAAAAACACTTTATAGATGAGAAAAACCTAGTAAGATTAATAACAAAGTTCTCATAAAAAAAATAGAGGCAAGAAGGCAGTAATTTGACATACTCAAAGTAGTGAAAAACAAAAAGAAAAAGCAACAAGTCAACCAAAGTTACCTTTCAAAAATATTGGCAGATGAACACAGTCCCCATTTCTCAAAACAACAGCAACAACAACAAAAGAAAATACGAATAAAGAAACAGACGTCATAAGGAAACTATAAACTAATATATCTTATGCATATAGATGCAAATGTCTTACACAAAACTGGGTAGAGACAACTCCATTAATATTCACATGCCAAAGAGTAAAGTTAGGCCTATTCCTCACATTACACAGAAAATTAATTCAAAGTAAATCATAGACATAATTGTAAGAAGTAACATTATAAAAATCTTTGAAAAACACATTTGAGTAACTTTCTTAACTTGGGTTACACAATGGTTTCTTCGATATGACACCAAAAGCACAGTAATAAAAGGAAAAATAAGTTGGACTTCATTAGAATTAAAAAGTATTTTGCTTCAATACACACTATCAGGAAAAGGAGACAACACATAGAATGGGAGAAAGTATTTGCACATTATATAAGCAAATGGTATGCTTTAGTCAATTGGACCTATTATAATGAAAATGCCATAGACTGAGTGACTTAAACAACAACATTTTATTTTTCACAATTCTGGAAGCTGGAAGTCCAAGGTTTAAGTGCCTGCACTTCTGTTTCCTAATGTGTAGATGGTTCTTTTCTCCATGAACCTTTACATGGCATAGTGAGAGAGCTCTCTCATGTCTACTTATATGATCCAAAATCCCATTTACAAACTTTATGACCTAATTACCTCCCAAAGACTCTACTTTCTAATATCATTCAATACCATTGGTGGTTAGAATATTAACACATGACTTTTGAGAGACACAAACTTTCTGTCCATAGAAAGGGATTTTATCTAGAATGTGTAAGATTCTCACAACTCAATAATAAAAACACAAATAATCCAGTAAAATGAACAAAAAGGGGTTAGATATTTCTCCAAAGCAGATATAAAATTGGACTGTTCTGTAACAAATAAAATATTTTCTACACAATTTGCCTTTAGTGAAATACAACTCAAAACCACAGTGAGATATCACTTTAGTCTCACTAGAATGGCTAAAATAAAAAAGACAGTTAAAATGAGTATTGGTGAATATGAGGAACACTTGAACTCCTCATCAACTGCTACTGGAAATATATATTGGTGGAGCTAATTTGGAAAACAGTCTGACAGTTTCTCAAAAACTTGTAGAGCTATCATATGTTCTAGCAATTTAGGCCCAAGAGAAGTGAAAACATATGTTCACTTAAAAACTTGTATATGGAAGTTCATAGTAGCTCTAGTCATAATAGCACCAATGTGGAAACAATATAAATGTTTATCAATTGACTAATGGATTAATAAAATGTGGTATATCGTTACAATGGAATATTTTCAATTATAAAATGAAAAGAAGTGATGATACATAGTGATCATTATTTTCATAACGATTTACCTGGGAGGCTGAGATGGGGGGATTACTTTAGCTTAGGATTTTAAGGGCACAGTGAGCTATGATCGTTTTACTGTAGTCTAGCCTGGATGACAAAGCAAGACCCTGTCTCAAAAATTTATTATTTAATAATGATTTAACTAGTTTTTGGAAGTGACTACCAATGAATATGGGGTTTGTTTTGGGGGTGATGAAAATATTCTAAAGTCAGCTATAGTGATGGTTGCCCAACTCAGTGAATATACAAACAAAAAATTCAATCGTACAGCTTAAGAGGGTGGGTTGTGTGATATGTGAATTATATCTCAAAACAGCTGTTATATTAAAAGAAACTCACCAAAAAGAAAATAAACCAGTAAATGTCTGGCAAAACATTTTAACAGGCACATAGCCAAAGAAGTAACAGGCACATAACCAAAGAAGATACAGATATAGCAAGTAAGCACATGATATGATGTTCAATATCATTAGTCATTAGGGAAATGCAAATTAAGACCACAATGAAATATCACTACCTATCCATTAAAACGTGTAAAGTTAGATAGACCTGGTGAGACTGAAGGGGGACTCAAACTTTTTACAGTGCTGCAGGGACTGTAAATTAGAACATCAACTTTGAAAGCCAACTTTTCAGTTTCTGAAAAAGTTAAACAAATGTACTATATGGTCTAACCATTCTACCCCAGACATTTATCCAAAAGAAATGAAACCTATTTATCCATACAATGAGCTGTGTACCAATGTTCATAACATCTTAATTTATCATAGCAAAAAAAAAAAAAAAAAAAAAAAACAAAAGAAAAAACTACCTAAATGCCCATCAATAGCCAAGACGTAGTCCAGAACAGGTTTATCAACAAGCTTGTTATATTTACACAGTAGAATGCTATTCAGTAATAGAACGGAATAAACTATTCAAATACATGGGAACACTGATGAATTCTCAAAATTAGTATATTTATATGTGAAAGTAACAAGACAAAAAAGAGCATGCACTGTATAATTATATTTTTTTATGTTCTAGGAAATTTAAATTAATATGTAATAGCAGAAAGAAAATTAGTTTACTGAGGGCAGTTTGGGTGGAAGCGGTAGTAAATGGGGGGAGAGATTGGAAAGGAACATGAAAATTTTGGCGAGTAATGGATGTGTTTATTATCTAACTTTGTAGCTAGCTGGTTTCAGGCATACACACATTTGTCAAAACATATCAGATTGTACATTTTAAATGTGTGTAGTGTATGTTAATAATTTTTCTTTTTAAAATGAGGGTCTAATTCAACCATTATGCTTGTCAATTAGAATATTACTATACTGACAGAACAACATGGATAATCAGAAATTATGGATTATAAGCACATTATTACTCTTAAATATAAAAATGCAGAGAACTTCATAATACATCATTTTAAAAATATCACCTTGGCCGGGCGCGGTAGCTCACGCCTGTAATCCCAGCAACTTTGGGAAGCCAAGGTGGGCGGATCACGAGGTCAGGAGATCCAGACCATCCTGGCTAACATGGTAAAACCCCGTCTCCACTAAAAATACAAAAAAATAGCAGGGCGTGGTGGCGGGCACCTGTAGTCCCAGCTACTCCAGAGGCTGAGGCAAAAGAATGGCGTGAACCCAGGAGGCGGAGCTTGCAGTGAGCCGAGATCACGCCACTGCACTCCAGCCTGGGCGACAGAGCAAGACTCCGTCTCAAAAAAAAAAAAAAAAAAGAAAGAAAAGAAAAAAAAATTCCTTTGCTGCCCATTTGGCCTTTCTACACTAAATACTATCTGAATCTGGTATAACAGAGATGACTGCTAGCTTACGTCTAAACAATTATCTTTTTCAAGTGAGAACCTCATCAAACAAGCAGTCAAGTGCAAATACAATATATATAATTTTTAATCTTTCCACCTGAATTCACCAATTCCATAATTTTTTTTTATTCATTTTTAGTGGTTTTGAATTCAAAAACATTATAAAATCTTCAACATGATGGTTGAAAAAGCTCTAAATGTCTATAAGCATTTTCTTATTTATGAAATGAATCATAGGCATTTAGAATACTGAGAGTGTCTTTAGCTGTAAAACTCTGGTTACTGAGTGCTGTTTGAGTACTCAAAAACAATACTAAACAAGGTATATATTAAAAAAAAACTACTGCAGTTTTAAAAATATATTTCAAGCACTATGTTATTAAGATGTAATTTAACACATAATATACTTCTTCTTTGCATTAATATTTAAGGAGTTAACATATATTACATTAAGCTCTGTAAAGCAAATATTAGCTGAGTTTGCCCTGACTTTCAAGGTAGGAACATAGTTGGCTCAATTCCCATTATCTCACAATCAGAATGAAATGGATGTCTTCTGCAAGATATTTGTTAATTGCCACAAATTTACAAAATCATGGTCACCTCTCCATCCAATTTCCTGTTCCCAGTCCACCTACTAGTATCTAATATCCCATGGCTTTTAATCTCCTTACTCAGGCTTTGAATCAGACAAAAGCCAAACTCATTTTCTTTAAGCTTTTCAAAATAACTGACAAATAAAGCAAAAGTGTCTTATTAGACATCTCTCCTCTTAAAGTTGTCTTGCACTCTGCCATCCAGAGTTTCTCACTGGGAAGCTTTCTGAAGGCTCCAGCTTCCTGCCGTGTGGATTAATTTACCTGGAATTCTACATTATCGTTTTCATGGCGTCGAAAATTCTTTGCCGTCTCTGAACCAGAGATTTGAATTTCTGGCAGTATGTGACTCAAAGGTATTGTGCCTTAGATTCACCTAGTATATGCTAAATTTATCTAAATGTTAGAGGTGCGGGTATTGCTTACAAATCTCTTACTTGTGACAGTCCCTGGAAAGTAGTAGCAAATAAGTGAACATATTCATCAACTAGCCACCTGACTTAAAGATAACTTAATTAGGGGTAAGTAAACGCCTTTTCCTTGAGATTCAGGGACACTACCTTATATAGTTGAGACATCTTTCATGAGCTCTCCTATTCTGAGCAGCAATTTCCAGCATACTTCATTCCTGTGCTGTTTCTTAAGGAGAACGATGATGGCTTACAGTCTCTCTTCTTCCTCAATTAACTTCCTGAAAGAAAGCGCTTTATTATATTATGCTTTTCCCAAAATGACACTCTTCAGAGCTTCTGTGGTAACTTATTCAGATCCTTCCTGTTTTTCCTTTCTTCATTTAGTGGTATGCATCTCCATTCTTTTTCTTTTTTTTTTTTTTTGCAGTACACATTATATTAATATCCATGAAGCAACATCTGTGCCTTCTTCTTACTGCTTAGTTAAACATTTAGAAATCTGAAATCTGATTCTCCTTTACTCAACCTATAGGCTCATACATATTTAAGAGCTGTTATACAAATGGTAACATACTCTGAAACACTTGAAATTGCAAACTATTAATGACTTTTAGAGGATAGCCTCAGAAATTTCAAATAACATACTTGATTTCTATGCATCTGACACCTTTCATGTTCTTTTTAAAAATTTCTACATCTTGCTATGGTAAACTGACTACTATTGTAAATCTACAGTTCCCATTCACTCCCTGGCATTTGTTGAAGCTACTTCCAGTAATTTTTTTAGATGTAGTCTCTACTATACTGAAATGTCCCAACATATGAGACTGCTCTCTTTCAGAATCACTCTTAGCTAAAACAAGCTTGTAACCACTCATATATTTGGGCATATATTTTTGATATTGAATTACATAAAAACATGTAGACCATTTATTTGCCTGTAATATTAAAAAAATGAATATATGTACTATTAAAAGTTTATGCCATAATTTTGGTATTCTCTTCTTGTCTAAAAGATAAAGGTTGAAAATGCAATCTCAGACTCAAAATGATTTCAGATAGCTATCTATGAATATAATGTAATGATAAATCAAGAGCCATGTTTTAATACCCTGTACCATTCTTTTACAAATAGGTATTTTGAAGGTGCATGCATGGCTGCTTCAATTATTAAGATAATGATTGCTTCAAGACACAGATTGGGCTGCACATAAACTCATAAGCACTTGAAATCTATTCTTCAGATGTAATTTAAAATGAAATTCCTGGTCACTTTCATCTTTGAGATTTACTTTAAAACCATCTAGACTCCTCATTATCCCTTGCTCTGAAGCCTGGTCCTTTTCCAGGGCCACTGCACATTCTAGGGGAGACAAGGGAGAAGAACTTGGAACAAAGTATATTCACTTTCATCCCCATGTGGAAACAAGAGAGTTGAATGTGAAACAGATTATATAATCTTTCTTTCTAATATCCTTTTCCCTATGGCTTTTTCCATAGGACATTGTAGTTTTTCCTAAAATGGTGAAGATATCTGCCTATTAAATCTGGGATCATGCTTTTTACTTGCTTTGGACCCTAAAATAATGAATAGGTAATAGTGATGGTATGCCAGTTTCAACCCTACACCTTAAGAATTATGACATGTTTTTCCTCCCTTTTTCACATTTTCACTACCTCTTTAAAAACATGTGCCCAAGCTAGCTCACTGATCCAGAAAGATGAAACACACTTCAAATACAAACAAGTAAGTCTGCATCAACTAAGCACTGCTTATGCACAAGAAGCAAATATTAAATTATGTATGCCACTGGATTCTGTGGTTGTTTTTAATCAGTAATTTTATGCCAGTAATTAATTGTACTAATTGAACTAACCACTCAAAACTAGGCAAAGATCATAACCCCTGTAATTGTGTTTTCCCACACAACACTCATACAAAATATTTATTTGTATGTATTAGATATTACTGAAGGTTTGGGGGAAATATACAGGATCATAATGGTTTCCAATATCAAAATTCTTAAAAGTGAAACTATTGTCAAGTCTTTCAGCCATCTTACCATGAAGTTCTCATTATCTATTTTCCTAGTGCTTTCCCTTCTGAAGTGGCTCTGCCATTGAACAAGAAATTAATCTGCTTCTACATTCTCCATTCCTCTGTGGCTTTCATTCCTCTTCCTAATTTATCATATAGGTGAATTTAAAAATCTAGAAGACAACCTAGGTAATACCACTGAAGACATAAGTATGAGTAAAGATTTCACAATGAAGATGCCAAAAGCAATTGCAACAAAAGCAAAGATTGACAAATGTGATCTAATTGAACTAAAGAGCTTCTGTACAACAAAATAAACTATCAATGGAATAAACAGACAACCTACAGAATGGGAGAAAAATTTTGTGAACTATGCACCTGAAAAAGGTCTAATATCCAACATCTACAAGGAACTTAAACAAATTTATATATATATACAAACAACCCCATTAAATTTTGGGTAAAGGATATGAACAGACACTTCTCAAAAGAAGACATACATGCAGCCAACAAACGCATGCAAAAAAAGCTTAAAATCACTGACCATTAGAGAAATGCGAACCAAAGCCACAGTGAGATACCATCTCACACCAGTCAGAATGGGCATTACTAAAAAGTCAAAAAATAACAAATGCTGGTGAGGCTGTGGAGAAAAAGGAATGCTTATACATTGTTGGGGGGAGTGTAAATTAGTTCAACCATTGTAGAAGACATTGTGGCAATTCCATAAAGACCAAAAGACAGAAACACCATTCAATCCAGCAATTTCATTACTGGTTATACACCCAAAGGAATATAAATTATTCTATTTTAAAGATATATGCACGCATATGTTTATTGCAGCACTAATCACAATAGCAAAGACATGGAATCAACCTAAATGTCCACCAGTGATAGATTGGATAAAGAAAATGTGGTACATATACACCATAGAATACTATACAGCCATAAAACGAATGCAATCATGTCCTTTGCAGGGATATAGGTAGAGCCTGGGGACATTGTCTTTAGCAAACTAATGCAGGAACAGAAAATCAAATACTGCATGTTCTCACTTATAAGTGGGAGTGAATGATGAGAACACATGGACTCATGAGGGAGAATAACTCACATTGGGCCCTGTTGGAGGGTAGAGGGTGGGAGGAGGGAGAGGATCTGGAAAAATAACTAATGGATACCAGGCTTAATACCTGCTGATGAAAAAATCTTTTCAACAAACCTCCATGACACACGCTTACCTATGTAACAAACTTGTACATGTATCCCTGAACTTAAAAGTTAGAAAAATAAAATAAAATACCCCTGTACTCTTCAACTGTGGATTTCTGTTTACAGACATTATATTGGGATCTGCTGAACAGAATCAGTTAATCAGAGTCATCACTTCATGTGTAAAAGAACAGTAAAATTTGGCAATATAAATATTTCCTCCCCTTTTAGATTCTGGTAGATGAAAGTGAGCAAAAAAAATATTTATTTTCCCACAAACAAAATCATGTATTTATCATTTGAAGGTAGAATCTTCCATAATCATTTTTATTGTAGCTAATAACTTTTTCTCCTACATTAATACAACAGCAGATCTGTATGTTCCAATTTATTATTGACAAGTGCAAGATCCTATGTAATTGGAATAAACACCTACATTATATGTTTTGAAGTATTTTGAAAATTAGGCATGTTCCAAATTATTCCAAAGGGAAATCTTCTACAAAAGTGTGTTAGAAAGTTTGTGTTAACTCAGAAATGCCAAAATGATGTTTAAAGGGAGAGAAATATTAGAAGTAGAGTATATTTAATCTGAGGCCCCCAAAAACAACTAGGCTGGGATTATTAATTTGGTCATCATTAGAGTGTGGTCTAATTTAAAGAAAATATATCAACAAGCTGTCCTGATCAAATTTCCTTTCTGCAAAGATCACCTTAGTAGCAACATGGAGACTAAGTTGAAAGAGACATAGAAAGACAAATTAAATATTTACTATATTCATGAAAAATAAAAGTGATTATTTCAATGAAAATTGAATAATATTAACTATATTAGGAGAGATTTAGGAAGCAAAACAATGGAACTGTTGAGGGATGTTGGTAGTAAGGAAAAGAGGCTACATGAAGATTGCTCCATGATTCACACTTAAGTGTGAATTAGCAGATAGGTTATTATGATTTCTACATGTTTCTTATAGATTCAAAATATATTCAATGTTTTTATCCAACTGCATCTGATTGAAATATCACATATTGCAAACCAACCTGTATTCATTTTAACAAAGCAGCTCTAGTTATTCAGTGGAAATCTGGAGGTATTTTCTCCTTTTTTCTCTTTCAAATATGCTTTTTATAGTGATTTCAGGAACAACAGGTTCATGTGTAGAGGAGGCCAGTGTGGTTAGCATATTAGGTCACTTATTCCTAAGAGAGAAAATACTGTTGTATCTCTCAGTGAAATGGGCAGGTATATTCATGACAACAAGTGGGACTTCCCGGAAATACTAAATCTCATATCTTGAAGCATCATAAAGTATAAGATGGATAAAACCAGTGGCCTGGTAACTCATAAATTTTATCCTGCTCAAACTGACTCATGTCAGTTTCCAGTCTTAGAAATTATTTTCGTTAAACTGGAATTAGGAGAAAAAAAATTTTATCTATATTTGCTATATGTTAGATTCACACCTCAAAGACTGTCATTGGTTAAAAGATAAAATCTGGCTGGGATGGAAACCAACATTCAGAAAAGAAGCATTAAAAGAGAAAGAAGAGGGAGATTCTTGATGTCAATCCTGTGTGTGTATTGGGTTAAACACACAACATTGGGGTAACCTATGGTAATCTCTGACTATGGGTCAGTGAATTCTCTTGTATGCACAAGCTGTTTTCACTTGGAATTTTAAGCTTAAAGTAAATGATCATGCAAATGCCATTTTGTACAAATGATTTGCAACTTTTAAAAGGGGGATCATTTACATGAAGTATATAGCATATTTCATTATGTACTAGACATCCTTTGAATTAGCTAGTTAATAAAATTGCAACCATAATTTTGGATTATTTTTTATAACGGTTATATTCTAGTCTATGCTTTCACATAATAAATAATATATTCTATGTACGAAATTAAAAATGTTCTGGTATGTCTTAACTATATAAACAACTGTCAAATCAATATATGATAATATTTCAGATATTTAGAAATGCGCTAAAGCTCTTATATGGTATACCCTAGCTTGCACTGCTCTCGTATGTCTGGTGTGTAGACTGTTAAGTGACACTTGACATGCCTGGTATTTATGTAGCTATAACTTGAAAATGTTGAAGATAATTATAAAAAATTAGGATTTATAGCTACTCTATAGAACAAAGTGCTTGTTTATGTATTAATTTCTTATTATAATGCTAGAAATAAAGACGAGGCTTGTAGTGAACAGTAGGTTTAGAATCAAGCTATTGAGTCAATAGAAAACATTCAAAGTATTTCCATTGTGTGATCTAAAAGAACTGTTTGAATTATAAAAATATTATATACATATATATATATGGTCTGGGTGTGGTGGCTCATGTCTGTAATCCCAGCACTTTGGGAAGTTGAGGTGGGAGGATCACTTGAGTCCAGGAGGTAGATCAATTGAGCTGAGAGCATGTCACTGCACTTCAGTCTGGGAGACAGAGTGAGATCCTGTTTCAGAATAAATAAATAAATAAATAAATAAATAAATAAATAAATAGTGTTACAGGTGGGTCTTTGTTCTTAGAGCTCCCAAGATGGGGCAGGCTGCTCCCAAGATGGCAGCAAGCCTTTTGTTCTCTCACCTGATGTTCTTGGCCTCATGGATTCGAAGGAATGGAACCTTGGTCTATGCGGTGAGTGTTACAGCTCTATTAGAAGCCTTGGGTCACGGCAGAGAACCGTGGAACCCAGCAACTAGTGTTCAGCTCTATTAGAATGAATCTGGGCACTTAGCCACGCAGGAACAACTGCAAGCCTCCAGCCGGTTTGGGAGCAGCAATGGGCGCCTTGCTGGATCAGAAATGTCAGGCCTCTGAGCCCAAGCCAAGCCATCGCATCCACTGTGACTTGCACATATACACCCAGATGGCCTGAAGTAACTGAAGAATCACAAAAGAAGTGAACATGCCCTGCCCCACCTTAACTGATGACATTCCACCACAAAAGAAGTGTGAATGGCGGGTCCTTGCCTTAACTGATGACATTACCTTGTGAAAGTCCTTTTCCTAGCTCATCCTGCCTCAAAAAGCACCCCCACTGAGCACCTTGCGACCCCCACTCCTGCCTGCCAGAGAACAAACCCTCTTTGACTGTAATTTTCCTTTACCTACCCAAATCCTATAAAACGGCCCCACCCTTATCTCCCTTCACTGACTCTCTTTTCGGACTCAGCCCGCCTGCACCCAGGTGAAATAAACAGCCACATTGCTCACACAAAGCCTGTTTGGTGGTCTCTTCACACAGACGCGCATGAAATTTGGTGCCATGACTCAGATTGGGGGACCTCCCTTGGGAGATCAATCCCCTGTATTCCTGTTCTTTGCTCCGTGAGAAAGATCCACCTATGACCTCAGGTCCTCAGACCAACCAGCCCAAGGAACATCTCACCAATTTTAAATCAGGTAAGCAGCCTCTTCTTACTCTCTTCTCCAACCTCCCTCACTGTCCCTCAACCACTTTCTCCTTTCCAATCTTCAATCTCTCCCTTCTCTTAATTTCAATTCTTTTCATTTTCTGGGAGAGACAAAGGAGACATGTTTTATCCATGGACCCAAAACTCCGGCGCCAGTCATGGACTGGGAAGGCAGCCTTCCCTTGGTGTTTAATCATTGCAGGGATGCCTCTCTGATTATACACCCACGTTTCAAGGGTGTCAGACCACGCAGGTACACCTGCCTTGGTCCTTCACCCTTAGCAGCAAGTTCCGCTTTTCTGGGGGAAGGGGAAAGTACCTCAATCCCTTCTCTCCTTGTCTCTACCCCTTCTCTGCTTTTCCGGGGACAGGACAAGTACCCCAACCCCTTCTCTCCTTGTCTCTACCCCTTCTCTGCTTTTCTGGGAGAGGGGCAAGTATCCCTCAACCCCTTCTCCTTCACTCTTAGCTGCAAGTCCTGCTTTTCTAGAGGAGGGGCAAGTACCCCAACCTTGTATCTCTGTGCCCCGACCCCTTATTTCCATGCCCCGACACCTTATTTCTGCACCCCATTCCTTATTTCCACACGCTGACCTCTCATCTCTGCACCCCAACCCCTTTTCCCACTTTTCTGGAAGGTAAGAACCCCCAAACCCCTTCCCTCCATTTCTCTACTCTCTCTTTTCTCTAGGCTTGCTTCCTTCACTATGGGCAACTTTCCACCCTCCATTCCTCCTTCTACTCCCTTGGCCTGTGTTCTCAAAAACTTAAAACCTCTTCAACTCACACCTGATCTAAAACCTAAATGACTTTTCTTCTTCAATGCTGCTTGACCCCAATACAAACTCGACAGTAGTTCCAAATAGCCAGAAAATGGCACTTTGAATTTTTCCATCCTGCAAAATCTAAATAATTCTTGTCGTAAAATAGGCAAACGGTCTGAGGTGCCTGACGTCCAGGCATTCTTTTACACATCAGTCCCTTCCTAGTCTCTGTGCCCAGTGCAACTCATCCCAAATCTTCCTTCTTTCCCTCCCGCCTGTCCCCTCAGTACCAACCCCAAGTGTGGCTGAGTCTTTCTAATCTTCCTTTTCTACAGACCCATCAGACCTCTCCCTTCCTCCCCAGGCTGCTCCTCGCCAGGCCGAGCTAGGTCCCAATTCTTCCTCAGCCTCTGCTCCTCCACCCTATAATCTTTTTATCACCTCCCCTCCTCACACCTGGTCCTGCTTACAGCTTCGTTCCCTGACTAGCCCTCCCCCTCCTGCCCAGCAATTTACTCTTAAAAAGGTGGCTGGAGCCAAAGGCATAGTCAAGGTTAATGCTCCTTTTTCTTTATCCCAAATCAGAAGCGTTTAGGCTCTTTTTCATCAAATATAAAAACCCAGCCCAGTTCATGACTTGTTTGGCAGCAACCCTGAGACGCTTTACAGCCCTAGACCCTAAAAGGTCAAAAGGCCGTCTTATTCTCAATATACATTTTATTACCCAATCTGCTCCCGACATTAAATAAAACTCCAAAAATTGGAATCTGGCCCTCAAACCCCAAAACAGGACTTAATTAACCTCACCTTCAAGGTGTACAATAACAGAAAAAAGTTGCAATTCCTTGCATCCACTGTGAGACAAACCCCAGCCACATCTCCAGCACACAAGAACTTCCAAACGCCTGAACCGCAGCAGCCAGGCGTTCCTCCAGAACCTCCTCCCATATGAGCTTGCTACACATGCCGGAAATCTGGCCACTGGACCAAGGAATGCCCGCAGCCCAGGATTCCTCCTAAGCCACGTCCCATCTGTGTGGGACCCCACTGAAAATCGCACTGTTCAACTCACCTGGCAGCCACTCCCAGAGCCCCTGGAACTCTGGCCCAAGGCTCTCTGACTGACTCCTTCCCAGGTCTTCTCGGCTTAGCGGCTGAAGACTGACACTGCCTGATCGCCTTGGAAGCCCCCTAGACCATCACGGACGCCGAGCTTCGGGTAACTCTTACAGTGGAAGGTAAGCCCATCCCCTTAATCAATATGGAGGCTACCCACTGCATATTACCTTCTTTTCAAGGGCCTGTTTCCCTTGCCTCCATAACTGTTGTGGGTATTGACGGCTAGGCTTCTAAACCTCTTAAAACTCCCCAACTCTGGTGGCAACTTAGACAATACTCTTTTAAGCACTCCTTTTTAGTTATCCCCACCTGCCCAGTTCCCTTATTAGGCTGAGACACTTTAAATTATCTGCTTCCCTGACTATTCCTGGACTACAGCTATATCTCATTGCCACCCTTCTTCCCAATCCAAAGCCTCCTTTGCGTCCTCCTCTTGTATTCCCCCACCTTAACCCACAAGTATAACCCACCTCTACTCCCTCCTTAGTGACCGATCATGCACCCCTTACCATCTCATTAAAACCTAATCACTCTTACCCCGCTAAACGCCAATATCCCATCCCACAGCACGCTTTAAAAAGATTAAAGCCTGTTATCACTCACCTGCTACAGCATGGCCTTTTAAAGCCTATAAACTCTCCTTACAACTCCCCCATTTTACCTGTCCTAAAACCGGACAAGCCTTACAAGTTAGTTCAGGATCTGCGCCTTATCAACCAAATTGTTTTGCCTATCCACCCACGGTGCCAAACCCATATACTCTCCTATCCTCAATATCTGCCTCTACAACCCATTATTCTGTTCTAAATCTCAAACATGCTTTTTTCACTATTCCTTTGCCCCCTTAATCCCAGCCTCTCTTCGCTTTCACTTGGACTGACCCTGACACGCATCAAGCTCAGCAAATTACGTAGGCTGTACTGCCGCAAAGCTTTACAGACAGCCCCCATTACTTCAATCAAGCCCAAATTTCTTCCTCATCTGTTACCTATCTCGGCATAATTCCCATAAAAACACACGTGCTCTCCCTGCTGACCATGTCCGACTAATCTCTCAAACCCCAACCCCTTCTACAAAACAACAACTCCTTTCCTTCCTGGGCATGGTTAGATACTTTCGCCTTTGGATACCTGGTTTTGCCATCCTAACAAAACCATTATATAAACTCACAAAAGGAAACCTAGCTGACCCCATAGATCCTAAATCCTTTCCCCACTCCTCTTTCTGTTCCTTGAAGACAGCTTTAGAAACTGCTCCCACTCTAGCTCTCCCTGACTCATCCCAAACCTTTTCATTACACACAGCTGAAGTGCAGGGCTGTGCAGTCGGAATTCTTACACAAGGACCAGGATCGCATCCTGTAGCCTTTTTGTCCAAACAACTTGACCTTACTGTTTTAGGCTGGCCATCATGTCTCCATGCAGCAGCTACCGCTGCTTTAATACTTTTAGAGGCCCTCAAAATCACAAACTATGCTCAACTCACTCTCTACAGTTCTCATAACTTCCAAAATCTATTTTCTTCCTCATACCTGACGCATATACTTTCTGCTTCCCGGCTCCTTCAGCTATACTCTTTGTTGAGTCTCCCACAATTACTGTTGTTCCTGGCCCAGACTTCAATCCGGCCTCCTACATTATTCCTGATACCACACCTGAGCCCCATGACTGCATCTCTCTGATCCACCTGACATTCACCCCATTTCCCCAAATTTCCCTCTTTCCTGTTCCTCAGCCTGATCACGCTTGATTTATTGATGGCGGTTCCACCAGGCCTAATCGCCACACACCAGCAAAGGCAGGTTATGCTATAGTACAAGCCACTAGCCCACATCTTAGAACCTCTCATTTCCTTTCCATTGTGGAAATCTATCCTCAAGGAAATAACTTCTCAGTGTTCCATCTGCTATTCTACTACTCCTCAGGGATAGTTCAGGCCCCCTCCCTTCCCTACACATCAAGCTCAAGGATTTGCCCCCACCCAGGACTGGCAAATTAGCTTTACTCAACATGCCCGAGTCAGGAAACTAAAATACCTCTTAGTCTAAATGGACACTTTCACTGAATAAGTAAAGGCCTTTCCTACAGGGTCTGAGAAGGCCACCACAGTCATTTCTTCCTTTCTGTCAGACATAATTACTCAGTTTAGCCTTCCCACCTCAATACAGTCTGATAACAGACGAGCCTTTATTAGTCAAATCAGCCAAGCAGTTTTTCAGGCTCTTAGTATTCAGTGAAACCTTTATATCCCTTATGGTCCTCCGTCTTTAAGAAAAGTAGAATGGACTAAAGGTCTTTTAAAAACACACCTCACCAAGCTCAGCCACCAACTTAAAAAGGACTGGACAATACTTTTACCACTTTCCCTTCTCAGAATTCAGGCCTGTCCTCGGAATGCTACAGGGTACAGCCCATTTAAGCTCCTGTATAGACGCTCCTTTTTATTAGGCCCCAGTCTCATTCCAGACACCAGACCAACTTAGATTGTGCCCCACCCCCCCAAAAAAAAAATTGTCATCCCTACTATTTTCTGTCTAGTCATACTCCTATTCACCATTCTCAACTACTCATACATGCCTTGCTCTTGTTTACACTGCCGGTTTACACTGTTTTTCCAAGCCATCACAGCTGATATCTCCTGGTGCTATCCCCAAACTGCCATTCTTAACTCTTGAAGTAAATAAATAATCTTTGCTGGCAGGACTATGCCGAATCTCCTTAAGCACTCTCTAATCAGATATCCTGAGTCGTCCCAATTCTTAGACCTTTTATACCTGTTTTTCTTCTTCTGTTATTCCATTTAGTTTTTCAATTCATACAAAACCGTATCCAGGCCGTCACCAATCATTCTATATGACAAATGTTTCTTCTAACATCCCCACAATATCACGCCTTACCACAAGACCTCCCTTCAGCTTAATCTCTCCCACTCTAGGTTCCCACATCGCCCCTAATCCCGCATGAAGCAGCCCTGAGAAACATCGTCCATTCTCTCTCCATACCACCACCCCAAAATTTTCACTGCCCCAACACTTCAACACTATTTTGTTTTATTTTTCTTATTAATACAAGAAGGCAGGAATGTCAGGCCTCTGAGCCCAAGCCAAGCCATCGCATCCCCTCTGACTTGCACGTATATGCCCAGCTGGCCTGAAGTAACTGAAGAATCACAAAAGAAGTGAACATGCCCTGCCCCACCTTAACTGATGACATTCCACCACAAAAGAAGTGTGAATGGCGGGTCCTTGCCTTAAGTGATGATATTACCTTGTGAAAGTCCTTTTCCTGGCTCATCCTGGCTCAAAAACACCCCCACTGAGCACCTTGCGACCCCCCACTCCTGCCCGCCAGAGAACAAACCCCCTTTGACTGTAATTTTCCTTTACCTACCCAAATCCTATAAAACGGCCCCACCCTTATCTCCCTTCACTGACTGTCTTTTTGGACTCAGCCTGCCTGCACCCAGGTGAAATAAACAGCCATGTTGCTCACACAAAGCCTATTTGGTGGTCTCTTCACAGGGACGCGCATAAAAAGAAACACAGAGGACACCCTGCCGGTTCCGAAGCAGTAGAAGTCAACGGCGGGTCTGCGAAGGCAGCAAACAGCAATGGTGGACAGCGAGCCAAAGCTCAGCTCAAGCCATAACAAACACGGACCAGAAGAGTGTGCAGTTGCAAGATTTAATAGAGTGAAAACAGAGCTCCCTTACAATGGGAAGGGACCCAAAGGGATTTACCACTCCCTGCTCGAATGCCTGGGTTTATATCCCGATCATTGCCCCTCCCCCTGTGCTCTCAGTGATATATGATTTAGCTATTTCTTTACCTTCTGGTTTTAGCCTAATTTGTAATTTAGTGAGCCCTCTTCACTACCTGATTGGTCGGGTGTGAGCTGAGTTACAAGCCCTGTATTTAAAGGTGGGTGTGGTCACCTTCCCCAGCTAGGTTTAGGAATTCTTAGTCGGACTAGGAAATCCAGCTACTGCTGTCTCTCAATAGGACATGATCACTCCATCATGATGTCAGTCTAAACATAATTCTTATTTGAGTAAAGCATAAACTTTGGCTGTATCAGAACAACTGATTGAGAATTAAAGAAAGCCTGTAATATTAAATTATATTTTTCCATTTTAGAGATTATATTTTCAGAATGATTATTTAATCCCGAAAAGTTTGATTTTTTTGACTATCAATATCAATGGTATTCTTTCAGTGTAATTTCTACTACCCTTATAGAATGAACATAATTAAACAGACACAGAGAGAGACAGAGAGAGAAAGCAAGGAGAGAAGGAAAGGAAGAAAGGAAGGAAGGAAGGAAGGAAGGAAGGAAGAAAGAAAGAAAGAAAGAAAGAAAGAAAGAAAGAAAGAAAGAAAGAGAGAGAAAGAAAGCAGAAAGAAAGAGAAAGAAAGAGAAAGAAAAAAAGAAAGAAAAAGAAAACACTGAGAATTGAGCATTAACTGAACAACAGTTTTGTGAGACTTGAATATTTTTTAAAAACATTTTACACTATGTTTATATATATTTAAGAAAATAATTGTTTTAAAATTATGAGCTACAAAAATACTACTCAGTTTAATTTGTCTTTTAGAAATATTAAACATTACTTATTTTAACCCTCCTCAAATAAGATTACTATTCAAGAAGAGTAAAAGATTACTTGAATTTCTGAAGAAATCCAGGGTCAAGCCTTGTGACTTTGTATTTATAGCACTTGGCCATAATTAAATCTCCATCATGTTTAGTGAGATCCTTAACAGAGTATCCTATCTTTTTGAGATAACATTGCAATTACTATATCATTCAATTTAAAATTACTAGATATGCTCTTATCATTTGGCAGATGTTTTAAATGTTGTTATCATACTTGTAGAAATGACATAGGCTGGAACAAACATTCTAATTTCTTATATGACAGTTTTGCAAGTTGGTTGCCAGTGAACAGAACCAGACTGGCACTTCACTAAGTAATCTATTTGGCATTTAGTATTTTAAAAAAGAAACTTAATTAACACACATAAAAATATGCTATTTCATATAAAAGCATGCTTTTTTTGTTTCTCGCCAAAATTCAGAATACTTGGCAAAAATAGGCTCACAGTCTCAGTGAGTAAGAATCCATTTGAGGAGAGTAGCAGTTGTCCATTTAGCTAAAGCACCACAACTTACTATTTTTATTTTCTATATATTTTGCTAATTTGTATCAAAAATGACCCCTTTAACACTTTGACTATGTGATTTCCATTATACAACAAGTTTTAAAATTCATGATAAATTGTTTCTTAGATAAAATAATACAAATAAAATATATTATGACTATCTTAACAGACTAGCTCTTTAAACTGCAAAAATAGATTCAACACCTAATTGTTACAAAGCCATATCATACTATAAGCCCTAAATAAAAACATAAATTTGGAACACAAAATTAGTTTTTAAAAAATTGACAGGAAACATTGCATGTTTTTATCATGCACAACATGATGTTTTAAAGTACATATACATTGTAGAATGATTAAATTTAGCTAATTACAAATGCATCACCTCACATAGCACAAAATATTTTGATGGGGAACAGCTTATCACAAATTAAGCAACGTTCATAAACTTAAATGACTGAAAGTGAAAAATTAAGTCACTAATTTCTATATTTGTGAACAGAAAGAATTATAGTTTTTCTTTCTAGCACAGAATATTATATCATGCATATGAAATATTGGTCCCTAGATATGAAATACTACTCTCAAAAGTGAACTCAAACAATACTTGAATTACAATCAGTGTATTTGTACTCTGTAATGGAGGACCACTATGTTTTGTACAAATTTTATTTATCATCTTAGAGTTTTATTTGATCAACTACAAGAAAGAGTATATAATCCTAATTTTAAGTGCCATTATGCAAATTAGATAAAGTGATTTTGAAAGGCCTTTACAAATGGTAAAATGTGTGGAATATAATGGCTTTTTCCACTACCTTCTATTTTTACTGAACTCCAAGCTCTTGGTGTGATTATGAGACGCAAACATTAAACAACACAAATAAAGAAACTGAAAACTCTGGTCAATTATTAATATAGATATTGTACCAAAACATCACAAGTTTATTTTTAACATTAAAAAAATTTTAGATCATACTAGTAAGAAAAAAATCTCAAGGTATAAAATCTATATCAACATTTTGTTTTATTATTTTCAATTGATTAGTTTTTCCTGAGTATTCTGTTACTAATCCAATGTTTTCAATATTTATTAAATTTTAAAATAATTATACATGGTTACGTAGATTTCTACAAATCTTAAATGTCAAAGCACAGACCATAGGCAAAAAAATATGTATTATTTTATAATAAGATAAAATAGTAAAATTAATATCAAACAATTATTGTGTAGTCAAATATCTAATAGGATACATATATAACAGAATGTTGTGAAGCCATTGAAATAGTTACAATTTTTAAAATAATATTAGAACATTCTTATGATATATTAACAAAATTTTATCATTAGAAATATACCATTTTGAAGTTGATTGAACAAACATTTGCTGATAATTTATCATGTGCCGAAACTATTCTAAGTGTTAGAGATATAGCAATAAACAAAATTGATAAAAACCTTTGTTTTGATAGAACATGTTTTCTTAAGCAAAAACATACAGTATAAAAATTAAGGAAATTATGTAGCATTTTTGGAGAAAGAACGATGAATTAATATTTTAAAAGGGTGGTCAAGGAAGCCTTTAATAAGAAGATAACATTGAGTAAAAGCATGAAAGAGATGAGATGCAAGTCATAAATATATTCAAAGGAACCTGGTTTAGTAAGAGCCATTATATCATGTTCCATATACAAAAAGGAGACTGCTGCTCTTAAAGGCATTGAGCGGGAAGGAGTGAGATCCAGACCGAAGTGAGCTTAAGGAAAAAATAAGATAAATTAGAGACAGAGAAAGCAATGACCTATTGGAAGAGTTTTGACATAAAGAGCAAAGAGATTTTAAGAGAATTTGTGAGACCATGAAAAGGTTTTTATTTTCTTTAATGGGAGAAAAATGCAAAAGTTAGAGAAAAAAAAGAAAGGTAAAAAGGAAAATTGCTTGAATAATGTGTTTGAGTAGATAACAAAAATGATATCTAGTTTAGAAATGAAAAAAGGTGAACTTACATAGAACTAGGCTAACTTGCAACTGGAAGACCTGGAGAGTGGTGGCCTTACTCTTTGACCTAATCCATTAATTGGACAACAAGACAAAAATACATAAAAACAGAAAATTGGCTTTTATCCTGTCTACCATCAGATATGGTCTTCAACCTTCCACTAATTAGCTCCACATTTCTTGATAAAATCCACTATCCTTGATTCAGGAATTAATATAAGCTACCTTGCATATCTTAAAATTGATCACATACATTCCTTGATCAGATGAACAAAGCCTGAAAATAGTGGCTTATTAATGAGGTATACATGCTATAACTTTTCTGGCAAAATGTAGACATTTAAATTTAAAGATTTATAACAAGATTGATAAAATAGATTTATTAAATACAAACTTTATCTCACCTCTTCCTAACTACATCTCTTACGAGAGAGAAGACCCATTCACTGAGGAGTTGAAATATACATGAAAATAGAAAATTGACTCTTAACCTGTCTACCTCTAGATATAGCCTTCAACCTTCCACTAATTAGCTCCATATTTGTTAATAAAATCCTCGACCTTGACTCAGGTATTAAAATAATGTAGGCTACCTTACAGCTCCACATACCAATGACCATGAAGATAATAAATAAAGGACATAACGGAGATCTATCTCAGTGGGCACAACTTTGGGAAATACTCTTGGTTGCCATTTTTGTGAATGGCTTTATTCACATAGTGGTATGAATCTTTACTGATTCATAAATGATGATAAATGGGTTTTCTAGACAGACAAAATTGAGGTGACAAGGAGGTCTGAGAAAGAGATACATTGAGGGATTGAGGAAATTTAGTGGTTCTCATTCTGAAGTTCATCAATTGACAATTCCTTATTTCACATTGCTGTGTTCCATTTTGTCTCTTGGAACCTGACATTAGCCTTTGCTCTTTAGGACCTGTTTTGCTTAAACATATCCTCTCCTTTATCATTTTCCCACTATCAAACTTATGTCATAGTCCTAATTTTGAGCATAGTTTACAATGTGGCTTCGAGAAATAAGAATCTCTATCAAGATGCTACATAGGATCTCTGCCTATCATAGCATGCTTCAAGTTGACGGTTAAATTCCCTGAGTGACCTCTAATCTTATTATTACAAAGATTTTCAGTGCAACAAGCTCACATCACAATTTTTATCATTATTATTGTACCTTTACCAAATAAGTGTCATACCCAGTACGTACCTGACTACTTCACCTTCCAACTAACTGTACCTCAAACCAATTTACCACTGATGAAAACTTCCATAATTAAAAAGGTACTACATACAAGAGATTATCCCCAACACCTCCCAACAAATATACACACTATTTTTATAAGTAATAATGCTGCTGTTGCCTTCAGAATAGTGAGAAATCCAAATCCTCATTTAATTCTGTGTGTTGCTTTCTTAAGTTAATCCTGGTTCCAGCAATTTTTTCTTCAGAAATCCTACAACATGTAAAAATATGAAATATTTTCTCTAAAGTTCCACATATGGGAATAGGTTCCTATTATATTTGGGGGTAAATAAATATAAACAGACCTAGCATACAATTTTGTAATTTCACACATATATAATATTGTAGGATGTGTTCCATTTTGTTATATAAATAGGCATAGAGAAAGAAACATTCCAATATACATCAAAATGTTGGATGTTTGTC
Organism: Homo sapiens; assembly: GCF_000001405.40. Classification (NCBI taxonomy): domain Eukaryota; kingdom Metazoa; phylum Chordata; class Mammalia; order Primates; family Hominidae; genus Homo; species Homo sapiens. The sequence goes on from NC_000013.11 coordinate 56,051,592, forward strand.
TTTTCTCCCTTTTCTTTTCTATATAAACTAGAGTTTTTCTTGCTGAGTTTTGTTTGTTTGCTTGCTTTTACTTTATGTCAGTAAAATAAATGTAAATATCAGGGAAAAAAGCCAAAATCATTTGGGAAAAAATATTATCCATATAATTTTTTCCTAAAATAACAAATGTGGAAGCAGAAAAAAGTTACCCACATTTTCTTAATATCAAAAGAGTAATCCTGAATCCCTTTATTCATCAGCACTTTTTATTTGTCATACAAATAACCTTTTGTTTTAGAGTTTACTAATAAATATGAACTGGAGTTAAAGCCTGTGCAACTCTAACAGTCATCCAGGAAACATTTCCTTGCTAAGATAATTTTATTTACTCAGATACTTTCTGTTGAGTAGCAATTAAAATTCTTTATGATAAAACTGAAGACAAATTTCCTTAAATAATAGGACTAAACAATAAGCAGAAAAGCAGGAACCTTGTTAAATTTACATTTGTACTATGTCTTATAAAAATGTATTCCCTATTTTGAGATTAAAAATGAGTTATTTCAATGATATTATACAAAAGTTTTTCTAGATATTAAAATTCTAAAAATGTAATGGTATCTCTAATGCATTGTAGCCATGAATCTTCAACAATTACATATAAAACTTCATTTAATCTTCTGTTTGTAAGACATTTGCATGTTTCCATATTTCTTTATTTACAAAAATGCCATTACATTTTGTTCTGACATCTGTCTTTCTCCATTTTCAGACAAAATTTAATTAATAAAATCACTGACTTTAGCTAAATATTTGTCTTAAATTTGTGATAGACAGACATTGTTTTATATAAAATGGTGTCATTCTAAAGTAATGACTGCATATCTTGTTGTCAAATATTTTATTTATTCAGCTCCTCTGTACAAAACAAACTAACTGAGTATTTCTGTAAAGTATCAGGCAAACAAAGGGATAGAGAAAAACTAAGAGTGGTACAAGAACTTGACTCTGTTTGAGACTTACTGCTACTACCTTAATCGTCATTAAATTTGAGAGTTTTTCCCTACTCTGTAATATAAGTATATTGACTTCAGTAATCTTCAATGTCATTATAAACTCCATCATTCTAATAATGAATTTATGAAAAATTTCTTATATAGTTGAGGATAAAGTAGAAATTGATGAATAATTTAAAATAGCACAGATAATACCCAGAAAATATTTCCTGGGGTCTTAATATGTAGCATTAATTAGAAGAGACTAATTATGATTTATTAAATTATTTTTAATCTTAAATACATTAATTGTTTAGAAATTCAGCCATAAAACTTATATGATTATAAATATGTTTGAAAAATTCTAGCTGTACAAAAAGTTATTTAAAAAGGCATAGCATTTTTGTATTATTGCATAAATAAAATAGATGACTATTTATCAAAAGTCATGCCAACCCAGCTTTGAATTTTCTTATAATGATTGTGTCATTTTGTGTCAGTATAGTCAGTCACACTCTATTTCATTTACACAAGCAAAAGTAATATGAATCTTGCTGTCATCTAGTTATTCAAACCTATTGGAAGGAAAGATGGTTAAAGGAACAGAAAAAACAAGGTCCGTGAAGGAGTAAATTATATGCATTGAGCAGAGGAACTGGTTGAATTCACCATGAGTATTCCAAATATATTATTATTTTTCATGGCATCACAAAGAAAATTATATCCTTATATCATTAATAAGGCAAAATGAATGATAGCTAGGAAGTTTACCCCATGTATTCTAAAAACTCTACATGTTTTCTGAGCATGCCAAAAAGGAGCAAGAAGTACTGATGGTGATAATGATGATAAAGAAGAATGCAAAGGCACTACAGAGTTTATTCATTTTCATTTATCCTTGTATATTAATGACAGATTTTAATATTTTTAATCAGTTGAATTTCCTTAATAATGACAAGAGTAATCTGATAACAGAGAAAAAACAAGGGCTTAATCAAAAAGTTAATAAACATTACATCTAAGGCAATCTTATATCAACAACCTCTTATTTTATCTGAAAAAAGAGCTAATTTTTATGAGAGCTAAATGATGATGATTTTTTTTCTACTGAATGATTAAAAGTATAAAACAAAAGTGTCCGAAAAAATACCCTCCTTTATTTCATTGGTTAATTTATGCTTGATTAAATGATTAAATATGAAAAAGTCAGTTTTGTTAACAATGGTAATTAACTTTTGAACTGTATCTTGAAAACTATAGTATCTTGAAGAAAAACATTATTATTGATGCTCTGTTTTTCAAGGCTTCTAACATAAAAGCAAAACATTGCTAATCTCAAGAAGGTAATTAAATCAATTTTTGATTATGTTCTTTTAAAAAGAATTTCAGTAATAAAATGACTATTGAAAACCAAATGATTTTATGTAAATCTAATATAAAGAAGGATAAACTGAAATTTAAAGATGAAAACAACACACAAAACATTGTCTGACTGTTATATCTCTAAGACACAAACAAGAGACTATATCTTTTCAAACAGATTTAAGCTTACCTACCCCATACTCTGAAAGAGCGGGTGAGCTGCTGGAATAATAGACCCGGCTGCTTACTCATTCTTATTCCCAGATTATTGGTAGAAGTAAATATAAACATTCAGAGAAAATTAAAAAATTAATGTGAAATATTTGACTGTACACATAGTCCAGATTGACAAAATATTTCAGGAAAATCTGCATCATGAAATAGATGTACCAAACCCAACTAAAGAAAGAACTATCACTCTAGAAAGCAGCAACAGCAAAAACAACTGTGAACACCTTTTACAAATCTACAGAGAGCTCTCATTTTGCGTGGCTTTGGTACTGTGAGTGTCAGCAAAGCTGGGATGTGGGGGGAGATGTCTTTAATTAATGAGATGCTGCTTCATCTTCCTGATCTCTTGCCTGCTTCTCGGTACTTATTTTCTGGCACACACTGCTGTCAAGACTTTTTCCAACATTCTTATCCTGATTTGAACACTTTTCAAAAGACAGCTCTTAAACACTGAAATAAATCTACATTCTGTCACTCCATACAAGGTATTCTGCAGGCAAATTTTCTCTGGATACATCGAGTTCATCCTGGTCACATTTCTTTTTATTTTATTTTTCTTTACTCTCTTTTGATATTTGCTAAAATATAAAATTCCTTTAAGATGCAGATTAATTTCAAGTTTTGTCTTTCATGAAATCTCATCTGCTTTTTTAATGGCCCATTTTGCCAAACTGCTATTTTATCTCTGTTTTTAGATGTAAAATACATCTGGTAGATGGATTTTACAAAATGTACAAAGTGTCTTCTTACCAGTATTAAAAGTTAGAGTCAGTGAAAGCAGAAGCCACATTTTTATCTACACATATATGTGTGTGTATATTATTATGTGCATATATGTATATATGTATACACGTGTGTATGTATACATGTAACATATAATGCTCTCACTGACTCTAAACTTTAAATTTCTAAACACTAAGGGGAAACTCACTAGCAGCGCACAATAAACCCTGAGGAAATTGAAATGTAGCAACAACAAAAAAAATGATGGGAGGATTCATTACTCTGTAATAGGTATCTGAGGCAATTGCTATTGAAACTTTCAAGCAGCAGCTGGGTGCTCACATCTGGAATGCCTAGGCTTTGGGAGGCTGAGGCAGGATTATCACCTGAGGCCAGAGATTCTACACCAGCCTGGGCAACATAGCGAGACCCCATCTTTATACAAACCTTAAAAATTAGCCAGACATGGTGGTGCACCCCTATTGTCCTAGCTACCTGGGAGGCTGAGGTGGGGGGATTGCTTGATCTTAGGATTTTGAGGGTGCAGTGAGCTATGATTGTTCCATTGTACTCTAGCCTGAAGGACAGAGTGAGACCCTGTCCCAAAAAAGAAAAAAAAAAGGAAGAAAAAAATTTTCAAGCAATTTCAGCCTTATTTTCAGACAATTTTTACATGGCTAGGTATTTTATATTTTTGTAATCATTTCGCTTCAAAGCTATTGTATTTTACACTGATAAAAATTCCCTTCTATTGCTGTTACCAGAACAACACATTATATTGCAGAAATAAAAAGCAATGTTAACAAAAGCAATGTTAATGAAATGGCAAATGATTTAACAAAAATTAGAAATGGCAAAGATCTTTTTTATATGCATTTGAATTAACATTAGGGCAAAAGTAAAGTTTCTTTTTATTTAAAGGCATTGCAATTTTCTAAAAATTATATTGAAAAAACATTGAAATATCTCTCTTGTCTTTTGTATAATTGATGTTTATTTTGAAAGATTGGTTTAGCTTTATTTGAGAGTTAGTTTATCTGTAACCTATATCATCTTGACAATACGATGTGCTCCTCAGAGGTTTTTATATGTAGTTCCTTACTAAAAGAAACATTTAATAGTTTTCATATAAACTTTCACATTTGAAAATTTATTGTAAACATATTTTAAAAGAATGCAAAATAGTGAACCCAGAAACAAATATATTTGAATCATATTAAATCTGCAAATTGTTTAATGTTATACACCATATAATTTCTACAAAGGACACCAAAATCATGGCCAAGGATTAATAAATCTGACAAACTACTAATTATTTTTAAATTCTCTCTAATAACAGCTTACCCAATTGTTTTAAGTTGCATTCTATTTGTGCGAAGTATAGAACCAGTGACAAGTACCAAACTCCTAATTTAGGAGAGTAACTATAAAATGGAATAATAATGTATAGAATATTTAATATGCACACTATCTGAGTTGACACAGTGATATAATATACAGTTAAGTTTGTATTTGTTTTCCTGTTAGAATTTATTATTTTAAAGAATTGGTATTTTTTTCTCTCAAGACTCTTCCCTTTACCAACAAACATAGTTTTCAAAAATACGAATATAGCTATTAAATCTATTATTATGTCAAGAAATCTATACCCAATCTTATTCTCAGACTTCCAAAAGTAAAACTGAGAGAACATCTGCTACACTAATAAATTTACTGGTCTCTAAACAAACTACTACACATTTTTTTGAGAGAATAGTGGCCATTTTATTCTAAGAACAGTATGTAGAGGTGTGAATTATTACTCTTATTATTTACCACTAGAAATTCACTCAAACTAATTAGCCATTATAACACTTTTCTTTGGATGAAGAAATCAGTAGAACTATTCTGCAGACCTCTGAATACTGTGAAGAAGAACAGGCCATTTACAGTTCCAAGATTTTTGTACTTTCGCACTAAACACAATAATGTCATCTTTTATCATTTATGCACCTTTTCTACACCATGTATTGTCATATTGACATTTAAAAGGAATTTGAATAAGATTTGTCTCATGAAAAACTTAAAAATATTATTTACTTAAGGCTCTCTTTTCTGCAGTGTTTTAGTTACTTAAAAAAAAAAAAACAAAACTCTACTTAAAATCCTAACTGTCCATAAACCTGGATTTGAGTTGATTTGACTATTCTGTAAATGTGCAGTCTGATGTAGGCTTATTTAAAAATAAGATAGATTCTGTGTCAACAATAATGACAGCGTTTTTCCTGTTTTGTACCAGGGGATCTTAAACTTGGTTTTAATGTTTTCATAAATGACCAATATAGCACTGACTGTGAATGAAGCAAATAAAATAACAGAGAATGTATATGTGTGCTTTTCTCTTTTTTCAACAAATAATTAACGATTCCTGCAGACATATTGCACTGGCCAATACATACATGGAAAGATAGAAACTGCTTATTATACCAGCTATAAATAAGAAACCCGTTCTCCATTTACCAAGATACTAACTCAGAGAGTGAGGGAAAATATATTGTTTTCTAATCAACATTCTTGGGCAAGGATGGAAAAGGAAACTAATCAAGGCTCACTCTTGAAATATGTAATCAGAAATAAACTTTTGGTAAAGATATGACTGCATCTTATTTGAGGCTTAATGTCATAATATAAAACCCACATAGTCAATCACTCTTTAAGCACAGAAGTATTATTCAACAGAAGAAATAAAGCATCTGGAATCTGTAAGTTAATTACTAAATATTACTACTTCCTATTAACATTTCTGCTTTCAATAACTAGTCTGCTGAATAGATTGCACTATACAGGGCACAATCAGAAAACAGCTTCACACTTTCCCAATTGGTCTCTTCTTGGCTCTGTGGCATCTTCCTGCCCAGCCCCAGTGGGACTGCTTTGTGGAAAAAAGGGCCAGATCCTCTTGCAGATCATTCCCATTGCTTTCTTTAAAGGATTTTCCTAACAGCGTTCTCTGGCTTAAATAAAGAGGAAACACATTGTCCCTAGCAGGGAGCTCTCTCTTTCTACAAGTTTCCAATAAAAAAAAAAAAAATGTTTCTTCTTTCTAAATGAACCACTTGCTTCCCCTTATATGTAGAGACAGGACAAGAGGAGAGGCCACAAGGCGCATGGGTGAAAGTTCAGTTAGGCTGTCTGTGAGCAAATCCTTCAGAGATGGAGATGGGTGCAGCCCCCCTACCTTTTTTTGAAAATGTTGGCATGTGGTACTGATATTTTCATTTCTGGAGCCTTTTTCAGACCTCTGAAGAAGAGAGAAAAATTGCATTTACCATTTTGTTACATTATATTTCAGGGTGGATCAAGAGCTTAAATCTAGGGAGAAAATCGAGGATAGTGGAGGGAAAACATTTGGCATTCTCGAAGAATCAGGGTGTGTTGTACCTTTCGGTGACCAAAGTATTACTATCAACTTATTCCAGTTCCAAATATTGCTGTTTTAAATTACCATTTTTTTCTTTAATTAGGTAGAAAATAGTTTTTACACTGAGAAATGATGCATTTTAAAAATTATAACCTTAACTTGATTTTACCCTAATGCCTTACTATATATTCTTATATATAGCACAAGCTAACTGCACCTAAAATATAGGAACAGTAATATCTAAACTGTTATATGACAAATAAATTTCATTTGTTTACCTAGGTTCCTGTTTGAGAATAATCAATTTATTTTTGCAGAACTGTTGAGGAAGACCAGGCATACTTATATAAAATAGAAAGATTCTTCATTTGGGAGAAAATATGTTTTATCTTTTACTTATTCAATAAACAAAATTTGTAAAAGCTCAGATATTAAATTACTATCTCTTTCATAAAAAGACAGAAATTAAAATGATTTGGTGCTAATTTAAGAAGTTTTAACAACTAAATTGAACATTTTATCATTAGCAACATTATGTACATAACACACTGCTAGACACTATAATTATTCTAAATAATTGGGGCATAGTCCTTGATTTCCCTAAATTTGTATTTTGGTTGAGGGGGTGTATTAGTCAGGGTTCTCTAGAGGGACAGAACTAATGGAATATATATATATATATATATATATATATAGGAATATATATATATACACATATATATATAGGAATATATATATGTATATATATATATAGGAATATATATATGTATATATATAGCATATATACATGTATGCTCTCTATATGTGTATATATATAGCATATATACATGTATGCTATATATATATAGCATGTATTATTTATATATATAAAGGGGAGTTTACTAAGTATTAACTGACAGGATCACAAGATTCCACAATAGGCCGTGAACTTGGAGTCTGATGTTCGAGGACAGGAAGCATCCAGCAGGGGGGAAAGCTGTAGGCTGGGAGGCTAGGTAGTCTCTCTTTTCACATTTTTCTGCCTGCTTATATTCTATCTGTGCCGGCAGCTGATAAGATTGTGCCTATGCAGATTAAGGGTGGGTCTGCCTGTCTCAGCCCACTGATTCAAATGTTAATCTCTTTTGGCAACACTCTCACAGACACACCCAGCATCAACATTTTGTATCCTTCAATCCAATCAAGTTGACACCAAGTATTAACCATCACAGGGGGTAAGACAAGAAAAAGTAATTATAATATCAAAAATAAGGTAAGTATGAAGTGATGGTACATGATGGTATCAAGACTGACATTTAACTTGCAATTTCAGATGGATAAGATGCGCAGGAAAGATATATGACAGTATTAGAATTTAAGCTGAGTCAAATGAAGGGTAGAATCTAAAAGAAGCCTGGAATTTTTAAAATGTAAGAATGTGCAGAGGCAGGAAACTATAAGGGATGTTCTAGCACAAAATACTGCCATCGTGCACAAAATTAATAGATGACTTGTAAACCAATAAGCATGGCAATGTTCCAATGACATTTTGTTTATAGACCCTGAAATTTTACATTTATATAATTTTCACATTTACCATATTTTATTCCTTTTTTGGTATTTTTTTCAACCATATGAAAGCAAAAATCACCCTTAGCTCATTGACCATACAAAAATAGGGAGCAGTCAGTAGTTTGCTCATGGTTGTACTTTACATACTCTGTTTCAAGAAGTGTAGTAAATCAGTAAAACCAGTGATGCAATTCTCTAGCAAATTTACAGAAATTTTAACAATTGAAAAAATAAAATGCATGTATTATATTTCTATAGCAGTATAATAATTTTCCAGAGAATTAGTGGTTTAAAACCATATCCTTGTATTATTTCACAAGGAATAAGTTTGTAAGAAGTTTGGCACAGCTCAGCGGGATTCTTTATTCACTATCTCCTAAGACCAAAATCAAGCTTTTGGCTGCATAAGCTCTTATGTTGATACTCTGGGTAAGAATCCACTTCCTGGTTTACTCAGGTTGTGAGAATCCAGTTCCTTACTGATACAGGAGTGAGTTCCCCAATTTCTTGCTCGCTGTCAGCCAGAAGCTGCTCTTAGTGACCACCTGCATCTCTTCTTATGTGGCCATCTTGAAACCAGCAGAGCTGTGTGAAGGCCTTCTCATGCTTTGAATCTCTCTGCCTTCTTCTGCCTTCCTCATTTCACCAGCTATAAAAAGTTTTCTGCTTCATAGGATTTATGTGACTGGATTATACCCACCAAGATAATCTCTCTATTTTAAGGTCAACTGTAGTGTTTAACATAACAACCATGAAAGTTATATGTCATCATATTGGCAGGTTTTCAGGGTCTGAGCATAGAATTCAGGAGCAGGTGAATTTTAAAATGTTGCCTCCCACAGCACATATTTGAGAGACATAAATAAAGGGAATATAAAGTAGGCAGACACATTGACAGGAAGGATTAACACATGGAAGAAACTGAAGTGTACCATTAACACAAAGGATGTTACATGTTTTTGTCAGTTGTCTAATGTCAAAAGAAGAAATAAAAATATGAGCAGGTGAAAAGTTCTTCATGCCTACAAATTAACACAAATTTATGGTTCTTTTTATTAGGGCTATTGATTAAATCACCCTAAAACTTATAGGTGTAAAAACAATCAATTGCTATGCTCATGGATTCTTTGGGTCTGGAGTTCTGACAGGCTGCTCTGGGGATAGATTGTCTCTGAGCTATGATATCCGAGGCCTCAGCTGCAAGATTTGAAGATTAGGGTTTGGAATTATTTGAAGATATATTTACCCATGTGTTTAATGTTTGATGCTGGCTGTCAGCTGGGACTCTTGGCTGGCGACCTATATGCAGTCTCTCCATTTGGCCTGAGCTTCCTTACAACATGGTAGCTGTGTTTCAAAAGCAAGCATGTCAAGAGGGAGAGAACTACATAAAATCCACATTGCCTTTTATAACCTAGCCTTGGAAGTCACACTGTGTCGCTTCCCCTGAACGGAAAATGAATTGTCTCTCTCGGGCAAGAGAAGAGCAATCATATTCCCCTCTTGAAAACTGGGTGGCAAAGTTCTGGAAGAGCACAAGGGACCGGAAATTATTGCAGTGGGCACTTTGGAAAATAAAATCTGCTACATTTATTGTCTGGGAAGCAGCAGTATTTTATATCACACTAGTATAATTTGAAAAATGATAAAACTAATAAGAACAAATATTACTATAAAATAGAAATGTTTATAACAAAAGTGAAAAATTAATATATTAAAAGTTTTTTGAAATGTGTATGAACACTAGAGCATTTGGTATTTGGTACAGCCATAAAGATTACAGTTAAGGGAAAATTTGAAAAGAGATTCTACCGTTAAAATAAATGCCTATAATAACAACAGATTTGTTTATATGGTAATGCTTTTAATGTTGATCATGGGACATATTCCTAGATTTTCTCATATTTTAACTAAGTGTACTAAAATATGCTATTTTTATCGATATAAGTAATAAAATTTTTGAGATTCTGAAGACATAACATTTTTTCTTCCCTTTTTGTTTAGGAAAAGCTCTTCCCAAAATGCATAATTCCTTTGATCAGAATCACTCAACAGGTGTGTGACTTTTTTTTTCCTTTTTCTTGTATGTAGAAAATCCTTGAAAAAATATCTTACATGATGAGCATGCAGCAGCTAGACTATAAAAATCTTAACTTGCTATAGCCGATAGTGTTTGCTACTGGCTATAGAAGGACAATTCATCCACTTTCTGTTCAATGGATGCTTTACTCGTCTTCTAAGCAATTTTCCAATCAAAAAGGATAATATATTACCCCATGAACCAAATGTAGACCACAAGTTGCTTACAGGAAATAGAACCCCACAGCTCTAAACAACTAGAAAATAATAATTTCGGGTTTAATTTCAGTGGAAAGACAATTTTTATGAATAAAACAGTCTCTAGGACTGTCCTTTCACTAGGTGTTTGAAGAGAAATACAAAAATAAAGTTAATTCATAGTGAATTCAAAACATATTAATGAGTTGTAAATTTTACATACATAGTAGACATTGACTTAAGTGTACATTTATATAAGAAGCTCAATTCAATAATCAATTCAGAATCAAATTTTAGTTTTAACTCACAAAGGAATTGTGGCAAGATTTTTTTTTTTTTGCTTAAATTGTAATCTGTGTTCTTATTTCTCCATATGTAGCAAATTATTTTCTGTGCATCTCCAACCACTATGACCTTGAGATGTCTTTTCCTTAAGATTCTCAGTTTTAATCTTTATTTAGATAAATAATAAGCATAGCACCTAAGAACATGAATTATATTCATTAAAACTGTTATTGTTAAAGTTGTTCCTAGTATGATATGTAAGGTGCCCTCAACCTGCAAAACTAAGGTTAGTTGTGCTTAGTCATGGTGTCATAAATATCCATTGTTTTTACACGTTGATATCCTTAACTTAAACACCAAATCTTCAGCTACTTAATATTAATCTATTCATTAGAATTGTCCATTTTATTAATTACCACATATAAGTTTGTTACCAGCTATCCATTTATGATTAGGGCATTTCAATTTCAGGTGTCTCTGGAATTCTCTTCTGGTGATTCCCACATGGCTCTTCTAATTGTATCATTCAAGTTTGCTTAAAAGTATTAATACTGCACCATGTATCACACTCCATTATTTTTAATCCTTTCCACTTTATTTTTCTTCATAACACTTTTTTCCATTTGAAATATTAGATAATCATTTATGAGTTTATTTATTTTATCAGTCCTTCCTCAACTTAAAAGCGAAAGGTCAATGAGAGCAGATAATTTGGTTCTTATGCTTATGGGTCCTCCTGTTCCTCCAGTGACTTTAAGAGTGGCTAGCAAGTAGAGGGAATTCAATAAATATTTAAGGAAGGAAGATAGGAAGGAAGGAAGGAAGGAAGGAAGGAAGGAAGGAAGGAAGGAAGGAAGGAAGGAAGGCAAAAAGGATGGAAAAGGAAGGAAGGAAGGAAGGGAGGAAGGGAGGGAGAGAAATTCATACCTCAACATTGTGGGAAAAATTCAATGACAAATAACTGCTGTGTAATTATGTTAATGATAAATAATGCTGCAAAAAACATATGTAAAATTAAATATATATAAACATACACATACACATATATGTACATACATTATACACATATGACAATACATGTACATGCATTATACATACATTATATACATAATATATGCATAAACAAATACATTAAATATACATATATAATAAATAGAACTATAGTAAAGTATATAAAGGTATTGTATAGTATATGGGGACATGGGATTTCTTTTTAAAAAAGATGTAATTAGAGGGTTCAGTGGCTGATGCCTGTAGTACCAGCACTTTGAGAGCTAAGGCAGGCAGACCACCTGAGGTCAGGGGTTCGAGATCAGCCCTGCCAACATGATGAAACCCCATCTCTACTAGAAATACAAAAATTAGCCATGTGTGGTGGTGCTTGTAATCCCAGCTGATCTGGAGGCTGGGGCATGAGAATTGCTTGAGTCAGGGAGGCAGAGGTTGCAGTGAGCTGAGATCTCCCCACTGCACTCCGGCCTGGGCGACAGAGAAAGACCTCCTCTCAGGAAAAAAAAAAAAAAAGATTAAATTATTGACTTTATTTACATTATTGTCCATTTTATTACATAGACATGTAGTCAGTCTGAAACAAGAAATAGAAACATATTTAAACCAGACTAACATAGGTGAAAGGAATCGAACAAAAGACAAAAGATTATATTGGAAACGTACCTGGATGTTTCACAGAACCCAAATCGGTGGCAAAAGGAACAGTCAGTTACACAGGATCCTGAACAAGAAATGGGAAGAAAGTCAAGAACCAAGATAGAAAAAAGAAAGAGTTGTGTAAAAGAATACTTGTTTTTCTATTAGATTTTTTTCTTAAACAATCAACATAACCTTTCATTTGTAATTATGCTTTCCATCTGTCTGAGGCAACAAGGGATAGGTTTATTTCCTATTTCTCTCTTTGAGAAAATTTGTTATACTTCACTATGCAGATAGAATAAAACTGTCCCAGAGAATGGCCCTGACTGATTCAGTCTATGCTATAGATATTCACAAAGTCACTGAGTATAATGGAACAGAGAATTGTTTGAAACAACGCAGAAGTTTCATTTATACTGGGGCAAATGTACTTACTCTTTTATTCACGTTTTAGTATATTATATTGAACTATAGAGATAGTTTATTCCATTCTTCTCTAAGTGCTATAAATCTCTACCTGAGGTGAGGAAACTAGCTCATTACATATTACTGAATTATTGGGTCTTACATACTCACAAAATATAGTTTTTCATACTCTTAGTTCAATTTAAAAAAATCACTGTTAGCCTCTCAAAATAATCTTCAAATACTTACTTTGATTTATCTTTGGATTAAGGAAAGTGATTGCTATGTACCACATCTCACCCACACACCAAAATAATGAAATCAATGCCTAATATCTTTTTTTTTGCTTCAATTTACCAGCCCTACTTTTTTGGGGGTGGGGGCAGTCAAAGCAGGAGTAGAGGAGATAAATTAATAAATAAAGTGCAAGTAAAAAATAAGCTATGATTGGGCTGCCCTTGGGAAAAGAGGATCTAGGATCCAGTTGGTGCAGCTTATGGCTTGTCCCTGTGTGTATAGTTGTTAAATTATTCTTTTATTTTTATTTTTAAGAAGTTATTCTTTAGATAATAATAGGCATGTAGCTTAAAAGGAAACCTCAAAAGACACAAAGGATTTGTCTCATTTTAAATTAAAAAAATACTGTATCAGCATCAAGTAATTAAACATTTGTTGGAATATCAAAAAAAAAAAATAAGCTATGAATTTCATTTTCCATGCTTATTTGTTCTATTTTTATATAGAATTTGAATCAAACTCTCAAAGACTCTCATTTTGTTATATGCAAAATGAAGACACATACGTCAATTCTGTGTCCTTGAAGTTTGAAAGCTGTAATCTGTCAAATAACTGTAAGATATTTATATTACTTATCTCATTAATGATCAAACATTACTGCTGACTGTAAGTTATTTATATATTACTTTATTTTCATAAATAAGTATAGGAGAATTAAGCCTTTATAACTTTTTTTATGGAAAATGATAACATATCCAAAACTGCTGTGGTTTTACCTAACCATATCTACAAGTAAAGATATGTTTAATGTATATTATGTTTAATATTATAATATTTTAGTTACAAAAGGTTTTTTTTAGTAAAAATGTGACAAATCAGATTAATTTGATGATTTTTAAGTACTAACTAGAAGGTAGCTATATCTTTCTTTAACATGTTCATTGTACCTATTTGCTTTTAATCAGTGATACTATCCAAGTAACTATTAAAGCCTTTGTACTGGTCCTCTTCCAAATAGATAGTCCTAGTAATAATATTGCCAAGAAGGGGAATTCAAATTCCATTATCTCCCATTATCTTACAAGGCATTTTACTTCTGCTAGTTTTAATTAAGTTAAAATCTGTTTCACTTGCTTTACTGATTAAAACTAATTGAGTTTGTTGCTTAATCCTATCAAGAGAATCTTCTATTGCTTAAACCAGGTTTACTTCCAAATGGGATTGTTCTAGAGAGGAAGTGTCTACAATATTAGGACTAGATTTTATTTCATTAATTTTATTAATATATTTTCTGGACATATTCCAATTGGGAAAATTTCTTACATTCAAATCCTAGAGAATATTTTCTGTACATTTAGGCAATAAGAATTGTTCAATAGTAATAAGACTTAATCTTTGCAATTTGATGAAAAGGTTGGCATAATGAAAAAAATCCATTTTGGGTTGTTTCAATTCAGAGAGTAAAGATTGGTCTGCTGTATCCTTTATTAACATATTTTTTAAAAATGTATTACTGTGATTTAAAATCGATTATTAGTAAATGTTTAAAATATTAAATTATAAAATATTACATAAGATATTAACTATTTTATATAATATGTTATAAACGTGTCTATAATGCTGCATGAACCAGGGAGGAAATAAAATAGGGAACTGTTATTTTTTTCTTATTCTGAGTTATAAAAAATAAGGCCTTAAAACCAACAAAGGCTGTTCCAAATTTACAATTGATGCTGTTTTACAAATTTTCCAGCTCATGTAGCTCAGCTATTGTACTGGAGCCAAATCTCACAGGAGCTCTTTTAATCTTCTGCAACCACTGAGAAGATGGCAAGAATATAATCCTCAAAGCAGAGTAGAGTCAGTATAAAGCACAAGTCCCAAAACTCACTGGTCCATGTCTCACAGTCGGCTAAAATGAGCACTCACTCTTGGGCTTCTTTTGCTGTTAGCTCTCTCCAAGAGCCATTATACTTTCAGCAGAAAATACAATTTGTAAGTAGTCAATAGGGAATAATAAGATCTAATTCAGATTCTTGAGAGCTAATACTAATATAATTTTCCTTTTATGATTACGGTAGTATAATTTTTTTAAAAAAAGATACAGTGATATCTCGGCAGTTTGGGATTGGACATTCAGTTTTAATGCCCCCACATGTTTATGGCTTATAGTCATTTGGAATATTACTGAGAGGTGAACGTGAGTTTTGTGTAACCAGCTATTTATGTAGCTCATATAATGCAATGAAGTGTATTTATTTTTACATTCACATTGATCTTTTTAGAGTGAGCACAATTGAGTTTTTTTTAGTTAAGACATATTCTCCCAAAGAAAGTCCATTATTAATGTTGATCATGAAAATGATGAGCACATGATAGAAAAATTAAAGAATGGAATCTCTAATTTGGTAGAGGTATGGCATATTATGATTATACTTACTCTGTGCTCTAAAAGAAAAGAAGAAAAACTGACTCATAAGAAAGTTTTAGAGACTGTTGCATGGCAATAACTTCAAGTGTGGCTATATAGAAGATATTCTATTTTTATCTCCTGAGAATATAAAGGACTTACTCTAATGCTTAGACAATGAGAAAAGCAGTAGATTAAATGTGGTGGTGAGTGAGTACACTAATGTAGCATCTCATCTTCAGTGATGTTTGTTATAAATGGGATTTTTTTAGTATGCAATAATCTGAACCGTGGGAAACACCAATAATATTTCAAGACTGATCATAACCAAAATATCCTCAAAAAAGATAATTATACATTTTTAAAGTGACATCTAAGGAGGTTGGATAAAACAACAATAGTATTTTTTTTTTTTTCAGTAGAGATGGGAAGCTGAGCCAGAAGGATTTCTTGAACCTGGGAGGCAGAGATTGTCGTGAGCTGACATCATGCCATTGTACTCCAGCCTGGGCGACAGAGTGAGACTCCATCTCACAAAAAAAAAAAATTAAAAAAAAAAAAAAGTGACGGTGACTTGCTAGTTATTACTGTTATGTTTTTTAAAGTGAGAACTTTAGGGTACCAAAAGAACATACTTTTGGTGGGAGGTGGTATTTGCTTTCCATCCCACGAGGCTAAGAAATGTAGTGACAAAACATAAGAACTTGTTCGTATAAAGCACTTTCATCAAGCGGCAAAAGAATGAGCTTGAAAATTGCCCATGAACAAAGACCTTTCTCACATGATTATTTTGAAATATATGTTTACAAATAATGATGTTTGATAAAAATCAAATGATCATACATGTAATACGTCCTTTAAAGACGTAATTATACAAATTAACAATTATTAGCAATCATGGCTTTGTTTTAAAATAAATATTTATCTCTCAGCTTTTTGAAAATTTTTAAAAATATATTTTTAGATTTTGAAGAAAATACTAAAAATGTAGAAAATTTAAATGAGCTTATTAAAATATAAATTTTGGCTAGTTAACAATGTAAATCAATCATTTACAAACACTTGTTCAAGTATCACTTTCTATGTTAAACTTATTCTCTAATTTGTCAGTTTGCATTCTAAACTACAGTTTGATTTGAAATATTTAATTCATGCTTAAATAAAACAGACATTATAGATATAAGTACATCTCTTAAATCAGTGTCAGAAATATAATTATTAATAGTTACGTATCTAAATTAATCCTTATTTTTCTGTAGAACCTAATTTGTAATGAAAGTCTTTCTTCAGACTGGTATGCTCTAATGTTTCTGTTACATTTCTCAGAGCCATCACAGCTAGATAATTCCCTATGTATCAGTGAATGACAATAATCCTGTGTTGAATTTCAA
Source organism: Homo sapiens (assembly GCF_000001405.40). Lineage (NCBI taxonomy): Eukaryota > Metazoa > Chordata > Mammalia > Primates > Hominidae > Homo > Homo sapiens. Next base: position 56,068,488 of record NC_000013.11, read on the forward strand.
TATCTTCAGTTCTAAGTAAATCAGTGGAGAGTAAAGATCTATCCTAGATGTACTTTCCTTCAAGCAATGCCTTACACTACAGTCATTCAAAACCTCAGAGACAAATGGCTCAGCAGTATCTGGCGCAAACTGGCAGTATGCCTGCAGCAGCAGTAACTTTTGATTTTTGCTGGTGCTTGTTTTTTATTTTTAATATTACACATGACTGTCAGAATTCAGACTGTCATGTAAATGGTAATACCCAAACGTGATGAGATCCATGAGTCTTCATTTCCCCTACCCCTCATTAAGCATACAACTTATCTTTAAGATTCATGATGGACAAATCATCCCTTCATAATTTTTACGCATTTTAAGGGGATGGTGAAACTAAAGGGGGAAACACCTTTAAAAGATTTGAACCTGTGGCTTTTTCCTGTGTTTCCCAACAGAATTGAGTTTTAATACTCCTGCAGATTTTGCTGTGCATCCAAAAATAAATCCAAATACTGACAGCACTCTTAATGGATCCTTGATCTCAGTAATGAAAGGATGAGTAAATGTCAGCATTCCCAAACATCTATTTTTTTTTAATGCTAGAGGTCAAACAATAATTTACACTAGCATTGAGAGAAATATTTCCTGGGATGATAAGCAGGGAGTCATGTCTATAGTCATGTCTATGGATATATTTGAATGTATATAGTTACATGAGAAATTAAATACAGCAACACATTACTCACATGAATTTAGCTTAAAAAATAATTCTAGACAGTGAAAATAATTGTTTTAATATCCCTTTACTACAACATAAACAATCTTCTTGTACCACTATTCCTTCATCATTCACTTGAAAGTTTTTCTTTTTAATTTGAAGAGGATTCTAATAAGTTTAATAATTTGATTTCCAATCACAGAAGCATGATAGGAATATTTTTTTAAAAAGTAAGAAATGCTAGTACAAAATAAACCATACCATGAATGTGATCATTGACAACAAAAATAGGAGAGCACAAAAACACAAAAAAGCAACAATCAGATAATCTTGCACATGATTAAATGGTCCTGAATCACTCAGTAGATCTCATGGGCATAATTGCAAGAATTTCCAGAGACTTGCATAATTATTTCTCATTGTGAGAATGCTCAAGAAAAATTTAAGCATTTTTTTTTCTGAACAAAATTAGAGAAATATACAGCTGTGTCTCTGGGCTTACGTATGTGTGCAGTTCATATAATGAAAATAGGTTTTCTTGTTAATGTCTCCTGAATTTGACATAAGTATTAAAGTACATATCTTACTAATGAATATTAAATAGAAAAGCATTCAAAGCAAAAAAGGGAAGCAGGGCAAAATTTTCTTAAAACTTATCTGCAGAAAACAAACTGTGAATTTGGAAAAGAACTTTCCATTTTATTTGTGATGGTCTACAAGGAGTTTCTACATTTTGTAATTATCCCAGCGAAATGTTAGAATCATCCATAAAAACTCATTGTTTAATAATACCTCAGTGACTGAGGGAAAATACACTAAATGACTACTTTTGAGCACTTTCAAGAGAGACTGACTAATGGTTGAATATCTTTATAATGTAATCTTCTGAGGAAAAGACATCCCGAGCTGCGGGTATTTTCAGTAGGCCTATGTTGTTTTGATATTAAAGCAGAAGAGAGGTAGTATGAACATTGATAGAGTTATCAACTGAAGAGCAAGACCCTGGAGAGAAGTGATTTCTTAGAAAATTTCAAGACAATTTCAGTGTTGTCATAGAAATCTCTGTAGCAGAAATCCACGTCAAGATTGCCTCATACAACTATTAAACAGGATGCCTAAGGAAGGCTTCAGGCATTGTTCAACCATAGGGAACAAATGATATGATCCGGACTTTCTTACCATTGCTTTTTTGTCATCTTTTGGTTCTGCCTTTTTCTGCATATTAGTTTCATGTTTTTGTGTTGTAAGCATCTTCATCTACATTGTAATGGAGATAGTTACTTGAAGATTCTCTAGGGGAAGTCAATACATGTTTATAATAATAGGTCCTCAAATGCAATTGATGTCTTATTAATTGGATCCAGCAGAACCGATTGGAAGGAATTTTCATTAGCCTGGCAATAGTTACGTGTCTTTATCTGAACAAATCACTGTGATCCAATACATATGAAACCATTATTAGATAGTATGAGTTAAGTGCTCACTCACTGAATGTGTTTAAAAACAGAGTAGTCTGAATGATGCTCCACCAGATCTACAAATAGAAAAGGTAGAATTCTCTAAAAGAAGAAATCTTGGGCAAATGCTAACTTCGTGGAGTTCATAGTCACTTGAGGCAATGGTTCCCAGGGGAAAATAGTAAATAAGTAAGTGCTTCAAATGCAAGAGACAATATTTGAGAATCACAAACCCATATCCTACAGAAGATATTGATAGACCAAGTAGGTCTGATAATGTATGAAAAAAATTAAAATTAAATAAGAAGTAATCTATTGCAACCATTGAATCTCTAATCAACAAATTTTACAACAAGGACAGTTACTATTATAATTCACTGATTTTTTTTTAGCATTTCTGCTGTGTCCAGTATATTATAGACTTCATCTCATCCAATTTTAAACAGAAACGCAATGAGATCAATTTTATTACCCCCATGTAATGAATGGGGAAGACTGAAACTTAGTTTTATTAACTTGCCAAAGTTTGTAGCTACTAGAAGCAAGACTGAAGATTCGCAGTCTAATTTGATTCCAAATGCCATGTTCTTAACTAAATAGCACATTACATTTTTAGTTCCTCAAAACAAGAACTGTGCTTCCTAAAATCTGTATGCTCAGTGCTTATAATTTCATCTGGCATACTGTATGTGAATATGTGTTTATTCAATGACTACATAAATGTGGATCTCCCAGTTTGGAAGCCTGAAACTTTCTCCTTGACCTATCTCTCCAGTATGAGGCCTCCTGAGAAGAAAAGTAGTATTCTGGCCTTCTCTATCTATAAACCAAGAGAAGGAAAGCAGAGTATATATTGTTTTGTAGAATATTACTAGATTCATTTAATCTTTTATTCAAAAATACAAACTGCTCCTAAGAGCTAAGTACTGCTTTGGCTCTTAGGACCAAAGTTCTTTGAGCAAGGAATATAGTAAGTGCATTGGCCAAAACTAGGGTAAAGGCAATAAGGCACACAGGTGTTAAGAGGAGGGAAGGCAAGCAGTAGCATCACATAGGATCTACCACAATGAACATTTAGCCTTGATCAATAATTGCCTTGAAATCGTCAATGCTTATTAAAAAATAGTTTTCTTAACCTTGCTTTTTCAAAGCTAATTTAATGGTTTCATTTTACTCTGCAGTTAAATGTTTAACTCATTTTATTTTATCAACACAAGCATCAGAACAAGTCTTTTGAAAATCTGAACTGGAAAATAATCACCATGAATTTAGATAGTAGTACATATAGAAAAATAAAAATCCCATTTAACATTTACATAGAGGTGAGTAAGGTTTGAACTGTTTAAATAAACTCAGTTTAAATGTTAGCACACTGGATGGAAAAAGCAGAAATGTGAGTTTTACTTATTTTTTCATTGCTGGAATTCTACTGAGAGAAGGAAAAAAGCATTATTTTGTTTCCATCTGTAAAGAAAAAAATGGTTTTTTTTTTCAAACTGCCATACTATCTAATGAATTAAGAAATGAATTAATAATTTAATTTATTTGGGGACTATAAAAATATTACACCATTTATTTATTAAAGAAAATGAATTTGGCCTAGGAAAACATAAATTGACATAACAAAAATAAAATCTGAATTACATGAATGTTCTTTTGTAACTTTCTTGAAGTATGATACCTGAGAGAACCTCTTGATGATATAAACTAAAAACTATTGACAATAAATTACCACGTAGTGATTTTATAAGCACAATCAAAACAATTAGAATCTTCAAGATATATTTACCTTAAATATCAGAATCTTGTCTGGCAAACTTACTTACTTTATTTACTGAAACCACAAAAGTCCTGTTTAGCTAACTAAAGAAACTTCAGCCAGATGCTGTTTAAATTATCACTTACTTCTCAGTTAGTGAAATCTAAATAAATGCTTCTCAGTGATTTATTGTCATGGTTACCATTTTAAACTTAACTGTCAAGTGTGTTTTTAATTAAAAAATGACTTTATATTGAAATATGTGCTCAACATATTCTACTATCATGTAAGAAAATTCATGGTAGGATTACAGTTCATATAATATACTATATTTTCATAAACCTAACATTGCACTGATTATTATGAGCTCTTAATGAAATATGTAAAGAATATCCGAATGAGTAAATTTTATATTGTAAGATCCCTATATTTCTCAAAAATAAGTCTGAGCAAAAATAGCGTTAGAATTTGGAAATCTGAATTCAAGGGGGTTATCTCTATTGCTTATTAATGACATTTTGCACCTCATTGAGCTTCATCTTCTTGACCTAGAAAAGAATAAAATAATACCTAATTCACAAAGGTTTACTAAGAAGTAAATTGACAATATAAATGAAAGTGCTTTGTAAATTTCTAAGTATATTATGACTGTATAGGATTATTATTTTCCCAACCCAGAAGCAGAACATTTATTTTTCTCTTCAAAACTAGTTCCTGGCATATAGGTGGCATTTGGTTGAATGTTAAATGAAAGTCTCCTGACAGAATAAATTTTAAATAAAGCTCTCCAATACATGTTACAAACACACACACACACACACACACACACACACACACACACATTGTTTTTGACCTCTCATGCATGTCAGTTTTCTAAACATACAAGTGTACCATCTATATGGCAAACCAACAGTTAACCTTAAAGATTATAAGAAAAAAATATTGAAGAACATAAAATGTTACTGCAGAGCAGTTGATCCATTCTGTCAAAATGCCAGATGTCTCTTACTCTTTGCTTCTGGATATTATTAAAACTGGCTTCAAGGCTTCTCTGTCTATCTTTCTCTCATTTTCTTTCTCTCTCCTTGTCCCAATCAGCATGCTGTCTGCATTGCTCAATTACTGGACAAATGTAACTTCCTGTCCTCCTCTGTTCAACCACTTTTATAGCAGCCCTAACAGATGCTGTCATTAAGACCCTCAATGGGAAATCATGAAACTAAGTATATCCTTCGCCCTTCTTGCTTTTCAATTTTCCTTAAAAAGATAAGCCATCTGCTTTAACCCTCTTAAAATTGCAAGTTTCTTTGTAATATCTTAATTTTTATTAATAATAAATAAATATTTAACCCCCCAGCTCAGAACTTTAATTTTATGAAGTTATTTTGTGGCACTAAAATATAGTCTCAGCATCACAGGCTGGTGTTATTTTCTAGAAATAATTTTGTATTTTAGTTATACACACACATAAGTGTTTGTGTGTGTGTGTGTGTGTGTGTGTGTGTGTGTGTAAACAGCAAGGATTCTGCTTGTCAGATTTTACCATATTCAATATTGGCAAAAAATACACTTCCAACAAATTATATTGTGGAATAGTTCTGAAAACACAAAATAACTATTCGTGGAAAATTCAGGCATAGTATCACATGGGCCATTGGACATATTAGTACATTTTATATGTACATATGAAATCATCATTACTAATCTATTAAAACTAACATATCAAGCTGAACTAAAATATAGGGACATAAAGCTTACATGTACATCGATGTATATAGGTTGTTAAAATAAAGGCACACCTCAGGATTAATTTAGATTTTATGATATGAATTAACACTGGCATTTTGGATTCTATAAGCTATTGCTATACAAAAATAAATTTAAAAGAAAATATATCACATTAATTCTGTGGGTCATGAAAACAGCAATAGTACTTTTTCTAAAAAATGAACCAATAATTTTGAGAGATGGATATAGAAAGAAAAGGGATTACCAATTGTTCCTGTGTTTTTTATGACTGTATCCAACCATTCAATAGCTCCAACAAAGTAAGAAACTTGGACATATATTTCACAGCAATCATAATGAACAATTTTACTTGTATTATCCACTGCTACTATGGTAAAATCTCAGTTCCCCTTCTACCTCTGCTTTCACTTGCTTCTCTTTTCGTCAACTATTCTTTCTTTTCTGTAACTCTAAATTCAAGAGTGCCCCAGGAATTTTTTACTCCCTAGGACCTATGACACTTCCTAATACACTAATGATTCAAAAATGTATTAATATATCTCCAGACCAGATTTTGCTTCTGAATAATCTCATCTCCATTTTATTATCTCCAACTGAAATCCTTATTCCCTACCCCCAAAATCCTGCCTTTACTGCTTATATATCACTCATATATAATTGAGTAAATATAACTTTATGCACTTTCAATTATTTTGTTTTGTTCTTCAGAGCATGTGTGTTGGTTTGCCCACCTCCCCTGTACCACAGGACCTAGAAGACAGCCTGGTGCACATTTCTCAGTGAACGAATAAGTGAATGAGAATGAGAGTAAATAATACTAATGACATTGTCACAACACAAAGATTAATTGAATGCAATAGTGTATCAGTTTTCTATACTGATATTACAAATTATCACACATTTAGCAGCTTCAAGACCACATTATTTAAATCTTGTAGTTCTATAGGATAGAAGTCTAGCATAGGTTTCGTTGAAATAAAATCAGGTATTACTACGTTTTCTTGGAGGCTTTAGGGGAGCATCTGTTTCCTTGTTCTTTCATGGTTCTCGAGGGCACCCACATTCCTTGGTTTATTATGGCCCTCTTTCTTCATCTTCAAGTCCAGCAACATAGCATTTCTTTTATTACTATTCTGTAGTCACACTTTCCCTTATTCTCTTTTCCACCTCCCTTTCTGCTTCCCTTGTGATGACATTGGGCCCACCTGAATAACACAAGGTAGTATCCCTATTAGCAAGCTCAATTATATCTGCAGTCTTAATTCTCCTTTGCCATGAAACCTAGCATACACCCAAGTTCTGGGGATTAGACTATAGACATCTTTCATAGAGACATTATTCTGCCTGCTATAAATTCTCAAGAACATGATCATGGTATAGTATATAATATTTAAAGTATAAAAGAGTTGGATTTTAAAACCACTGAAGAAGTGTAGAGTATTGAAATAAATGATTGAGCAAGTTACCCTTCCTTAGAATAAAATAATATAAGCCAGGTCGTTACATCATGTAAAATCTCAAAAAACGCCAGAAAAGTATTGTGTGGGAAAAAAAATAATTAGAACCATACAGGAATATATTCGTAACACTGGGGATGGAGCAGAATGTTCTAAAACTACCAATTGTTGGATGAATTATAAAGGGAAAAGTTATAGAATGTATAAGAAAGAAACTTAGACAACCATATTCATACTCAAAATTAAAAGGCACAAATCACCATGGGAAGCAGAGTTTAACCAAATATGACAGATAAGATATTGAAACCTTCAATTTACAAAGGATTCTTGAAATCAGTACAAAAACAAAGAAATACATACCAAAAATTATAGAAAACTAAAATTTAAAAATTAACTGAATATGTGCATTATAATTGTATTAGTTTGTTTTCACACTGCTATAAAGAACTACGTGAGATTGGGTAGTTTACGAAGAAAAGAGGCTTAATTGACTCACAGTTCCACAGGTTTGACAGGAAGCATGACTGAAATGCATCAGGAAACTTACATTCATGGCAGAAAGTGAAGGGGAAGCAAGCACCTTCTTCACATGACAGCAGGAGAGAGAGAGCAAAGGGGGAAGTGTCACACACTTTTAAACCATCAGATCTCATGAGAACTCATTCACTATCACAAGATAAGCAAGGGGGAAATCCTCTCCCAGGATCCAACCACCTCCCACAAGACGCCTCCTCCAATTTGACATGAGTTTTGTGTGGGGACACAAATCCAAACCATATCATTCACGGTAGCCCATTTGATGATGTTTTTTAAACTCTCTTCTTTACGGCCTTTAAATTATCAAAAATGTCAATGCAGTAATATACACTCATTAGGCTAGAGTAAAACATGAAACATTTCTGTAAAAATTTGAAGCAAAATTTTAAGTATAATTTAATGATATATTTTTAGTATAAAAACTTTATAAATTGTTAAACTAGTTGTATTTCCTTTACACTTTTTGGTAAAATGTTATTATCATAATTACTGTTACCAACAAATTTCTACTAAATATCTGGGATGGTGCAATGGTGGATAAGGTTCCGGATTAGTATTTCTGCTTTTCTGTATTCTAGGAAGTGTCCTCAGAAAACAATCATAAAACTTATAGCCATGTTAATTATGGTAAGAGGAAGAAGTAACAAAGGGAAATGGAGGCAGAAGGAGCTTGGATATTAGGGGTTAACACAAGGAGCTCTGTGTTCTGGAGCTACTTTGGGATGCTTCATTTTACTGCACTGTCAAAACAACCATCTAGAAGAGAGTAATACAACTGTGTTACTTCCTGCTACGCACCTAAATAAATGAATGAATACACAAAATTAATTAAAATAACAAAAAGATCTAAAATGCAAATAAATATCAACATTGAATTCATAACCTCTCCTCTGTTTTAAGATATTATTAGACTTTTAAAAATGCATTAAATTTATTTTCCTTACTTCCAACAAACACCCTTTAGAGCCCACATATTCTGATGTCGTAGTTTGTTTTTGTTTGGTTTGGCAAAAAATAATACAGTTCATTTTAATCTAATTTTATCTCTATAAAAGTGATGAGGTTTGGGAAAACAATAAATACATATATAAATTGCCTTGCTTCAAAATCTTTCTACAAACTTTTTAAAATGCCATTGATAATGGAAAAGAAATACTATATTCTTTCAGGTCATAGGTGACTTGAAAAAATTACTAACAAACTTTAATTTCCTTAGTAACATCTATCCATTACTTTTATTCTTTTTTCCTTCTTTGTCTAGTACACTTTATTTTTATAATGAAATCCATCCATTCAGGATCACAATTTTCCTTGGCATCTGTGGAGAATTAAAATTAGTTTTGAGAACTTTGTATGCCTAGAAGTCCTAGGCAGTTTTAGATAACAAGTTGGGTATTTTGTCATTTTCTGTGTTATTTATTATTTTGCCTTTATCTCCTGGAGTAAAATAAAGTGCAATGCTTCTAGCCTTTTCATACACAGCATCAATAGATAAAGTTGTTGTAATAATATTTTTCCTTAAAAATCATATTAAAATAAACTCAGGGTTTTTTGTTTATTTGTGCAGGTAGTGTTGTTGTTATTTTGTTCTTCTTTAGCAAAATATAAGTGAGGTGAAAATGGCAAGAAACCAGAAATAAATTATACATTAGAACTTAAAGACAAACATCCAGTCAATTCTAGTTAAGAGATACTTGGATTCTTCCAAGTACAATCAGTTATCTACTTTTATCATATGCATATGTGTAAATTATTCAGGTTATATATGTAACACATATATTACTTTATAACTTCTTAATTATTAGGTAGATAAATATTTACATTTGATATTAACTTACTTTCATTCTGTCTTTACAATATTTATGACAGTTAACCGGGAACACGTAGCTTATTCCTACATTAACTGTGCACCTCAATCTTTCCCTTTCCTGGGCTTTTTCTTAATCTGGGCAAGAGCCCAGATCAGCTCAAGAAATTTTCAAAGCACTAGTTATATGATAGATGCAAGATAAACATCCTTGGAAAGTAATGTCTTATGGATCCAGGGCAGTCTTATCAACACCTTCCTCACAAGTGACTTGTTAATGTTTCTGACTGAGAAAGGTGCCAGTGAACATTGATTTTTGCTTATAAATACAGAAGATTTCAATTTTATTATTCCAAAAACAACTTAGTTATTTTTTACATTTTTTTTCATATTACACAGACACACAAAATCAGCCATTTAAGAAAACGCACTGACAAGTGTTTTCACATATACTGTTCTTTGTCTAAAAAGTGCTTTATAGGTAGTACAGATAATGATCAGAGAGTTTGATTTCTGCACACTCCCTGGGTGACTGCTTCCTGATGTTCAGGAGGTTGTGACACTCCTAACCAATTGATCCCAAGGCACTCAACTTGTGAACCAGCAGCTCTCCTCTCATTAGCCTTCTACCCTGCAGGCTTTTCACCCCCCACCCAACCATTCAAAAGGGGTAAATTAATCATTATTGCATATCACACTGACTGTGTTACACACATTTTTAAAGTGACTTGTATTCTCCCTTAAAATCAGATTTGAATTGGTCAGTCTGAATGTTAAGGCCTCCTGGGTGATTATTTCTACCTATCTCATCTTCCCCCATGAGTTCCTTTCCTACCTTCCAATTTAAAATGCTATAATGACTTATTATATCTAGACTTCTCTGTTCCTTTCCTGTTCCCTCTCCACAGTCATATTAATGGATTAGATTTTTATCTTCTTTATTCAGAAGAATGAAACAATGCTTTACAGTCACTAGCAGCCTTGTCTTCCAAATTATTTTATAATGTTAATCATTTCCAAGGAATTATATTCACTTTTTAGAGAAGAGCTGCTAATACTTTTGATTATTAGTATTAATATAAAATTTATTAAAGTTCCTTTCTCCAAAATACTTAGTTCATTAAGTTTCTTTATGTGGTGCACATAGGATAACATGATGTTTCTGGGGGACACACACAGGTACCCTACCTATAGGTCAAGACATGCCATAGTATACCTTTTCCTTTGAAAAGCCAAATTCACTCTGCCCTACCACTGGGAATCTTTTGGGGTCATTTGGAAACAGTTAAAATGGCAACTTTCTTTTTTAAAAAGGTTTAGTAACACAAAGGTCAAGTTAAGTCTGCCTTTAAGCAGAATAAATAAAACATCGTGTTCATTAAATTTACACTGATGGAACATTCAGCCTCTGTTCTCAGTGGAGAACAGGAAAAGGTAGAGAGGAATCAGATGAAATAACATCTGTTTGTTAGGGATTTCTGTAACTAAAGCACAAAATATATAATGCTGATTGATATAGATACAGATGATATAAATGTAAGTTTTTGACATGGATTGGATATACGTATATAAATATATACTTGCATACATATGCATATAGCATAGATGTATATTGAGGGAGTGATTTAATTGGAATTACACAGGGATGTTTTAGAGACACAGAGAAAAAGGGGAGCAGGAAATAGAGCAAAAAGAGAGAAACAGAATTTAAGAAAAAGATATGTTAATTTAAACCCTATAATATTATACATGAAGAAATGCAAGCAAAAAAATGATGAGACTTTCTGCCAGACAGCATAGCTAGCTAAAGGCCAACACAAGTGCATTTCCAGAGTATAGTGAATGCAAGGAGGCAATCTGCTGGAATTTGAATTCTGACTCTACTTATAGGATAAAGTATTCCCTACCATAATTTTACACCAGTTTTACTTAACCTCCTTATGCCTCAGTTTCTACACATGGATAGTATAGCAACATGCCTTCTACATGGGAGTGCTGTGAGAATTGAAAGTGTGAAATGCTCAGTCTATTCTTCTCTGGGCACATCTTCAGCACTGTATGCTGTTAGCCCTCTTTACCGCCTGAACCTCAGTCCACTTTTTTTTTTAACACCTTTTTTATATTAATCTTAAAGTAGAAAAAAACTTTTTTTTGAAATGACACTAAGAACAATCACTATTCCTAGTGAAATAAGATTCATATTAACAGTAAGTAATATTCATATGTTGTTAGTTTTAGATAATTATATCCCAAATTAACAATTTTCTAGTTTAAATGGTCAAAAGTGATTTAAACTACTTTGTTGTGGAGTGATGATTTCTGGGTTCAAACCTGCTTTTTGAAGTGTTTCTTTTTCCTTCTTTCTCTTTTCCAGCATCCTCTAAAATGAATAATACTTTCCCTAAGGCAACATTTCTACATCTAAAGCCTAATAGACATTTTTCTTTCCTTTGTACTCTTTGTTAAAAGCCTCTGTAATGGAGAATACCTTTCTTTGAGTTCTGCATTTTCCCTTATCTAAGGAGAGGGCTGCCTGCAGGCAGTCTTTGAGTTCTAGGAGGTTGCTATAACCTTCTTTTTGATTAGATTACCAGCAATCTGCTACTTCTCTGCACAACGCATTTCTAAAACACTAATGATAGAAAAATGAGCCAAACAATGCCTTTTCCTATGGTTGGAGTGGGGTGGGAGACAGATCATTGTTCTGTTCTTAGAGAGAGAGAGAGAGAGAGAGAGAGCATATACTCATTTTTACTTCAATGTTATTTTGGAATATCATATATGTTTTTAGCTTTTCTTCTTCTTTTTCCTTTTTACTTTAAGACACACAGTGGACTAGCTTAAAAGGAAAGCTAAATTAAGACTAAAAGATTGCCCAAATCATTAAAGTTCATTACTTATATTTTCTGACAAATCTTTTTAGTTTGTGGATTTACTCTAGTATTTTTGTCATCACTGCTTAAACTTTTCGAATTTTTTTTACTACTTAGTAACAGTTAAAGAACAAAATGCAGTAAAATACACAAAGAATTTCATAGTAACTCACTACTCTACCAACAATGTCAAAACACATACGTTACTGACTTGCAGTACCATAAAGATAATACGCAAAATGTTTTTCAGTTGATTCCATAATAATCATTGTGTATATGAACAATTGATAAGTGAATGTTCATATTTTGCATTTGACATATGATTTAAAGGATTATAGTACATGTACAAAGTACATTTCCTTGGGTCAGATAAAAAGGATTTTCTCAGGGAATGAAATTAAAATAAAAGTGGCATATAGGCTATCAAGAGAGCAAAACATTCACATGAATCTAGATTGTATATTGCTAATCACCAGCTCTACAGTTTATAAACTGCCAACAATACAAAGAAGGGAAAGAATAGAGAGAGATCCTTGTAAAGATAAATTTGTAATACTTTCCCACTCTCTGTTTCTATTAAGGGTTATGCATTCCTTTTGTGTTTGATGTTTACAACAGAGAAAGGAATGAAAAATGGAAATGAAATAAAAAATATACTACTATAGAAAAGTGGCCTAAACATTATGAGGGCAGCAACATAATTTAAAATATATGGAACTGGTGGGCTACTGCCTAACCCTTTGGTTCTTCATCCTCAATTTCAGAGAACAAAAATAAGATGATGGTAAGAGCTACATTTTTTACTCTACCATTTTTTAGTTGGTGTTATAAACATCATTGTTGGATCACAAACATAAAAGGCAGAAAGGCTGGGTTATAATGTTGGCCTTGCTAATTGTGGATTTATAAACAAGATTAATTTCATTAGGAACTATACTGAACATTTCTCTAAATGATTTCTAATTATAATTCCATTATTCCATAATAAAGTATGTAAGTCCCAATAATGCAGGTTACTTCATTACTACAGAACTGCAATAGTGATATCATGTTCATAGAAATAAGGTATACATATAAACTTGTTTTCAATCTTACATTTCTTTTAGTCCCTGTATTTGCTATGGTTTTAATGTGCTCCCCAAATTTTACATATTGAAAACTTAATCTTCAAATTTATATGTTTGTGCTATTTAGAAGTGGAGTCTTTGGGAGGTAGATAATGTCATCAGGCTAGGGCCCTCATGATGGGACTTGTGGCTTTATAAGAAGAGAAAGAGAAACCTCAGCTGGCAAGCTCTTACCCTCTCATTATGTGATGTTTTCTTCTGTGTTATGTATGACACAGCAAGAAAGCCCTCACCAAATGCCAGTGCCATGTTCTTAGACTTCCCAGTCTCCAGAACTGTACACTAAAATAAACTTCTGTCTTTATAAATTACCCAGCCTATTGTGTTCTGTTATAGCAACGGAAAATGAGCTAACATATTATTATTTGTTTAGAATTACACAGAGATTAATTTATGTATTCAGAAAAATGTTGTTATAATAGAAGTTGTAATTAAGCATTGCCATGGCACTGAAGTTATGATTTCAACTAAGACAAATAAGTTCATGCTCTGAGGAAAATTACTGGTTGCAAATATATGAAAAAATTAAAAAGTAAATATATGACTAAAAGAAGAAAAACACAGGAATTTGAAAAAATATGAAACAAGTTAGGTGAAGTGTTAAAGAAGCTGTTACTTTAGTTATCTAGCAAAGCCTCTAAGAGGAGGTGAAGTTTGAAGTAAGAAGTAAAGGTAAGTGCCGGGCATGGTGGCACGCACCTGTAATCCCAGCTACTTGGGAGGCTGAAGCAGGAGAATTGCTTGAACCCAGGAGGCAGAGGTTGCAGTGAACCGAGATCGCACCACTGCACTCCAGCCTGGATGGCAGAGCAAGACTCTGTCTCAGGAAAAAATAAATAAATAAAGGTAAGAATGAGGGCTCAAAGGACAACTTAAGAAAAAAGTCATCCAAAAAGCCAATGACTTGGAGGCTAGAACAAGCCTATCACTTTTCAGTAATAAATGGAAGGTAAGTGTGGCTAGAGTGTGGAGCTCAGGGGAATTAGTAGATCAAGACGATGTTGGAGAGACTGATGGTAGCTCCTGAAGTCATGGGGAAGAATGTGGATTTTGTGGTAGATAATTCATATTGGAAGAAATTTGCATTCTAATAAGGAAAAATAAATACAAAACAAATATGAAAAAGTATAAGTTACTTAAAAATACAGATGCTCCTTGACTTATGATGGAATTACATCCTGATAAACTCAATGTAAGTTGAAAATCTTGTAACTGAAAATGCAACCAACCTACTGAACATTATAGCTTATGCTAGCCTACATTAAACGTGTTCAGAACACACATATTAGTCTACAGTTGGGAAAATGTCAAAATCCAAAATTTGAAATATGGTTTCTACTAAATTCTTGTTGCTTTTGCATCATTGAAAACTTGAAAAATTGTAAGATGAACCATTGTGATTTGGGGACAACTATAGGACCACATAAAAAGGGCATGCAGTACCAGTTTGAAGAGTCAGGTAATTTCCTAGATAAGGTAACATCTTTTGGTATAATAGAAAAGATAAAATTGGCAACAGAGGAAGAAGAGAAAGACAGGAAGTCAGGAAGGAAGAAAGGAAGCAAAGAAGTATTGAATGAAGGAAGGAAAAAGGAAAAAAGAAAGAAAGAAAAGAATAAAGCGATGGAACTCAGGATATGCTAACCCAAAATACGCTCATTGGTATCCGAGAAAATAGCAGAAGGAGGGTGGTTATTCTGACCTTCTCCTGCCCTTCTCTCCTGAAACAGAACGTACATAGGAAATAGAAAGAATTCCCTTTACCCCTTTTTCCCTGAAATAAGTAATAAAACCTGGCTGACTTTCCCCTGAAGTATGTCGTAAGACTCTCATTGCGGAGTAGTCCTCCTTCTTCCAGGTGGGAAGGAATGTCCTTATCTCTTATGGCAGAGACACAGAGACACAAAAAAGAATCTGAACAAACAGGACTTGCTAAGTTCCCCATTAATTACCATTAGATGAAACTCTGTTTTACAATAATCATACTACTGCCTGAGACTCCATCAAAACACAGGTTCTCCTGTTTCTTTGGGTTTTTATTTCATAAAGCTCCTATGTCACATAAAACTTACATTAAATACATTTGTATGCTTTTTGTGGCTGTTGTTGTTAATCTGTCTTTTGTTTTAGGGGTCTCAGCCATGAACCTAGTGATGGGTGAGAAAACAAATATTTTCTCCCCTACAGAAAAAAAAAAAAAAGAAAGGAAAGAAACAAGAAAAGAAGAAAGGGAGAAAGGAAAGAAGAAAGGTAAAGAAGGAAGAATGAAGGAATAAAGGAAGGAAGAAGAAAAGACAAAGGAAGAGACAGAAAAGTAGTGAAGAAAGAACAGAGAGAGAGAGAGATGGAGTTGAACAAGCAGCTTTAGCAAAGGGAATAGTGTGTACTATGGTCCAGAGTCAAAGGAGCAAACATCTTTTTTCCCCCCAACAAGACTGCCAGAAAGATCAAACAAGAGAAATTACTTTACTGTAATTCCTAACCCCTTGATCCACTTACAGTGGCCACTTGAATATTCCTAGTTACAAAACAGGAAGGCTTTGAGACTGTAATACGTATTAGGAACTATGCTAGATACATAAAAGCTAATTAATACATATGAAGAATTTATATTTCAATAACTATATACCAAGTGCAAAAACATAGTGACTAATAGACCATAGTCCTGTAGAAACCTATAACCTAGATGGAGAAAGAGTCAAACAAATAAACATGGACTAGATCTAGATAGTTTCCATGAGTGAGATTTTTCCCATGAGAGATGCAGATTGGTTTGTAAATTGGAGAGTAGTTGAGTGCAAGATATTAAAGCTACCAGGAAACTAAGCCAACAGTTTTGAAATTTAACCTGAAAACAATGTGAAAACAGTGAAATAATACTACTCTAATATCAGTAATGATCAGAGAAAAGAACTGAGTTGGGAGAAAGAAAAACAAATTAAGAGACTTGTCAATCTTGGTGAAAAAAAAATGTTCAGGGTCTCAACTGAGGCTCTGATAGAATAAATGAGGAGTACAACCTCAGTTAGTCTTCCCAACAATAATGTTATTAGTTTTAAAGTAATGGTTTAAAAAATGAATATAAATGAGGCTTAGAAAGTTTTAAGTACTTATGTATGCTCAGTTATTAGCAATCAGTAACCAATATCTGATCATTCAAATTCACATTTTTGCTTTTTAGGCAGAAACAAATTTAATTCAATTTTATATAAAATTTAGATATTTATTTCTTACAGTAGCTTTTACTCATTGTCTAAATAAACAATAAGATTTTATATAAAAAATGAATTTAAAAATTTATCAGAAAGCTATTCAAATTTATACTATGAATTATGCAATAACCATTTATCATAGACATTGATATTTCTATATACAAATCATTTGATGCCATATTTCTGAAATTAGCATCCTGACGTCCAGGGAAGTGAACTGCATATTTAGGTACTAAGGAATGATTGAAGAACAGGCTGCCCCTGAATTTGAATGGCTCTGGGCGGTGCAAGGTTTGCACATCATTTTACACATGAGATAATTTCTTTTATTGACTATCATATTTTTAGGCAAGATATTAGGAATGTTATGTGTGTACAACTACAATTAGAATTTCAAAAGTGCTCAGATGATTGTGGGAAAATTCCTGAAATTTCATAAAATAAATTCAGCTCAGCTCAACTATTTTCTTGATTTATATTGATCATTTCATCCATTTCTAAATTCTTCTTTCTTGGCAATAGTTGATGACATATCACATCTAAACATTTCTTTTTCTTTCTATTGGGAGTATGTTGTTAAAATGCTCGTTAATTTTTTTTTTGTTGCTCCTAGTAAGTATAAAATTGTTTAACAGTAATTAATCTAATAATATTCTATCATGACAGAAACAATTTTGACTCTTGTGTAGTGACTAATTAGCCTTACACAAGGATAAATTTGGTCTTTACCACTGGTCACTGTGAAGTGATCTGTAGGCCCATGGAGTGCCCTCTCCAATCTCTCTGATATAAGCTTCTTTGTTTGCCTGGGGGTGCTGGCTACTACACAGTCTAAGATCATGATTTATGTTGGGGACATGGGGCCACCAGAGAGTTCTGACTCTCAAAGAAACTAATGACTGGATATATTTGCCTGATCTCTGGAAGGGTATGGAGACTAATGATCATTCATACGGGCATCTGATGTATGACTGATCCCCAATAAAATATCTCAATACAAATGATTTGGGTGAGCTTTTCTGGTTGTCAATATTCTGTGAGTATTATGACACATCATGGCCAGGAGGAAGTATCACCTCCATCGCTCTAGAGGAAAAGGATGACTGGAAAGTGCATTTGGACCCTTCCTGGACTGCCCTATGCATTTATTCACGTGGCTAAAATTAATTCTTGTCATTTCTCCATAATAGACTGTAATCATGATTATAACAGCTTTCAGCAAATTCTGTGAGTACTTCTAGTGAATTATTAAAACTGAGAGTGGCTTTGGAAACACCCCAAACTTGCAAATAGTGTCATAAATCTCATAAGTGAGATTGATTTTATGGGGTAATATGCCGTCAATCTTTGCAGTTTGGCTAATTTTGGTTAACTCCCAATATAAGAAATGAAATTTTAATCATTTCTGTTTTATCAAGCTGTCAAGTTAACTTCGATAACTTTTTATAGTAAAATGAGCCCTGAAACAGTATGGATTTGTGTCCCTATCCAAATTTCATGTGCAGTTGTTATACCCAGTGTTGGAAAAGGGGACTGGAGGGAGGTGAATAGATCATGGGGGCAGATTTCTCCCTTGCTGTTCTCATGATAGTGAATGAGTTCTCAGAAGACCTGGTTGTTTAAAAAGTGTATGGGACTTTCCCCCTCTCTCTCTTCCTCCAGCTCTGGCAATATAAGACGTGCCTCCTTTCGCTTTCCTTTCTGCCATAATTATAAGATTCTTGAGACCTCCCAAACCATGCTTCCTGTACAGCCTGTGGAATCATGAACCAATTAAACCTCTTTTCTTTATTCATTACCCATAGCAATGCGAGAATGGACTAATACAGAAAATTGGTACCAGGTGTGGGGCATTGCTATACAGATACCTGAAAATGTGGAAGCGACTTTGGAACTGGGTAACAGGCAGGGACTGGAAGTGTGGAGGGCTCAGAATAAGACAAGAAGATGAGGGAATATTTGGAACTTCCTGGAGACTAGTTAAATTGTTATGACCAAAATGCTGATAGTGATATGGTCAATGAAGTTCAGGCTGAGGAGGTCTTAGGTGGAGATGAGAAACTTACTGGAAACTGAAGCAAAGGTCACTTTTGTTACACATTAGAATAGAGCTTGGAGGCATTTTGCCCCCCCGCCTGCCCTGGAAATCTGTGGAACTTCGAATTTGAGAGTGATGATTTAGAGTATCTGGTGGAAGAAATTTTTAAGCAAGAAAAAAATTCAAGATGTGACCTGGCTGCTTCAAAAAACCTATTCTTATATTCATGAGCAAAGAAATGGCCAGCAACTGGAACTTATATTTACAAGGGAAGCAAAGTGTAAATGTTTGCAAATTTTGCAGCCCAGCTCTGTGGTAGAAATGAAAAACCCATTTTCTGGGGAGGAATTCAAGCTGGCTACAGAAATATGCATGAGTAAAGACGAGCCAAATGATAACAACGAAGACAATTAGAAAAATGCCTTGAAAGGTTTCTGAAAGTTCAGAAACCTTTGCAGCAGCCCCTCCCATCACAGGTCCAAAGGGCTAGGAGGAAAAGTGGGGCCCAGGGCTCCGCTGCCCTTTGCAACCTCAGGACACTGCTTCTTGCGTCCCAGTAGCTCAAGCTCTTGCCATGACTAAAAGGGCCCCAGATACATCTCAGACCACTGCTGCAGAGGGTTCAAGTTGTAAGCCTTAATGGCTTCCACATGGGTTTAAGCCTGCAAGTGCACAGAGTGCAAGAGTTGAGGCTTGGGAGCATCTGCCCAGATTTCAAGGATGTATGGAAGTCTCTGGAGTCTAGGTAGAAGTCTGTTGGAAGGGCAGAGCCCTCATGGAGCAACTCTGCTAAGGCAGTACAGAGGGAAAATATGAGGTTGGAGTCCCCAGACAGAGTCCCCCACCTAGGGAACTGCCTAATGGAGCTTTGATAAGAAAGCCATCATCCTCCAGACCCCAGAATGGTAGATGCACCAGCAGCTTGCACCATGCACCTGGAAAACCCACAGGTACTTAATGCCAGCCCATAAAGGCAGGCATGGGGGCTATATCCTGCAGAGCCACAGGGGTGCAGAGGCTCAAGGCCCTGTGAGCCCACCACTTGCATCAGTATGGCTTGGATGTGAGACATAGAGTTAAAGGAGATTATTTTGGAACTTTAAGATTAAATGGCTGCCCTTCTGGGTTTTAGACTTGCCTGGGGTCTGTAGCCCCTTTATTTTGGTCAATACTCCCTTTTGGAAAGGAAGCAATTACCCAATGCCTAGACTCTGATTGTATCTTGAAAGTAACTAACTTGTTTTTTGTTTTACAGGCTCATAGGTGGAAGGGACCTGTCTTGTATCAGATGAGACTTTGGACTATGGACTTTGAGTTAACACTGAAATGAGTTAAGACTTTGGAGACTATTGAGAAGGGATGATTGTATTTTACAATGTGAGAAGGACATGAAATTTGGGAGACACCAAGGGCAGAATGATATGGCTTGAATTTGTTTCCCCACACAAATCTCACGTCAAATCATAAACCCCAATGCTGGAGGCGGGGCCTGGTGGGATGTGATTAGATCATGGGGGCGGATTTCCCCCTTGCTATTCTCATGATAGTGAGTGAGTTCTCGCTAGATCTGGTCATTTAAAGGTGTGTAGCATCTACCCCCCTCTCTTCCTCCTGTTCTGTCCATGTAAGATGTGCCTGCTTCCTCTTTGCCTTCTGCCATAATTGTAAGTTTCCTAAGTCCTGCCCAGCCATGCTAACTGTACAACCTATGGGATTGTAAGCCAATTAAACTTCTTTTTTTCTATTTAATAGTAAAATCTCAGAGCAGATTAAGATTTTTCTGAATTTTTTATCAGAACAAATATAGATATCTTAATTTAGGTGCACCTATAAAGATTTTGTCCTTTTTAGCTTTTTGTTTTTGGCCAAAATCTGATATAACTTTAAATGCATCATAAATCCAATTAGCCATGATTAAAAAAAAAAATGTGGGCCAGGCGCGGTGGCTCACGCCTGTAATCCCAGCACTTTGGGAGGCCGAGGCGGGTGGATCACCTGAGGTCAGGAGTTTGAGACCAACCTGGCCAACATGGCGAAATCCCATCTCTACTAAAAATACAAAAATTAGCTGGGAGTGGTGGCAGGCACCTGTAATCTCAGGTACTCAGGAGGCTGAGGCAGGAGAATTGCTAGAACCCAGGAGGCGGAGGTTGCAGTGAGCCGAGATCATGCCATTGCATTCTAGGCCAGGCCGACAACAGCAAGTCTCTGTCTAAAAAAAAAAAAAAAAAAACCCTATTTAATTATTTTATTCAATCAGAAACTATCTAGTGTTTAATATAACTCAGGTGCTGCAAAAAAAACCTTGGGGATAGTTAAATTAAAAAACAGGCAAGACAAAGCCAGTGAGACTACAGTTTGTTGTCACATGTGACAATTATAATTAAGGTATGGTAGCAAGGGAGGAATTACCCATTTGCTCTGAGTTAGAGCTCTTATTCACAAGCCTGATCTATATTCACTATCTGCAGTCTTCATGTCATGTTTCTATGTTTACATAAAACAAATTGATGTCTGAAACTAACCTAAAACTGCTATATTCTTATTTAAATTGCACTGCTAGGTTGACAATAAATCAATGGGTTTCCCAAAGTCAACATCAAATTGACACTTAATTTTTTTAATTAATATATAATATTTGTACATTTTATGGGGTAACTGTGGTATTTTGATGCCTGTATACAATATGTAATGATCAAATCAGGGTATACAGGATATCTATCACCTCAAAAATTAATCATTTATTTTGGAAACATTTCACATCTCCTCTCCTTGTTATTTTAAAATGTACAATATATTGTTGTTAACTATTATTTTAAAATGTACAATATATTGTTGTTAACTATAGTGACCCTACTAAACTATCAAGCGCTAGAACTTTTTCCTTCTTTCTGTCTGTTCATATCCATTAACCAATCTCTTTTAATTCCCTTTCCCACACACTTCCCATCCTCTAGTAGGACTCATTTTACTCTCTGACTTCAAGAGGCCAACATTTTTAGCTCCCACATATGAGTAAGAACTTGCGATATTTGTCTTCCTGTGCCTGGCTCCTTTTGCTTAACATAATGACCTCCAGTCCATCCATGTTGCTACAAATGACAAGAAACGAACTATATGTATATAGATATAGACATAGATAGATATAGATGTGTGTGTGTGTGTGTATATATATATACACATACTATCTATCTATCTGTATACTATCTATCTATACATACACACACAATGACATACTATTATTTTTATGCATCTGTCCATTGATGAACACTAAGGTTGATTCTGTGTCTTGATTATCATGAATAGTGCCGCAATAAACATGGGAGTGCAGATGTCCCTTTGATATACTGATTTTCATTCTTTTCCATAAATACCAAGCAGTGGGATTGCTGGATTAAATGATAGTTCTATATTTACTTATTTAAGAAATATTCATAATGTTTTTCATAAATGTTATACTAACTTACATTCCCACTAAACAGTGCATGAGAGTTCTCTTGTCGCCATCCTTACCAGCATTTGTTATTTTAGTAGATTATTTTGTTATTCAGTCCTTAAAAGCTATTGAATTTGAATTGAATAAATTCTTCTTTTTCTTTATAGTAATATATTCTTAAGTGCTGATCAATTACAAGTGAAATTCATATTATTTGCAAGGTAATTTATTTCCTATTTTTCTATTTTCAAATTATATTTAAATCATACCTTTCTAAAAAATTTGAAATCAGTTTTACAAAACAAGTTTAGTTGAGTAAAATTTTTAGAAGAAAGATTTGTTTCTATTAAAGCTGTATTTTAACTTTAGATATAAAAGAGTCCTTGGAGTTCATTATATAACTGAATCCCAGAAAAGTGCCATGAGTTTGACAAAGCCACACACAGAATTGTTAACATATCTAATACTAAAATCAGAACTTTTCTTTCACATAGTTTATCCTATAGCATTGTGTATATTACCTCATATAAAAATACAAATAATAAAAAGTAAGAAAGAGTTCACAAATTATTTTACACCAACAACTGGTAATCTATTCAATTACATGTGAGTAATGTCAGTATTTGTGGGAAACATCATTTGTTATAGCAAAACATGAAGTATCTTTGGAAAATTCTCCCAATGTATTTGGTATAGGCTGATATCAGCTGATCCAGGGACTACAGTCATAGACAGGTTTATGGATATTTGAAATTTCCTGTTACTTGAAGTATGGATTTCATCATATTATTCTGTATACAACTTCCAAATACACATTAACATATAAAACTATCCTATATAGACTATAGAAACTATATAGGCTATAAAAAGCAAGTAAGCACTGCAACTATTATGCTTATTACCAGTTAAAACTTGAAGTTGTTATTTTTAAAAAATGAGACTGTACAGCAATTATACATGCTTTTTAGACATGGTTCAAAATATGGATTAAGTTTTGTCAATTGGTAAATTAAATAATGAAGTCATGAGTCTCAATAGCTTGTTTATCACTTTCATATTTTATGTTTCAACATTTTTGAATACTTGACTTATAGATAGATGTGGAAACTTTTAATAAATTAGTAAAACTTTTCTTTCTTCAAAAGAAACATATTTTGTTTCATATGACATAAATAAAAATACAAAGTGCAATTGTTATTTAGATCCCACAAGTCATAATTTTTCTTGGCTGAGAGCATAATAAACAATTTCTATTTTTTGTGCCCATAGAGACAAAGTGAAGCAGTTCATATCTGATGAAATCAAGAAATAAGAAGATAACTATTTTAAGTATGTTATGATGCACTGTGTTTACTTTAAAAGTAATTTTTTTTTTGCTTATGTTTTCTATTATACTTAATATTAAATACAAGGAGTGAAAAGATACTATTTTCCCTCAGGAAAGGCAGCAGTGTTTGCTATTTATTTACACCCTAAAACGATGCTTGTTTATTAAATATATATTTTTAAATGATTTCAACAAAGCAGATTTAGGACTATCCAGTTACACATAAATAAGTGGGTGATACATGTAAAGAATAATGACCATACATAACATATTCAGTTTCAATAAAAGTACCTCACATCCCCACATGTCTTCATGTCAGACACTCACAATTTTTTTAACAGCTGAGAGTATTCAAATTGTATTATTGATTGGACAAAATAAAATAATTTTCTCTTAAATTGATTTAAGAACTGAGATAGAATTTAAAGCTGGAAATAATGTGATCGCTTGGTAGATTTTAAAGTTATCAATTAGCATATTTAGCGTTATTTCATACAAGGCTTCTTATTTTTATTATTGTATTTATTATTGTTAATTGACAAATAATAATTGTATATATTTATGGGGACTAGGGTGATATTTTGATACATGCATGCAATGTGTAAGGATCAAATTAGGGTAATTAGCATATCTATCACCTGAGACGCTTATCATTTGTTTTTTGTTAGCAACTTTATATAACCAGCTCTTCTGGCTATTTGATATTAGCCATGCTAACTAGAGAGAGATGATATCTCATTATAGTTTTGATTTTCATTTCCCTAATGATTGGTGAGTTGGCAATTTTAAAAACATAACTGTTGTCTATTTCTTTTTTTTGACACAGAGTTTCGCTCTTGTTGACCAGGCTAGAGTGCAATGGCACGATCTCAGCTCACTGCAACCTTCGCCTCCTGGGTTCAAGTGATCCTCCTGCCTCAGCCTCCCGAGTAGCTGGGATTACAGGCATGTGCCTCCATTCCCAGCTAACCTTGGGAAAAAACATAAGCTGAGAATGAGAGAGGGTTTAAGAGGCAAAGGAAAAATGAAATTAAATTAGAGATGAATAAACATCCATCAAATCAAGGAGGCAATCTGTTATAAAATAATTGTAACAAATTTAAAGACCCAAGGTGAGGAATTTTCATAAGGAGATATAAGAAGCAGAGCAGTATACAAGATCTGAAAATTCCTTAGGGGAGTGATGGAATTGATATTATTGTAACTAATTCTTACCATAGCTTTATCAACCTTGTTTAAGCATTTATTCATTAGGAATTTGGGTTATTATCAACAAAATAATGAGGGTGGAGAATTAATAATATCAAATGACAACATAGGGTGACCCCATCTCTACAATTTTTTTTTTTTTAATTAACTGGGCATGGTGGTGCTGGCCTGTAGTCCTGGTCCTAACTAGGTGGTGGAAGGCTGAAGTGGGAAGACTGGTCACATCCAGGAGTTCATGATTGCAGTGAGCTATGACCTAGCTGTTGCACTCCAGCCTGGGTGAAATGTTGAAACATTATTTCCAAAAATAAATAAATAAATAAGAAAAAGAAATAAGAATCAAATAATAGAAGGCTAGGTAATTAAGTTTCAATGATAAATGAGACTTCTAAAAGTTTTAACTATTTTGTGTTTAATTATAATAAATATATTTTAAAATTGATATATTTTAGTTGTTATGAAATCGATACCCAAAAATATTAGAAAATTAATAGAGGTTTAATAAAGGCTTTATAATGAGAATCAGTAGTATTCTACCCCATCTATCTTACCTCTGCTCTTCAGAGAAAAGCATTTTAGATTTTTTTATGCAGTATTTTTTCATTACCTCCATTTTACTAAAAAATATGCTTAAACCATTGGAGATTCTGTCTGTTATAATAAATAAGAGTTTAGCTTATTTTAACACAATTCACTACACACAAATCACTCAATAAAGAATAGAACATTACTTATAGAGTGAATATTAAAATTAATAAATTAAGAAAAAACTTAGAAGGAACTGGTATGTAGTACATTCTTAATTAGTGTTATTATTAATTTTTTATTCATCAATTCTAATACACATTCTTTCACTATGGATTGTTAATCATATTATAGCTGTTAGTGTTCTTTCTTTGTGGTAAATGAAATAATGGTGTATGTTATGATTGAGTTAACTCATAGATTTTATAAAATATTCTTTGTCTTATTCCTGATGTTATTAAACCTGTAGATTGAATCTTACATTTGAAAATAGAAATCGTATAAATATTATGTCAATGTAAATATGGTTAATGCAAAGTTATTTAAAATACTGATTAAAATGTCTTCTTTCGTTCTCATATTTTTTAAAACCTTCTTAACCTATTTCAAATTCTGAATATAATATCCTTTCTTTTGGATATATTTCTCCTGTAAATCTTTGATTAAACTGGCGTAATCTTAACTGCCTTCTTAATAGGAGAGCAGCAGAGATGAGTCCATGGTACCTACATTACACTGCTTTCCTGATTTGGGAAACTTCCATTAACTCAATTCCATAAGTAAACCCTTATTTTGCTTAAGCATATTATGCATAACATACCAAGAAACAGATTGTGAAAATTTGAGTCTTTGAGGACTTTTTAATGTACATAAAATGTCTTCATATTGTCCTCATTATTATTCAGTAATTTAGTTTAATTTTATAATTCTATACTGAAAATTTTTATGATTTTTTTTCTTTTTTCCTGTTTACTGCTGATTTGTAGCATACAGTGTAGTTCATGAGAAGTATAATTCAAATCTGGTCAGCATTTAATTTTGTAGTAATCTAGTAGTAGAATCATTAATTTTGTTATGATTTTTAAAAATGTTTTCCTTATAAAAGCTTTTATAATCATTTATTTGTGTGCTGAAACGTCACTATATATGAGTAGAGTTTTTTAATATGGCTGTGTGCATGTGTCTTTGTGTTCTATGTGCTCGTTGGTCCCTTTCAATATATAGAATTTTATCTTTGGGTTCATTAAAATTATCCTATATTATTTCTTTGGTAAATTTTTTCTTCTCTAAAGTTTTTTGGTCTCTTTTTCTAAAAATTTTATTTTATTGACCTCTGTTCCACTTCAAGGAGGTTTTCTTAACAGGGAGATTTTATCTAGGGACAAACATGAAGAAATTTGTGCTTAAAATATATAATTGGCTGCAGTATAAAAAACTTATTAGTAACCCTTTCTCTAAAGGACTTGCAGGATAATTATATGTATCCAGAGAATAGGCTCAGGTAATTTTTGTCTTTATTAGTCTTCCTTCTTTTTCTTCCTAACTCTGAAGATATTTATTCTTGCCCTTTTGATACAAACTTTCCAAAAATTCATTTCAGTAAAATGTGTCTAACAGACTGAGAGTTGGTAGATAGTAGCTTAAGCTAAAATTTATTTCTATTAGGCTACTAAAGATGTACATTTATACAAAACTTGTAGGAGATATGTGGCTGATTCTTATCTAATATTCTTATTTTATATAACATTTCAATACTACCTGAATATGGAAGTAGAAAAATAAAATTAATTTATTAGAAATCTGCAAAATGCAGCATTATATTATGCTGAGTTTAAAAGAAGTATAAATCTCAAGGAGTTCATAGGCTTTTGAGGCATGGATATATGAACAAATAATTTTAATGTGCTATTTAAAATGCTATAAAGAAAACATATAAAAGTCATACTGAAATCCAGGGACTTAAAGCAGAAAATTCAAGTTTGGTAGGTGGGAGTCAGGTAGGAGATAAAGATCTTGTAGATTTCTTATAAGTAACTTCTGAATAAATTACTTATTTATGGATTGGTAAGATTATATCACACATGAAGCTAAAGATTAGATACCATGGATCACACTTATAACTACTATGATAATCATAACCTCTATTAATTAAAAATATATAGCAAGCTCAGTATTTTTTTAATATTCGTAGTTTTTTTCACTGCCAGATTTAAGGAACAGAATATTTAAACTGTGTTTGGAGAATGAAGGTGAGATGAAATGTTAATCAACCTTGAATATCAGGTTAAAGACTGAATTTTATAAAGTTGGAGACTCAAGTGAGTTACAGTGGATATATTTTTTAAGTAGTGTAGAATTATTATAATCTAGAGCTAGACATTATGAAATCCTTAAAATAACTCATATATCCTTAATAAATTAACCATATTATTTTAGCAGATCACAGAACACATATAATTAAAATTACTCCTAAGATATAATATTCCATCTCTTCAGTTTCTACTACTAAATCTAAGGAGAACAATTAACACAGCACTGGAAATATGCACATGTTTTGCTTTAAACTTTGATATTCAGTTGGAATTGCAAAAGTGATTTGATAATTAGGACTCTTAATGATTAGTATCAGATTGAAACCATTATAAAGAATTCATAACATGATATGGTTTTACTATTGTCTGTGTAACCATATGGGAGTTTCACTTTTTACTCTTTTTACAGCTGATTTGTGCCAACACATTAGCCTCATTTTCCTAAGCATAATTTTAACAAGGGGTTGTCATGTATGACATTTTGTTTACATTACTGGGCTTAATTTCTGAGGAAGAGAAGTCGGTATCAACCAAAGTGCCATAGAATTGACAGAATCAGAAAGAAAACCTCATTGTTCAATACGTTATTGCCTTATTTTACCAATAATTTTGCTATGGAGATATTCAGAAAATATAATGTTCTAAAGTTTCACTACTGGATGTCAGATGGCATTACTTGGGCTAATCAAATAAGATTTTTAAACTTCTATCTGCCTACTGTTTATTCCATCTGTTTGCTTTGTTCTTGTCATATATCACAGCATATGAAATCCACTTTATTTTTTTAATTTTCAAATTTAAAAATTTATTTTTATGTGTGCTTTGCAATTGTAAACTTTAAAGAAGTTCACAGAAAATACAAAAACTTGATTTTCAGTGAGTGATACTTAACAAATCGATATTTAAGAACATAAATATGAGTAACTCATTTTTTTGGAGATGTCATTCCCTGGATATCTTTCCAGTTATGAAGAGTCTAATCTCCTTCAGTCAGAGCTACATCCACCTATGCCGGCACCTAGATAAGAAGGACTTTCACCTTTCTTCAAATGTGCTTGAGATCTTCTGGTGTTGTAGGAAGTGGGGATGAGTTAGGAGAGGTTTGACAGTATTGACTTGAACACATACTAGAGAACAACTCCATTTGGCTGTTGAACTTTTTCCTGGCTTTCTCCTATCTGGGGAGCCTGAGTGTGATAAATGCTGTCATTGCTCAGTGTTTGGATGGTTTCAATCCTCTCAGTTAAAAAATCTTAGAAGAGTATTTGCAGGTACTATTTTTTATCAGGAAACAGTGGAGCAAGCTTATCACACTTTTAGGTGTATACTATTTTTAATATTTATAGTTTGTATATAACTATCAATGCTATTTTTATATTTAGTCATATTACATTTTACATATACTCTCCTATGGCAATTTATCACTTTCCAGTTTCATGTCTTATATCCTAAATCATTTGGAAGATTCATTAAAAGTTATCCTGATTTAGGCAATCAATTAGTATTTTATTTAACACTTACTTTGTAGTCTATGTCTCCTTCTCCTACCCCCAGGCCAAAGCTATCAACATTGTTTGTTGACCCATGCTTTCACTATTCCATCTGATAAAAGTGAGTATATTAATATAAAATTCATCATCCTATGATAGATTGGAAGAACAAACACTGTTCTGGACCCATTTGTTTGACACTGTGATGTCTTTAAAGGTCAAATAAATATGTATATATTTATATTGCTAGCAAATATTTTCCAGTTAACCATTTAAGAACATTAAATATGGCTAAATTTTATATAATGAATTATACTAAACTAATTGCCATGATAGACACAAACATTTTTTTGTTTAGCCAATGGTTGTATCCTTCTGTCTCTCTCTCTCTCTCTCTTTCTCTCTCTTCTCTCTCTCTCTCTCTCTCTCTCTATATATATATATATATGGCATTACATGGGTGTATATATATATATATATATATATATATGGCATTACATGGGTATATATATATATATATGGCATTACATGGGTATATATATATATATATATGGCATTACATGGAGACATATATATATATATATATGTCTAACATTCAATTTTATATGTCCATAAATTTAAAAGAAGGAATTCTGCCCACTTAACATTTGCATATAAAATGCTTTGTGGTATGTTTTGCTTTGGGTATTGCATCAGTCCATTCTTGTATTTCTACAAAGAAATACCTGAGGCTGGGTAATTTATAAAGAAAAAAATTTTAATTGGCTCATGGCTTTGTAATCTGCACAGGAAACATGGCACTGGCATCTGCTCGGGTTGTGGTGAGGACCTCAGGAAGCTTCCAACCATGAGAGAAGGCAAAGGATGAACTGACATCTCACACGGCAGGAATGGAAGCAAGAATGAGAAGGTGGAGGCACCTCACACTTTTAAACAATCGAAATCATGAGAACTCACTCCTATCATGAGGACAGCATTAAGCCATGGGAGATTCACCCCTGTTACCCAAACACCTCCTACCAGGCCCCACCTCCAACATTGGGGATTACATTTCAATCTGAGATTTTGGTGGGGATAAATATCCAAACTACATGATTTGGCTCCTGGTTCTCCAAATCTTATGTTCTTCTCACACTGCAAAATACAAACATACATTTCCAATGGTCCCCCCAGAGGAGTCCCTCATTTTTCTCCCAAATTGAATGAGTCTTAACTCATTCTAACATTAATTCAAAATACCAAACCAAGTCCAAAGTCTCATCTAGAGATAAGTTCCTTACATCTATGAGCCAGTAAAATAAAAACAAATTATTTACTTCCAATATACAATGGGGATTACAGGTATTGGGTAAACATGAGTGTTCTAAAAGGAATAATTTGGCCAAAGTAAGGGGCTACAGGCCCTATGCAAGTTCAACACCCAGCAGGGTAGTCATTAAACTTTAAAGCTCTAAAGTAATCTCCTTTTGACTCCATGTCTCAATCCAGGGCATGCTGGCGTGAAGGTTGCCCTCCTAAGCCCTTAGGCAGCTTTGCCTCTGTGGATTTTTCATACTGAGGTTGAAAGCTGCTGGCTCTATCATTCTGTGGTCTGAAGGACAGTGAACCCCTCCCACAGCTCCACTAGACAGTGCTATAGAGAAGACTCTGCTTGGGGACTCCAACCCCACATTTCCTCTTAGAACTACTCTAGTAGAGGCTCTCTGTGAGAGCTCCACTTCTGCAGTAGTCTTCTGCTTGGGCACCCAGGCTTTCTCATACATCCTCTGAAATCTAGGTAGAGACTGACAAGCTTCCTGACAAGCTTCCTTCACCCTTGCACTCTGTGCAGTTGCAAGGTTAACACCACATAGACACTCCCAAGATTTAAGGCTTGCACCCTCTGAAGCAGTGGCCTGAGGTGTACCTGGGACCCCTTGAGCCAAGGCTGGTGCCAAAGAAGCCTGTATGTAGGGAGCAGTGTCATCAGGTTGCATCAGACATCAGAGCCCCAGACCTCGCTTCCTCCTGGGCCTCTGGATCTGTGAATGGCAAGGGCTGCCTAGAAGTTCTGTGAAGTGTCTTTTAGGTCTTCCCCCATTGTCTTGGATATTAGCCCATGGCTTCTTTTTAGTCATGCCAATATATCTAGCAGATATTCCACAGCCCATTTGGAGTTTTCTCCTGATAATGCTTTCTTTTACTCTGCTTCATGGCTAGGCTGCAAATTTTCCAAATTTTTATGCTTCTTTAAATATTAAACAATGTTAAATCATTTATTTGCTCCCACATCTGAGCATAGCTTGTTAGAAGCAGTTACATCACTTCTGGAACACTTTACTGCTTAGATTTTTTTTTCTCCCAATACCCTAAGTAATTGCTCTTAAGTTGAAACGTTCACAGATCCCTAAGGCATGAACACAATGCAGCAGAATTCTTTACTAAAGCATAATACACATGACCTTTGCTCTAGTTTCCCATAAGTTCCTCATTTCCATCTTAAACCTCATCAACCTTGCCTTCACTCTGAATATCACTATCAGCATTTTGGTCATGATTATTTAACCAGTCTATAAGAAGTTTTAAATTTTCCCTCATCTTTCTATCTCCTGAACCTGCCACACTCTTCTAACCTGTACCCATTACCCAGGTCCAAAGTTGCTTCCACATTTTCAGGTATCTTATAGCAATGTCCCACTCCTCAGTATCAATTTTCTATGTCAGGCTGTTCTTGACTTGCTACAAAGAAATACCCGAAGCCAGGTAATTTATAAAGAAAAGATATTAATTAGCTCATGGTTCTGAATTCTGTACAGGAAGCATGGTGCTGACATCTGTCTGGTATATGGTAAGGGCCTCAAGAAGTTTTAATTATGTTGGAAGATAAAGGGTGACCAGGCATCTCGTATGGCAGGAATGGGGACAGGAAGAGTGGGAGAAGATACTGCATACATTTAAACAAACAGATCTTATGAGAACTTGCTCACTATTGAAAGGAAAACACCAAGGTGCGAGAGATCTCCTCCCATGACACAAATGCCATATGCCAGGTACTACCTCCAACACTGGGGATTACCTTTCAACATGAGATTAGGGAAGGGAGAAATATCCAAACTATATCAGGTATGATATTTAAAAGATGATACATGAAATTTCTCACATTAAGTTCTGGCCCTTCTTTTCAAACACAATCTCTCTTCAAAAAAGTGTTCTCTGAGGGGCTTCTCAATTTTTCCTCCTCCCTGATGAATAAAAAAAACACACTGAGTGCCATTTGTGTATTTATTTTCTTTTTCTTTTTTTTTTTTTTTTTTTTTTTGAGACAGAGTCTTGCTCTGTCGCCCAGGCTGGAGTGCGGTGGCGCGATCTCAGCTCACTGCAAGCTCCGCCTCCTGGGTTCACGCCATTCTCCTGCCTCAGCCTCTCCAGTAGCTGGGACTACAGGCGCCCGCCACCACGCCCGGCTAATTTTTTGTATTTTTAGTAGAGATGGGGTTTCACCGTGCTAGCCAGGATGGTCTCCATTTCCTGACCTCGTGATCTGCCCACCTCGGCCTCCGAAAGTGCTGGGATTACAGGCGTGAGCCACCACGCCCGGCCGTGTATTTATTTTCTATTCAGTATATTTAGATTACAGATCCATGGAAATTTAGAGGTGAAAGAATTCAAATTCCAACGCCTCTACTTATGATCTCACTAACTTTGATCTACTCACTTAATCCAAAGCCTCAGTTAGTGTACCTGTAAATAAGTAAAGTAATAGCTGCATCACAAAGGTGTTTCTGAGATATATAACAAATGTGTTACACAGTGCTTAACACAGAGTCTTGAATGTAGTAAGTGCTCAACTTGTTAGGTTTTTTTATTTCTGTTACTCTATATATAAGACAATTGGTCTAAATTAGTTAAACATAAAATAAGGAATTTATCATAAATTAGCATCAATGATGAATGTGTTTGTTTTCATTATGGGGCATCTAAATACTGCTGAATACCGGTTATGATAATACAAGCACAATAGCCAAATGATAGGAAAACACTGAGTTTATTATTACTGAGTTAGGGAACAGGACTACTTTTTTAGATTTTAGTAGCATCTCCGAGAGAGGGAGAATAAAGTTGGGATATTTATGAGGTTTTGTGGTTTGACTTAAAGTGAATTGTTCACTCTAGGAGTTTGTGGAAGAATCATGATATAATGGTTTAGAATTAACAGGGTACAGCACAGGAAGAATTTTATTTTGATGTTTTAAAATAGTCTCAGAAAGAAAACATTGATTTGATAATACATTTTTCAGAGTTGAACAGTTTGATTACGTAGGGAGACAGAATTTGTAGAACAAACAGTAAAATTATTCTCAACGTTTTTTCACTCTTGGTATGAGTTTCTGGCAATAATACAGTCATGTTGATAGAGACAGTGGAAAAGCAAAGTTATGTTAATACAAAAAGATCTTTGCTTTTGGATAGATCCAGACCTTATTGTCTTCCCTTGTGATCATTCTAGAACCTGAACCAAATTATGTATCATTAACCTATAGCAACATGAGTTATCCAGATAATTACTACATGAAATGTCCTGCTGTCACATCAAATTTCTTGGTGCGATTATTTAAATTTTCATGTGCCAGGTTTCCTTATTGTGTAGGTATACACACACACAATTATTTAGTTGCATTACTCTGACAGCTGTTGCTCAGCACAAATGAAGATACTGAAGATCTACCTTTAAGATCTTTTTGAAATTTTACCTAAAGTGACTCTCCTATGAACTACTGCTTGTTCAACTTCATGAATCTCCCAGAAAAGGTATTTTATAGTCTTAGGGGCATTGCTCTTCTCTAAACCATAACACATAAGCTTCATCCTACCTTGTGAGTCTCTTGAAAGCATGAATAATGAGCTTGATTAGAACAAAAAATAATCCAAAATCTCCCTTGAATTGTTGGATATTGATTCTCAAATCAAGACCCATTTTTTCTTTCTGAATAAGTTATTTAATAATTTCCTTTTAATAACAGTGTAAACTGATGGTGCAAAATGTACCCTGGTTGATATCAGGGAATGTCTTGAGGAAAGAAATTAGATTCCTAAGTTTGTGTCCAAAAAGAAGTAGGGGCCAGTTGGCTTTTGTGCCACAAATCTAATATTGGGCATCTGAAGTCACACAATGATGTGTAATTGGTCAAATACTCCCTGTAGAATTGTTAAATAGTGTTGTTATGTTATGGTACCACTCATTCAAAATGTTCCTCTGCCAGGAAATTAAACTTGTAATAGAGAGATCATTAGGAAGATCTAAAGCCAAAGAGAAGTCTTACTTGTGAGATCTGTGAGAAAATGAGACAGGCTCCAAATATACACCATCTGTTCTCTGTTTCTTTTCCAAGTTCTATTTCTTAAAAGTTCAGTTACAACATGAGTCACTCATAGTTCACACATGAGGTCCTCAAGTCATATTTTATTGAGGAAAGTAATCCACTTTTCTATAAGTGATGTGATAAAATTTTTAGATATGCGGATGGTTAGCCTATTGTGTTTCCCATCTGTAAACTGATGCATAGGTTGAATCCAGTTAACCAGGACATCAACTGATTTATTGCAACTAACTACTTTTAAAGAAAACTGGTGTTTCTCAAAAACATGTGTACAAACTCAACAATTTTTTGCATGAGATAGCTAGTTCACATGCCAGCTGTAGCCAAGTATTGAACTCATATCAAAGAGTGTTTAAAGAGGCAAAAAAGGCAATATTAAGAATATAGGCTTGCTTTACAGTTAACAAAATTAAAGTTTCCCTTAACACAACAAGAAAGGAAAGGAGAAAAAAAGGAAAAGCAAAAGCAAAAGAATGCAGAATAAAATGTGACAATTGGTAGTTTTAGTTTGTGAATCTTAAGTTGAAGCCATCTACATCTCATATAGTTTTTGACTTGGTCCAGGGGTCTTGGGTGGAGTGTATCTCTTTATGAAGACCATATAATTCTAGAGTTTTTCGCATCAACCTCAGCTTGAAGACTCCAGAAGAAATTATCTTCCAATGATTCAAAGAAGGTTTAAGCCCTTTTGATTGGGAGATGATAACGCCTTGAAACCTTACTACTGTATTTATTGTTAATTGTATATAATGGAGTTTTTCCATCAGAGGGTAAGATCTGTCCATTTCTGATGCCTCATTCAGTAAGAGAGGTCTCCAGGTTTTAAGTCATGAAAGGTTATTTAGAAAAGCCTTCTCATATCTGTTGATAACAGCCCTGAGTACATGGCTTCAGTACCCTACAAATTTTAGCCAGGTCTTGCAATAATGTGGCGTATAAAAATTGAGATGATGTCACAAGACATATAATCTTGCCTGTTACTATCTCCAAAGGAGAGACCTGATGATACCCAGAAGTAGCTGCTCTCGTTGTTATTAATCCAATGATAATTTAATGCTTGAAATTTGGAAAATCTCTGAGAGTTTTGCTATTTTCATTGTAGAGTTATATTTGATCTTTCTACTTCTCTCAAAATTGCAAAGCTTTTATTACATCATTTCAATAAAAAAAAAAGGGGTAACTTTCACTAGAAGCACCCAAGGGACAGGTTGAAATCCTTGGACTGGTAACAAAATATCAAGTATAGCCAAGCCTTGGTATACCCATGGCAAATTTGTTCCAATATCCTCAGTGGATACCAAAATCCATGGATGCTCAAGTCCCTGATATAAAATGGTGTAGTATTTGCAAATATTCTATTCATATCCCCCTGTATGCATTAAATTATTTCTAGATTATTTACAATACCTAATACAATGCCTACACATCATTTCATTCACATGAATTTAGCATAATATTTGGCACATGGAAAATTCAGGTTTTCCTTTTTCAAGCTTTGTAGAATTTTGTGCCAAATATTTCTGATCCATGGTTGTTTGAATCTGCAGATGCAGAACCCATGGATACAGAGACAACTGTAATTGTTTATCACTTTAGAACTCTCAGGCAATGAAAGGCTTCAATTTATCCTAAGAATAAGGAAACAGTGTCAGGCACATGTACAAAAGCCATTCAAGATATTTACTTGAAATCTATTTGAAGGTGATCAAGGGGGAACTGAAATTTGAGCCTTTTCTACATCCCACCTTTACAGTTTTACCAAATTGTGTTAGTGATTAATGCAATATCCAACATACACAGCCTCATATCCAAGTGTTCCCACCAATGTTTACTGAGTGCAATAGCTACTTTTCTGTTGTGAGCAATTTTGTTTAGAGTTGTACACTTTCATTTTTGACACTCCTGTGTTTTTAAGCAGTCATCTTTGAAGATTATTCTTATGTGACCTGCATTTATATTTTTCCCAGTATCCATTTTATGACTCTGGAGCCAAATGCTGGTATATTAATGTGTTAGCCCAGTCTCACACTGCTAAGAAGAAATACCCAAGACTGGGTAATTTATAAAGAAAAGAGATTTAATTGACCCACAGTTCCACTTGGCTTGGGTGCTCAGGAAACTTACAATCACAGTGGAAAACGCCTCTGCACAAGGCAGCAGGAGAGAGAACTAGGGCATGCAGGGGAAAGGCCAAATGCTTATAAAACCATCAGAGCTCGTGAGACTCACTCACTATCACAAGAAAAGTATAGGTGAAACCACCCTCATGATCCAATTACCTCTACCTGGTCCCACCCTGGGCACCTGGGGATTATGGGGGTTACAATTCAAGGTGAGATTTGGATGGGGACACAGAGCAAAACCATATCAACTATAACTGAGCGTTTCAAGGATTTTCCTTGTTAGGTATCAGGAGGGCTAGGATTTTGGTGATGAAGGGCTGTCTGGCAAGATGAGCAGCCTAGGCATTTCTTCTACTCTTCTGCTCTTCATATTATTTTCTTTTTCTTTCTTTCTTTCTTTTTTTTTTTTTTTTTTTAGATGGAGTCTTGCTCTGTTGCCCAGGCTAGAATGCAATGGTGCGATCTCGGCTCACTGCAACTTCCGCTTCCCAGATTCAAGTGATTCTCCTGCCTCAGCCTCCTGAGTAGCTGGGATTACAGGTGCCCGCCACCACGCCTGGCTAATTTTTGTATTTTTAGTAGAGACAGGGGTTTCACTATGTTGGCCAGCCTGGTCTTGAACTCCTGACCTCAGGTAATCTGCCTGCCTCGGCCTCCCAAAGTGCTGGGATTACAGGCGTGAGCCACCAGGCCCGATCTCATGTTATTTTCTTATACTCATCTCTTAATGAAGCATTAGAGCACACAAAGTCCTTTAATGCATTGACTGTTCTTACATGAGATCAACAACCTGCCTTGATTTTAAAGCAATTCTAAAATTATTGTCCAACCAAAAAGTTGATCTATTATTTTTGTGTACAGTAACCATTCTGTCTCCAGCTAATTGACAAGCTTTGGTGAATGTGTCGATTTCAGCTTTCTGAGCAGATTTTGCCTCTGGCAGAGAGTCATATTTTAGGGATGAAGGAGTCATTCTGTCAAAGAATGTACCCACTGATTTTTTTTTTAAGTCTTATGATTAACCAATAATATAAACATTGTAAAGACTTTTCTAATAAATCTACCTGAATCATAGTTCATGGATAAAGGTTAGATAATCTTGAGTTTCCTTTTCTTCTTATAATGGAATAAAAGTAGCAGGAGCTTTGAGTATTACAATAAGGAATGAAAATGTGTGAGAAAATAAAATAATCGAATTTTAGAGGAGGTAAGCCTACTTGTTGATAAATGCGTATTTTCAGCAATCAACAAATGTAAAATATAAAGGACAATCAAGTATAAAGAAGATTCTGGAATAATATTGTCAGAAGGCTTTGCTAATTTGTCTGCCATGATTATTACCCTTAAACACAATTGGTTGGCTTTTGCCACAGAGTCAAGAAAGAGACTATATAGTTTGCTTTTGGTCATTCCCAAATCATTAATCCAGAACACTAAGGGCTCATCCAAAGAAACTCTCATGTAGGAATAGATAGAATAGTTTACAATGATTAGGTAAGTCCATATCCAATGTTTTGAAGAACTAATTTTAGCTCTCTTTCATATATATACAATCAGTCTCTCTTTAGATTTTCAAGGAAGAATCTCAGATACCAAGGACTTGGATAAGTCACATAGGTTTTGGTGACTGAGAAAAATTTAGACCCACTCCCTGCTGTAGAAAATAAAATCTAGGATTTGTTTAACCATCCCTGTTATTGGCTTGAGGAAGTTATGAATAGCTTATAGTCTAAGAAACTGACTTACCTCCTTAGAATAAATCATGCCTAGGTTATAAACTTTACTTAGAAAAATTAGGATTTAAAAAAAATCTTACGATCTTTCTAAACTAAAATACTAAATACATATATAAAATCAGTTGCAGAGCTATCATTATCTTTAAAACACAACGAATAGTCATACACCTATGGAATAAGGGCAGAAATATAGGGAAATTATTATTTCTTATTTGAGGAATTGTGAGAGGATTTCTTATTATACTTATGGGGCATAATAGTCTGCTTTAGTTTCCCACCCCCAACCCCTACCCACCCCCAGGAGAAGGCAAAGAAATATTGGTTATTTTGATCTAATTCTAAAGAGATACCCCAAAAAGCAGCACAGAGATCTACAACTGCAAAATATGTAGAGTCACAGTCAGGAGGTACTAACAATATTCAAATTCTGGCTTTGTAATATAGCAAAACAAAATGACTATTATATTGATTTATGACCCTCGGGTCATAAACAAACCTATATCTCTGCCCTTCCCGTTGTGTGTTTGACAGGGAGAGCAGAAATACTATAAGAACTAGGGAAAGTATGATAGGCCTAGTGTTGAATCTGTACTTCAGATTTATTGCTGAATAGAAATGGTAAGATTGGATATTTTTGCTTGATGCCTGATCTAGGTATAAAGCATTCGGTCTTTCACTATTAAGTATAATTTAATTTTATGTGGCTTATTTGTAGATGCCCTTTTATTAGGTTAGATAATTCCCTTCTGTTCCTATTCCTAAATTTTTTTAATCATAAAAGGGTGATGGATTTTGTGCAATGATATTTGTGTCTATTGAAATGATCATGTCTATTTTTGTCCTTAATTCTATATATTATGTATTAAATTAATTTATTTTGGGATGTTAAATGTACTTTTAGATGCCAAGAAGAATTGCCACTTCATCATTATATGTATTCTTTTTAAAATTGTTGCTGGTTTAAGTTTGCTAGCATTTAGTTGAGGATTTTTATGTCTATATTCATGAATGATATTGGTCTGTATTTTTCTTGTGAAGTCTTTACTGGGTTTTGGTATCAGGGTAATAATAACCTCATAGGATGAACTGCAGAGTGTTCCATCCTCTTCTATACTTTGAAAGAAACTGTGAAATGTTAGTACTAATTATTCTTGAAATGTTTTGTAGATTTCAACATTGAAGCCATCTGGCCCTGAAATTTTATTTTGTTGTTGGAAGTTTTAAAATTATTATATCAACCTTTTACTCGTTTTAAATCTATTCAGATTATCTATCTATTCTTCAGAAGACTTGGTAGTTTGAATCTGTCTAGGAATTTGGCCACTGCATCAAAGTTATAACTTGTTAATATAGAATTATGGATAGTATTATTTTACTATAATTTTTGTATTTTTATAAAGGCAATAAAATGTCTTTATTTTCATTCTTGATTTTGATTCAAGTCTTCTGTTGTTTTTTTTTTTCCTCTTGGTCTAGCTAAAGGTATTTTATTATATTTATTTTAGTTTTTCAAAAATACGTTTTTATTTTATTAATTTTCTCAAGATTTTTAACCATTCTCAATTTTAATAATATCAATTTTAAACTTTTTTATTTCCTTTTGATGGTTTTAGGTTTAAATTTCTCTTCTTTTTCTAGTTTTTGTGGTGTAAGCATAATTATTAATTCTTTGTCCTTATTTTTTAACATAGGAGTTTATATTTATAAAGCATGACTTTTTTTTGCATAAGGTTTCGTATGTTGTGGTTTTATTTTTTTAATGTCAAAGTATTTTTAAATTTCCCTTATGACTTATTCTTTGACTCATTGGCAATTTGGGAGGGTATTTTTAATTTTTACATACAGTCACTTGTTACATAAGAATGTTTTGGTTGACACAGGACTTCATATATTACTGTTGTCCCGTAAGATTAAAATGAAGTTGAAAAAATTCTGTTCCCTAGGGATGTTGTTGTTGTCATACTGTTGTAGCATATAATATACTTATCTTTCTGTGTTTAGATATTTAGTACATGAATGCCATTGTGTTACAATGTTTAGATATTTAGTCCATGAATAGCATTATGTTATAATTGCTACAGTATTTAGTGCAGTATCATGCTATATAGGTTTGCAGCCTAGGAGCAACAGGCTATACCATATAGCCTAGTTGTATAGTAGCCTGTATTAATTAGGTTTCTCTGAGTACACCCTATGATGTTTGCATAACTACAAAATCACCTAATGAGCCATTTTTCAGTGCATATTCCTATCATTAAGTGATACATGACTGTATTGTGAATTACCTAAGTTTACCTATCATTTGATGTTTTACTTAATTTTATTGTGGTCAGAGCACATAATACATATGATTTTAATGTGTTTTAGTTCATTGAGGCTTGTTTTATGGTATATTATGTGGTCTATTTTGGAGAATGTTTCATAAATACATGAGAAGAATATATATTCTGCTGCTGCTGGGTGGGGTGTTCTGAAGATGTTTGTTAGGTTTAGTTGGTTTATAGTGTTCAAGTCTTCCATTTCCTTTTTGATCTTCTGTCTGGTTGTTCTCTTATTTAAAGTAGGCATTTAAGTCTCCAACTATTACTTTTGAATTATTTATTTATTCCTTTAATTCTGTCTGGTTTTACTTTATGTATTTTGAGTCTTTGTGTTAGAGGCTTGCATAATTTATTGTTATATATTCTTGATCAATTGACCTTATTATCATTACTATAAAATATCCTTTTTTGTGTCTAGTAGCACTTTCTGTAACTACTTATATAACACTTTTAGTTACTTAAGGGAACTTTAACATTTACAGTCTAGTTTATCTGATTTTAGTATAGTTGTCCCAGTTCTCTTTTAAATACTCTTTCCATACTTATACATTCTTTCATTATTTTATTCATTCTATTTCTGATAAGCTCTATATTTTCATTTTAGTGGCCAATTTCCATTTAATTTAATTACTGAAAAGGTAGGTTTTATGTCTGTTTTTCTGTTAATGATTTCGATATGTCTTCTGTCATCTTTGTTCCTTTATTTCTCGATCCCTTCTTTCTGTGTGTGTGTTAAATAGATATTTTCAAGTGCACCCTTTTATTTTGCTTTTCTTTCCTTTATCTTTTTGAATTATTTTCTTAGTGGTTGCCTTGAAAATTAAAATTAGCATCTTAAAACAATCCATTTTGGAATGACACTAACATAATTTCAATAATATAGAAGAACTTTGTTTAAATATTTTATCATTCTCTCCCTCTTTTTTTTCTTTATTGCCATATAAGTTGTGTCAGGCCTCTGAGCCCAAGCCAAGCCATCGCATCCCCTGTGACTTGCACCTATATGCCTAGATGGCCTGAAGTAACTGAAGAATCACAAAAGAAGTGAAAATTCCCTGCCCCGCCTTAACTGATGACATTCCACCACAAAAGAAGTGAAAATGGCCGGTCCTTGCCTTAAGTGATGACATTACCTTGGGAAAGTCCTTTTCCTGGCTCATCCTGGCTCAGAAAGCACCCCCACTGAGCACCTTGCAACCCCCACTCCTGCCCACCAGAGAACAAACCCCCTTTGACTGTAATTTTCCTTTACCTACCCAAATCTTATAAAATGGCCCCACCCCATCTCCCTTCGCTGACTCTCTTTTCGGACTCAGCCTGCCTGCACCCAGGTGATTAAATGCTTTATTGCTCACACAAAGCCTGTTTGGTAGTCTCTTCACACGGACGCGAGTGAAAAGTTGTATATGTATAAATTTTAAGACTATCAGTGCAGTTTTATGAAGTTTATGTAGTTGTCTTTTAAAATAGAAAGAAAAGGACATTATTAAAACTATAAATATGTCTATATTTTCTTTTGTAAATTCTTTATAGTTACCTTTACTGGAGATCTTTATTTCTCCGTGTGGATTTGACTTACTGTATAGTGACTTTTCCTGTAACCTAAAGAATTCTTTTCAGTATTTTTTGTAGGACAGATCTACCAGCAAATATTTATCCCATGTTTTGTTTATCTGGAAATATTTCAATTTACCTTTTATTTTTGAAGGAGAGTTCAGCTGAATTTAGAATTTTTGACTGGGGATCTTATTCATGAAAAATCATTCTTTTTACAGCTTGCAAGACTTTCCTTTGTCTTTATTGTTACTGCGAGTATTATGACACTATGTGAAACACTCTGTCAGTTTTTGTTTGTTTGTTTTTGGTTTGCTTTTTTCACTAGAGATAGGATCTCATTGTGTTGCCCAGGCTTGTCTTGAATTCCTGGACTGAAGCAATCCTCCTGCCTTGGCTGTCTCAATTACAGGCATGAACTATTGTACCTGGCCTCAGTTTAGTTTACTATGACGTTGATGAGTTTGTTTTATGTGTACATTAATATTTGTCGTCATATTTAGAAAATTTTCATCAATTTTTTTCAAATATGTTTTATGTCCCCCTTTCTTTTCTCCTTCTGAGAATTCCAGTATGTATTTGTTGATACATTTTTTTAAGTTCAGCAATTACTTTTTTTTGCATTTTAATTTTCAAATTTTTCTAATTATAATTGGTACGTAATAGATGTATATATTAATGGGGTGGCATGTGATGTTTTGATATAAGCATATAATGTGTAATAATTTTATCAGGGTAATTGAGGTATCCATCAACTCAAGCATTTATTATTTCTTTGTGTTAGGAACATTCTATTTCCACTCTTTTAGTCATTTAAAAATATACAGTATAATATTGTTGACTAAGGTCACCCTGTTTTGCTATCAAATACTAAATCTTATTCATTCTACCTTACCATATTTTTACACCCATTATCCATCACCACTCCCTCCCCGACCCCCACCACACCCCTACCTCTTTCAGCCTCTGCTATCATTCTACTCTCTATGTCTATGTCCATGAAATAAATTGTTTTAATTTTCAGTTCTGCATATGAATGAGAGAACATGCAAATTTGTCTGGCTTATTTCACTTAATAAAATGTCATCCAGTTCCCTAATGCTGTTGTAAGTCACAGGATTTTATTTTTCATGACTGAATCATATTCCGTTGTCTATAACACCTTTTCTTTATCCTTTCATCTGTTTATGGACACTTAGGCTGATTCCAAATCTTGGATTTTGTGAACAATCCTGCAATAAACATAAGAGCACAACTATCTCTTCGATATACTGATTTCCTTTCTTTTGGATGTATACCTAGCAGTAGGATTGCTGGGTTGAATAGTAGTTGTATTTGCATTGTTTTGGAAACTTCCATACTGTTCTACACAATGTCTCTCCCAATTTACATTCTCACTAACAGTGTATGAAGACTCCCCTCTCTCCACACCC
Organism: Homo sapiens; assembly: GCF_000001405.40. Taxonomy (NCBI): domain Eukaryota; kingdom Metazoa; phylum Chordata; class Mammalia; order Primates; family Hominidae; genus Homo; species Homo sapiens. The sequence continues at coordinate 56,112,021 of NC_000013.11, forward strand.
TTGCCAGCATTCATTATAGCACGTATTTTGGATAAAAGCCATTTTAACGAGTTCTGATGATACCTCATTGTCGTTTAATTTGTATTTATCTGATGATTAATAATGTTGAAAAATTTTTTTTGTATACATGTTGGCCATTTGTATGGCTTCTTTTGAGAAATATCTATTGAGATTTTTTACCCATTTTTAATTCGAGTTATTTAATTTTTTCTTATTAGTTTTTGAGCTTCTTATATATGCTGATTATGAATCTTTTGTCAGATAGATGGTATGAAAATATTTCCCCCCATTCTGTGGTTTGTGTCTTCACTTTGTTGATTGTTTCCTTTGCTGTGCAGATGCTTTTTATCTTGATATGATCCAATTTATCCATTTTTCTTTTGTTGCCTTTCATGCGCGTCTGTGTGAAGAGACCCCCCAAACAGGCTTTGTGTGAGCAACATGGCTGTTTATTTCACCTGGGTGCAGGTGGGCTGAGTCCAAAAAGAGTCAGCGAAGGGAGATAAGGGTGGGGCCGTTTTATAGGATTTGGGTAGGTAAAGGAAAATTACAGTCAAAGGGGGTTTGTTCTCTGGCGGGCAGGAGTGGGGGTCACAAGGTGCTCAGTGGGGGTGCTTTCTGAGCCAGGATGAGCCAGGAAAAGGACTTTCACGAGGTAATGTCATCAGTTAAGGCAAGGACCGGCCATTTACACTTCTTTTGTGGTGGAATGTCATCAGTTAAGGTGGGGCAGGGCATATTCACTTCTTTTGTGATTCTTCAGTTACTTCAGGCCATCTGGGCAAGTCACAGGGGATGAGATGGCTTGGCTTGGGCTCAGAGGCCTGACATTCCTGCCTTCTTATATTAATAAGAAAAATAAAACAAAATAGTGTTGAAGTGTTGGGGTGGCGAAAATTTTTGGGGGTGGTATGGAGAGAGAATGGGCGATGTTTCTCAGGGCTGCTTCAAGCGGGATTAGGGGCAGTGTGGGAACCTAGAGTGGGAGAGATTAAGCTGAAGGGAGGTCTTGTGGTAAGGCGTGATATTGTGGGGATGTTAGAAGAAACATTTGTCATATAGAATGATTCGTGATGGCCTGGTACGGTTTTGTATGAATTGAAAAACTAAATGGAATAACAGAAGGAGAAAAACAGGTATAAAAGGTCTAAGAATTGGTACGACTCAGGATATCTGATTAGAGAGTGCTTAAGGAGATTCGGCATAGTCCTGCCAGCAAAGATTATTTATTTACTTCAAGAGTTAAGAGTGGCAGTTTGGGGATAGCACCAGGAGATATCAGCTGTGATGGCTTGGAAAAACAGTGTAAACCGGCAGTGTAAACAAGAGCAAGGCATGTATGAGTAGTTGAGAACGGTGAATAGGAGTATGACTAGACAGAAAATAGTAGGGATGACAAGTTTTTTTTTGGCGGGGGGGTACAGTCCAAGTTGGTCTGGTGTCTGGAATGAGACTGGGGCCTAATAAAAAGGAGCGTCTATACAGGAGCTTAAATGGACTGTACCCTGTAGCATTCCGAGGACAGGCCTGAATTCTGGGAAGGGAAAGTGGTAAAAGTATTGGTCCTTTTTAAGTTGGTGGCTGAGCTTGGTGAGGTGTGTTTTTAAAAGACCTTTAGTCCATTCTACTTTTCTTGAAGACGGAGGACCATAAGGGATATAAAGATTTCACTGAATACTAAGAGCCTGAAAAACTGCTTGGCTGATTTGACTAATAAAGGCTCGTCTGTTATCAGACTGTATTGAGGTGGGAGGGGTAAACTGAGGAATTATGTCTGACAGAAGTGAAGAAATGACTGTGGTGGCCTTCTCAGACCCTGTAGGAAAGGCCTTTACTTATTCAGTGAAAGTGTCTATTTAGACTAACAGGTATTTTAGTTTCCTGACTCGGGCATGTTGAGTAAAGCTAATTTGCCAGGCCTGGGTGGGGGCAAATCCTGGAGCTTGATGTGTAGGGAAGGGAGGGGGCCTGAATAATCCCTGAGGAGTAGTAGAATAGCAGATGGAACACTGAGAAGTTATTTCCCTGAGGATAGATTTCCACGATGGAAAGGAAATGAGAGGTGCTAAGAGGCAGGCTAGTGGCTTGTACTATAGCATAACCTGCCTTTGCTGGTGTGTGGCGATTAGGCCTGGTGGAACCGCCATCAATAAATCAAGCGTGATCAGGGTGAGGAACAGGAAAGAAGGAAATTTGGGGAAATGGGGTGAATGTCAGGTGGATCAGAGAGATACAGTCATGGGGGTCAGGTGTGGTATCTGGAATAATGTGGGAGGCAGGATTGAAGTCCAGGCCAGGAACAACGGTAATTGTGGGAGACTCAACAAAGAGTGAGTATAGCTGAAGGAGCCGGGAAGCAGAAAGTACATGCATCAGGTATGAGGAAGAAAATAGATTTTGGAAGTTATGAGAACTGTAGAGTGAGTTGAGCATAGTTTGTGATTTTGAGGGCCTCTAAAAGTATTAAAGCAGCGGCAGCTGCTGCACGCAGACATGAGGGCTAGGCTAAAACAGTAAGGTCAAGTTGTTTGGACAGAAAGGCTACAGGGTGTTGTCCTGGCTCTTGTGTAAGAATTCTGACCGCACTAACCACGCCTAGGAAGGAAAGGAGTTGTTGTTTTGTAGGAGGTGCTGGGGTTTGAGAGATCAGTCAGACATGATTGGCAGGGAGAGCACGTGTGTTTTTATGGGAATTATGCCGAGATAGGTAACAGATGAGGAAGAAATTTGGGCTTGATTGAAGTAATGGGGGCTGTCTGTGAAGCTTTGCGGCAGTACAGCCTAGGTAATTTGCTGAGCTTGATGGGTGTCAGGGTCAGTCCAAGTGAAAGCGAAGAGAGGCTGGGATTAAGGGTGCAAAGGAATAGTGAAAAAAGCATGTTTGAGATTTAGAACAGAATAATGGGTTGTAGAGGCACGTATTGAGGACAGTATATGGGTTTGGCACCACAGGGTGGATAGGCAAAACAATTTGGTTGATAAGGCGCAGATCCTGAACTAACTTGTAAGGCTTGTCTGGTTTTAGGACAGGTAAAATGGGGGAATTGTAAGGAGAGTTTATAGGCTTTAAAAGGCCATGCAGTAGCAGGCGAGTGATAACAGGCTTTTAATCTTTTTAAAGCGTGCTGTGGGATGAGATATTGGCATTGAGTGGGGTAAGGGTGATTAAGTTTTAATGAGATGGTAAGGGGTGCATGATCGGTCGCCAAGGAGGGAGTAGAGGTATCTTATACTTGTGGGTTAAGGTTGGGGGATACAAGAGGAGGACGCAAAGGAGGCTTTGGATTGGGAAGAAGGGTGGCAATGAGATATAGCTGTAGTCCAGGAATAGTCAGGGAAACAGATAATTTAGTTAAAGTGTCTCAGCCTAATAAGGGAACTGGGCAGGTGGGGATAACTAAAAAGGAGTGCTTAAAAGAGTATTGTCTAAGTTGGCACCAGAGTTGGGGAGTTTTAAGAGGTTTAGAAGCTTGGCCATCAATACCCACAACAGTTATGGAGGCAAGGGAAACAGGCCCTTGAAAAGAAGGTAATGTGGAGTGGGTAGCCTCCGTATTGATTAAGAAGGGGACGGGCTTACCTTCCACTGTGAGAGTTACCTGAAGCTCCGCATCCGTGATGGTCTAGGGGGCTTCCGAGGTGATCCGGCAGTGTCAGTCTTCAGCCGCTAAGCCGAGAAGATCTGGGAAGGAGTCAGTCAGAGAGGCTTGGGCCAGAGTTCCAGGGGCTCTGGGAGTGGCTGCCAGGTGAGTTGAACAGTCCGATTTTCAGTGGGGTCCCACACAGATGGGACGCAGCTTAGGAGGAATCCTGGGCTGCAGGCATTCCTTGGCCCAGTGGCCAGATTTCTGGCACTTGTAGCAAGCTCCTGGGGGAGGAGGTTCTGCAGGAATGCCTGGCTGCTGCGGTTCAGGTGTTTGGAAGTTCTTGTGTGCTGGAGATGTGGCTGGGGTTTGTCTCACAGTGGATGCAAGGAATTGCAACTTTTTTCTGTTATTGTACACCTTGAAGGTGAGGTTAATTAAGTCCTGTTTTGGGGTTTGAGGGCCAGATTCCAATTTTTGGAGTTTTACTTAATGTCGGGAGCAGATTGGGTAATAAAATGTATTTTGAGAATAAGATGGCCTTTTGACCTTTTAGGGTCTAGGGCTGTAAAGCGTCTCAGGGTTGCTGCCAAACAAGTCATGAACTGGGCTGGATTTTTATATTTGATGAAAAAGAGCCTAAACGCTATCTGATTTGGGATAAAGAAAAAGGAGCATTAACCTTGACTATGCCTTTGGCTCCAGCCACCTTTTTAAGAGTAAATTGCTGGGCAGGTGGGGGAGGGCTAGTCACGGAACGAAACTGTAAGCCGGACCAGGTGTGAGGAGGGGAGGTGATAAAAAGATTATAGGGTGGAGGAGCAGAGGCTGAGGAAGAATTGGGACCTAGCTCGGCCTGGCGAGGAGCAGCCTGGGGAGGAAGGGAGAGGTCAGATGGGTCTGCAGAAAAGGAAGATTAGAAAGACTCAGCGACGCTTGGGGTTGGTACTGAGGGGACAGGTGGGAGGGAAAGAAGGAAGATTTGGGACGAGTTGCACTGGGCACAGAGACTAGGAAGGGACTGATGTGTAAAAGAATGCCTAGACGTCAGGCACCTCAGACCGTTTGCCTATTTTACGACAAGAATTATTTAGATTTTGCAGGATGGAAAAATTCAAAGTGCCATTTTCTGGCTATTTGGAACTACTGTCGAGTTGGTATTGGGGACAAGCAGCATTGCAGAAGAAAATAAGGCATTTAGGTTTTAGGTCAGGTGTGAGTTGAAGAGGTTTTAAGTTTTTGAGAACACAGGCCAAGGGAGTAGAAGGAGGAATGGAGGGTGGAAAGTTGCCTATAGTGAAGGAAGCAAGCCTAGAGAAGAGAGAGAGTAGAGAAATGGAGGGAAGGGGTTCGGGGGTTCTTACCTCCCAGAAAAGTGGGAAAAGGGGTTGGGGCACAGAGATAAGAGGTCAGGGCACAGAAATAAGGGATTGGGGCACAGAGATATAAGAGGTTGGGGCGCAGAAATAAGGGATTGGGGCACAGAGATAAGAGGTCGGCGTATGGAAATAAGGGATTGGGGCGCAGAGATAAGAGGTCGGGGTATGGAAATAAGGGATTGGGGCACAGAGATAAGAGGTTGTGGCGCAGAAATAAGGGATTGGGGGTTCTTGCCCCGTAGAAAAGCGGGACTTGCCGCTAAGGGTGAAGGAGAAAGGGTTGAGGGGTACTTGCCCCTCTCCCAGAAAAGCAGAGAAGGGGTAGAGACAAGGAGAGAAGGGGTTGGGGTACTTGTCCCTTCCTCAGAAAAGCGGGACTTGCCGCTAAGGGTGAAGGACCAAGGCAGGTGTCCCTGCGTGGTCTGACACCCTTGAAATGTGGGTGTATAATCAGAGAGGTGTCCCTGCAATGATTAAACACCAAGAGAAGGCTGCCTTCCCAGTCCGTGACTGGCACCGGAGTTTTGGGTCCACGAATAAAATGCATCTCCTTTGTCTCTCCTAGAAAATGAAAGGAATTGAAATTAAGAGAAGGGAGAGATTGAAGATTGGAAAGGAGAAAGTGGTTGAGGGACAGTGAGAGAGGTTGGAGAAGAGAGTAAGAAGAGGCCGCTTACCTGATTTAAAATTGGTGAGATGTTCCTTGGGCTGGTAGGTCTGAGGACCTGAGGTCATAGGTGGATCTTTCTCACGGAGCAAAGAACAGGAGTACAGGGGATTGATCTCCCAAGGGAGGTCCCCTGATCTGAGTCACGGCACCAAATTTCATGCGCATCTGTGTGAAGAGAGCACCAAACAGGCTTTGTGTGAGCAGCATGGCTGTTTATTTCACCTGGTTGCAGGCGGGCTGAGTCCGAAAAGAGAGTCAGTGAAGGGAGATAAGGGTGGGGCCGTTTTATAAGATTTGGGTAGGTAAAGGAAAATTACAGTCAAAGAGGGTTTGTTCTCTGGCGGGCAGGAATGGGGGTCACAAGGTGTTCAGTGGGGGTGCTTTTTGAGCCAGGATGAGCCAGGAAAAGGACTTTCACAAGGTAATGTCATCAGTTAAGGCAAGGACCAGCCATTTACACTTCTTTTGTTGTGGAATGTCATCAGTTAAGGTGGGGCAGGGCATATTCACTTCTTTTGTGATTCTTCAGTTATTTCAGGCCATCTGGGCGTACACGTGCAAGTCACAGGGGATGCGATGGCTTGGCTTGGGCTCAGAGGCCTGACATTGCCTATGCTTTTGAGGCATTACTCAAGAAGTCTTTGCCCAGACTAATGTCCTGGAGAGTTTCTGCAGTGTTTTCTTTTAGCAGTTTCATAGTTTGAGGTCTTAAGTTTCAGTCTTGAATCTATTTTGATTTGATTTATATATATGTGAGAGATGGGGTCTAGTTTTAGTTTTCTACGTATGGATATCCAGTTTTCTTGGAACCATTTGTTAAAGAGACTGTCCTTTCCCCAATGTATGCTCTTGGTAACTTTTTTGAAAATAAGTTAACTGTAGATGTGTGGATTTATTTCTGGGTTCTCTCTTCTGTTCCTTTGTTCTATTTGTTGAGTCTGTGTTCATTTTACTTTGCTGTTTTTCTTTCTACTTCTCAGACTGGATATTCTCTACTGACTATTTTCAGTTTCCAGGTTCTTTCCTCGACTATTAAAAATCTATTGTTAAACCTCATTCATTTTGTTTTCATTTCCGTTATTTTACTTTTCTTCTTTATAATTTCTATTTGACTTATCTTAAATGATTTGTTTTTAAATTTTAAAATGTTTTTCTATTTGTAAGATATTGTAATTATACATTCCATAGATATAGTTTTTAGTTCTTTGACATATCCATAACAGCTGATTTAAAGTCTTTTTTTATTGAGTCCAAAATATTACCTCCCCAGCAGGACTTTCTGTTTGTTTCTTTTGTCTCGGAAAAAGTAAAACATGTAAGAAATACTTTATTCAAGGCTACCATAATAGGAGTGAGAGACCAGAATGTAGTCTAAACTCAACTCTGATAAAATAAGAGGCAGGAGGAGTTTTAAGAGCTGGGGATGAGGTGGATCATAGGCTGTATTTGATAATTGGTATTACACAAAGGTAAAGCAAACTTTCTCATATCTTTATGGGAGTGGGTAGTTTTACAGCTTGGATCAAGGTATCTATTGAAGTTAGGCTTCCTCTGTCCCACAGAAACTGATAAATAGTGCTATCTTTCTTGATGACTACTTTCAAAGAGGTAGCTTCCAGGTCATTGCAAAACAGTCCTGGTTATAATACTGACAAGAAGCTGTTTAAAAAGAAGTCTATCTTAGTGTGGCTAAGATGAAGGAAATGTTAAGGCTGGCTTGATCAATGATCAGCCAATGATTGATCAAATCTTTCTTAAATGACTATGTGTCTTACTCTCTGCAGTGGAGATCTATGTGCAAAGATACCTCTTCAAACTTCAGGCAGTTTACAAAATAGTCTTAGCTTTTACTTGCAGTTTTCGCAACACTTTCAAGCCAACTAGAGGTGAGTGAGTGGTGCCTTTTCCTTTCCCAGGTCTTATATGGGTGAGAATACAACTTAACGGCCAGGCATGGTGGCTCACGCCTGTAATCCCAGAACTTTGGGAGGCTGAGGCAGGTGGATTCAAGAGGTCAGGAGATCGAGGCCATCCTGGTTAACATGGTGATACCCCATCTCTACTAAAAATACAAAAAATTAGCCGGGCGTAGTGGCGGGCGCCTGTAGTCCCAGCTATTCAGGAGGCTGAGGCAGGAGAATGGCGTGAACCTGGGAGGCGGAGCTTGCGGTGAGCCAAGATCGGGCCACTGCACTCCAGCCTGGGCAACAGAGCGAGACTCTGTCTGGAAAAAAAAAAAAAAAAAACTTAACCTGGGATCCCCAGAAATATGTCAGAGATTTTCAGGGTTCCCTATTGTCATCAGGATTTCCTTTTAAATTTCTGCACAGATTCTTGTTTTCCTCAAATGAAATCACAGCCTTATGCAGGTAAATTTGCTATGATTTCAGGTAATACCCAGAGACCATAATTACCTCTGCCCCACCTTCCTACTACCCACTGTGCTGAGCTCTGAGTCAAATCAAATAGCTACCATATTCTCAAGGTAGAGATTTTCCTGAGGGTTCTAAGTTCAGACAAAAGATTGACAGTATTCTGGGTATAGTGCCTTTAACGAAGTTCTAAAAAAAAAATTCTATTTGTTTTCTGCAATGCTACTGTCTTTTGGCTATGACATCATTGAGCTGGGGAGGGAGAATATCTGGGGAAAGCCTGAAGAGAAATTTTATAGAACCTACTCTCTTACAGAGATTTAGTAATTTTTATTGCACACATAATTTTCAGCTCATTCTATAGCTTTGATTAATTGCCAGAATTGTGATATGATTAATTTAATTGCCTTTCCCACATTTTTGTTGTTGTAGAAAAATTGCAAGTTCACCGAGGTTCTCATTCAGCCATTCTGGAAGTTAATTTTTTAATGTTGTCCTTAAATATTTTGAGAAGATTGTCTTTTTAAGTTTAAGAGAACAGGAAAGCATGGTGTTTAATTTCCTTATTACCATCCTCATTGGTCACAAATTCCTCTTATATTCTTTGGCAGTACTTTACACTATTTTAAAAATCAATATCCCATTTACAGTATCTAGAGAAAATGTTTATTGACTAGGGTGAAAAATTTTATTTTATTTTTGTTTTGTTTTTATCTGTAAAGCTATCAGTCTATCTGAATGCTATCCTGTTTTGGTTCTAGGACTCTCAAAAAGTTCAGAAAGGTATTGGAAGATTGGTAATGAGATGACTTCTGATTTCAGTTTTTCTTCCATATTTAATTTTCTATTTCTTACTTAAAACCATTAGCAAAACTTGAGGAAAGCACCAGATCATACATATTTTAGGATTTACTCCTGAGCAGTGTTTATTCAAAAATGGTAAAGACCTTCCCCTAAAGTCTTCAGCATATTTAACCTTTTATTGCTTCTAGGACTTAATCATGGCAAAACTGCCTCATGGGAAAGACTTTGGAGATAACATCTGAAATAACATATCTAACATTATCAGTTTTTTCTTAACTACTTCTGATGTTCTATTCAGTTTGTAGCCTTTTAAAGCCACTTCTAGAATCTTCTATATTTTCCATTCAATTTTTGCAACTGAGATTTCTATTAACATATGAATTAACAGATATATATCCAAGAGTATTGGGTTATATATTCTTACAACTAATTTATATTTCTCTGAATAATTTCTATCTTTTGTAGATTTTTAAAAATATTTGTTTATGGCTTCCAGTTCAGAACAAGACCAAGTCTTAAAATGGTTCTTCCTTGTTCTAATCATGTTTTAACTTTACTGAACAATTGAGTGTTTTGGGGTTTTTGCTAGGTCAAAAGGGAAGGAGACCAGTTCAGAGGGAGGATTGGGGCAGAGGGAAATGTACAAGCAAAGAATGGGGAAAAAGTTTAATAAAATAAAGAAATGTAGCTGCTAATTCTTATACAGACGATTTAAAACAGAGATATTTTGTTTGTCTTGTTTTGTTTTGTTTAGTTTCCCTTTGGGTTGGCAAAGGAATAGCTTAAGACAGTAACTTTTAAGCCTGAATTTCTTCTGGATGTATTCTCAAACAAATACAAATGCACATCTTTGGTAGGATATTTTTTTCCCTTTTTTGTTTTGATCAAGGGGTTGAAAAACTCTCGGTAAGAAAACAGTCCTTTGATGTTATTTGTAAAGAAGTTGAAGGTTTCATATACATTTAAATGTGTTTTTTTAATTCTTCCCAGAAGTTTTTGGAAAAACAAAGTCATTTAAAATGTTAATCTTTTGTGCTAATGCTTTCAGAAATAATGAAGTTGTATCAATAAGCACAGTGAAATAGTAATGTTAAAGTAGGCAGAAAGCAAACTGTATTTGTGCAGTTGGTTTTATTTCTTAATGGAAATTTCCAGTGGACAGTTAATAATATAAATATATGCAACATTTTTCATAACTATGTTTTTATTCATAAAATGAAAGGATGACTTTATATCATAATTTACAGGTAATATTCTAGGTAGTTTTGTTCTGTTATGTAATTAACTTATGTTTGATATGTGCTGTAATTGTAGGGCTCTCAATACAATAAATGTGAGATACAAGTGCCTTTTATGGTAAATTTTAACTGGACTTATTACTATATTTTTTTAGAGATAGGGTCTCTATCTCCCAGGTTGGAGTGCAGTGGCACTATCATAGCTTTCTGTAGCCTCAAACCCTTGGGCTCAAGTTATCCTCTGACTTCAGCCTCCCAAGTATCTGGGACTATAGATCTACACCATCATGCCTGGCTAATTTTTAATTTTTCTGTAGAGATGGGGGTATCTCATCATCTTGCCAAGTCTGGCCTTGAACTCCTGCCTAGGCTTCCCAAAGTTCTGGAATTACAGGCCTGAACCACCTTACCTGGCCCTAAACTTATTCTAAGTGTTCATGAAGATACTTACGAAGTACATTGCTAACCTTCAGTGTTATTTTGCAAGCTGGTTATACATAAAGTTAAGTGTGGAGTTAACAGGGGAGTTAATGGGAAGATAAAAGGTAAGGGCCTGTTTAAAGATGGTATTGTAAAAATGAGCTTTCTTGAAGATAGTCACTCTCTGTTGCTGACTTACCTCAATGGCAAGGGTGATTTCATGAATTTCTAAAAGCTCAAGGAAACACACGTCTGCAGGAACTTCAGAATCCCATGAAAAAAAGTGTGTCAAAAGTAAATATAATAAAGTGCTTCTTTGATCTATATATTTAGCCATCAAGTGAAATATTTTGCTATTCTTAGAGACCAAAGGCAACTTTGCAATATATTTTATGCTTTTCAATATAATTTTATTTTTCCATGACTGTAATATGTAGATAAAATAGCATCTATATAAGAGGATCTTTTCAATTAATACACTTAGCCTAGTGCACATCATAATTAGTTTCTTAACTTTTACGTTTATCAATGTGCATATGAAAAGATTTCTAAATTTATCCCAACTGATATTATTATAAAGATCTTGGTTCCCACTGAATTTTCTAATGTAGAAGGACAACATTCATAAGCTGTTAGAAGCTGGTTATCTGCATTTTTACTCCTAGTTTTTCTTGGGATTTTATATATGGTTTACATTCATTTACCTAATTTGAGACTCTAAGAATATTTAATATAAAACTAAAGGAAGACCAAAAGCAATGGGTCACTTCAACAGTTGTCATTCTTCTCCAGTCTTTAAATGTGAGAAAGTGTGTTTTGTCATGTTGTCTCTCTTATTCCATAGCCCTTTTCTGCAGAGTCCCAAACAGCAAGCTTGGACCTGTGCCATTCTACTAGGAATGATTGGCAGTAGTTCCCATGTGCCCTTCACTCAGCCTCTTTGTCTGCCTATGTTTCTCCGTCTCTCTTTCTGCCTATGTCTGTTTTTCTCTGTTCTTACTATTTATAATATTATTATCAGTAGTAATGGCAGTATTCCATGGTTATTATCCTTAAATCTGTTAAATTTAAATTGCAACACACTCTGGAAATTTTACTTGTCCTTGCTTTAAGAATTGTATGATGTAAGTCTGACCTTCCCAGCCAGGAAGTTAGAAACCTACCTGTCAATGTATTTTGAAAAATATCAGATAGCATTCTATAATAGAATGTCCCATCTAGTATTTCTCATCACCTAAAATTTTGTTTGACAGTAGTGTGGTGTGATAGAGATGCCAGGAAAACCCAGGCTATATTCATCTTCACAATTCAATTACTATTATTAGTAGGGCAGGTGGAAAATCATCTGAGACATTTTTGTTTTAATATTCAGATAATCTTAAACACAATAAGTATAATTTACCAAACAATTATTCCCTAAACATTTTCTTAGGTAATTTTACATAATTCTTTTTAAACACTTTTTAGTAGATAGAGATGGTAAGCAACTTATGCAAAGTCACACAAGAAGATAAGAAGCATGTTTCAACTCATTTTCAAACACTTTAAATGATTTATAAATAAATGATATATTTGTCACAACATATGGTAAATTATTGAATCTGTCAATTACTTTTTTTAAAAGATGTGGTAAGACATATATAACATAAATTTTTCCATTTTAACCATTTTTTAGCATGCAATTCCATGGCGTTAATTATATTCACAATGTTATGCAACCATCACCACTATCTATTTCCAACTTTTTCATCACCCTAAACAGGAATTCTATAACTGTTAAGAAATAATTCCCCATTCTCCTTTCTCTCCCGCTAGCCCCTGGTCAATTCTAATCTACATTTTTTATCTCTATAAATTTATCTATTGTAGAAATTTCATGTAGGTGAAATCATACATAATTTTTCCTTTTGTGTCTGGCTTATTTTGTTTATCATATGTCTTCAAGGTTCACTCTTGTTATTGCATGTATGTAAACTTCACTCCTAGCCAAATACAATAATATTCCATTGTATGTATGTACCATATTTTGTTTATTCATTCATCTATTGATTAATACTAAAGTCGTTTTTACCTTTTGAGTATTATGAAAAATGCTGCAATGAAGATAGGCATACATGTATCTGTTCAAGTTCCTGTTTTGAGGTCTTCGGGTTATGTACCTAGAATTGCTGGGTCATATTTCAATTTTATATTTAGTGTTAGGAGGAACAGCCAAACTGTTTCCCACAGGAGAAACACCATTTTACATTCCCACTAGCAACTCTCCAGGGTTCCAATTTCTCCATATTCTTGCCATCACGTGTCATTTGCTGTTTTATTTATTATAACTATCCTAGTAAGAGTGAAATGGTATCTTACTGTGGTTTTGTTAATAAGTTCTTAATGAGTCCTTGGGGATAAACTTTGGGTCTTCACAACCTATCTTAATGCTTTTTATGAGACATCAATGCTGAAAATATATGCTCAATTCAACTAAGATATTAAAATGTATTTTGCTAAAATATTAGCAGACAAGGAAAATTATACCCATAGATGATTTACGTATATGGTAGGATTTGAGAATTATGCCTATGAGTGAGAATAATTGGAAATGAGTGAGAATAATTTAATTATTTTAAACATTTCTCCTAAGATGTATTATATCTAACATAATTGTTATAAAGCGTATGGATTTGTTGATGTGTTGACGGGTGAAAGAGGAGGAAATCTCTCTGGAAAGTGGGGCATCTCCAAGAATTACTTTCCAAGGGAGAGCAAAGGGGAACTCATTGAGAAGGGAGAACTTGCATGTGATTTTCTACAGAGGCACTAGTAGCCTTCTGGATATGACAATTCTTTGCTATATGCATATTTTTATTTAATTTTTCTTTTCCTCCTGAAGAAGAGAAAAAATCCTTTACTGTTTTGACTGTCTTATATTGCATTATCACCTGGCTTTATCAGCTTCCATCCAACTAAATGCCAACAACAACTTCCTAAGAAGTGCGATAACTTAAAATGCCCACACTTTGCACTCAAAAAAACATCCTTTGTAGGTTTAGATGTAACTGCTGGAGAAAAATTAGAAGCTACTTAACATCTAAAGTATAGGTCAGAAAAGAGTGAAATGTTACTAGTGACGGAAAGATTTTTATATTTGACTAATACATTCCTTACAAATGAGAACAGAAAATACCTTTAAAATGAGATTAGGTGTTTAGACTTTCTTTTCATAGGAGACTTATGGTGGGTTGCTCTAAATAATAACAGTAGATATTAGATTTAATGAACATTCTGTGAAAACAAGTGTTATAAAAAGATTCAAATATAAGTTATGCACACTAGAGGTAGCATTATTATTTGTCTTCCACAGTAAGGTATGCCATCACCACTACGAGGGCAGGGGCTGGTTATAATGTATTCATATTTGTGTATCTAGGAATGGCAGAATGCCCAAATCACAGCAGATGTTCTATTTAGAATATGGTCAATAAATGACTGTGTGAATGAAGAATGGGTTGAAATTATTGGGACTATTTTACGCTGTCTATTCTCCTGTTTACAAAGATTTTTTTTTCAATAAAACTTCACCCCTGGACATGTAAAATAAATTAATCCCTTCTTTCCTGTTTCCTGCATTCTCATCTTAGATTTTGAACAAACCACATATTCTGCAAACTTTATCTATTGGTGGCCCTTTGTCTCATCTTTGGGAGCTTCTTCCTCTGGTCTTGGTGTACCCAGCTGCTTTGAGATATTTTCTGAGATTTCAAAAGTTGCTTATAATATTAAATACATTTTGCTATTCTTTTCATTGAGTCCTAAGCTTAGAACTTCACCTCAATTATAATAGAAAAACTTTAGAGATGAATCACACTTTGTTTTTCATTTGTATAAATTAATTAACCAGAGTCTTTTCTAAATACTTCAGAAAGAGATGACATAGAGGGGGAAACAAAAGTTATCAAGAAGTCTAAGGGACAATTTAGTTGTTTATTCAACTGTGATTACTTTTAGTTTCTGAAATAGTTGAATGTCATTTTTTTCTAAGAATATAGAAACAATCATCCTATGTAGCATGAATGTTGCTTGCTTTCAAGTAAAACACCACTCAGGATTCAGTTTGGGGACTGGACGCCTGTACAACTAGGTCACCATTTCCCTGCACAGGTGAGAATTCAAATTGGTCACAAAATATCGCATACCCTTAAACAAAACTGCCAAGTGATAATTCAAGTCTGTTCATATTTGCAATCACATTACAGAACATGGAGGTGCAAAAGACATTTTCATATTGAAAAATTAGCACCAAATTATTCTACACTATTTAGATTTGTTAGTGTAGTAGGATTTCTTCTTCATAAAAAAGTCTACTTATTTACTTTAATTCATGTTTGTTAATCTGTCATATGGCCAGATATTTACTCGTTTTCATCCTCTCCTTTTTGTTGTTTGCATTCTTTTGAACAGTTGTCAGTTGTACTAGTCAGTTTTCACACTACTATAAAGAAATACCTGAGACTGGGTAATTTATAAGAAAAAAGGTTTAATTGACTCACAGTTTTGCATGGCTGGGGAGGCCTCAGGAAACTTACAATCATGGAAGAAGGGGGAGCAAACATGTCCTTCTTCAGAAGGCAGCAGGAGAGAAGAGTGAGAGCGAAAGAAGGAGAGCCCCTTATAAAACCATCAGATCTCATGGGAACTCACTCACTATCACAAGAACAGCATGGGAGAAACTGCCTCCATGATCCAATCACCTCGCACTAGGTTTCTGCCTAGACACGGGGGAATTATGCAGATTAAAACTCAAGATGAGATTTCAATGGGGACAAAAAGCCTAACCACATCATCAGTGAAATATGTTTTTAACTTAATAAAATTTAAGTGTGTTTTACCTACTCTTAACAATTAATCTATATTTTAGTTAATGTATATTCACTGAGTAAACTTTATATTTTCTAAAATTGCATGGTGAGTTTTCAAATTTTCATTTTTTATTTTCATTAATATTTAACTTCTAAGGCTGTCTGTGGTTATTTCTTTATTGATATTTCAATGTAAGTCTGAAAAGACAATGTAGCAGATAATACAAAATGGATTCTTGTTGAAAATCCCCTATAATGATAAATAAATAGTCCAATAACCATGAAATAGGGGAAACTATATAGAGGGAATTTCTGTATATGCTACTTTGCTGTTATCCACACCTTCACACCTCTTTTCAGATTTTGAGATTTTATATATATACACGTATATATGTATATATGTGTGTATATATGTATATATGTATATATATACACAGGGAATTTCTGTATATGCTACTTTACTGTTATCCACACCTTCACACCTCTTTTCAGATTTTGAGATTTTATATATATATATATACACACACATATATGTATATATGTGTATATATACACACATACATACACACATATATACATATATCTGAGATTTTTATGAGCATATATATATACATAAAGCATATGAAAAACATATTCACCAACCAATTCAATTCACTGATGCTAAGACATAACATTGAAATACTGACATTCATTGTCCATCACATTTATCTCTAAATGGAGACTCAGATATATTCATTAGCTCTTCTCAGACACAAAATCCATATCAAAATGAGTCAGATTAGATGAAGAAATAACATTGTCTAATAAGTCCTAGATAATCCATTGTGAAGACCTATTGTTAAATAAACTGCAAATTATTTATTGCTTACATTTCCTATGCTTCTGATGAATGGCATAAAGAGAGTTTTACCTCAGTGGCTAGATTTATCTAGGCTTATTTCTGGCATTCAGCAAAGGCATATAAGTATGTCTGTAGTTAATATAATTCTCATTATGAGATTACTGAAAACATTATAAAATCATAAAGAACTGGAACTTTTAGCAAAGCAGCAAATAATAAAAGTCTAACTAAGAAACTAAAAAGTATATATTTTGTTTACCTATTTTGAAGCTGTTTACCTGAGAAAAGTATGCCCAAAAATATTTGAATACTATGCTAATGGAAGCATTCAGCCTCTAAATTTTATACTATTATTTTATACATTTGTCTATTACCTATGATATAACAATTCAAATATGTAGTTAATATTATGGTACATAATGTGATTATGGTATACAACATTATAATATGTATTTTATAGTCATCCTAATTTTTCTACTATGTATGAAGCATGGGTTTCTAAAAATAATATTCTCAGAGCATCTAGATATGAATATTTGCTTGGTTAAAAATATAAGAGACACTTAATTCCTACAAGATAGGAAAATTGTTTTCTTCCTTAGGGGAATACTCTTTATTGTAATATGTAAAATAATAATATATTTAAGTCATGGAAAATGATGTATTCATTTTCTTTTGCACATTTTGCATAATATTTTCCTTTTATTTCTTAAGGTTCAATAGGTTTAGAATATATTTCCCTCTATGTATCTTTTAGCTTTGATTTAACTCCTTTAGTTGTGTGTTTCTCAGTACAATAAAGACTTGCCTTTAGTCAACTGTTGAGGTACACAGAGAAATTTATTTCATTTGATTAAACATGTTTTATTTGCCCTTGAATGATTACTAAATATAATATTTTTAAGAAAAACATAGCTAAATGGCTCATGATAAACTGTAGTATCTGACGTTCAGTTCAGTTCATTAAAGGCAGATAACTATGTAATTGCTGACACCTGTCCCAGTTTTAAGTCTGAGTTTCAGTGTTTCAATTCCTGCTGTCTTTCTTGCTCAGGTTTCTGAGACTTTCAGCACTCAATACCATATATAGCTTTTTTGGGGGAGGTGGGTGGTCCAAGAAGAATTCTTTTGTACCTTTTATTCCAAGATGAGTAAAACACCTCTAGCTGGGACATACACCACTCCTATTAAATAAGCAGACTTTGCTTACGAGGAGCTACTGGATCTATCTAGGTAAGACCCTTGTTTTGTGGTTACACTGATAGTTTGTCTGGTGGAGAGGAGAAGAAAATGGGACAAAGATAAAAGAAAAATGGAGATTGCTGGAAATCATCATAATTTTAATTTTTTAAGGCTACTTTTTAAAGTTATCAGGAACAACTAAGGCAAAATCATGAAAACTCAGTTTTCCTGATCTACCAAGTGAAGCCATCATCCTTCATCATTTAAGGGTATCAGCTACAAATATTAACTCCACAGTCAGACTACCTAGTAAATCCTAGCTTAAACACTAACTCTATGATCTTTCATAAGCTATTTACACTCTGCGTCCTACTTTCCTAATATTTAAACAAACAGAATAATAATCTTGAGCAATAATAGCACTGTTTTATTGATTAAATGGGTTCTTATCAGTAGAATATTCAGCATCTGGCACATAGTTATTACCCAATAAATGTTAGTTATTATAGCATATTTCTGTCCCTTTGAAGCTTATAAACATTCAAAGGAATAAAGAATGCTATATGTCATCTTCTGTCAATAAAATGAGTACTACACTGGTGAAAGTTTGATGTCGCCATAAATTATAAGTAACTAAAGAAAAATAAAAATACTAGACAAAATTTTGAACTCTTATCCCAATGCTCTGCTACAGCAAAGAACATAGGGTAGCTGAATAATTAAGATATATTTAAGGATATAATATCTATATATAAAAACTATGGTCATGTTAGATATTGAGATTCTGTCAGTCATTTTATTTTCTGATAGTTTTTAAAAGGCTTTTGCTCTTAATAAATGTTTGCAATCACATGTGCATCATTTTAACATGATTCTTAGTATAATATATAATATCTGAGTAGATATAGATAGATAATGATAGAGATATTGAAATATGCCTATTTCCAGTGACTACAAATTGTTATGAAGGCAAACACCCTTTTATGACATGTTTCATATATTAAAAAACAAAACTACAAGTCACAAAATTTTACTTGGTAGGAATGAATTATCCACCCCTCAGTGTGGAGGGTTTTACCATCACTAAAACTTTAGTCATTATGCTAAGTGTGCATCGTCTATTTTTACAAAGTTTCTTTCTAATCCATGCTGAAACAATGGCACATTCTTTTTGGATCATTTTCTTAGTAAGTTATTTTACATTAAATTCATGAAATTAACTTATTTGACATAGTATTTCAGTAATTTTTAACTGTATTATTTTGTATATTTTAATTAATATATAAATATAAATTACATTTTTTTTACATACAGCATGTTGTTTTGTTATATATATATATTGTGGAATGGCTAAATTGAGCTAAATTTTTATTGCAACAAAGTTCTAAATATTATCCTATATTTTGGACCACAGATACAAAAATACATAAAGTTCTTACATACTGACAAAATTTGAGATTTAAAAAGTAATGCACTTGAGTTGAAGTATTTTTATTGCCAACTTTGAATTCTATTTTTAGTTGTATTATAATACAGATTTTTTTCTAGTTTAAGTAATTAAAAAAAAATAAAAATTTCCAGTTAACATAACCTTAAAATAAAGCAAACTTCCTCTGAGCTGTAAAGGGTAAAATTATCAGTATAAGGATTATACTAAACCAAGTACTTGTAAAACATTTTGGCCACTATATCATCTGAAGGCAAATCTTTATCAATTTGTGCATATAAGTGTTCAAAAGATATCATTATCCTTGAATAACAAGAAAATGACAACTCAAAGTGATCTAATTATTTTATGGTTAAATATACTGCCAATACTGCAGAGTAAAGCAACACTGATATAATACCAGTTTTTGCATTCTTCATATCACTGCTAGAGATCAATATTTGTTTGGTATTCTATGAAACACCTGCATTTCTTTCACAGAAAATACCAATGAATATCTATTTTTCCACAATGGAAAAATGTTCTATTATATTTTGTTAAAAATTGATATAATTTCATCATCCTCAGTCAAATGTAATTCTTTCTGATTGTATATGCATAGGATTGATTGCATATCTTGTGTGAGAAAAACAACAATCATACTGATGTAAAAAAAGTTTTAAATACACCAAAAATTCTTAAGGTACATTTACTTTATTGATCTTAGATATGGAATGTACATTAAAAAATGTATGTCTTTGTGAATGTATGTTTACAAGATAGGATTTTCTGTTGCATGCAACAGAAATGGTTTCGGAATAATGTAAACATTAGGAGACTATGCTGATTGTTAATATGCTGATTGATAATAGGATAGCTAATAAAGTCGCCAGTAAAATAGGAAGACAAGGCTTAGAAAAAGAGGAAGGAAATGGAGATTCTAAAGAATAAGAGCTGTTGTCACAATCATATGATAGAAGCAGTCTATGAGTACCATCTCGCCGCAAATGTACACAGGTTGCCTCAGCTTTCGTCACCACTACAAATATCACCAAGCATACATTGCCTATGCTGGTACCTTTGCTACAGATGTCCCTCAAAAGTGATATGGCTGCCATCATTGCCACTGTTGAATACCTTCATTGTCCCTGCTTATTTTATTTTTATAATTTTAACTATTATTTTAGATTCATTGGGTATATGTGCAGGTTTGCCTGCTTATTTTAATCACTAAGAAAGATTCAAAGCTCCATGTGAGCATGTATGTCTGACAAAAACATATAGTAGGGAGAGTCTCCATACATAAGAAGAGGATTCAGTTGTTTTGCACCAAAATGAAGAGAAATATCCAGTCTGTTCCATATTATGGGATGCAAAAACCAATTTCCACCATTTTTTCTAGATTTCAATTCCAATTATAAAAGCAAACAAAATGCATTCATAATAAAACATGGCACTATCAACAATAGCCAAGTTATGAAATCAAGTGTCCATCAACAGACAAATGGATTAAGAAAATGTACTATATATACGCAATGAAATACTATTTAGCTTTGAACAAGAAGTTTTGCCATTTACAACAGTATGGATGGAACTGGAGAACAATATGCTATGTCAAATAAGCCAGGAATAGAAAGATAAATAGTACATGTCTTCACATATGTGGAATCTAAAACAATCAAACTCTTAGAAGGCAAGAGTAGAATGGTGGTTGCTAGAGGCAGAGGCTGAGGGAGGGGGTGGTGGTCGACAGAGGAATGGAGAGATGGCCAAAGGGCACAAAGCCTCAGAAAGGAGGAATACTTTGGATTTTTTTTTTTTTTTTTGAGATCTATTGCACAGCATGGTGAATATCATAAATAACAGTCTGTTGTACATTTCAAAATAACTAAAACAGTAAATTTCAAATGTTCTCACCATTAAAAAATGGTACATATTTGAGGTGATGGATATGTTAATTAGCTTGATATATTCTACATTGCATTCGTAAATTTTAATATCACTTTGTACCCCATAAATATATGCAATGTACATTTGTCAATTACAAGAAAAAAGAATAATCTCTTTGCAACGATTCCTCACAAAACTGAATAAGAATTAACTCCCTTTCCAAAGAGAAGGAAGGAAGGAAGGAAGGAGAGGGAGGGAGGAAGGAAGGAAAGAGAAGCAATCAAACAAACAAACAGTATACAAATATGTATCTTGCTGCATTCAGGTTGAAGTTTAGGATCTCTAGGTGATACTAATCTCATCTCTGGTTTTAGTTCTGGTACCATCCTTTTATTCTTCAGCATGTAGAGAAAAATGTTAAGAGATCACAAAAAGAGAATTTGTGTTGAATATGGAAGTTTTGATTTTTCAGCAATTATAAACCTTTAGAGGTCAAACTTGTATAAAATTAAAGTTAACTTTCATTAGGAGATTCCTATGTTATATTTCTTTTCCTCCCTTTGTTGTATAAAAACAACTTTATTTGCTTTAGATGATTAAGATCAATCACCCCAGTCAAAAACTATAACCTCCATTGATTTCTTCTCACTCAGAGATGGAAGGGAACCAAAAGTCTGGGAGGTAGTTTTATTTCCATTTAAATGGAATTATTGTATATCTCTGGACAGGGCATTTCTCTTTTGAATATTGTATCTTCACAAATGCAGAATGCAGAATTTTAGGAAAAGGAAACAAAATGTTCATGAAAGGCTCAATGGGTGCAATAGTAAGAGATTCCATTCTAATTTCTGTCTCTTGATATATGAATACATATATTCTAGTTATATAAGGAAGCTCACTATTGATAAATAGTGGGAGTGCTTTAATCTCAATTTTGAAAACAAAAACTGAGGCATATAATCTCAATTTTGAAAAAAAATCCATCTAAAACCATAGCTGTGTCTTCAATAAGCCATTTCTCTTTTCAATAAGGTTATCTTCTGCATATTTTGTACATAATAAAAATAGTATTTTTTCACTGATGGATTGTGTGGGTACTGTTATGTTGAATCACATATGCTATTGTTGGCAGAAAAAAGAGGTTATGGTAGCTCATCTGTAAGACAGCCACAAATAATTTCTTCCCTTCTGGTATGTGGATGCAATTTTGCAATTGAGAGAACGGGTTTATCCTTTCCTTCCACTTTTTGTCCATAGGAACTTGATTCTCCAGGAGAATCAGCTGAAGTTATATCTTGCATGCCTGAGACTTGTTCATAATGAGCCTCATGGCTTTTGCTTAGAATTCACGGAGTGTATGCTTTTGGAACACTAAAACAATTTATCTAGGAAATCAACCACCTTTAAGAAGATTGAAAACCCTAAAACTGTTGAACTGTGAAAAGCCCAAAGCATGTAGAAAGGATCTAGAGAATAGATGCCTCTCTCCATATGGCATCTATTCTCTAGATTGTTTTACATGGAGAGAAAGAGATTGAAAGGGAGGGAGGGGGAGAGGGAGAGAGAGAGCGAGGGAGAGAGGGAGAGACACACTAAGGAACACTAAGGAAACAGATAATGTGAATAAAGAAGCCAACTTTGTAGTGGATACTCCAGTCAAGCCCATCCAAGCAGACACCACATGACTTAGAAATGAACTGCCCAGTTTAGGAGATTTTGTTATATAGGTAATTGGAATTATGATAGATAAAAAAATCCAATCAAAACATAGTATCTCTTTCCATGAGAACGTATTACTGACCTTTTGTTGAAGAAAAGATTCAGTATAATCAATTTGATACCAAAGAGTTGGCTTGTCCACTCTAGTTTATGGTACCATATCAGGTGCTCAGGTTGTTCCCTGCCATTGGCAACTCGAGCACTAGGAAGAACTTGTAACTTGATTGGCCCAGATATGGACAATCTCTATTGTTTACTCAATTCACAGTCTCCATTGTCACCATTCTACCTATTTTTATGCATATGCCTATCAAACAAGCTGGAAGCCGACGGTTACTGACATCATCTTTACAGTGATCTAGTTCCATAGCAAGGCTCTATGGAGAGAATTCATGTGGGAAAAAAATATTCTTACAAATCAAGACTGTTTTGAGTAGTTATCACTCAAAAAATTCCAGTGTCTTTGTCACCAGCCTTCCAGTTTTATTTCTTCCAAGTTCTTGCTTCACAGCCTTTAGTTACTTCTGATGCATTAGTGCAGATGTTTATCTTAATCTCTTTTTTAAAAACATTATGAATCAGTTTATTTATAGATTTTATCCTTTCTCTATGAATGTTTTGGTTAAAGAATCTATTAACATGGAATATATATGGGAATTTATCCCAGTTTTTTTCTCAACCTCTTTATTCCACACAAATTAGCAATAATATATTCTTCACAAATTTATTCCCTTTAGGTTTGAGGTCACCTTTGCATTGAGTTGAACCATAGACATACTATTCTTCCAACTAGTTTCAGAATGCCATGAAGAATAATCTGTAAACCAGATTATAGTCTTTTAAATTTTATTTTTAAATAGTTTGTATTAAAAATTCTTAAGTTAAAAAAATTGGTAAACTAGTCCTAAGCAATTGAACTTGAAATCACATGGGAGAGAGTAAGGATGCCGCTTATGTGACTGAATATGCATCAACCAGATGTTAGAATGCAGAGAGAGATACAAAGCATATTAGATAGATCATATAGCACCCAAGCAGGTCAGATGCCATATCCCCTAATGTTCCATGGTTATATTCACTCAGTCTTTAAGTTCTATGGCTAGGACAAGATCTTTTTTTTTTTTTAAGTTATTTTTTAGATGCTTGACTCCAAAACCTAGGGAACTTCACTGTAATTATGTTATCAGGGATTTTTATGGCCTCTTTACAACTTCCTTTTCCATTACAGACATTGTGATATTCTGAGCCATAAGTACTGCATGGCAATGATGCTTTCAGTATTGCCCAAACCAGCTGGAAAATCTTGTCTTGCTCTAAAACCCACTCAAAGCAGCCAATCTTCTGGGCCATTTAGGGGATAAATGAGAGCATTAGAAACATTTTGCCTTCAAGAATCCAAGGAAATCACCTCCTATATCCCAACTTTGTAATGATAGAAGATTCAAGGTGCAGAACTGTTCACTTTGGAGGGGATATCTAGCATATCTTAAGCAAAGAAACAACCAAATTCATCAAGATAGCAGGTCATAATGTTTGTAGCAGACCTTCAGCATGCATATATCTTGTAAAAGAAATTAAGAACTGATATACAGGTCCAAATAACATTATTTAACCTAAATAATGAATTGTAGTAATGTCTTATGTAACCTTGATATGACAAAGGCACCTTGAACTTATAATAGGATACAGCCAAGTGAACTTTGAGGCATGGTGGAAAATGTGTATTGCTATCCATTCCAGATAAAAGCCAGCATGTCATAATACTCTTATAATATTCTCCATTTCTTGCACTAAATATGACAGTATTTTCCATCCTAAAAATTGCATACTGATTGCCAAGGGCTGTTTGATTTGTTCAAGCAAATAAATTCACCTCACAAATAATAGCTATAATTGCATTTGCAGATGATTATTCTTAAACCAATTCACTGCCATTCTCAACTAATCTATCCCTAGACATTGGAAATGTGGATCTGAGAAGACTCAATATCCTTGAGCCTTACAATCCTTCAACATGACACCAATTCTTATAATTCCCTTGAAGTTAGAGCATTGGAATTGATTCGCTATCTGTTATTTTGGTAGTTAGTGGGAGTTCCAAATTTTTCGTCTTGACTTTTTCTACCACCATAACCATTATCTCTGTGTCAGGATGACATTGTAGATGTTCTTCCAGTTGGTAAAAATATTTATTATTATAATAAACCCAAGGTATGGGGAAATGAATATACCATGGGTGATAGATATGATCTAGCCTACCACGTTTTGATCCAAACCCCACTTACAACCTCATTCCATAATGTTCACTGTGATCCATGGACAATAGGTACATTCTGGAATATCAACGAGTTGGTATTATTTTAGAATCAGTGTCCAAAGATTACAATGTCATTGAATCTAATGTAATATATAACTCTGAAAGAGTTGATAAAAGCAGCAGTATTACCTATGGATGGTCAGAGAATTTCTATTCTTCCATCTGCTCTATGTGACTAAGAGTCCCACCAGTGGATAATTTTATTGTCCATATTATGCTTTATGTGGAAATACAATGAAATGATGACACTATTATTTAAATTTTTTCCACATAATAATCCAAGTAAATATATCTACTTTACATAGGGACTACATTTTTATAGTTTGCAATCAATGAGTAGGTTTTCAAAATTTTAGTATTAAAATATAATTCTGGTTAGATGAGTTATTTACTGCTAAAAAAACCTAAATTTAAGAAGCATACTGGTCAATAGAGATGAGCATAATCCTTCTCCAAAAAGCAGATAAATTATACAAATGAAAATATTTTTATTTCAAAATAATCATGTTGTTTTATTTTTAGTGGCTACAAAATTCAGAAACAAGTTTGGTAAATCTAGAAAAGACCAAAACTTGTTACTAAAATGGCCCAGGAGAATTTATTCAAAAGTATTTTTGCCTACTAAATATATTTTATGATATTAGTACTGTTATTTTAAATAATTTTGCTACTCAGACACATTTTCTCTAGTAGAACACAAGTATAAATATATTGAGGATTCTCTAGAGTAATTGCAATTAGTGCTCAATAGGGGTTTAATTAACAACAAAGAAAACATATATTAATGATGCAGGCTGTTTTTGATTAATAGCATATCTAAATTAATTACAAACATTATGTTAATATTAACTGTATATTGTTTAAAAACATGACTAGAATTTATAAATGGATAGAAAAATTATTTTGTTTCATTTTATTTACTTATTTTAGTCTTAAAAAATGAAAATACCTTTTATGAGTTAAAATATTTAAGGCTAAAATATATTAACATTAACAGTATTTATTTTGATTGGTTATTTTTACTTCTCTTTATTTATCATCTGTCATATTTGTTAAATAGCTATATTATCAAAGATGCCTTCCTGATATAAAACATCAAGTTACATTTGATCTCTCAAACATACAATCAGTGATTGCTAGAAGAATTATTTATTTCTAAATGTAGACAAGGACTTAAGAGTCCTGGAATTTCTCAGGTTATTAAATAAAAATGATAATTACTGCATAAAGCTCCTGAGAAAGTCTTCTTTCTCTTACTCTTTTAATCAACAAATATTAATGTGCTTCTACTTTACTAGTCTTTGTGATAGGTACTGGGGATATATACTGAATAAAGTATATATAGTTGCTGCTTAGATGAAGCTGATATGGTTTGGCTATGTCCCCACCCAAATCTAATCTTGACTTGTAGCTCTTACAAATCCCACGTGTTGTGGCAGGGAGTTGGTGAGAGGTAATTGAATCATAGGGGCAGGTTTTTCCCACGCTATTCTCATGATAGTGAATAAGTCTCATGAGATCTGAAGGTTTTATAAAGGGGAGTTTCCCTGCACAAGTTCTTTTCTCTCGTCTGCCACCATGTGAGACATACCTTTCTCTTTCTATCGTGATTATGAGGCCCCCCCCAGCTACATAGAACTGAGTCCATTAAACCTCCAGACCCCAGAAAGGTAGGTCCACTGACAGCTTACACCATGCATCTAGAAAAGCCACAGACACCCAATACCAATTCATGAAAGCAGCCAGGAGGGAAGCTGTACCCTGCAAAGCCACAGGGATGGAACTGCCTAAGACCATGGGAACCCACCCTCTTGCATCGGTGTGACTGGGATGTGAGATGTGGAGTCAAAGGAGATCATCTTGGAGCTTTAAGATTTGACTGGCCTGCTGGATTCCAGACTTGCAAGAGGCCTGCGAACTCCTTGTTTTGGCCGACTTCTCCCATTTGGAATGGCTGTATTTACCCAATGCCTGTACCCCCATTGCCTCTAGGAAGAAACTAACTTGCTTTTGATTTTACAGGCTTATAGGTGGAAGATAATTGCCTTGTCTCAGATGAGACTTTGGACTGTGGATTTTTCAGTTAATGATGAAATCAGTTAAGACTTTGGGGGGGCTGTTGGGAAGGCATGATTTGTTTTCAAATGTGAGGACATGAGATTTGGGAGGGGACAGGAGTGGAATGATACAGTTTTGTTGTGTCCCCATCCAAATCTCATTTTGAATTGTAGCTCCCACAATTCCTATGTGTTGTGGGAGGGACCCAGTGGGAGGTAATTGAATCATGGGATTGGGTCTTTCCCATGCTATTCTCATGATAGTGAATAAGTTTCATGAGATTGGATGGTTTTATAAAGGGGAGTTTCTCTGCACAAGTTCTCTTCTCTTGTCTGCCACCATGTGAGATGTGCCTTTCACCTTCCACCATGATTGTGAGCATCCCCAGACACATCAAACTAAATCCATTAAAACTCTGTCTTTTTTAAATTGCTCAGTCTCAGGTATGAATCTACCAGCAGTATGAAAACATATTAATACAAAGTTTACCTTAAGGCTGCCTATTTGACTTCTCTAATTAAACCCTGTTTATTCTCTAATTACCTTTTTACTGCATATTTTTCTCTCCGTCAGTCAGACAAAATTGATCTCATTGTGTTTGCTAATAACATATACCTTACTAAAATGTATAAAATATACTTATGTCATATATTTCATGACCATAAATATGATATTGGGTAATCCTCTTGTGTTTTCTGAGAATTCTTGTAATCCATTGTTGTTTTATTCTTAACCACTATTCTATTATATACATGCATGTTTCTTTGCTCCTCTTCCTCCACTTTCCTCTGAAGTAATTATGCTGTTTTAAATACCTTTCTAAATTCTCCAAGTGGAGAATTTTTTAATTGTATTTTGAAATGCATATAATAAAGTGCAATTCCCTGGATATATGTAGATCCAGGCACATATTCCAGGTTTCTTTTAAAATATGTAGACAGGGAAAACATTCAGAAAAAAAACCCACAAAAATTACAGAACCATGACTCACACCATATTGATGTCCAATGATGAACTTTCCATAGAGATAAAGCCAATAAAAAATCACCTCTACTGCTAACTGGATAATAGTCTTCAAAGAATATGATTCCGAAGTGTAACTGAAACTCAGTAAAGAGGATGAGAACAACAAAAGAAATATAAGAACATTTATTCTGAGTCATTCTGGAACTCAGTGAAAGAATTTATCCTGGGAATTAAGTAGGTAGATGTTGACAGATGTGACTACATGCAATATTAGCTGGAAAAATTTTGTGTTTTTAAAAGGTAAGTGAAGCTCCAGGTGAAGACACACAATCTTTTAATATGTAAGTGGTGGAGGTTGAGATGAAATGATTTTGTAGACTTTACTCACAAAATTCTCAGTAGCTCCCAAAAAGGTTTACACACTTAATATTCATATGTTTTGAATATGTGAGACAGCTGTTGTTTACCTATTATTGAGTACAGAATTGGGAAGAATGGCCCGTCATTTTTAAAATCCTTAAAATAATTGTCACTTTTCTCTAATTTCCCTCCTCTCATTCTCTACTAAACCACTGAATCGCTCCGTACTCATCCTACTCCAAGTTTATTGCTCTTGTGAAAATCTGAACTGACTTCTACATGCTAAGTCCAATGTTCTGTTCGTGGTCTTCATCTCATTTGCCTTCTCTATTAGTCAGCGTTCTCTAGAGGGACAGAACTAAAAGGATAGATGCATATATGAAGGAGAATTTATTAAGCAGTATTGACTCACAGGATCACAAGGTGAAGTTCCACAACTGGCCATCTACAAGCTGAGGATTAAGGAAGCCAGTCTGAGTCTCAAAACCTCAAAAGTAGAGAAGCCAACAGTGTAGCCTTCAGTCTGTGGCCAAAGGCCCAAGAGGCCCTGGCAAACCACTGGTGTAAGTCCAAGAGTCCAAAAGCTGAAGAACTTGGAGTCCAATGTCAAATGGCAGGAAGCATCCAACAAGGGAGAAAGATGAAGCTCAGAAGACTCAGGAAGCCTGCTCTTTCCAACTTCTTCTGCCTGCTTTATTCTAGCCATGCTGGCAGCTGATTAGGTGGTGCCCACCCAGACTGAGGGTGGGTCTACCTCTCCCAGTTCACTGACTCAAATGTTATTCTCCTTTGGCAACACTCTTACAGACACACCCAGAAACAATACTTTGCATCCCTCAATCCAATCAAGTTGACACTCAATATTAACCATCTCACCTTCTAAACATTATTTAATATTTAATCACTCTCTCTTAGAAACACTTTCTTGGCCCTGCTTTCAAGAATTCACATTATCTTGCTTCTCTTCTTTTGTTTCTTAGTACCTGCCCCTTTCTAGTTCATTCTCACCTTTTTATCTGCCTCATTCTTAACACAGGAGTAAGATTCTGATCTCAGATCTTGGACTTCTCTAGCCACATTCACTCACTTGGTAAATTTATCTGACTCTAAAATAAATATCTTGGGCTCATAGTTCTCCCTTAAAATTCACCTTGTTTACCCAAATAATATTCAATATGCAGTTGATCCTTGAATAGCACAGGTTTGAACTGTGTGTATCCACTTCCACATAAATTTTCTTCTCCCTCTGTCACTCCTGAGACAGTATGACCAACACCATCTCTTCCTACTTCTCAGCATATTTAACTTGAAGATGATGAGAATGAAGACCTTTGTGATGATCCATTTTACTTAATAAATTGCAAATATATTTTTCCTCCTTATGATTTTCATAACATTTTCTTTCCTCCAGCTTAATTTTTTTGAAAGTATACAGTATATAGTACACATAACATACAATGTATGTGTCCATCTACTATTTGCTATTGGTAAGGCTTCTGGTCAAATGTACTCTATCATTAGTTAAGTTTTTGGAAAGTCAAAAATAATGCAAATTTTCAACTATTTAGTGGGTGAGGGTCCCAAATCTCTTATTGTTAAAAGTGTCAACTTTAGTCGCTTGGTTATCTCAAAATTAAGATGTCAAAATCTAAATTTCCAATCAGGCAGGTCAACCTGTTCCATGCTCCCTTTTCTCCACCTTAGATTCTTGTAGCTCCATCATTTCAGTTTGTGATTAAGCATCTTTAAATTGCCTCTGGTCTTCTCTTTCTGTCACATCTTAAATCCAATACATCAACAAATTTGCCTGACTCTTCCTTGAAAAATATAGCAGGATGAATCTACCTCCCACTTCCACCACTGTTTTCATCCTAGAAAAAGCTATTATCTTTAGCTTGAGTAGTTATAGTGATCTGCTAACTAGTCTACCTACTAAATTCTTTTCTTGCTACAGTCAGTTCTTAGCATAGTTGCCAAAGTTATCATTTATAAATGTATGTTCATTCACGTCATCTTCTCATTTTACTTAGAGTAAAATAAAAGTCTATAAAATAGTCTGTAAAAGCTATAATATGTAGGGTTAATTTCTCTCTGTGACATTATTGTATACTACTGTCTTCCTTGATTATCCATTTCTGTTTAGGTTGGCTTCACTAGTTTTCCAATGCTCCAGGGTTCCCCATGGCTCTCGGTCTTCGTACTGGCTGTTGACTCTTCCAAATACCCATGACTCATTGCTTCATTTCCTTCCATTTTTGCTCATCTTTCACCTAATCGGCGTAGTTTCATCTGACTACTTTTAAAATCACAAGACTCTCGGTATAATCCTCCCCACTTACTCTATTACATTTTTTTCCCACAGCACTTTTATCTTTTAAATATACTGCCTAATGTAATTATTTATTTTCTGTCTCCTCTCACACTACAACACTTATGGAGTATAGCACATTTACTTGTTTATTCCCTGTTCTATCCCTTGCATCTAACATAATCCTTACTAACTAACTGTTGAATAATTGAGTTGGATGGAGGCCTTGAAATTAAAGAGAACTTCCTGGATTAAAAACAATACCAGGGCAGGTACCACATTTGTCTTGCTCCTGGACACATCATCCATGCCTAACACAGTGCGAAGAACATAAGAAGACTTTGGTAAATTTATGTTTATTTAACAAATTACCTCCATAAAAAGTCAATTTAGCAAGTATATTGAATTAGAGTATATCCATTTACATTTGGTAGTACAAATATTTTGCTCAGATATTTGAATTTTACCTAATTAAAATTATATAAATATGTACTTATGATATGAGAATATATCCTACTTATAGTTAAAAGATTTAAAATAGGTAAAAATTTGTATATGTGTATTATATACGCATATAGATAGATATATATGTGTATATATGTGTGTGTGTGTGTATATGCATAATACACACATATTTTAGTTTGGCAAATTACATCACATTAAAAATAGTCAAGAAAGAAAATATTGTATAAATGATAGGGATTTTACATATGCAAACAACTAAAGACAGAATGTAATTTTAATCTAATTAATATCATGTACCTGTGATCACTGTAGATTCAATTTGATAAGTTTTAATTTTTTTTTTAAATGGGTATTCACTGTGTTGTCCAGGCTGGCCTTGAACTCCTTGGCTCAAGCAATCTTCCTGCCTCAACCTCTCTAGTAGTTCAGATTATGGGCAAGTGCCAATCACAAAGGATCCACATAAAGTAAGATAAAATGTGAAAAAAGTAGACCACTATTGAAAATAATGAAATTTTTATGATAATAAATTGAAGTCTAAATGGTAATATAAATGTTTGCTTGTGTAGCATCTAAGATTTCTGAACTAGTAATCAAACTCTAATTAAATCACACAACAGGAGGATGGAAATGCAATTCAATTAACAAGATTCTTCTTTTTTGATACACTTGATTCTTTCTCCTTGGTCTATTTCTTTGATATTGTGTTCTAATTTTTCAATGTCACATTAGCTGATAAAAATCAACAAGAAGCTGAAGAGAGTGAGAAGCCCGTCACATTGTCGAATTGCTGTAAATATAACCTGATAATGAATGATGCATTTTGAAAATATATGCATATGCTTCTATCTTGGTCAATGTAGCAGCACGTAATAGAGAGATTTGGGAATTCAACTGCAGTTTTTAAAATTAAAATACTTAAAAGTGAGACATTATACTTACCCAGTGTTAAAGACACAATTATTCAATTAGTTTATTTTTATTCTAAAAGCATATGCTGAGCATCTAAGAGCTATAGCTTTAGTGAAATTATAATTACAGTTCATCTATTCTAGAGATACTTATAATCCAAGAGCAGAATCAGATATATACACAACAAATTAGGGAAGATATAAGGTATTGAGTTCAAAGATGAAGAAGTATAAAAGGAAGGGCGGGCATGGTGGCTCACGCCTGTAATCCCAGCACTTCGGGAGGCCGAAGTGGGTGGATCACTTGAGGTCAGGAGTTTGAAACCAGCCCGGCCAACATGGCAAAATCCCACCTCTACTAAAAATACCAAATTAGCCAGGAATAAGTGGCGCACGCCTGTAATCTTGCTTACTGGGGAGGCTGAGGTAGGAAAATCACTAGAACCAGAGAGGTGGAGGTTGCAGTGAGCCAAGATCACGTGACTGCACTCCAGTCTGGGTGACAGAGTGAGACTCCATCTCAAAAAAAAAAAAAAGGTATAAAAGGACATGATGAAAATGAAAGGGAGGTAAAGATTATATTGTAACAGAATAAATGATCTAATAATAAATAATTTATTTGCACAAGCAAAAGTTTTTTAAAAAATTAAAATTAGCATAAGTTTAACAAGGTATTGTTAAATACCTAGTGTTAGGTATTTGCCTAAAGGGATTCCATCATTTTTGCTGGCATCTGAGCCTGCTCTGACTAGGGAAATTGAAGAAGAAAGGTAGTATTTATAAATGTTCTTCTTTACCAATGTCGAAAGTGGGCTGCCCAAGCTCTGAGGCAGGGTCCTTGGAAATGAAGTTGGCTGTCTTAGGTCTCCCTGGATAGACAAAGTAGCCTAAAAGCTGGAATTTAAGAAAATAATTGCATTGACTTTTGTCATTTAAAATGAATGAAGCCTGAAGTACTGAGTCTTCAGAACTTCTGAAATACAGTCATGGGGATTCCCTGACGGCTCAAATGTTAACACTTTTGATAATGGATCATGGGGAAAACTGGGAGGTTATTAGAAAATAGGACAGATAGAGTAACAGAAGAGGCACTCAATATACTAAAGACTGTCTAATATTCAATGAGTAAAGAATATTTCAATGTCTTAACAATACAAGCACAAAGTTTAATGCCATTGGCTGAGTAGTCCCACTTAAGAGTTTCATACCACAAAAGGAAGAATGTCACAGAAGCCAACTCCTGAGTCTTTATTTAAAACATATTAAATCCAAATGGAATCTATCAGAGGACAGGACGTACCTATGAAGATTTCTTTGTAATGCCTTTGTAAATTTTCATTGGAAAACTTTAAGTTTTTTTTTCTACACCAAACTGAAAATCTAATTCTAATCTACATACTAACGTTAATCTTCATCACACAGACACGCAGATATAAAATACAATGAAAATTGCTATTTTGGTAAATAAAGCCCACATATTAGTAACAGATAAAGTTATGTTGCTTTTTTACTATGTTGAAAGCTGGCCTGCTTCTTCTACCTAAATTTCAGAGATGTTCAATTTCAGATAAACTTAGCTTGTTTAGAAGTTACTCAATAAATGACTTCCAGAAGAGCTATTGTGTGACATTTAATTCTAGAATATAAACATGTTTTGAGAAAAATGAAGCATTAAATAGACCATCATAATATATTCAATATGAAATGTCAGTGTACATTTTAGAAATATACGTATTATTTTATTCACTTTTTTTTATTTTTGGTGATAGCTAAGAATGAAAGACTCACTGACAATAGTGCTTTTTAATATATCCACCAGTAAACATTATTAGCTAGAATGGTAAGAAATGCATCTTCTAGTTTTTGTATGTAGATAAAGCAGTGTGAATTTTAATTATATTCTTTTATGTCATTATAAATTAGTCTGGTTTAAGAATGTTATGCACTGTAGAATCATACCATGTTAGAAATATTGACTACCGAATCAATAGTTATGTCTTTTCTCCCTTTCCTCAGACCATGTCTTCAATGTAGATTTTCTGCCCCTGTCAATATAGTGAGAATAATAAAAATCAATTATTTCTATGACATAGTTTGTGCAGTGCATATAATTTAGTCCCAGAAATGTCCTTCAAAAAATTGTTTACATTAATCATTTGGATTGTAAGTTTATTATAGTGCCAGCTTCTATATGCCAAACCATGATGTTTCTGATTAAGTACATTTAGTGATATAGGTTTAAAGAACAAACTACATTTTGAGAAACACTGGTTTCCTGTCATTTAAAAACACACACCACACACACGAAAACATAAGACAAATGATTTGAGTAAACAAATTTTCTTCTTACTTAAAATTGCTTATCCAGCATTCTAATCAGTGAGAATATAGTGTACCCAAATAAACAGTATTTCATCCTTTTAAACTTTTGAAAGAAAATCTCACTTACCTTTTGCCTTTGTAGTTCAGTTCAACAAATCTTAAATGCTGTCTGTGCACTAAGCACTGCCGATACACAAATTGGGGTGACTTCCAACTTGTGAGAACTTCAGCTGGTAGTAAATGTGGCAATTAATCTTTTATATTTGAATATCTTTGTAAGTTAATTTCAAACATTTCCGTTACAATGTTGATGATAAACAAAAGAAAAATGTATAGCAAAAGAAAATAGAATGTATATATACACAAATATGTGTGTGTGTGTATAAACACACATGAGCACACAGTGTCTTTGTAATATGCTATCTTTAAATAATGGAAGAAAGAAAAAAACATGTGATTAAGTTCATCTGATGAAATAAGAAAATATCCTGACTATAGATATTGATTATACTTTAAAAAATGTTTACCTATGAAAAATTTAAGCACTTGAAAATATGAAATGCAATATGAGATAGCTATAGATTCTCTGCTTAAATTTAACAAAAGCTAACTTTTTTGGCAAAATTAAAGAATGAATGAATTTATATGATTGACGAGGAAATAAAAGGTGCTAGGATATAACTCCGATGATTCACTCCTTTGTTCAGCACCCTCACCTTGAGTGAAGGTGGACACCGTGACTTTCTTGCAACCAATGGAACATAGAAAAGCCGACAGGCTGTCACTCTTATGAGTACTTTGCATTGCATAAGATTCTGTCGTAGCTGACTATTTTGAAAAACTCTGCTGTTGACCTTAAAGAAACAAGCTGCTATGACCATTCTGTCTCTTTAGGAGTACAATAAGAAATTAATTTAGAAATCAGTGTGCCATCCTTTCAAGAGTCTTTTGTTTTTCACATGATGAAAAATATACTGATATATTTAGTGTCATAATATCATAAAAAAGTATAAAGTGTAACTATTGTATAATAGTTTCTTTTTCAATACTTTATTAATTATTTCAAACTGTATAATTGTGACCCAATGGATATGCATTAAAATCAAGGTCAAAGAAGAAATGGAAGTATTAGCCGCAAAAGCAACAAAATGATTGTGGCAAGCACATAATGTTTCCCTTTTTCAAAATATTCTTCTCTTAATCTAAAAGACATATTTATGCTATATCCAATCTTACAAATCACATATCCCTTCTTTGGTGAAGATTTTCACAAATCTCCCCTTCTAGAGTAAATATGCCTCCACTTGCTTAGTAACTCTCTTATTCTCTTACCATGATGCACTTGCCACTATTTTAGATTATTGATCAGTTGGTTCATTGATTATTAATTCTTACAGATTTCTACAAAAACTTAAGCTGCATAGGAATAAGCACTTTAAATTTTTCATCACTGCTTTCCTAGAAATATTCCCTCAGACATGGTAGTCCTTTAAGAAATATTTATTGAATAAATAAAAACTGCAAAAAGAAAGGTTGCAAAATTTCACTTAATGCTTGAATAGCTATCTTACAATGATGGTAAAAACAAACATGAATCTCCAGAAAGTAAAATATTATTTAAACAATTTAAGGAAGAAAGTCTGTTGGAGGTAGGATATAATTCTGACATAAAAATTAGAAAATCTAAGGTTTTTCAACGTGCTTTCTAAATATGAAAGAAAATTTAAGGATCAAAATTATTTTCTACTCTCCAGAATCTTTAGTTTCATAATTAAGAATGCTCTCTAGACTTTTTAAAATCAACTCTTTGTCGTATTTTCATTATTTGCAAATACACCATTACATATATATACACATTATATATAATATATATGGAATTATATGTATGTATGTATATATAATGTAATACTACTCTACTACTGCATTGGATATGTTTTCACTATCTTGTACTGCAATATATACATGTTAAACTAGCTGTATTTATTAATATTAGATATCACCATAAGTATTTTCCTCATTAATTTTATTAAAAGGAAAAAAATGCTTCATGATTGAGAGTGAGATTTCATCATCATCATGAATATGATGGCCAATGGAAACAGAACCATTTAAAGAGTCATCATACTAATATAAACTATCTTAAAATGCCTAAATACTTGGTTGTATCTGATTTTTTCCCCAAAAAATGAAGTAAAATTTCTATAATCTGTTATTGTACTTTTTCATACATACAAACTTCCAATTATATGTTTTAGTTTTCTTGAATACTTTCATATGTGTAATTGTCTCTTCAGAGTCATTAATGTATGTCTGTAATTAAAAATGTATTGTGATATATAAAGACAGCAAAAGGTATTGTCTGAGAATAAATATTTTGTTAGTTTGTTACCATGTTTAAATACTTAGCAAGGGAAGTATAATTCTATTTCATTCCATTCAATCTGTAATAATTTGGCCTCCTATGGGTTTCCATAATGATCAAGAAATCAAGAAGAAGCAATATTGTAATCTAATATATGGATGAAAAACATAGTAAATTTTATAACATATTTTAATTTTGTTATGTAGTTGAATGTTTATATTTGCTGATTATGTAACTGATGACCAGCAGACATCTTACATTCATTTATTTTAAAGAATTATATAACCAAAAGTTGTAATTCTACCTCCTTTGTTGTCTTATCATTAAACATTATCAAGATAGTAGGTATTATATACAACTAACACACAGTATTATAATATATTGAGGATTAAAGAACAGATACAGTTTTAATTTGTAATTATTTACAATAACATGTTTTTACAGGTTTATAATTAGATAAGAAAAATCTTTTTGCAATGTTTGTGGTAAAACTACTTAATATCTCCATTCTGTGTTAAGTATTTTTATTGTTCCACCTCCAAATCACCGAAGTGAATTTTTAAATTGGATTTGGTAATTAAAATATAGGGGAACATTATTTATATGAATAATTGACTTATTTGTTTTGTTTGATGAAGACATATCTCACTAGCTCCCAATGCATACGAACATTTACAAATGAGTTTGCATGATTTTAGTTGTGACTTTTATGAGCTTGGTTCCTGTCTGTGCCATATTAAAACATTTTTCTCAACCATCAGAATCATAAAGAAATGATAACTGACAGATTACATTTTTCTAATTATTACCAAATAAAGGTAGAAAACATGTGTATCAGTTTGGGTTATACTAAACTAACATTTTATGTTTGTGTGTGTGTGTGTGTGTGTGTGTGTGTGTGTGTGTGTAGAGAAAGTGAGAGAGAGAGTTGTGAAGCTTTTTCAAGAAATTATTTTATACAATTGTTGGGGTCCATTTAGGCAAATCTGTGGGGTGGGCCAGCCACAGACTGGAAAACCGGAAACTCTGAGTTAGGAGCTAAAGCTGCAGTCAACTTGCATAACTTCTTCCTCAGGGAAACCTCAGTTTTTGCTCTTAAGGTCTTTCAACTGATTAGATAAGGCCAACCCAGATTATCAAGGTTAATCTTGTTCACTCAAAGTCACCTAATGATAAATGTTAGACACATCTGCAAAATATTTTCAGAGCAAAACTTCTATTAGTGTTCAATTGAATAACTGAATACACTTGAATAACTGAATACTGTAGCCTAGCCAAGGTGATACATTAAAATAAGCATCACAACATGTGAAAGAAAGAATATATGTAATACATATACATATATATATATATATATATAAACCTACTTATAGGATAAACAATTGGATACTTATTAGATTGTCTTGATGGAAAATGTCAGTACAATTATTCCATTTTACGGTTTGAAAACAAATATAACACTACTTTGATTATTTTCTATAAGTATAGTTTTATATTTTGTCACTAATAATGGAAATGGATGTTTTTTAACTGCGACTCAGTCACATGTATTGGTAAACACAAATGATGTATTTGTAAACACAAATGATGTATTTGCACTGTAATATTTGAATTCTCTTTTTCACAGTAAGCACTTTTGTTTCTAATAAAATAAAGAAGGTGAAATATCTTGATATTTTCTTGTGGGTTTGTGAAGAACAATGAAACAACATGGTATAAAAGAACTGCTCATAATTATGTAACATTTGTGAAATATATTGTTATTAACCATAGAATGATAAAAAAGAAGTGTTTATCTTTGATTGCAATAATAAAACATTATTAATTTTATTATAGGTGAACTCTATATAAACCACAAAAACAGATAGATGAAAGGTTCTTTTTAAACCTTTTTTGTAAAATTTATCCTTTGAAATATTCCTGTGAACATAATCAAATCGCTAAAATTATCCACCAAAAAGCGATGGGGAATTTTACTTCTTTGTGCAGAAAAATAATTTACAAAACAAATGTTTGAAAGTAACATCAATTTTCACTTTCAATTATTCAATAAATTGTTGAAATTATTTATAGGTTATTGATTATTAGTTTTCCAAACATTCAGTTATCAGAAAGCACATCAAATAGAGAAAAACATTTACACCTCCAACAGAACCCAACAAATGAAACACAAGAGCAAAAACATGAAGAATCATGGAAAAAAAATAAAAAAAACCTGTTATTTTGTGACTTACGACCCACAAATCAGATTGGGCAGGGAAAGAATTTTAAAAGAACAATTTTTTTTGACATTTATGGATCATATATGACATACAATACTTCCGATAACAAAATATCTTCAAACTACAAAATAAGTTGAGGTTGGCTATGCAAAAACAAAACAATAAAAAACAAATAAGCAAAAATACCTTTACTATGTTAGAGCACATTAAGCCTTTTAAATGATATTTATAATTGTTAACTTTATGATGTGGAGATTTCCAGATAGTTGGATTTTTTTAATAAATGAAATGCTATTATATTTTACTATTCTATTATTACAGATAAATAATTTATTTCTGTCAAATTAGCAGAATAAAGAGTATTTTGGCCACAAAATCACAGTGTAGGTATTTTTGTTTTAAGCTGAGTAAAAATAATGTGACCTATGAATCTTGGCTAATTATTAGAGGAAGTAAGCAGCAGATTAATTATTTTGTTTTCTTTGGGAAATCTAAAACTAAACAAAATTCATGCAAAAGTGAAAAAAGTGTCTTCAACTTCCACTTACCCTAAAATTTATTTCAAAATTAATTTTCTACCCATTTTAATATATTTATTACTTTCTTATAAAAGGTACATTTTTGCATTAGTATAACTTGAAACTTTAGAATATTTAATAATCCTAAAAAATACAATCCTGAACAGCTGTCAAGTCTGCAAATTAAAAGTAAACATAAACAATTTGAGGCAAATAATTATTAGATTATCATTAATATAAGAAATATATTATTTTTATGTGGCAAAATGCAAAAATTTTATAATACAATATATTTTAATATTGTTTTGTGCATTTTATTATGATGTTAAATTGCCATATGTTAAAATATTTATGTTTTCAGGTTGAATTACATAACTATTTGGTAATCATTGGTTTGTAGCTGCCTGGAAGTGTTGAGATAGAGCAGGGGTCCCTAAGCCCTGGGACACACGGGTACTGGTCTATGACCTGTTAGGAACTGGGTGCCACTGCAGGAGGTGAGTGGCCGATAAGAGAGCATTATTTCCTGAGCTCTGCCTCCCGTCAGATCAGCAGCAGCATTAGATTCTCACAGAAGCGCCAACAACCCTATTGTGAACTGCTCATGTGAGGGAGCTAGGTTGCACACTCCTGATGAGATCTAACTAATGGTTGATGATCTGAGGTGGAATAGTTTCAAATTGTTTTCCCCAAACTTGTCCCTGGTGCCAAAAAGGTTGAGGACTGCTGAGGTAGAGAAGGCCAAGAATCAGTGGATTATATGAATATAAGAATTGAGAGTTTGGAGAGGTAGTAACAGTACAACAGACCCACAGTTTGCTGCTTCTAGGACCCTGTCTCTCTCTCTCTCACAATATTATCCTATTAGAAACTGAACATTTTCTGGACTTGAGTGCTTTAAATATGAAAAAAGTGTATTTATAAACCAAATAATTTTGTCCAATGACCATGACAAAATACTCATAATTCTAGACTCCAGTTTATGCCCAAATAAAATGATAGAAGTTTTACAGTTCTTTGTGTATATTTTCTTACTTTTGCCTGGTCAGGGGATAGTTTTGTTCTGTTTTGTTTTTGAGATTATAATCTAAAATTTAAATATATTAAGTGATCACCTACCAGACAGGAATTGAAGTTTGTGATGCTCTTCTGAGAAGTTTTTTCATGGGAGATATTCTCTTCTATTTCTAGCATGGTGGTAATAAATATACAATCCCATTGATTTTATTACTTCAGATTATATTTAAGTTGCAAATGGATAGCTTGTAAACTTTCATTTCAAGTAATATTTATTGGAACACTTTTTGTTCCTTAAGATAATGCCTTAGTTTATTATTTAAGCTGAAAGAACAGACCCTTCTTTTCTATTACTTTCCTTGAACTCAGGTTTGTTGATTTCCTTTTAATTTTATTTTAAAGGAAGTTTTGTTTTGCCATTTATGAAAAACCTAATGCAGCTTTACAGTCTTCTAATTTAGTCCAAAAAAACAGTAATATGGAACGAATAATATTCATTGAAGGTGACTGAGATGCAATTTTAAGGAAATAAAAAATGTATACATTTCTATATAACACCTTTCCTTCCCCCAGTGAAAACTACACAATGTAACCATAAATTACTGTCCTTTCACTTCTTCATTGCATGAGTGAAAGGGTGTGAGAATGCTCATTCAGTTGGGAAATCAAATTGACTTAAAATACCACAGTGAGATAGTGGAAAACGCTACATACTCACTGTTTTGAAAATATATTTAAATTTATGTATGCATTTCCAGAAATATTCATCTCATGTCTCTACACATATAATAAAAGCAATTTATTCCAATATACATCCTTTTACTGTCATTGTGATATTCTCAGGAAATATTCAAATTAGTTTATATTCTAATATGGAAAACTGAGGCATCATGAAATTATCACATACGTTTAATTTTGCTTCTGATATTTATTTTCATGACTTTTTTTTAAGTGTGGGAAAATAAGCCCCTTTCTGTCATCCTACCTTTCCTGTCCTGTTTAAATGCACTTATGCAGACATTTATTTGAGAAAAGTCTAGGTGTCATTTGCCCATGTACTTTAAGGCGTTAAGTACCTAGGACATAAAATCACCTAAAGTTTAAGCAGTTAGTGGTAACGTGTTTGAAAATAAACTCCTGATCTTTTCCTTTAAAATTGATCCCACAGATTCTTTACCATGTCAATCAATAGCTGCTCTATCATCTTAGATTTTCAGGAAAAACAGTGTATATATAAATCATCCTTGACTCTTTTCCTCTCACATTTCACATTATTAGTCAGTAAACTGTATTGACTTTACCTTAGAAATACAGTCATTCCTTGGTCTCCACAGGGGCTTGGTTTCAGAAACCCTGTGGATACTAAAATTCATGGTTGCTCAAGTCCATTATATAAATAGTATAATATATGCAAATCACCTATGCACAACCTCCTGTATATGTTAAGTAATCTCTGGATTACTTACAATAATGTATATAAAAACTAAAAACAGAACTACCATATCATCCAGGAACCTCAATACTGGGTATTTATCTAAAATAACAAAATAAGAAAATATAATTGATAAACTCTATTGTTTAGAAAATAATGACAAGGAAAAAAAAAGTCTTTACTTGTTCAGTACCTATACAACCATCATAGGCTCAACAACATAGAACATTCCAGAAAAAAACAAAGCATTTTCTGGATAAAAAAAAATTTTGATCTTCAGTTAGTCAGATTAGTGGATGTGGAACCTGTGAATATAAAGGACAAACTCTATATCCAGAATCCAACCTCTTCCCACCAATTAATATTATCACATACTTTCATCACTACCACTCTGTTAGCATGCTAAAGATCCTAAGCTGAGCAAAACCTTACAGATAGGAAGGAGCGGAGCTGTGAATTTAAAAACAAGAGACCTGACTATAGCAGGATATAAAAGTAAAGTCTAATTTTTAAGACTATTCAGACTATGAAGAGTTGACTCAGTTGTTAAATTTATTATGGTTTTTATTGCTATATTTTAAGTAAGATAATAAATGAAACTCGTAATATCTCTTTTTCACGTTTGTATAAGCACTTGACTGATTTGCATTTGATATGTGCTCAGTGCATGTTACTAGATATGTTTTAGCTCAATTTCTTGATAAATATCTATAAAATATTTAAATGTGTGCTAATATTAGCACTAGGATGCTTAAACATAATGTTTCTTCTGATTCACACAAAAATTGCCTAAGAATTGCCAGTGCTCCATCCCCCGATTGCATGCAAAGATACTGAGAAAGGTAAAGAGAACTTGTGACATTGGTATCACTTATTATTGATATTATTTGGATATCTTAAAAACAATAGCTAGTACCCCACCTTTTTTACATGTACACAAAATCCTTTACATGAAGGTTTAACAAACCTTTTCTGGTAAACAGACACATAGTAAATATTTTTACTTTGCTGATCATGCAATATCTACTACAACTATTATAATTCAGGAATTTTAGAGAATCATAAGAAAGAAATGAATGAGCAGTGTGTTCCAAAATCTTTATTTCTAAACACATATGGGCCAGGCACAGTGGCTCATGCCTGTAATCCCAGCACTTTGGGAGGCCAAAGTGGGCAGATCACCTGAGGTGGGGAGTTAGAGACCAGCCTGGCAAATATGGTAAAACCCAGTCTCTAATAAAAATACGAAAAAAAAAATTACCCAGGCTTCGTGGCGGGCACCTGTAAT
The DNA here is from genome assembly GCF_000001405.40 of Homo sapiens. NCBI lineage: Eukaryota > Metazoa > Chordata > Mammalia > Primates > Hominidae > Homo > Homo sapiens. The sequence continues at coordinate 56,154,939 of NC_000013.11, forward strand.
CTCAGCTGCCTGGGAGACTGAGGTGGGAAAATAGCTTGAATCCGGGAGGTGGAGGTCTCAGTGAGCTGAGATCGCGCCACTGCACTCCAGCCTGGGTATGACAGAGGGAGACTCCATCTCAAAAAAAGAAAAAAAAGAAGAAGAAAAGAAAACAAAAAACAGGCTGGGAGCAGTGGCTCACACCTTTAATCCTAGCACTCCGGGAGGCTGAGGAGGGTGGATCACCTGAGATCAGGAGTTCAAGACCAGCCTGGCCAACATGGTGAAATCCCGTCTCTACTAAAAATACAAAAATTAGCTGGGCATGGTGGCACACGCCTGTAATCCCAGCTACCCCCGAGGCTGAGGCAAGAGACTCGTTGGAACCCAGGAGGTGGAAGCTGCAGTGAGCTGAGACGGGGCCACTGCACTCCAGCCTGAGCGATAGAGCAAGACTCCGTCTCAAAAATAAATAAACAAATAAATAAATAAAATAAAATAAAAAAACAAACAACAACAAGAAAACCTACATGACAGGCCAGATTTGGTCCATAAGCCATAGTTTGCTCACTGTTACATATAACAAGGACTTGGCAATTACAGTTATGTAGAAAGTGCCCAGTAAACTTTATCGAATTAATATTTACATCGGTTTAGTGAATGTATATAGTTTTAAAAACTTCAGAAGGTGACATCAACAAGATGGGCTGCTGATGTGCTTACCACTTACTCTACTCACCACACAAAAAAGAACAAAACAAGAAACAACTACATTTCAACTAGAGTATCTAAATGAGAGTGATGAAATACAAGAGAGTTGTAGAAACTCTGTAGAGCACAGAAACTCAGGATGTCCACACAGAGAAGGGAATAAAACATCCTGCCCCTGTTACCCCACGTGCCCAGTTGGGATCATCTCAAAACCAAGAGGGACTTCTCCCTGGGGAGAAAATGTAAGCAGGAGGGCCCCAGCAGCCCCTATTACTATCACAGACACCTGCAGTCTCTGCTGCAAGAGAATCCTCCAGTAATCACAGACCCTGAGCTTAGTTTGGGGAGCTGCCAGCAGTTCACATGGCTGCATTACTTCAGAAAGGAACCCACATTGGGCACCCCAGCTGTGTCCCAACCTGCTACTGCATGGCACCATCTTGAAATTGGAGCCAGTGACAGAATATGTCCTGCACCAGGTGCTAATAGTCACCGCATCTCTCCATCCTTGTGGCTCCACTGTTGTAGCTTGCTCACACACATGGTAGTATGCCTTTCCCTGGTCTAGCTGCTACAGCTCCCTACCCACTGAAAACAAGCAGCCTAAGAGGCATTTTATCTTTCTCACCCCAGTGGCTGCAGCATTCTGATCCTGGTTACTCAGAGACCAAGCCCAGTGGAACCGTTGTGATCCCTGTGCCTGAGTCCACATAGCACCCTTTCCCAAAAGAAATATCAAGCCCTGCCCAGTAGGGAAACTGAGCTTAATCCAGTAGAGCAGATGTATGCCCCATTATTGTGTGAACCAGTCTAGATACTTGACTCCAGGCAAGCCACTATCAAAAGTCAAGACAAAGAGAGAATTCCAAAAGCAGCAAGAGAAAATTGTCAGGTCACAAATAAAGGAATCCCCATTAGACTCTTGGAAGGTATCTATGCAGGAATTTTGCAGGCTAGAAAAGAAAGAAATGGTATATTCAAAATGCTGAAAGAAAAAAGCAAAAAAGGGCCAAGCATGGGAGCTTACATCTGTAACTCCAGTATTTTGGGAGGCTGTGGCAGGAGAATCACTGGAGCTCAGGATTTCGAGATCAGCCTGGGCAACATGATGAGACCTTGTCTCTACTAAAAATCAAAAAAATTAGTCAAGCATGGTGGCACACAACTGTAGTTCCAGCAACTAGGGAGCCTGAAACAGGAGGATCCCTGGAACTGGGAAGACCAAGGTTGCAGTGAGCTACCATTGCACCACTGCATTCCAGCCAAGGTGACAAAGTAAGACCCTGTCTCAAAACAAAACAAAACAAAGGAAAGAAAAGAAAAAAGGGGAAAAAAAACTGTCAGCCAAAAACATTATACACAGCAAAGCTATTCTACAGAAATGAAGCAAAAATAAAAGTTTTCCAGACAACAAAAAGCTGAGAGATTTCACACCACTAGCCAGGCCTTACAAGAAATGCTTACAGTGTGATTCAAGCAGAAGTGAAAAAATAATAATAGTTGCCATAAAAACAAAAGAGTATGAAACTCCCTGGTAGAGGTGAACATATAATCAAATTCAGATAACTCCATTACTGAATGTTAGTATATTAATCTTCCAGATCTCTATTATGAAGAGTAAACCTCAGAGTGGTCAATAATAACTACAGTTACAATATATTGTTAAGAAACACACAATATATAATGATGTAATATAGACTACAACAAAATAACACATCATCTTTCTTACACGGTGAAGCTAAACATTGGGTATACAATGAAATAAAGATGGCAAAAATAGACACTGGGGACTACTACAGGGAGGATGGAGGGAGGGGGGCAAGAGTTGATAAACTAACTATTGGATACTATGCAATATAGCCATGTAACAAACCTGCACATATTCCACCTGAATCTAAGATAAAAGTTGAAATTGTTAAAAAAAAAAAAAGTTTGAGGGATGGGAAAGTCTGCAGTATTTGTATGTGAACAAAGTTAAGTTTTATCAGCTTAAAATAGTTTATTATAACTATAAGAGTTTTAATAAGTCCCATGGTAACAATAAAGAAAAAAAATACAGCAGAAAAGAAAGAGCAATAAATCTGTTTAGCAGTATAGAAAACCACCAAAACATAAAAATAAGCAACAAGAGAGGAAGAAAGGAACAAACAATTTACAAAACTACAAGAAAATAACTAACAAAATGGCAGAAATAAGTCTTGATTTTTCAATAATAAGCTTGAATTTAAATACATTAAATTCTTCAATTTAAAGATATGGAGTAGGAGATGGATCCCCACTCTCTATGATGTGCTTTTTTCACTTTGCATGCCGGTACCAAAACATCTCATGTAATGCATAAATATATACACCTACTGCTATCCACAAAAATTTTAAAAAAGATATAAAGTGTGTGAAGGAAGAAAATATTGAAAACCAACTATATGCTGCCCACAAGAGACTCAATCCAACTGTTGGTACACAAGTAGACTGAAAGTGAAGGGATGGAAAAAGATATTCAAGATATTCCATGAAAATGGAAACAAAAGGACAATAGAAATAGCTATACTTACAATAGAAAAAATAGACTTTAAGTAAAAATCTGTTAAAAAAATGATAGAAAAGGTCATTATATAATTGTAAATAGGTTAATTCAGTTAGAGGATATAAAAGTTGTAAATATACATGCATCCAACAACACAGCACCCCAATATGTAAAGCAGATATTATTAGATCTAATGGGAGACATAGAAAGCAATACAATTATAGTTGGAGACTTCAAGGCTTCACTTTTAGCAATGGAAATATCATCCAGATAGAAAATCAACAAATAAATACCAAATTTAAACTGCACTTTAGAACAAATGGACCTAATGGACACATACAGAGCATTCCAACAACTGCAGAATACACATTCTTCTCAACTATACATGGAACAATAAAATATTCTGCAACATAGATTATATAACATGCCACAAAACAAATCTTAACAAATTTGAAAAGATGGAAATAATATAAAATCTCTTTCATGACCACAATGGTATAAAAATAATAATCAACAACAGGAAGAACTTCAGAAACTTTACAAATACTTCAAAATTAAACAATACACTTCTGAATAACCAATGATTTAATGAAGAAATTAAAAGAGAAATTTAAAATTATTGAGACAAATAGAAAAGACACATCACAGATCCAAACCTGCAGGATACAGCAAAAGCAGTTCTAAAAGGGAAGTTTATAGCAGTATTAGCAAAGTTATGGAATCAATGTAAGTGTCCATCAATGGATGATTGAATTTAAAAAAAATGTGGTGTATATACACAATGGAATACTATTCAGTCATAAGAAATAATAAAATCATGTCTTTTGCAGCAACATGGATAGAACAAACGACCTTTATCTTAAGTGAAACAAGTCAGTAACAAAAAGACAAATATGGGTGGATCATTTGAGGTCAGGAGTTCTAGACCAGCCTGGCCAACATGGTGAAACCTCATCTCTACTAGAAATACAAAAATTAGCCGGGTGGTAGTGGCGTGCTCCTGTAATTCCAGCTACTTGGGAGGCTGAGGCAGGAGAATCCCTTGAGCCCTGGAGGTGGAGGTTGTGGTGAGCCGAGATTGGGCCACTGCATTCTAGTCTGGATGAGTGAGACTGTCTTAAAAAAAAGAAAAAAGAAAGACAAGTGTTACATGTTCTCATTCATAAGCCAGAGTTAAATAATGTGTACACATGGATGTAGAGAGTAGAATAATGGACAAGGGAGTCTCAGAAGGCTGAAGGAGTTGTCATGATGGTGGATAATGGGGAATTACTTAATGGGTACAATGTACATTACTCAAGTGATTGATATATTAAAAGAGCCCTGACTTGACAACTGCACAACTATGCACATGTATGCCACAAATTTATACAAATTGAAAAGAAAACAAAACAGAAAGATCTCAAGTAAAAAACCTAATGTCGTATCTCAAGGAATTGGAAAAACAAAAACAAACTCAACCCCAAATTTATAGAAGGAAGAAAATAATAAACATTAGAGGTGAAATAAGTGAAATAGACTGTAAAAACATTACAAATAATAAAAAAATGAAGAATTGGTTTTTTATAAAGATAAGCAAAATTGACAAACCTTTAGCTAGATTAAGAAAAAAAGGGAGAAGACTCAAATAAAATCAGATAAGAAAAAGGAGACATTAAAAATGATAGCACAGATTTACAAATGTTCATAAAATACTGTTATGCACAATTGTATGCCAGCATATTGGATAACTTAGAATGAATGAATAAATTCCTGGATGCATACAATCTGCCAAGATTGAACCAAGAATAAACAGAAAACCTGAACAGACCAATATGAGTGAGAAAATTGAATCAGTGATAAAAGTCTCTCATCAACGAAGAGTACAGAAACTGATGGATTCATTGCAGAATTTTATAAAATGTTAAAAAAAAAAAACCTAATACCAATTTTTCTATAACTATTTAAAATAATTAAGGAGGGAGGGGGGAATCCTTCCAACCCCATTCTGCAAGGCATGCATCGCCCTGATACTAAAACTACACAAGGACACAATATAAAAAGGATAATACAGGGCAATATTCCTGATGAACATAGATGCACATATTCTTAACAAAATACTAGCAAACTGAATTCAATAGCACATTAAAAATATAATTTGCCATAATCAAGTGCAATTAATCCCAGGGATGCAAGAATGGTTCAACATATACAAAGCAATAAACATTATATATCACATTAACAGAATGAATTACAAAAGTTATAGAATCATTTCAACAATTGCAGAAAAAGTATTTGAGAAAAGTCAGCATCCCTTCATAATAAAAAGTTTCACCGAAAGTATAGAAAGAATGTACCTTAATATAATAAAGGTCATATATGACAACCCATAACTAACATCATACTGAATGAGGAAACTGAAAGGTTTTTTTTCTAAGATCCAAAACAAGATAAAGATACCTATTTTTTTAACACTTCTATTCAACATAGTACTTGATGTCCTGGCCAGAACAATTAAGCAAGAGAAAAAAATAAAATGTATCAAAATTGGAAAGGATAAACTTAAATTGTTTCTGTTTGCACATGATAGGATATTATATGTAGAAAACTTTAAGGACTTCACAAAAAATCTGTTAGATCTAATAAACAAATTTAGTAACGTTGCAGGGTACAAAATTAACATACGAAATTACTAGTGTTTTCATATGCCAAAATTGAACTATCTGTAAAAGAAATCAATAAATTAATCCCATTCCCAATAGCTACAAAAATTAAAATTTTTAGTAATAAATTTACCCAAGTAAGTAAGAATCTCAACACTCAAAACTATAAAACGTTGATAAAAGGAAGTGAGGAAGGTACAAATGAGTGGGAAGCTACCTCATGTTCATGTGTTAGAGGAATGAATATTGTTAAAATATTCATACCATACTACCCAAAGCAATTTATAAGTCAAATGCAATCGTTATGTAAATACTAATGACATTATTCACAAAAAAAAAAATCTTAAAACTTGTATGGAACCCATAAAAGGCCCAAACAGCTAAAGCAATCACAAACAAAAACAATTAAAGCTGAAGGTATCACCCTACCTGGCTCCTAAGTATACTTCAAAGCTGTAATAAGCAAAACAGCATGGTACTGGCATAAAAGCAGACAAACAGCCCAATGGAACAGAATAGAGTTACAATATAAATCCTTGCATTTAAAACTAACTGGTTTTTGACAAAGGTGCTGAAAACACATAATGAAGAAAGGGAAATATCTTCTGTAAAAGATATTAGGAAAATGGGATATACATATGCAGAAGGAAGCTAAACCGTGACTCAAGCCATATACAAAAATTAATTCTAAACCAATTCAATAAATGTTTGAATTTCATGTTGAACCTAATTCAAATGTTAGACCTGAAACTGTGGAACTACAAGAAGAAATCTTAGGGATAAAAACATCCATGACACTAGTCTTGCCAGTGATTTTTTTTTTTGAAAATGACCTGAAAAGCATAGGCAACAAAAGCAAAAATATAAATGGGATTACCACAGACTAAAAAGTTTTTGCACAGCAAAGGAAACAATAAATGGAGTAAGGAGAAAATCTACAAATTTAGAGAAATCACCTAATGCATCTTATAAGGAGTTAATATTCAAAATATACAAGAAGCTCAAACAACCCACTAACAAGGAAACAATTAGCCATATTACAAAATAGGCAAAAGACCCATATAGGCATTCTCAAAGAAGACATACAAATGACCAACAGGTATTTGAAGAAAATGCTTAACATCACTAATAATCATAAAAATACAAATCAAAACCATAATGAGACATCACTTCACACCTGTTAGAATGGCCATTATAAAAAAAACAGAAGAGAACAAGCATTGGTGAGGATGTGAAGAAAAGAGAACCCTTATATACTCTTGATGGGAATGCAAGTAACTTAGTGTAGCTGTAATTTAAAACATTGTGGAATTTCTTCAAAATATTAAAAGTTCAACTACCATATGATCTAAAAATTTTGCTACTGAGTATGTATCCAAAGGAAATGAAATAAGTATGTTGAGGAGCTATCTGCACTCTCATGTCTATTGCAGAACTATTCACAATAGCTAAGATATGGCATCAACAGAAGTGTCTATGAACAAGGAATGGAAATAAATGTGGTATATATACATAATGGAATACTACTTAAACATAATTAGAATGTAATCCTGTCATTTGTGACAATGTGGATCAACATGGAAAATATATTTTAAGTAAAATAATTTAGGTGCAGAAAGAAAAATACCACAAGACCTCTCTTACATGTGGAATCTTAAAACACTGATCTCATAGAAGGGTGGAGTAAAATGGTGGCTACCAGAGGCTGAGGAGGTTGGGTGGGGAGTGAGAGAGGTGGAGATGTTTGATTTTCTCCAAGCATATATAATTACAGTTATGTAGGAGGAAAACAAGTTTAGAATAGGCAAATATATAGAGACAGAAATAAATAAGTGGCTTCCTGGGGCTGGATTAGTTGCTATGTATTTCAGTCCTTTACTTTGGGTATACTTTTAAAATGTATTGTGTATGATTTGTATTGAAAATCTTGAATGTGACATTGATTTCATTCAAGGATTATGGTTCATCCAACTTCAAAGTTGTTATCATGGGTATCTAAAATTTCTAAAATACTTTGCCAAGTTCGAAGAACCAACTGTATAATCCCAGATCAGGCACTGCTCCTGTGTATTGTTCAACAACAGAATTGGATAGTATGGAATACTGGTAAAATAACTAAGTCCTAGCACAAACATATTGAAGTACAATTCAGATTTATAACACATTTAGTCATTAAAAGCAATATTTACTTTTAAGAATTCTTTCCTAATTTGATCTTTAAAATTGTTTAGGCTTAATAAAGTTTCTGCCACTTAAATTACTTACTGATTACTTTCATAGCAAGTATAAGGGGTGGGGTACACAGGATAGGTGAGGAATAGGGGAGAAACCGGGAATGACTGCCAATGTTAGGGAGTTTCTTGGGAGGTGAAAATGTACTAAAATTGAGTGTGGTGATGGTTGCATAACTCTGCAAACATACTAAAAATCATTAGATTGTACACTTTAAATGGGTGAATTGTATGATGATATGTTAATTATATCTTAACAAAGCAGTTTAAAAAATGAAACAGAAGAAATTAGAATTTTTGTAAGCATTTACTATTAACTTTACTATTAAATCAATAAAGAAATCAGTAAATACACCAAATATTTATGTTTACCTTCTGAAGGATTATATACATATGTCAACATCTCTCTATATAAAATTATTTGGTTAAGACACAGTTTATAGCCTTTTAACTTTATTACAGTACACATAAGCATGTGCATTAGGCTTACAGAATAATCTGTAAATTGTCCTGTTTTCTGTAACTTAAAAATTTAAACTGATATGTAAAAATATCAAATGAGTTTCTTCCATTTGACTAGTTTAGAGTAAATGTAACACATTTTTATGTATGCTGTATTCAAGGCATGCCTTTATTCTAATTTTAGCTGCCAAATAGAAAAATAGATGTAGAATACAGTTGTACAAGAAAAATGACAGATATTCAAAGTATCATTTTTTCAGCATATAACATAATTTGCAAGGTATTCCATATTATTGAATAGCTGAGTGTATTTAATATTATTATTTATGTGTTTCATATGATGTAACTAAGAGCTTGTGCTTATGAAAGCAATCCTGTTTTCCTTATTAAGGATGTTATAAGCACCACATGTTTAAATGCAGTAAACAGTACAGCTAAATTCAAAGGCTTACGAGCAGTGAAAAATAAGCCAGCTGTTCATATACCCCTGGGGCTGGATTAGTTGCTATGTATTTCAGTCCTTTACTTTGGGTATACTTTTAAAATGTATTGTGTATGATTTGTATTGAAAATCTTGAATGTGACATTGATTTCATTCAAGGATTATGGTTCATCCAACTTCAAAGTTGTTATCACGGATATCTAAAATTTCTAAAATTCTTTGCCAAGTTCGAAGAACCAACTGTATAATCCCAGATCAGGCACTGCTCCTGTGTATTGTTCAACAACAGAATTGGATAGTATGGAATACTGGTAAAATAACTAAGTCCTAGCACAAACATATTGAAGTACAATTCAGATTTATAACACATTTAGTCATTAAAAGCAATATTTACTTTTAAGAATTCTTTCCTAATTTGATCTTTAAAATTGTTTAGGCTTAATAAAGTTTCTGCCACTTAAATTACTTACTAATTACTTTCATAGCAAGTATGTATTAATTAACATGATGCTACATTTTTACTTGAGTTTCCAAATATGATCTACATTTGAAAGTGGTTTGAAAAAAATAAGATTTGATACATTTCTTAATGCAATTTTATTTCTTTAAGGCAAAGGGAAGCTTCTTATTCTCAATAAAATCCAAATATAATTATATTTTCAATATTTTGCCTAAAGTTTTGAGAATAAACATTCCCAACTCTTCCCAATGATAACAGGAGAAATGATGCTAGGTTAATGGCAGATGCACAATATGGTTGATGCAGACATAGAAGCAAGGAAGGAAGAGGCTACTAAAATCTGTTATACTGAGATGTGTAATGGAAATACAAGGGTAGCAAAGGAAGGAGTGAGGGCAGATGATTGCCATATAAGATATCTTTCAGATTTTAGATGCTGTTTCTTTATTTTTCTTTCATTTTTGTTATATTTTTATTGGTGTTATAGGCTAAATGGTATCCCCAAAATTGATTTGGTGATGTTCTCATTTGGAGATAGGCAAAGATACTTTGTCTGTTTTGTTTTTTTTTTGTTTTTGAGACGGAGTCTTGCTCTGTCACCCAGGCTGGAGTGCAATGGCATGATCTCGGCTCACTGCAATCCCCACCTTCCAGGTTCAAGCAATTCTCTTGTCTCAGCCTCCTGAATAGCTGGGAATACAGGCACACACCACGATGCCCAGCTAATTTTTGTATTTTTAGTAGAGACGGGGTTTCACCCTGTTGATCAGGCTGGTCTCGAACTCCTGACCTCAGGTGATCCTCCCAGCTTGGCCTCCCAAATTGCTGGGATTACAGGTGTGAGCCACTGTGTCTGGCCAGGCAAAGGTACTTTTAAGAAGGCAGTTAATGTTAAATGATGTCTTAAGGGTGGAGTCCTGTATGACTGGTATCTTTATAAGAAGAGATACCAAGGATGTTCATTCACAGAGCAAAGGCCATTTGAGGACAAAGTGAGAAAGTGCCCATCTATAAGCCAAGGATAGTGATCTCAGAAGAAATAAATCTTGCTGGTATCTTGATCTGGGACTTTCAACCTCCAGTAGTTAAAGAAAATAAATTACTGGTCTATGGTGCTTTGTTATGGCAGTTCCAGCATACTAACATAATTAATATATAACATACACATATAGAAAAGTGCATAAATTATAAGCATTGTTTGATGGTTTTCATATAGAACATAACCCATTAATTTAGTTTACGCACTACAATATATGTTTGCTGCCAATTTTAGGAGTTCCATTAGACAGATGTATTATTCCATTCTTGCATTGCTATAAAGAAACACCTGAGACTAGATTGTTTATGAAGAAAAAAGGTTTAAGTGGCTCACAGACCCACAGGCTTTACAGGAAGTATGATTCCGGCATTTGCTTGGTTTCTGAGAAGGCCTCAGGAAACTTATAATTATGGCAGAAGGCAAAGGGGAAGCAGGCTCCTCTTACATGGCCAAAGCAGGAGAAAGAGATGGAGTGGGGAGGTGCTACACACTTTTAAACAACCGGATCTCATGATAACTGTCACAAGAATAGCACTAGAGGGATGGCGCTAAACCATAAGAAACCACCATGATCCAATCACCTCCCACCAGGCCCCACTTCCAGCATTGGGGATTACATTTCAACATGAGATTTGGGTTGGGACTCAGATCCAAACCATATTATTCAGCCCCTGTTCTCTCCCAAATCTCCTTTCTCACATTTTGAAATACAATCGTGCCTTCTTAATAGTCCCCCAAAATCTTACCTCATTATAACATTAACTCTCAAGTCCATAGTCAAAAGTCTCATCTGAGACAAGGATAGTCCCTTCTGCCTATGAGCCTGTAAAATTTAAAAAAAATAAAAATAAATAAATAAATAAAAAAGTTAGTTACTTCCAAGATACAAGGGGATACAGGCACTGGGTAAGTAAGAACCTTCCGAAAGAGAGAAATTGGTCAAAAGAAAGAGGCTAGAGCACTCATGCAAGCCTGAAATCCAGTAAGGTAGTCATTTAATGTTAAAAGTCAAAGTCATCTCTTTTGACATCATGCCCCAAACCCACGTCATATCGATGCAATGAGTAGGCTTCCAAATCTCTGGGCAGCTCACTCTTTATGGCTCTGCAGCGCTCAGCCTTCATGGCTTCTCTCAAGGGATGACATTGAGTTCCTGTGGCTTTTCCAGACACATGGGTGCAAACTGTCAGAAGATCCATCATTCTGGGGTCTGGAGGACAGTGGCCCTCTTCTCACAGCTCCACTAGTCCATGGCCCAGTGGGGACTCTGTGTGGGGGCTCCAACTCCACATTTTCCCTCCATGCTGCCTTTTAGAGGTTCTCCACGAGGGCTCTGCCCCTTCAGCCGGCTTCTGCCTGGACACCCAAGCTTTTGCATATGTCCTCTAAAATCTAAGTGCAGGCACCCAAGCCTCAACTCTTGCACTCTGTGCACCCACAGGATTAACACCACATGGATGCCACCAAGGCTTATGGCTTATACTCGCTAAAGCAGTGGCCTGAGTTGTACCTGGGCCCCTTTTAACCTCAGCTGGACCTGGAGCGGCTGGGCTGCAGGGAGCAGTGTCTTTAGGCTGCACAGAGTGGTGGGGCCCAGGGCCTGGCCCACAAAACACCATTCTTCTCTCCTAGGCTTCTGGGCCTATTGATTAAAGGGGCTGCTGCAAAGGTCTCTGAAATGCCTTTAAGGTCTTTTTCCTATTGTCTTGGTTATCAGCACTTGCCTTTCTTTTAGTTATGCAAATGTCTGCAGCCTGCTTGAGTTCCTCCCTTGAAAATGGGTTTTTCTTTTCTACTACATTGCCAGGTTGCACATTTTCCAAAGCTTTATGCTTTGGTTCCCTTTTAAATATAAATTCCAGTTTCAGTTCATTTCTATGTTCATACATATGAGCATAGGTTGTTAGAAGCAGTCCTTGAACATTTTGCATCTTAGAAATTTTTTCCTCTGGATACCTTAAATTATCATTCTCAAGTCAAAAGTTCTACACATTCCCTAGAGCAGGGCCACTGCAGCCAGTCTCTTTGCTAATAAATAACAAAAGTGACCTTTGCTCCAGTTCCCACTAAGTTCCTTATTTCCATCTGAGACCTTCTCAGCCTGCACTTCATTGTCCATATTACTATCAGCATTTTGGTCAAGCAATTTAACAAATCTCTAGGAAGATCAAAGTTTGCCCTCATTTTCCTGTTCTCTGAGCTCTCCAAACTCCTCCAGCCTCTGCTTGTTACCTTGTTCCAAAGTCACTTCCATATTTTCATGTATCTTTATAGCAATGCCCTACCCCTCAGTACCAATTTTCTGTATTAGAATGCACATTGCTATAAAGAAATAACTGAGACTAGATAATTTAAAAAAAAAAGTGGGTTTCTTTGGGAGGCTGAGGCAGGTGGATCACGAGGTCAAGAGATCAAGACAATCCTGGTCAACATGGTGAAACCCCATCTCTACTAAAAATACAAAAATTAGCTGGGCGTGGTGGTGTGCACCTGTAATCTCAGCTACTTGGGAGGCTGAGGCAGGAGAATTGCTTGAACCCAGGAAGCAGTGGTTGCAGTGAGCTGAGATCGCACCATTGCACTCCAGTCTGGGCGATAGAGTGAGACTCCGATTCAAAAAAAAAAAAAAAAAAAAAAAAAGGTAAAGTGGTTTTAATTGGATCACAGTTCTGCAGGCTGTATAGGAAGCATGATACTCGCATCTGCTTGGCTTCTGGGGAGGCTTCAGGAAACTTACAATCATGGCAGAATGCGAAGGGAAAGCAGGCTCATTTTACACTGCCAGAGAAGTTTTCATGACCCCATGATTCAATCACCTCCCACCAGGCCCCACCTCCAGCATTGGGAAGTACATTTCATCATGAGATTTGGGTGGAGATACAGATCCAAATCATACCAGCATTCTTCCATTTACATCACACCGAAGGCAACCATTTGCTTGCATTGTTCTTAAATTAACTCTTTCTCTCTCTGTGTGTCTCACAGAGAGAGAGAGATGCAATAGCTGCATTTTTGTCACTAGCTTATTTAGCTCAACATTAGCTTCTGAAATTAATTTGTTTTGTTGCACATATTTGCAGTCCACTCATTACCATTACTTTGCATCACCCTTTGGATGAATATAACACAGTTCAATTATTTATTCTCCTGCTTATAAGCATTCAGGTAGTTTTTAGTTTGGGGCAATTATAAATGTTACTTCTATGAACATTCTTAAATATTTCTTAACTGAACATATGCACACATTTCTATTGGGTATATAACTAGAAATAAAATTACTGGGTTCATGTATTCAGTGTTAGGAGATGCTGCCAAAAAAGTCTTCCACATTGGATATGCCAATTTGCATTCCCTCTTTCTCTCTGTAGGAAAGCTCCCAGGTTGCACCACTTGTCTGCACTTGGCATTGCCAGAACTTTCAATTTCAGTGGTTCTGATGTATGTGTAATGGTATCCGAACGTGATTTCAATTTCTGCTTTTTTATACCTGCTAAAGTTGTGAATCTTATGTTTATTGACCTATTTACTTTAACCAGATTGAAAATATTTCATCCAATAAAAGGATATGGATCTTAATTTGAGTGGAATAATAGCATTACTGCCTCATGTATAACTATAATCAAAGCTGAAAGTGACAGAGGAGGGAGAAATTTAGTTGTATTCTGCTATGAGACTTTTACTGTATTGTTTATCTCACTTTAGGTCTACTTCTGCTCCCATTGAGTTACAGGTGTTACAGTAGAGATTAAATTTGTATAAATTGAAAAAGTATATACATATGCATATAAACAGTTTTTAAATACAGGAATGAACCAAGCATAAGTTTCTTCTCTTCCATATCACCTATTTTTTATATATCTATCCTCACATATTTGCTTTAGAACCTTAATTGTGCTATCCATATAAGTTAATTTTTAAGTCTACAAGGTTATCATGCTACTAACGTGCATAACTATTGTTGTAGCAGTATTTACATCAATTTTTGAGAATTAGATGGGAGGAAAGAGCCATGTCTCTTAATTTCAAAATTTGAGATATTATTTAGTAAACAACAAAACTAAGTCTCCTATCCAGAAATCTGATTTATTTCATAACATCAAGCTTTCCTATTTTACACACATTGTTTTATTTAGATCTTCATTGTCTCTTAAATTAATGATTGGCATCATTTCCTATTAGATAGATCTACCCTAAGACACTTTTCATCATTATTTCCATCACATTTTCTACCTGGGATATTTTTTGCAAATAGCAAATGTGAGTAAATTGTATCATATTATCCCTTGTTTCTCTGCTGTCCAGAAGAATTTCTGCTTGGCTCTGTACTTGCTCTGTATCCTCATCTTGAGGAATCTATACTCTTCTTTTCATTGCCAATCATTCTTTCTCATTGTTGACCTCTCTTTTTTCATCATTAATGAATTTTTAATGCTTCAATTTTCCTTGATTTGGTTCTGTGGCACCTAGTTTTCTCCTTTGATTTTCTTCTAACTTGGATATTTACAACTCTCATTCTGTTACCTTCATACATGGACATTTACTAAGGTTATACTTTATGCTCCTTTCTTTTCTGTATTCACATACTCTCTCTCAATCTTCTCAGCTGTTCTTAGAGTGTAAATATTACCTCAATGTGAATAATATAAAATTTGTCCTCTATTTCAACTTCTGAAATTAAAAGACTCATATCTTGGGTTCATATGAAATAAAACCTCTGTCTGATACAGAGATAACGGAAACAGTGTGTCCCAGTATGGACATATGTAGTCATGGCATACTAATTACACTCACATATTGTTCAGTTCCACTTGTAATTGGTTATAAGGGCACAAACTTTAAAGCTGAATATTCTTGTGCCATACCACTTGCATGAACCTAAGTAAGTTAGGTTCCACGATTACAACTCATTTTTCCTATTTGTGAAAAATAGGAATTTTTCATAAAAAATACAAATATAAATTGTCTTTTTTTTCTTATCAACTTTAAAAATGCAAAAAATGTGCCTCAAGCCTGCCTCACAGTCTTGTGGAAAGATGGAAATATATGGCTTTCACATCCCAAGATCCTGTGGAATGTATTGTTTAGAAAGTGCAAAGACTAAGTGTTGGATTATTAAGTAGATTGTAGAATGAGAGCAAAACTTATCCTATATGCAGCCTGTGGCTGTGACTTGAGATGTAGCACTGAGAAGTACAGTGTTATGTTTTTCATTTGAGTTGTCCCTAGGGCATTGTGGTTTTAACACACATCTAAGTACTTTGTTCAAGATTTATATTCTTTTCTCTTTGTTTAATTTGAATGGATTTGAATCTTACAGCTTTTAAGTTTGAATGCACCACTTTTATAAAATTGTTATATTATGACAAATAATCAAAAACAGTAAAACATCTTTTTTCCCTTTTATAGAGAATTTTCTGTAGTCTAACTCTGACACATTACATGATTGCCTGTCTAAAACTCTTTGTTTAGATTTTATTATGCATATTGTTGTAAATTATAAAATGCTTAAATCAAAAGGAATATAATAAAATGTATTTTTTTATATTATGTCTGTTGCTTTTGAAAAGAAAACTTCATGTCAATAAACTCACATCCTGAACTAGAAAAAAATGCTAAGCATTTCATAACCTGCTTATTTTGCTTTAAAATAGAAAGTCTCTCACATACTCATATGGTGTTTGCAATCTTAACAGTTATCCAGGGACCTAAACCATCATTTCATGAAGCAAGTTGAATGTTTACCCAGCCCAAAATGCACTTAACATGGCAGTCAGTGCAGCTAGTATAAATGGCCTCTCTCTAGGTGAAAGGCTCAAGTGTATACATGAATTAATGTATTTCTCCAGAGAGTGATCACTGGGCGCTTCTTATTAGTCAATTTATTCACTTGATTAAAGATAACTAAACATATTTTATTTTGAAGAACTTTCTTAGTTATTAATTTGAGTCAAAGAAACAGGACAGCCAATTCACCTTAGCTACTGAAAATTGTGTGCAGAGAATTAGATACTTCATGCCGTTTTATATGTGCACTGATTAAGCATGAAGAGCATATACAGTTTATAAAAGAAAAAAAGTTGTTTTTTTATATAGGTGCAAATGTCAATAAGCCCTTGATCTTTCAGGCATATAGAATCTGTAGTTAATTAACAAAAAATTTACCTCCTTCAAAAAGTATATATTATAAAGTGATTATGAAGGTTCATGCTGAATGGAAAAAACTGATTTAGTAGATAATATGGATTGCTTTGACTTTAGACATATTGTGAGTTAAACAGAAACTTATTTTAGCAGCATTAGATTTTAACTTTTTTATATAAAAGTGTTTTTTTTACAAGAGAGGTTCATGCTATGCTTAATTTGAAATGCAGTTCATTTTGCTGATGAGTTATTTGCATAGAAATGCATGATGTACATAAGATAGAGTGTTTTAACATAAAATCTTTGAAAATAATGTTTAATTCTGTCAAATTTCTAAGAAATTATAAGGTGAACTATTGTATCTCCATATCTTGTACGTATGGGTTTAAGGTTATCTACAAGAGAATTATCTTAAATCTGTGTTTTTTGAGAAAATATACTTTTATTTTTTAAGGTACTTGGAAAAAAATGTTACTTTTTAAGTTATGTGATTATTTTAATAATTAAGACAATGTCAGGAACTTACAGAATAAGTTTTTAAAATCTGCCTTAATTCTAACTCTCAAAAATAAGAGTAGATGTCATTGTCAGCCAGGTATATTTTATACATTTATTTGGATAGACTAACAGAAAGCTTTTATGAAGACAGGACCATATTATGTATGCTATACTTTTATTTTTAAAATGATGGAGAGAGGGAATGGTTTTTGGAAGACAGCCTTGGCATTGTGAATGCATGCTTACTGCCCTTCCCAGCCTACTGTGATCCTGAGTTTCAGTGTCCATTCATATACTTCATCATGATGTGAGTGAAGTTGAGGACTGTGCTATAAGCTGGGAGGAGACAGTTGGCACCAAGGGATCAAACGTAACAACCAGGTGTGAAAAACCCTGAAACAAGAGTAAGATGGCATTTTCTGGAGATATTTAGGTTCTTGAAGATAACTAAGAAATAGAGCTGCTCTGGCCAGAGTAAATCCTTCTGGAAAGATCTTCTGACATCTCTGATTCCAGTGATTCTAGGGCTGTGGATCAGGTTTTGCTCTCTCTACCTCTAAGGCTGCTGTTGATGGAACTTTGCAAGAGAGGAGAGAAAGGAACAAAGGCAACCATTTTCACAACCGTTTGGCATACCCAGTATGTTATCAATTCCAATATGTGAATATTTTTGTACCTGTCTTTTGATGCATATTTATGAGTTTGTATGAGATACATACTTGGAAGTGAATTACAGAGACTCCTAATTGTCCCTCAATATTAATAATGTACCTTTTTAAAAGGTAAATCAGAATCCCTGATATTTAACTGGATACATGATCCCTCAGAATAAAAGTATGCTTTAGCCTAATTTGCATCCATGTGTAAGTACTGGCCAAGTGAATGGAATGTTATGAAACACTGGTTTGCCAAATTAGTCCCAGACAAATCAGAGATCTTACCCTGCATTAAACTTTACTATTAATTTCAGTTACACAAGTAATCTCATGGCACTTTAAAAAGAGTGATACAGGACTTTTAATGTGGTTACTGGGCTCCTTCTCACTACATTAGACATGCTTGGTCATGACTTACATATAAGGCATCTAACTGATATGTGTAACCACAGTACTTACACAAGAGAGAGTCATATCAGTTATGAAACACTTCCATTTTATGTTAAGATAGTGATAGAGCTTTAGTGACATTTTCCAGGGAGCCATTGTCCATATATCCACATATTTTATTTTTGTTTCCTACAAACAGTCCTAAACGGCCTGCCAAGTACTTCCCTCTGAAAGTGTCCAAGGCATACAGACTTTGCTGCTATCCAATATCATTAGTTTTTTTGTTTGTTTGTTTTTTGGCCAGGAAGTCTGTGATTGACATATATAAAAGGATATTAAAACACGTCACTTGCCTTCTTTCTTTCTTTAAATGCATATTGGATTCTTAACTCTTCTTCCCACACATGTAAGCAGATGCAGTGTCTCTGAATTCCTGGCAGTAACCTTAACACTGTAAGACATGCTTTCTTCCTCCTTCCAATTAGAGTGTGGATGTTCTGGATACAGATCTACCAGCCATTTTGGCCCCTAGTGTGACCTTCAGAATAGAAACTTTACCATGAGTAAAAACAAGATTAAAGGAGTCCGTGTCCCTATAGATTTGGAGTGACATATCACTGCTAGCATGCCTATTTCCGACCTTTTGCAATATCACAGAAAAATAAACGTTTATTTTGTTTAAACTCTAGTTCGTTTTTATGTTTTGAAACTCTCAGTTTACTATAATCCTAATGAATACAAATTTGGAAGTTAGAAGTAGAATGCTGAACATAAAAGAGCCAAAAATATGTTAACATTGGAATAATAGGAGCAGATGGGCGGCAAGAATCGAGTATGCACGTATTGCAGGCTGACAATCTGATGATGTCTGTTATATAATGGAAGCTATATCCTCACATTTTCAGATACAGTAAAAGGCAGCAGTAGAGGGAATAGTGGAAAATTAACAGTGTTGGTCTCAGTTGTCCATTTCTTGCTACTTCTATTAGAGTCCTTCAAGAGAGAGGTACTTAGCCAAGATTAGACACTCAGTCTTGAAGTGGGGATGTAGCTTTCTGCTAAAGGAGGCACACTCAGTGGCTAAATATCATGCAATTTGGAACTGTGACAGGTTGAAAATCCAATGGCTTCTGTTTCCCAGATTATATCATTATAAGCTGTGGTTGTCAATCAGCAGATTTAGCAGATTATATGATTAAATACTTCTGACTGACTTACAGCTTGGTGTGGTCATGTTACTAAAGTTTGTCAAAGGAATGTAATTAGATCTATGTATAATTTCTGGAGAATGGCTTTAAATAAAAGGAGCATTGGAAGTTGTTTTCTTATTTCCTACTGGTTGAATGTAAATATAATTGCTAGAGCTCCAACAGTAATTTTGGGACCAATCACGTTTCTGAAGATGAAAGCCCAATATAGCAGAACAACATGGCTGTATAAGCCTGAAACTGACCAAATGGAATATCATAGATCTTCTGGATTTCTATACTTCTTCGATAATAGAGAAGATTAAATTCTGATAAGAAGTTTCTATTCTTTATTTCTGATACTACTAGTAAAATGAAACAGCTCTGGAATATTTGTGAAAAGCAAAATGCTTAAGAAATGTTGACATAGAGGAAGTAAGAGAATATTAAAATAAAGCAAATAAAGAAAACACATTAAAGCACATTGCACTTATATACGCAGGATACTTTCTGTTCAAAGTATAAAGGATTACATAGCATAAGATTATATACTGATAAACAGCTATAATTCTCCCTTCAAATTAGAAGTCATAAACAAATACACACCAGATAAAGTCATTAACTATTTAAGGTCATAATTATTTGAAATGCATATTTCAATCTCCAACAATATATTTTATTAGCTAGTCTGAAATAAATATGAATCTAAAATTTGCAGGATAAATAAAATTACAAGAGTTTAAAAACAAAGTGAAGTTAGGGAGACAACAGGACACAAAAGCCAGTTTTTATTTTGATAATTCATGAAAAACCCTGGATTTGTTGATCTTGTATTTTCACGATTCCATAGGGTGCAGAAGATGGAAGGAAAAATGTAGGGATCAATCAACTTTAGATATCTAATTCAAAATGACTCAGACTTTGGGATTCAATAGGCTATACCTTATGTAAAAAGGTTAGCGAAAAAATTCAAAATATAATGATAAAAATAAATTATCATTTCAGTGGCTCTGTGGAATGGTGCTGGAGCTTCTTCCAGGACAATTTATAACTAAGCCAGCCCTCCCTTAATTTTGTGGTGTAAATCCATACTACCACATGGTCAAAAACACCTCATGGATAAAATTTAATTTAACAGACTCCCAGGTTAGCAGTGTATCAAATGACTGGTAGGACTAACTACAGATTGTTTCTGGAAGAAGAAAACTTCAAACTGTACTTTAAATAATTCCCTAAAGAAAAGGCCAAAAGAATTATGTATTATACTCACAGGTCACAGAGAAGGGGCCACAGCATGTGATGCAGAGCATTTTTGGAAGCACAAGATTTGGGTCAGGTGGTAGAAGAAAACAAAAGGAAAGCCCGAGGCTATAGGGCCTTTATTGGTGTTTTCTAGGAAAAAAAAAAAATGTAGGGCAGGATAAACAGCTTAGGATTGGCTAAATGACTAATTAAATGATTAATTTCAGTGGGCTTTGCGTTACAGGGATTGTCTCCAGTTGCCTTGTACCTGGCCCTGGGATGATTAAGGCAGAGGAATAGTGTCTCTTGGGGTGTATAGGTCGGACAGAAAAGTTATGCCTCTGGGTTACTTACTTTGTATATCAAAGGGAATCTGATGTTTTAAATGTATTGAGCTTTTCTTATTTTATTTTGTGTCCTGGAAATGATACCAATTATGTCTAAGCATATTTCAATGAGCAGATCATTTTTTTACTATTTAGCCAGTTACAATGAAGTAATTGTTCTTCAAAAAAAATTTTTTTGCCAACTTTGTACCTATTTTACACACAACTTATACTAAAAACAGCCCACATTATTCTATCAAAAGTCTATGACTAGAATGCCTGTGATAACTTCATTTTCTGATGATAAAGGCTTAGTTTTGAAGAATTATTCCAAAGACCAGCTCCTTAATAGTGACTTCACTAAACAGCACATCCAGACACATACATTCTACCTTCATAGCAACTCACATGTTGTCCCATAACTCTAGTATACACTGTTGGAATTATTTGTTCATAATTGAAATATATTTGTTAGATTTGGATAGATTTCCATTTAATCA
Source organism: Homo sapiens (assembly GCF_000001405.40). Classification (NCBI taxonomy): domain Eukaryota; kingdom Metazoa; phylum Chordata; class Mammalia; order Primates; family Hominidae; genus Homo; species Homo sapiens. The sequence continues at coordinate 56,176,369 of NC_000013.11, forward strand.
TCTTAGCATTAATGATACTATTGGTTGCACTGTGAGTTTGCAACTGAAAAAAAAAAAGAAACACTGGGTAATATATGACAGCCTCAGACACGAGGAGGTCTAAATCATTCAACACTTTGTGAGGTTTTCAGAACAGAGGTACAGAAAAGAAATGAAACGCTCATTTCTGACAAACAAAAGCTGACCATTTTGTGGAATTAACAATTAATTTATTGCCTCATGTAAACAAACTCAAACATTTAACAACATTATGTTGGAACTTTTGTCTATGTTCAAAACTAACTATAGAGTTTGTATCTAGTAACTGTAGAGTTTGTATATGGTAAGTAGAAGAAACGTTTCTGGTGTTAGTGCTTGATGTATGTCCCATTCAGTAAACACATCTAGCGCTGTATAAGACTTTGATAAAAATAAGCATTATTGAAAATAAAAAGGAGAAAATATTAACCCAAACATTCTTCAAAGTGATCCTTCTTACGTGCATGTTAAAATGAACGTCTTTCAAGAAAAATTTACAAAGAGGTGGAAGTGGCCCATTCAAAACAGAAGTAGACTGGTCAAGAGCAAAAGTCATGGCAATAGTTTTTTTTGGATGCCCAACTTTGTCTTTTGACTTCCTGAAGGCCCAAAGAGTGATAATATCTGTTTATTATCAGAGTGTTTTGAGAAAGCCAAAACTTTAGTAGAAAAATGCTGGGAAAGCTTCATCAGAGAGTCCTTCTTTACCATGACAATGATCCTGCTCATTCTTTTTATCAATCAGGAGTAATTTTTCCAGAGTTTATATAAAAATCATTAAGCATTCACTTTATAGTACTGATTTGGCTCATTCTGATTGATTTTTGTTTCCTAAACTTAAAACATCTATAAACCTATTTTTCTTCAATTAATAATGCAGAAGTGACCACATTGGCATAGTTTAATTCCCAGGCCACTGAGTTCTTTAGGGATAGACTAAATAGACTGTAAATGACTTATATAAAGTTTCTTGATTTTGACGGACCTTATGTTGAAAAATAAAATGTATATATCTTTATCTTTTAATTCTATTCTTCCGCAAGCATTTTAATGTTACTCACCTACATGACTTTAAAAGTAGACTTCTGACTCAGTTAGTTGGGAATGCTATAACAAAATATCATAGACAGGATGGCTTAAGCAACATATATGTATCTTAGTTTTGGTGTCTGGGAAGCTGAAGATCAAAATGCTAACAGACTTGGTTTTGGTGAGGACTCAATTCCTGGATTTCTGATGACTTGCTGTAGCCTCACAAGTCAAAGAGAGGAATCTCTGATGTCTCTTTTTCATGTAAGAATACCAAACCCATCATGAGGGTTTCACTCTCATGACTTTATCTGAATCTGATTAGCTCCCAAATGCTGCACTTCCTAATGCCATTACATTGGGGAATGAGGCCAGAACAAATAAATTTTGGAGGCACAAACGTTGTCTTTAACAGGCTTCCAATCGAATATGAATATGACAGTAGAAGCAAGTGGGAAAATGAAAAATATTTCTATACGGGCTTCTAAATTTACTTCAAGTTAGTAGTATATTTCTCATCAAAACTATGTTGTACTGAATACTACTTATGTGAATCGTATTTATTGACTTGTGTATGTTGAACCTTCCCTGCATGCCTTTGATGAAACTCACTTAATCATGGGAAATCGTCTTTATAATGTGCTGTTGGATTTGGTTTGATAGCATTTTGTTGACTATTTGTGATAACCTCAATAGACAAATAAAAAACATTCAATAAAATCCAGCATCCCTTTATGATAAAATCCCTTAACAATTTAGGCATAGAAGAAAGATACCTCAAAATAATAAAAGCCATATATGATAAACTCACAGCCAACATCATACTAAACAATGAAAAGTTAAAAGCATTTCCACTAAGAACTGGAGCAAAATGAGGATGTTCACTTTTACCACTTCTATTCTACATAGTACTGGAAGTCCTAGCCAGAGAAATCAGGTAAGAGAAAGAAACAAAGGACATCTAAATTAGAAAAGAGAAAGTCAAACTATCTCTAACTATAATATAATATTACACCTAGAAAACCCTAAATACTCTTCCAAAAGTCTCCTAGATTTGATAAATAAAGTCAGTAAAGCCTCAGGTTACCAAATCAATGTATACAAATCAGTAGCATTGCCATAGACTGAGAATCAAATCAAGATCACACTGAGAATTAAATCAAGAGCTTGAACACATTGACAATAGTGACAAAACATTTAAAATATCTAGAAATATAATTAACCAAGAAGGTGAAAGATTTCTACAAGGAATACTATAAAACACCACAAAAAGAAATCACAGATGGCATAAACAAAAAAAAATTTCTATGCTCATGGATTAGAAGAATCAATATTTTAAAAACAAACATATTGCCCAAAGCAATCTACAGATTCTATGTTATTCCTATAGAAATACTAACATCATTTTCCATAGAATTAGAAAAAATAATCCTAAAATTCATATGAAACCAAAAAAGAGCCCTAACAGCCAAAGCAATCCTAAGCAAAAAGAACCAATCTGGAAGGATCACACTACCAAACTTCAAATTATACTACAAGGCTATATTAATCAAAACAGCATGGTACTGGTAAAAAGTAGACACATAGACCAATAGAAGATAATAGAAAAATACAGCCAAATACATACAACCAACTGATCTTCAACAAACTAAACACAAGAATATGCTAGAGGATGGATACCCTATTTAATAAATGGTTCTGGGAAAATTGGATAGCCATGTGTAGAAGAATAAAACTGGATCCATATCTCTCACTATATAAAAAAATCAATTGAAACTGGATTAAACACTTAAATCTAAGACCTGAAACCATAAAAGTTTTAGAAGAAAACCTAGGGAAAACACTTGCTGACATTGGCTTAGGCCAGACATTGGCTTAGGCCAAGAATTTATGACTGTAACTCCCAAAGAAAATACAACAAAAACAAAGGTAAATAAATGGGACCTACCTAAATTAAAGAGCTTCTGAAAAACAAAAGAAATAATCAAGAGAGTAAATAGACAACCTACAGAATAGCAGACAATATTTGCAAAATATACCTCCAATGGACTAAATCTACAAGGAACTCAAGCAAATTAGCAAGAAAAAAAAGATCTCATTTAAAAAATGAGAAACAACATGAATAGACATTTCTCAAAAGAAGATATACAAATGGTCAAAAAGCATATAAAAAATGTTGAACATTACTAATCATCAGAGAAGTGCAAATTGAAACACAATGAGATACCACCTCGTCAGAATCAGAATGGCCATTATTAAGAAGTCAAAAATAAAATAGACTGTGCACAGTGACTTATACATATAATTCCAGCACCTCGGGAGGCTTAGGCAGGCAGATTGCTTGAGCTCAGGAGTTTGAGCCCGGGTAACATGGCAGAACCCCGTCTCTAGAAAAAATACAAAAATTAGCCAGGTGTGGTGGCATGCCTCTTATCCCAGCTACTTGGGGGGCTGAGGTGGGAGAGTTACCTGAGCCCAGGAAGTCAAGGCTTCAGTGAGCCAATATCATGTCTCTGCACTCCACCCTGTGTGACGAAGTGAGATCCTGTCTCAAACAAACAGACAAACAAACAAACAAACAAACAAAAAGCAATAGATGTTAGCACAAATGTGGTGAAAATGAAATTCTTCTACACTGCTGGTACAAATGTAAATTCATATGACCTCTATAGAAAACAGTATGGCTATTTCTCAAAGAACTAAAAGTAGACCTACCATTCTATCCAGCAATCTCACTACTAAGCATCTATCCAAATGAAAATAAATAATTATATCAAAAGACACTTGCACATGCATTTTTATCACAGCACAATTCACAATTGTAAAGCTATGGAATCAACCTAAGTGCCCATCAACTGATGAGTAGAAAAAGAATATAAGGTTTATATGTGCTATGGAATACCACTTAGCCATAAAAAGAGAATGAAATAATCTCTTTTGCAGCAACTTGGACAGAATTGAAGGCCATTATTCCAAGTGAAATAAAGTGAATGGAAAACCAAATACCACATATTATCACTTATAAGTAAGAGTTAAACTAGGAGTATGCAAAGGCATATAATGTGGTATTATGGACATTGGAGATTATGTATGGGGGTGTGAGGAATGAAAAATTACCATTGTTTACAACATGCACTATTTAGATGACAAGTACACTAAAAGCCCAGACTTCCCCACTACACAATTCATTCTTGTAAACAAAAACCACTTGTATCCTTAAATTATTAAGATAAATATTATTTTCAAAAAGCTACGTTGTAACATATCTTTATTCAAACATATGTTAACTAGGAAATCAAAATACATACTAACGAAGAAATAATTTTCAATATCAAAATCGACCCACTCTGCTTAACATGATTAATGAAATCTCTCTAAGCATATTTTTACAAAAACCTTTCTTTTCAGCATTAATTCACAAAATTGTTTTTATTAAGTTGTAACTTAAAGTACTTTTAAAAAATATTCTATGATTAATATAAAACAATGGTGTCATCAACTCTGTAACATACTGTGGAAGAAACAACAACTGTGAAGTCAAGCCTGTAGTGTTTAACTCAAGTTTTTCTATTTACCTCCAGAGTGATCAAGGAAAAGTTACCTAATTTATTTGAATCTTAGTTTCTTTACTTTTAAAATGAAAACAGTTACAGTTCCAGGACTAACATAAAGCTTTAGATAAACTAGTGTTGACTGGAAAATGTTACTCCTTATCACATATTTTATATTAAAACTGACATATGCTAACGAGTAAAAGCTTGCTATCATCACGTACACACATAAACTTCACATATTCTTTATTCATGTCCCTTATATTCATTTTGGAGAAGGAGCATCATTTAAGAATATGGTATCATATTTATTTATTTATTTTTATTTTAAACTAATAAAAAAGTTTATTTTAAACAATCTTAGGTGGATAAAATAGCTCCCTTACTAGATATTCTCAAAAGATTAAGGTTCTTCAGGTTTTCAGGAAACGCATATTAAAATATTCATAGAGGTAATTTGTATTTTTTAACATTACTGTTAGGTCAACTTTGAGAATGCTGATATTGTACTTAATGTCAAATTGTTATGCTTTAATTTTTTTAATGTACATAAATAATTGCTTCTATAGACAAAGCACCCAAGGTCACAAACTGCCCTGCATTATAAATGACAACTCTATCTTCATTATCTACACAGTTGTTAAATGCAAAATTATTATTCCTTATTATAATTGATGAACAAATATTTTAAGTAGTAAAAATTGCATTTGCAAAAGTCTCTGGAAAACTGGATATATCTTTGGTCAGCTTTCCATATCTTTGGAATAGATATTTAGGTTTCTCAAATGCTGTAATCATTCATGTTGTAATCATTCATGATATCATAGATATCCTTAACATATAGCATGTAAAACACTATTCTCTGTACTTTGCATTTAATCTTTCCAATAACCCTGAAGTGCGGTACTCCCCACCTCCCCAATCTATTTTACTTATAAAGAAATTGAGATTCAGGCAGATAGAAAGCCAATTCTAAGATATATGTTAAAAATCTTCGGAACTGAAAATCAAACCCAGATCTCACTTATTACAAAGCATACACTCTCTGCAATACAACAGACAGTTCCCCAGCTTTAACCAGTAGCATCTGATTAATCATTGGCCCTATTAATTAAGATAGTATGAAAAAACAGAAAAGATAGTATGTTAGAAACCAAAACATTGGCAGGCAGGGCCAAGATGGCCAACTAGAAGTAGTGGGAATAGGAGGTTTCCATTGAAAAGAACTGTAACCACATGTGAAACTTGCACCAGCAACTGAGGTATTCAGCTTCTATCATCAGAACTGACTAGATGGCTGGAGTGACCCACAAAGAGGAAGGAAGAGGACTGTTGTGTGGGAGCCCACCTGAGAGCCACATGGGGCAGGGCAGCCCTCAGCCAAAGGAGGCAGGGAGTGAGTATGTTACTCAGCCTTGGAAAATGTGCTCTTTCCAAGGAACTGTGAAATTCACAGATCGGAAGAGCCCACTGGTGAGTCCATGCAACTGGGGCCTAGGGTCCCAACTGTGGAGCCCTGCAGATTCTCAACAGCCACTAAGCTTAAGCCTGCTGAGCTCTTGGAGGGAGGGGTGACCAGCACCAGAGTTGCAGCTGCCAGCTCTCTAAGCCCTTTGAGATCTAAGCCTTTTGAGATCCTCAGCAGCCAACACTGGGACTGATAGCCGCCTAACATACTAAGCTCCCAGGGTGGCAGCCATCTCTATAGCTCCAGGCTGCACTTTTCCCCTGCTGGAGCCAGGGAGGCTGGACGGCTTGGTCCCAAGAGGTATCCTCCACAGCCCAACACACCTGAGCTGTGGTGGACTGAGGACAGAGTGACTCTTCAGGCCTGACCTTGACCCATCCCTCCTCACTGAGTGGGGCCTCCCTGCAGGAACTCCAACAACTCCAGCCAGGGGCTTAGGACAGAACTCTGATCTGCCTGAGCCTGAGCCCCTAGGGGTAGTGATAGCCACAGTCTCTGCAGATAAGCCGACTTAGTCTTTCTTCCTGCTAGATTAGAGAAAAAAAGAATGCAGAAGAATGATCAAAACTCTGAGAAATATGGGACTATGTAAAAAGACCGTACCTATGATTGATTAGAGTACCTGAAAGAGACCAGGAGAATGGAACCAAGTTGGAAAACACACTTCAGGATATTATCTAGGAGAACTTCCCCAACCTAACAAGACAGGACAACATTCAAATTCAGGAAATACATAGAACCCCACTAAGATAACTCATGAGAAGATCAACCTCAAGACACATAATCATCAAATTCTTAAAAGTTGAAATGAGGGAAAAAATATTAAGGACAGGCAGAGAGAAAGGCCAGGTCACCTACAAAAAGAATACCATCAGAATAACAGCAGAGCTCTCAGCAGAAACCCTATAAGCCAGAAAAGAGTGAGGGCCAATATTCCGCATTTTTAAAGAAAATAATTTTCAACCCAGAATTTCATATCCAGACAAACTAAGCTTCACAAGTGAAAAAGAAATAAAATCTTTTCTAGACAAGCGAATGCTGAGGGAATTCATCACCACCAGGGTTGCCTTGCAAGAGCTCCTGAAGGAAGAACTAAATAGGAAAAAGGAAAAACCAATACAAGCCACTGCAAAAACACACTAAAATATAAAGACCAATGACACTATGAAGAAACTCCATCAACTAGTATGCAAAACACCAGATAGCATCATGATGACAGGATCAAATTTACACATAACAATATTAACCTTAAATGTAAATGGGCTAAATGCCCCAAGTAAAAGACACAGACTGACAAATTGGATAAAAAGTCAAGACCCATCGGTGTGCTGTATTCAGGAGGCTTATCTCATGTGCAAAGACACACCTAGGCTTGACATAAAGGGATGGAGGAAAATTCACCAAGCAAATGGAAAGCAAAAAAAAGGCGGGGGTTGCAATCCTACCCTCTGACAAAACAGACTTTAAGCCAACAAAGATCAAAAAAGAAAAGGAGGGCATCACATAATGGCTAAGAGATTAATTCAACAAGAAGAGCTAACTATTCTAAATAAATATGCACCCAATATAAGAGCACCTAGATTCATAAATCAAGTTCTTAGAGGCCTATAAAGAGACTTAGACTCCCACATAATAATAGTGGGAGATGTTAACAACCCACAGTCAATATTAAACAGATCAATGAGACAGAAAATTAAAAAGGATATTAAAGTCTTGAAGTCAGCTATGGATCAAGTGCCTAATAGATATCTACAGAACTCTCCACCCCAAATCAACAGAATATACATTTTTCTCAGTGTCACATGACACTCATTCTAAAATCGAGCACATAATTGGAAGTAAAACACTCCTCAGCAAATGCAAAAGAACTGAAATCATAACAATCTCTCAGACCACAGTGCAATCAAATTAGCACTCAGGATTAAGAAACTTACTCAAAACCAGACAAATACATGGAAATTGAACAACCTGCCCCTGAAAGACTCCTGGGTTAACAATGAAATTAAGGCAGAAGTCAAGAAGTTCTTTGAAACCAATGAGAACAAAGAGACAATGTACCAGAATCTCTGGGACACAGCTAAATCAGTGTTAAAAGGGAAATCTGAATGCCCACATCAGAAAGCTAGAAAGATCTCAAATCAACACCCCAAAATCACAATTAAAAGAGCTAGAGAAGCAAGAGCAAACAAATTCAAAAGCTATCAGAAGACAAGAAATAACTAAGATTAGAGCAGAACTGAAGGAGATAGAGATACAAAAAATTCTTCAAAAAAAAATCAATGAATTCAGGAGTTTTTTTTTTTTTGAAAAAAAAATGAACAAAATAGAACACTAGCTAGACTAATAAAGAAGAAAAGAGAGAAGAGTCAAATAGACACAATAAAAAATGATAAAAGAGATATCACTATTGACTCCATAGAAATACAAACTATGATCAGAGAATACTATAAAGACCTCTAGGCAAATAAACTAAAAAATCTAGAAGAAATGGATAAATTCCTCGACATGTAAACCTTTCCAAGACTAAAACAGGAAGAAGTCATATCCCTGAATAGATCAACAAGTTCTCCAATTGAGGTAGTAATTAATAGCCAACCAACCAATAAAAGCCCAGGACCAGATGGATTCACAGCTGAATTCTACAAGAGATACAAAGAGGAGCCGGTACCATTTCTTCTGAAACTATTCTAAACAGTTGAAAAGGAGAGACTTCTCCTTAATACATTTTATAAGGCCAACTTTATCTTGATACAAAAACCTGGCAGAGACACAACAAAAAAGGAAACTTCAGGCCAATATCCCTGATGAACATCAATGGGAAAATCCTCACTAAAATACGGGCAAACTGAATCCAGCAGCACATCAAAAAGCTTATCCATCACAATCAAGTAGGCTTCATCCCTGAGATGCAAGGCTGGTTCAACATATGCAAATCAATAAATGTAATCCATCACATAAACAGAACCAATGACAAAAGCCATATGATCATCTCAACAGATGCAGAAAAGGCCTTCGATGTTATTCAACATGGCTTCATGTTAAAAACTCTCAATAAACTAGGTATTGATGGAACATATCTCAAAATAATGAGATATATTTATGACAAACCCACAGCCAATATCATACCAAATGGGCAAAAGCTGGAAGCATTCCCTTTGAAACCAGCACAAGATAAGGATGGCTCCTCTCACTACTCCTCTTCAACATAGTATTGGAAGTTCTGACCAGGGCAATAAGGCAAGAGAAAGAAGTAAAGGAAAAAAAATGGAAAGAGAGGAAGTCAAATTGTCTCTATTTGCAGACAACATGATTCTATATTTAGAAAACCCCATCACCTCAGCCCTAAAACTCCATAAGCTGATAAGCAACTTCAGCAAAGTCCCAGGATATAAAATCAATGTGCAAATATCACAAGCATTACTATACACCAACAATAGACAAGCAGAGTGACAAATCATGAATGAACTCCCATTCACAATTGCTACAAAGAGAATAAAATACATAGGAATACAGCTAACAAAGGCAGTAAAGGACCTCTTCAAGGAGAACTACAAACCACTGCTAAAGGAATTCAGAGAGGACACAAACAAATGGAAAAACGTTCCATCCTTATGGATAAGAAGAATCAATATTGTAAAAATGGTCACACTGCACAAAGTAATTTATATATTCAATGCTATTCCCATTAAACTATCACTGATATTCTTCATAGAATTAGAAAAAAACTAAATTTCATATGGAACCATAAAAGAGCCTGTATAGCCAAGACAATCCTAAGGAAAAAGAACAAAGCTGGAGGCATCATGTTACCTGACTTCAAACTATACTGCAAGGTTATAGCAAGCAAAATAGCATGGTACTTGTACCAAAACAGACATATCAACCAATGGAACAGAACAGAGACCTGAGAAATAACACCACACATCTACAACCATCTGATCTTCAACAAATCTGACAAAAACAAGCAATATTGAAATGAGTCCCTATTTAATAAATGGTGCTGGGAAAACTGGCTAGTCATTTGCAGAGAACTGAAACTGGACCCCTTCCTTACACCTTAAACAAAAATTAACTCAAGATGAATTAAAGCCTTAAATGTAAAACTCAAAACCATAAAAACCCTAGAAGAAAACCTAGGCAATACCATTCAAGACATAGGCATGGGCAAAGACTTCAAGATGAAAATGTCAAAAGCAATTGCAACAAAAGCCAAAATTGACAAACGGGATCTAATTAAACTAAAGAGCTTCTGCACAGCGAAAGAAACTATCATCAGAGTGAACAGGCAACCTACAGAATGGGAGAAAATTTTTACAATGTACCCATGTTACAAAGGTCTAATATCCAGAATCTACAAGGAATTTAAACAAATTTACAAGAAAAAAAAACAACCCCATCAAAAAGTGAGCAAAGGATATGAACACATACTTCTTAAAAGAAGACAATTATATCACAACAAACACATAAAAAAAAAGCTCAACGTCACTGATCATTAAAGAAATGCAAATCAAAACCACAATGAGATACCTTCTAACACCAGTCAGAATGGCGACTATTAAAAAGTTAAGAAACAATAGTTGCTGGCGAGGCTGTGGAGAAATAGGAATGCTTTCACACTGTCGGTGGGAATGTAAATTAGTTCAACCATTGTGGAACACAGTGTGGCAATTCCTCAAGGATCTAGAACCAGAAATACCATTTGACCTAGCAATCCCATTACTGGGTATATATCCAAAGGAATATAAATCATTCTACTATAAAGATACATGCACATGTATATTTATTGCAGCACTGTTTACAATAGTAAAGACATGGAACCAACCCAAATGCCCATCAGTGATAGACTGGATAAAGAAAATGTGGTACATATACACCATGGAATACTATGCAGCCATAAAAAAGAATGAGCTCATGAGAGGTGACAACAGTTAGCAGCCCTTGCTCCCTCTTGGTGCCTCCGTGGCCTCTGGGTCTGCTTTGGCTGCGCTCAAGGAGCCCTTCAGCCCACCACTACACTGTGGGGGCCCCTCTCTGGGGCTGGCGGAGGGCGGAGCCTGTTCCGTCTGTTCACAGGGAGGTGTGGAGGGGGAGGCATGGGCGGGAGCCAGGGCTGTGTGCAGTGCTTGTGGGCTGGCGCGGGTTCCAGGTGGGCGTGGGCTCGGTGGGCCGCACTCAGCGTGGTTGGCTTGCACCTGCTGGGCTTGATCAGAGGCTGGGTCCCGTGTGTGGACCGCAGTTCCCTCTTCGTGGGGTCACTGGCCACAATGGCAGGTCTCCCTCTCTTTCTTGCTTCCCCTCTTTTCCTCTTGGTTGTCTGGGACCAGCTCTCTCTGTGCTGCTGGAGTGCCCGGGCTAGGAGCCACAAAGTCCCACTGCAAGTGCCAGTGAGATGTGAAGCAGGCTGGGTTTCTGGGATGGGTGGGGACTTGGAGAACTTTTCTGTCTAGCTAAAGGATTGTGAGTGCACCAATCAGCACTCTGTGTCTGGCTAAAGGTTTGTAAATGCACCAATCAGCACTCTGTGTCTAGCTAATGGTTTGTAAAGGCACCAATCAGCACTCTGTGTTTAGCTAATCTTGTAGGGGACTTGGAGAACTTTTGTGTCTAGCTAAAGGATTGTAAACGCGCAAATCAGCACTCTGTGTCTAGCTAAAGGTTTGTAAACACACCAATCAGCACTCTGTCAAAACGGACCAGATAAGGGAATAAAAGCAGGCCACCTGAGCCAGCAGAGGCAACCCACTCGGATCCCCTTCCATGCTGTGGAAGCTTTGTTCTTTCGCTCTTTGCAATAAATCTTGCTGCTGCTCACTCTTTGGGTCGGCGCAGCCTTTATGAGCTGTAACACTCACCTTGAAGGTCTGTAGCTTCACTCCTGAAGCCAGCGAGCCCACGAACCCACCGGGAGGGATGAACAACTCCGGACGCGCCACCTTTATGAACTGTAACACTCACCGCGAAGGTCTGCAGCTTCACTCCTGAGGCCAGCGAGACCACGAACCCACCGGAAGGAAGGAACAGCTCCAGACGCGCCGCCTTTATGAGCTGTAACACTCACCGTGAAGGTCTGTAGCTTCACTCCTGAAGTCAGCAAGACCACGAACCCACCAGAAGGAAGAAACTCCGGACACATCTGAACATCTGAAGGAACAAACTCTGGACACACCATCTTTAAGAACTGTAACACTCACCACGACGGTCCGTGGCGTCATTCTTGACGTCAGTGAGACCAAGAACCCACCAATTCCGGACATACCATCATCCTCAGCAAACTAACACAGGAACAGAAAACCAAACACCACATGTTCTCACTCATAAGTGGGGGTTGAACAGTGAGAACACATGGACACAGGGAGGTGAACACATGGACACAGGGAGGTGAACTACACACTGGGGCCAGTCAGGGGATGGGGGACAAGGGAAGGGAGAGTATTAGGACAAATGCCTAATGCATGTGGGGCTTAAAACCTAGATGATGAGTTGATAGGTGGAGCAAACCACCATAGCACATGTAGTACCTATGTAACAAACCTACATGTTCTGCACTTGTATCCTGGAACTTAAAGTAAAATAAAAAATAAAATAAATCAAAACATCTGGTATCCAGTCTCATCGCCTGTGCATCATTTGTACAAACTACTGAGGTGTTTGCTTAAAGTTTATATGGCCCCGAAAAATTATAATAATTTTAAAAGTCAATATTTATAAATTTTGCTACATACGAATTGCCAAATCATGTGCTTTAAATAAATTATCTTACCTTAGCTTTGCCGTGAACCTCTTATATAAAAGGTATTATTATCTACATTTTGTAAGAGGAAAACATTGATTCAAATGAGACTAACTAACTTGCTTGGAGTAACACACCCAAGAATTTGTGGAACTAGGATAAAGTTCAAGCTCTCTGGTGACTGCTTTCATGAGATTAATGGCTATATGATACAGGTTTAAAACATAATTTTTACAAAAAATGAGAAAGAAGACTCCTCTTAATCTGAGCATTCAATAACATCTAAATTTGCAGTTACTGGAATTTAATTAATTAGAGAAGGTTCCACATTAGAAACCTATTGCCCAATGTAGCTACTGACAGGAACAGGAGGCAAGGAAATTCTGGCCAGAAGAGGGTAGGTTCCTGGCAAGGTCCCCACTCTCAAGCCAAAACACCTAATTATGCAATCCAAAGTGAGAAATTACATCCCTGTTTTCCCCGCCCCCTCATCCTGTGCTCATATAAACCCCAGGTTCAGCCAGCAGAGAGAAGAGAAGCAGCTGGATGTCAGAGACTATGCTTGGATGTTGGAGAGAAGTGGCTTGACTTCAGAAGAACAGCTTGATGGTGTAGCCTAAGAGAGGAGTCCAGCTGTCCAGATGGAGAATATTACCTTTCCCCTCTGTTTTCTTTTCAGCACCCCTTCCCACTGAGAGCCACTTTCATCAGCACTAAAATCCCCCACATTTACCATCTTAGAGTCGTTCGTATGACCTTATTCCTCCTGGACACTGGACAAGGACTCAGGTGCTACGAGTGTGGGTGCAAAAGTCTCTCACCCTGACTCTCCACTGAGCTGCCAACATTTAAACCGTTTGTGAATAGCAAAGCTAAAAGGGCACTGTAACACTTCCTCTGGGTCTTCAGGGGTCACAGGCACTCTCCCCTAGATGCTGCTGCAGGGTGGGTACAGAGTTCAGTCTTGCAAGAGCCCAAAAGTGTTCGCCCCAGCTCGTGCACCTGCTCACATGCACTCTCCCTCCCATGGGGGGGTGGAGCAGCGAGTGAGTGCAGTTCACCCCTGCCAGCACCCATGCACAACACTTCCCACTCATGAAGGCATCAGGGAAATATCCTGCTTCACTGTCATGTTCGAATCCATGCTACCAACTAATTAAAAAAAAAATAAAAAAATAAAACTGTCATGTAACAAAAGGTGAGGATGAAAAAATAAAACACAAAACCCCAAATAGTTAACATTTTAAACAACTACTGCAAAAAAAAAAAGCCTTACATTTAATCTTTACAGCAAATATATTTGGTATGTACTATTTCTATTTTTTACATGAAGAACCTGAAATTCAAAGAAGTTAGTGGTCTTGTTCAAGGTCCAGTGGTTCACTGGAATTAGGATTTAAATGTAAGCAGTTTGACTCTAGAAGTCTTGTGTTTGATCCCTCAATTGAGTGTGACTTATCACCTCCTCAAACTCCCCCTACCAAAAAACACACCAAAGAGCAAGACTAATGTATTTGCATTGTCAAGCAAAAAATAATCTAGATTAATTAAATTCATAATAAAAAATCATACTTTTATGTATTATCTTGTTCAAAGTAGGTAGCAAAAGGTACATGCAAACATTACCTGAAAACATTACTGATGAAGCCAAGAGAGTGGGTAACCATCTGAATATCTATAGATTTGGGAACTCGGATAGTGAAAGGTTGGGTATTAACTCAAATTAACTGAAAAAAATCCAGAAGATAGATATAATTAGATATAAAAGATAGAGATAATTTGCATGCGTATATGTAAATGTGTATATTTCACTGAATATATATAATATATAATATATTTTTGTTTAAAAAATATTAAAATATACATATATTTTATATACAAAATATACATGTATTAAAATATACATTTACAGCAATATATATTATATATATATATTCCACTGAAACCTTAATATATAATGTTATGAATATTGTGCCCAGGACCAATAAAGATATTAATAAGAAGGAATTCAACAGTCTTAATACTCTAACTCTCAGCAAAAAAATACTACTAGCTATTTTTTCTTTTATTTTATTTGAATTTTTAATTATTTTTACTATATAACACAGTTCTCAAAACGAGATCCCATTAAATCTCTGTCTGAAAAACTGTGTTAGTAGTAGTCTCATTTCACAACAGAATATACCTGCTCATGGCATAGTCACAGTCACAATATGTTGTACTCGACCCTGATAATAAGCTAATATCAAATGCCTTGACTCCTCCTTTCTTCATTTCTTTTTGTTTTTTAATCTGAAGCAAATCATTTCAAATCCAACCATATTTTTTCTCACTGACCCTTAAAACTTCCTGGGATAATAACACCTATTTTTCTTTGATAACTAATATGTATAGCATATTTTATTAACTAATGAAATTGCCACACCAAAAAATTTCATTATTTGGAAGTCATAAACATCATTTATTAAAACGTGATTTAACAGACATGGAGGAAATTAAGCCTGGAGTTTGTTGAACACCCCCAGGTAATGGATTAACGAATGTCTAATTCAAGGAGAATCACATGTCCAGGAGTACAACAAAATTATTATCAATAACAGATAGAAAATAAAGAGGTACATTATCCCAGTAGGTGAACAAAACTTAGTAATGATGAATATGAAACAGTAAATATGTTACAACATGGAGTGAACATCAGAGTGTTATATTCAAAGAACTAGATGTTAGTGTCTTTTTGTTTATTTGCTTGTTTATATTGAGAGATGATGTCTTGTTATACTTATAGATTCTCTGAAATTTTTGTGACATTTCTTTTAAAATGATAGGGTTTTGACATTTGACATCTATATTTCAAGATATGAAAGATCTGAAACTTATATCTGAAAATAGAGACCAAAGAATCTTGAAAATGAAAATCAGTACTAAATTGACTAACTTGGAGAATGATCTGAATTCTAGGCATGTTTTCACTTTTTTTTTTTAAGCAATTTTGGGCTGGTGATGGAATAGTGATAAGGGTCATTTAAGGGTAAAGTGTAACTATTCCAGAAAAGAATAATCAGTTAATTATGGGTAGATAAAGTGTTAACAACAACAACAAAAAATATGACATGAATCTAGTCTAGCCCTGAGGCACTGAGGGCCTGGACTACACCTGAAAGAAATAAATACAGAGTGTATTACAAAGGAAGCATTTTGTGCTAGGAAAGACCCTCAAAAATAACTTATGAATAAATTATGTGTGAATTAACATGGATAGAAATGCAGATCACAATAAAATTGTATCACTGTTTTCCTGACACATTCCTGATACACTCCATGTTTTAAAAACCCATTTCTCATTTTCCTACCATTCTTTTACTTGAGTTCTCTGACTTCTTTGCTCAAATTAAGTCTTATTTCTGATTCTAATATGTGTAGACAGAACTTGCTTATCTATGTCACTTGCATTAAAGTTAAGTTTCCTGTTTCTAGGATTTACTACTCGTGTGTTTTTGCATTTTAATAATAAATTATCTATTAAATGAGAGATGTAGATGAAGATGACAGAGATATAAAGAGATAAATAGATTAAAAAGTAGATTAAAATGAAAACAAAAATAGAAAGTGACAGAGCAGAAGAGTGAAAAACTATTCAAGCCTTGGTAGCTGTTATTCAAAGGGCTTCAAAGAATTGGTTTTAGTAAATATTTTTTATTCATTTAAAATTACATAATGTGAAGTGTGTTAACATCAATTTTTAGACATGCTAATTATTTAACTAATCACAATTCCCTATTTCTGAAGTTGAGTGAATTTAAAATAATGAGATCACTGTGTCCATTTCACACTTTGAGTCTTCCTAGAATAAAGAATAAAATGGCAAATAAATTTGAAAAATGATGGCATCTCAACTCTTTTCAGAAAATAAATATACAACCAGAGCATGTAAACTCCCTGTCACTTCATATAGTAGCAATCTAGACTAAAATGAAGATGAAACAGCTTTCCTGGCTGAAATGAAGATATCAACTGCGTTAAATTAGATTTTTTGGTACTTAAGTGAAAGACCGTTTTTCCAGTATCTGAATTACCTGACTCAAATCACTTCATAAATTGGACTAAACAGTATTGAGTTTTGGGGTTGTTTTTCTATTCCCTTTGCTTGACACAAAGTTCAGTACTCCATTTCTTCTTTAACTATGAGAGAAGCTTTAATAACAGAGGCTACATCAGTAATGTAGAAATGAAATGTCTCAAATTGCATTTGTGTCCCCAGTGTCTACTTCAGATTTGTCCTAAGAAAAGCACATGTTTTGAAGTAGTTTTAAAGGGCTCTCCTTTTGAATGGATTATAATTTATTTCATGAGATACACATTTTCTCTTTTGAAAATAAGAGGAAAATAATTCTTCTTTGTTTGCTTTTTAGTATACTTGATCTCCTCAATTTCCAGTTTTAAAAATGTATATTTTAACCACAAGTATATGTAAATATATATATATATATATATATATATTTCTTCTTAATGTTAATCTCTTTAATATGATCATGGTGATAGTTCTCTAAATTCAAGTTTATTTATCTGTTTATATGATAGGGAGAAGACAGGTAAAAAGGAATTTCAGTTTAAAAATTCTCCCATTATGATATAATCATACAGGGATCATATGCAAATATGTCGACTATACATAGATAGATTTATAAAAATAAAAAAGTGGCTGAAGGCATGAGTACAAAAGGAATTCAAAATTTATATTATGCTTATAAATAGAGAAAAACCAAAAATCATATAATAAATATATTTTGCACTACAGGACTTTCAAAATTCTATTATTGATGTGCTATTCAATTAACTGTAAGCATTTAATAAAAAGTATTTTATTATAGATTGAGTAAAATTTTACATTATCAATTGTATGCCATAGAAGCTAAAACACTGTTGCATTAATATAAACACTGTTTTCAAAGGTCTACTAACTGAATTGGAATGTGCAAGTAGTAGTTTATCAAAACATACCTGTGCAATTGAATTTAATTTAAAAAAAAGCTACTAGTGGATTTAAGGAGTTATTACTAAATTCTGTTTTGTTTTGGGTTTGCCATGCATACTGCTACTATCTTTATATCTATAAATTATATTTTTGATTTTTAAAAATAAAACTTTATGTTTACCTAATTTCAAATTCTCTTTAGAGTTTTACAAATTTAGAAGTTTGATTTTAAGCCATACATTTTCCCCTTGCATTGGAATTTTCCAAAGAAAAGCCAAGATATCTGAATTTTCAATTGCATTTTTACTGGATTTAAATAGGACTTAAATCAATAACTTTCTAATTTAAAAGAAGCTACTTGATTTTCAAGATATTTAATTAAAGCCACATTCTATTAGCTGAAATAATCTAAATCTGGCTTAATCTACTAAACCATTTCAATCACTTTATCAGTTTATTCCTTTCTGAAGACTGCTGATTCAATTGTTCCTCATGGATACCACATTACAGAACTGCCCATGAGACATTTGATAAACAGACTATTAAACTCGGAACTCATATTTTACTCTTATTTTTAGCACTAAAATAGAGATGAATCTAACAAAATTCAGCATCAATAATTACTGTAATTACAATAAAAAGTCTTCAAAAATTATCCTGTTTAAATATTTACAGCTGAATTGAAAACATAATTTCTCCTCTGCATATGAGCCTCTATCTTTTTGTGTTTACTGCTTTTTACTAAACTGGTGAGAGATACAATTATTCATGATGTAGAAACAAAATGCCAAATGTGTATAGTTGGATACCTTTACTGGTCTATGTTAAAAGAGTTATTGCAAATATATTCAAAAACACAGATCATCCACAGTGTATTACTGAAAAAAATCTAAAGGCATAAATCACACTGCAAGTTTTGAAGGGCATTCTATATGATCAATGTAGAACTATTTTAGATACTGTTTGTTGCTTAAATTTAATGTCTTTTTAAAGCAATAGGATGTTAGTTTGTCTTCAGTAAAAATACTACCTCCAAAGAACATCAAAGACAGCCTTTGTGTTTAAAATTATAAAGCACATAATAAAATGAATGTCTTGATAGTCTGTTTAATGGGTACCTGTAAATATGTGTGTGTGTATGTAACTTTTGTCTGAAATCATAGGCTGTCATTCACCAGGATCTTATCTTAAGCACTTTGTTTTCTCATAACACATGCTATCCCTTGATGGTTTTCTAATAATGACAATGGCAACAATAATTATTATTATTTATAAAATGATGACTATGCACCAAGCACTGTTTAAGACACTTAAGTAATATGTTAAATTAATTGTCATTAATAATGTACTTTTAATTTTTTATTGATATACAATAGTTGTACATATTTATAGGATCCATAGTTTTATACAGTGCATAAGGAAAAAATCAGTAATTATGATATGAATTACCTCAAGCTTTTATCATTTCTTTATGTTGGGAACATTCCAAATTTTCTCTGCTAGTTATTTAGAAATATAATATACATTCTTGTTAATGATAGTTACCCTACTGTCTTATTAAATGCTAGAATTTATTCCTTCTATCTAACAGTATTTTTGTACCCATTAACTCACTTCTCTCCTCATCACCTCCATCCACTATCTTTCTCCTTCTCTGGCAACCACCATTCTGCTCACCACCTCTGTTGAATTAACTTTTTTTTAGCTCCCACATATGAGTAAGAACATGCTATATTTGTCTTTCTTTTCCTGGCTTATTTCACTTAACATAATGTCCAGTTCCATCCACGTTGTTCCAAATGACAGGGTTTTATTCTTTTTATGGCTAAATAATAGACCTTGATTTAGAATTAAACTATTTTACCATTGGTCAATGAATGAACAACTGAAAACTCACTATGGATACTAAGAACTTCTAGATACGCTTCTTTCAGCTTACTGAAGTACTCTGGAGGTGTATTTTTTGCATGTGTAAGGAGGTCAGACATCATTTTTTTTCTCACTTGACACGCAGAATCCTTCAAAGTCACCACTTTATTCATTATCATCATTGAACGTAGTCACAGGCCAGAGGTTGTGCCAGAAATGAACATTGTGTCTTTAGTCACTGTATTCTAACCTTGGCAACAGCATATACAGCATCCTTCATGATATACTTAACAATATACATCTAGTTAGTGAAAAAGATACAGTTCAAACTGGAGCAGGAGTTGTCTTTTACAGCTTGAAAAGCAAGTATGACCTCCTACTTCTGACATTTAAGTCTCATTGTTCTTTACTCATTTTCATTTATTCTGAAATTCTGTCATATTAATCATCTATTACTTTCTGTATTAAGTATATTTTTATTTTATATTTATACTGTTTTCTTTTTCTTAACAAATCATTCTTTATTGATTGTGATTTAGCATTTATCTCCAGTTTCTTTCTTAACCTCATTTCTCACTATTTTCCCCAGTAATACACTCCAATTCATCCATATAGATTTCTTTATTTTTCACCCCATACACCAAGCTTCCTATTTTTACTCCT
Source organism: Homo sapiens (assembly GCF_000001405.40). Taxonomy (NCBI): domain Eukaryota; kingdom Metazoa; phylum Chordata; class Mammalia; order Primates; family Hominidae; genus Homo; species Homo sapiens. The sequence continues at coordinate 56,196,669 of NC_000013.11, forward strand.
ATGTTTACCTCTTCTCCAAGACAAAAACAAAATATAATATTTATTTTAAAACATAGTTTCGTCCATCTTTTCCTCATGAAAATTTCTTCAAGAACCACTCCCACGGCTCTACATGTGCCTAATATTTTTAAATATTGGCTGTATGGTTTAGCACTTCAAGATATGTTGTTTTGAAAAGTACACTAATTGTTTTATTTGTTTTCGTTCTTCAAAACAGAGGAATGGCCAATGGCTTCTATACTATGGTTTGTCATGAGTGCTCCTGAGTAAGACTGGTGTATATTTTTTCTTGCTGATACTTAACATTTGTCTGGCTTTTCAGACCAGACAAATATTAAGACCATGATGTTCTCTCAGAATTAATTAGAAAGCAGAACTAATTAATTAGAAAGTGAAGTGGGCATATCTTCATTATGTCTACATATTCAGTTGTTAAATTAACTCCTTTATCTATGAATTTTTAATTGACTCAACCCTAGCCCCTTTCTCTGAAGATATAACTTTTCTCCTGTGCCATGTTATATTAATTTCTGTTAAAATAACTAAAAGGTGTTTGAAACTAAGTAACATATATTCCAAGCACAGTGCTCAACATTCTGCATATATTTTTTAAAAATGATCACCCTATATATTAGATACTATAATTATTTTCATATTATGGATGAATAAACTAAAGTTTAGAGGTAAATAATTTGATCAAACTTACATACCAGTAGAGTCAAGATTTGAACTGTGATATGGTTTGGATCTGTGTTACCGCCCAAATCTCATGTTGATTCTAATCCCTAGTGTTGGAAGAGGGGCTTGGTGGGAAGTAAATGGATCATGGGGGTGGAGTTCTCGTGGATGGGTTACCACCATCCCTTGGTGCTGCTCTCCTGATAGGGAGCAAGTGAGTTATTGTGAGATACACCATGAGTAAAAACTCCCCGAGGCCTCCCCAGAAGAAGATCCTGCCATGCTTCCTGTACAGCCTACAGAACTATAGCCAATTAAACCTCTTTTCTTTATAAATTACCCAGTGTCAGTTATCTCCTTATAGAAGTGCAAGAACGGGCTAATACAAATCAAAAGCCTAGTGCAATCAACAATAATATCATGTGTTTTCATGAAAGATACACAATCCTTGTCTAGAAATGTGATTCTTTTATAGGAAGTAAGACAAGTCTTATAAGTAAACAAAATAAAGCTTAGGAAAGTCAATGTGTCATTTATTATTCAAACTGAGACACTTTTCAGAGTGAAAATGATGCAATTAAAAATTTATGCCAGTTCAACAGTTTACATGAAAACTTGGGTTTAGAGTCATCTTGTATAAAGGGAACGCTACAATAATTAATTGAAAAGACATGAAAATTAAATTTGCTGCATTCAAATCATCCTTATGTGAGTTTCTGAACCAGTACAGAAAGAGGAAGAAAATATTTCCAAAACCTTCAGTTTTCCTTTACCTCCATTCATCAGGGATATACATTTTGACACATTCAGACTTTCTGAACTTCTATACCATTGAGTCACCTTAGATGATCAGACATACTATATAGTAAATCTAGGGGAAAACCTTTTATTCAATGCTGTTACAAATTTATATTTTACCTTATTCTCATTTTGGCACAGTAATTCTAGAATTAAGTTTCTGTTCCTACTCCTTCCCTAGTCAATTTGTTAGTCCTTACAGTTTAGAGACCAAAACTGAAGCTCTTAACAGTGACAGAGAATAAATCTCTGCTGTGATCATAATTTTTCTCTTTCATGACCTGATCTTGTCACCATGTCTACGATCCTAACCTGGATCTTGTTCATACTGACAAGACAATTATCAATCCATCTTATTGAATGTTCACCATTCAACAAGTGACATTTATTGTTCACCTCATCACTGGGACACCTAGTGATACAAGGGCAAATACAATGTAATTCCTACTGTCACAGAGCTGTTGCAATCCTGTGTTAGACACAGATTGACATTAAGAGGTAACTGCCTCATCAACCATACATCATCTGCAAGGCTGTTCTTGGAGAGAAGGGCTTTGCATCTGGGTAAATTTTGTGTGTGTCCATATTGCCCTGCTGGACACATTTCATAGTATTCTATGTGCCTATCCCTTGATACTACAGCCATTTAATTATGCTCCGTTTTTTTGGCACAGAATTTAGCGACATGATTTTATACTTGGTGAGGAATGGCTGATATATAAGTTAAATATCCCAGCTAAATATGAGTTAAATAACATAAGCTTCTCCTTTCTCTTAATTTTGCCATTTCCCATAAGAAATACTAAAAGAAATGCCAAAATAGAAGTGCTAAAATATGAAAATAATCACCACAATATAAAAGTCAAATATGTTAATGGTAGAAATAATTTTTAAAAATCATGTGTTAACATCCCTGAACTGAGATTGACACATTTCTTGTTACCGTCAAAAATTTCAGATGTCTCATTCCCCAGATTAAGAAATATATGTTGTATTTGTTTTTTAGGATACTGAAATCCAAATGCAAAAATTTAAGTTGATCATTTGATATAGTCACTGGCAAATATCAAAGTTCATTCATTGTAAATCTCATTTAAAACACTCACATGCAATTTTATTTATTTTGTACTTTAATCTTGATGTCTAAATGCATGATCCTAATGAGTATTAAAAAGAGATGCTAACTAAAATGGAGAACTCAAGCTAACAGCTTCAAAAACCCTAAATTTCTCGACCGAAGTAAAAACTATCACAAAATCATGCACTGTGTCACATAAACACACAGACACAAACATGTATGTACACAATTTAATCCTGGGTAAAAATCACCACCAAGATTCATGTATTTCTTATTTGTGTATTCAAAATATACATTTAGGAAAAAAATTTGACATTTTAATTATGAACATTATGAGCACTGAGATAAATACAAATAAAATATAAATCTTGATTTTGTTTTTAGGTGTGCTATATGTAGCAGAAAAGGCTGACATATGTTTACTAAACAATCAGTACAAGATATTATATTATTCTTCTCAAGAAATAATGAATATGTTATTTTATAGAAATTCAATAATGGAGCAAAAGAATATGCAAATAATATTTGAATTAAATTAGGATTACTTGAAATGAATAAATATATTTAAATGTAAATAGCTGCTCACCTAGTTTCTATGTTGACACTACAAATGTATAATTTATATTTGCCTCTAAATTTTAATGTTTGGTAATTACAATAAATTGCTATTCCACACTTCTCTATTTCTAAATTTGTAGTGACAAGTAAAACTCCTTAAAATTAATCTGTTTTGTGTTTTTTATCTATGTATTTTTGATTCATCAAATTTATAACATTAAAATAATCAGAACAAACTATGAAATAATGTAAAATGTCTTATGAAAAATATTTCTTTTCATTTCATCCACAGAACTTGTTTATTAGCAATTTTATGCATCTAGCCCATTCATATTTTTTAATTCATTCTTTTACATACACAGATCATTCCTAAATAAGAATAGTTCGAGTTCTAAAGCAAGTAAATTGTGTAGAAATTGCAACAATGTGTGACACAAGTTGAAACTTCTATTGTTTTGCCTGCCAAAGTCAATATCTTCAATAGTGAACTTGAGCAATAGTGACATGAGTGCTTTAAAATATAAACAACCAGAATTAATTTATTTCTATGAAAAAATATATTCATATTCAGAAAGAGTAGTAACCAATTCAAAATTCTGCTCGGCTCCCCTAATCACTGATACCATCAGCTCTTCCCTCGACATGTCCTACTAGTTCTTTTAGTTGATCTCTACCAGATTAAACTAGATCTTGATTAGCAAGGATAGGCACAGAATTCATGGAGGAGGAAAATGAATCATTGACAGCAAGTCTTTGAATCTAGAAGCAGACTGGATTCTGAACAGATACATAAAGGAAGAAATTAGGAGACACTGAATAGGTCTCTTTTATCTTTCTGAGGATAACTCTTCATCTGCCTACCTAGTAGTTCCCTTTCTCTTCCTTTCCATTCATAATCCCAACGAATGAATACCAGAGTTTCCTATGCTATCATCCTTGGTTATCACAAAGCTTAATTTCACGTTAAGACTTTTATTCATTAAAATAATCAATGGTTTTTTCACTTAAAATTTCTTTCTGAAATCTGTACCATGGCCTTTAAAATGTCAGTTTTGTTTCATTTTCTATTTTTAAAAAATGAAAAATAGGAGACAAAATTTTTGTGCATTTAACACCTTATCTTTAATCACAGAATACGTTTGCAAAGATTGTGAATTGTCTTTGTAAGGAAAAATGATTTAATACCTTTTCCTTGGGCACACAAGCAATCCTGGGCATTTTCTTACAGGCGGTTTGGCTGATTTCAGCTATGCTCCACATGTCTTTCTTCCTTCTTCAGGGACCAGTAAGCTAGCCAAGAACTATTCTTCTCATGGTATTGCTTGCAGTAGAAGATAGAAATTCCAAAGGAAACTTCATGGACTTTTGTAGCCATTGTTCAACTTATACCCATTAACATTCCATTGGCTAAAGCCAGTTATTGCCTAAAATGATTAGTGTATTTTTCCAAGCACTGGAACAATGTTTGAAGTTTTTTCCAATGCTTGGAAAACTATGTTAAGCATTTTAAATGGAACAAATTGCAAAGTCAAATAACAAAGACTGTGGATACATAGATGGGTAAAATATTGAGGTCATTAATGTAATCTGTCACAGTCCTCATATACTATTTTGCCTCATGTTGAGGAAAAGGACTTTAATATTCATTTCAGATTGTAAAAATAAATAAACTATTTTTACTTATTCAATCTGAAAACTTTTAAGTTTCCCGGGAAACTCCCCAAATTCTTACTTTTAACCTAATTTCTACACATTACTCAAAGTCATATTTGTTTCTAATATAATATTCTCTACATCACATTTTGACTAATATCTCTCTAATATCCTTTTACATTGCTCATATGGGAGGCTCCATTAAAACTCAGAGTACAGACATCTATTTAATGAAATATGTTGAGTTGATATGGAGGAAAAAAAATCTCATCTTGTGACACTAATTTTTTCCCTCTAGACTTCAATAAGTTAAAAATAACATTCGGAGTAGACATTAATATTTTTCATTCTAACCACACGGAAAACAATAAAAATTTGGAGACAGATTAATTCTAAAAAGTGATCAATATTCCCTTAGCTGAATGAGAAAGAAAGAGGATTGTAGGAGAAAAGATCGGATTGGTAAAAGAAAGGCAAATTGTGGAGAATTTTTAGATGAAGATGTTTACATAGAAAGTCAGATGACCTTGTGTTGAATTCTTTGTGAAACAGTAAGCCTGTGGAGGGCTTTAAACAGAGTAAAATACCTGGCTTACCATTTGAAAAGAACATACAGGCTGCTATTTTGAAAAGAAACTCTGACATGCTGCCGATCTATGAGACTAGTCTAGAGGCTTGTGATTGTTTCAGTGAGTGTTGATGGTGAAGTGGACTTGGGTGGTAATAAAAGAGGTATTAAGAAGTTGTATGATTCTGGGTATACTTCAAAGATTAATCTCACAGTTTTTTTTTTCTTTTTTTTTGATAAATTGGCCATAGGACACGAGAAGGATGAGTGATGTTACCAAGATTTTTGGCCTGAGTACCTGGAAGTATGTAGTTTCCACTTACTGTGGGCTTGTGTAGTTAAGCATACGATTATAATTATTGTGTATCTAAACAGTAATATTCTAATTAGGAAATGCATTTGGAAATCAAAAATATTTTAATGGTCTTTAAAGCCACCAAACAAGTAATTTTAAATGTTAAAAAAGGGGGAAAGAACTGGTCACTATAACCTCAACCCTGTAGCTGACCACGAGGCCTTAGACAGTATACTCAACTGCTCCACAGGTCTTTTGCTTTCTGCTAGCACCAAAGACTTCTTTATCTGGAGGCTATTTTAGGTCTTCATCTCTGAGTTTTCTGAGCCAGTGGTGGTTCTGCCTACGTGGGATGGGTGTGGTATTCCCTTAAATGTAACTATGGGACATAGCAGAAGTACATGGCTCTTGAGAGTCATGGCTATCCATAATCTTCCTTTTCCTATTGTTTAGCAGGAGCTATATTTTTCCCCTGTAGATATACCAATTAATTTTTAGGAAATATTCCATTTTAAGCTACTCCTCTAAAGGCATGTGTTGTTTAAAATGTTATACTGCAAAGGAATTATTATATTACCTCATGTATACAATCTTTCTTTTGTTATAAGATCTGTGAATGAACAGAGTTCACAAGCCATGAACCATACATTTTCAAACAAGTCATGAATGTGATAGTGAGATGCACCTCTTCCTTTGCATTTCTTTCCTCCTGAACCCATGCATCCTGGCCGAAAAGAATAAAAATGACATCCTGTATTAGTCAGTTGCTATTCTTGAGGATAAGACATAAAGATTAAATTATTGTCATCCAGTTGGAATATTAAATATTTTATGTCAATTCCAATATACTCCAAAGTCAGCTGCTTCTGAAAGATGGAGTACATATTAAGATCAATGAATCATATGAACAGTAGTATACAACCTTGTATCTTCAAAATTTTTTTTTGTTCATAATCAATATTGGGGGGTAGATTAGATATTAAACAATACAATCACTAATTTTCTTAAGGTAAAACTAACTATATGATAATATTAGTTTCAAACCAATAATGGCCTTTTTATAATGATAAATATTCAATAAACAAAATATATTTCCACTATACTAGCTAATTCCCTGAGAATATGGTGCCACTTAGGATTGATTCATGTCACCAACAAATTGCACCTCTACAAAAATTGTGTTAACTTGTCCAGCCATGGTAAGAAGAAGTCAATGTTGTTGGGCCCATGTATAACTTTGGCCCTTTCCTCCGATATCTCTTGGTTCACGAGCCCTTTATACAAATGAATATGGCAATAAAAAAGGATAATTAACACCTTCCGCATAGCTGATGGCTGTCTTGGGCATTTACACAGGACACAGTTATCATACTCCTGGAACATGTAAGTGGACCATTTACTTAACCTTTACCCAAAGCTCATCATTAAAACTCCAGTATTACTCTTGCCAATCCACTTAAAATATAATTAAATTATTATCTCCAATTGGTATAGATTCTTACCTCTAGCCATCTCTTCTTTCTGATAAAGTTAGCAGTGAGATATATCATTAACGTCTCCAACCCAGAAGGTTTCCCTTCTCCACTATCTTCTCACTCAAGCTTTAATATCAAACATTTTATTCCTTGCTGGTGCTAGAAAATTTTGTAAATCTGTCTTTAAAATAAGCTAGCTCAGTATTGTTTTCTTGATCCAACTATATATATGTAATGTCCATGAAGGCATAAGTGCAAGTTGAGAGAAGAGTGGTAAGATAGGTATATCAGGCTCATGCAGTCTACTTGTCCCTTCAAGAACTATTTGAACATAATTTCAATTATAACTTTCAATACTGAATATTGCTAGGTAACCTTGTATTTAAGGATAAGATAATACCAAGTCAAGATGTACCACCAAGTAGTATAAGCACCTGAAGTCCCAGAGTAAAGCATTTGGAATCTATCAGTGCCCAGAAAGGCTAATAATATTTTTTGTAAAATTCACTATTTTATTCCAAAGAGACCATAGATTTGTTTCAAAACTCTAGTGGAATCTACTTTGGATTTTCTTTAAGAGTTTATTACATACTTAATGAAAATCTTATGCTACCATATAATTGCCAGAACCATCATGAATAATACTGTCAGGACCATTTTTTGTAATTGTGAAAGCTGAACACTCCCAGAGGAAACTTCCACATTTTAATCAACTTTGAATGGTGTTCCTGGAGTTGCACAATGAATGGAACTATGTAGCCTGCACAGTGTATCTGATGTCTCCAAATGGTTGAGTAGAAAAGATAAGTATGTCACATTCAGAAGCAGCAGAGGCAGATTGAGAGCCTTCCATTGCTCTAGATCCCACTTAAAGGTAGAAGCATTCCAGGTTTTCTAATATATGGGTCAGCACAGCATAATTACATGTTATCTATGTTGTCTCCAAATTCCTAAAATATGCAATAGATTGTGACGCTCTTTTACAATAACAAAAGATGATGAGTGAAGCAACTGATACTTGCCTTTGGAAAATTCATTACAATATATCTATCCCAAGATAATTGGACTGGAAGATCACCATTGAATTAGGTGACATATCTTTTTTTCATTTTATTTGACTTATAACTTGAGATACTTTGGTGTCATTTAGAATGTCTACTACTTCTCATTACTCAAGTAATAAAATGATGTCACAGTGTAACCAATGTTGTGATATTCTAAGGGATAGTAAGATGATCAAAGTCTCTGTGAAATAAATTGTGTCCCAAATTAGGGAGTTGATTTTATTCCTGAGCCAATGGTAGTGTGTACTTCTATGAGCGTTTACTTCTGTCTCAGCAGGTGAAAGTACACAGTTCCCAAAAGACTTTGCTTATTAGGATAGGTACAAAATGACATTCTAGATCAATAGGTACATACCAATCAAGCTCTGTGGTAATTTTCTCAGGAAAAGTAGATGTCAGAATTAACAGGTGAAATTGAATTGAATTGATTAAGCTTGTAATAATCCACTATGTTTCTAAAAACCTTTCTCATCTGTATACTGCTTAGTAAAACAGAGGAGTTACATGGAGATGAAATAGAAATCATCACCTTTCTTTGATCTTCTAAAACTCAACAGTAATAATGAGTATCCCCCAGGAATACGTTTTTGCTTTTGGTTTTCTATTTTGGAAAAAGTAGTGTCGTTCCATAGGGTTCACTATGTTCTTCCTGACAGAAATGCCATTATTTGTGGGTTAGGAAGCCAAAATGCCAATTCTGGTAATATTGCATAACTACTTCAACTATAAATATAGGAACTGGAGGTTTAACAACCTCTCATGCCAATTATGTGTTAGGTCAAAACTCCATTTATTGCCTGACATCTATAACCTTTTTCTCATCAGTGGGCAACAATGTTGTTTTGAGCCACAAAAATTAACATTACCAGAGAGCCAGTGCCAAATCCAATTAGTTCACCCCATGTGTTGACTATTTCCCTTTCAGCAATGTATAATGATCCCGGTGAATGTTTGCAGGTGAAATTTGGTAGTAATAACAAAATAATTTATAGTACATATGTAGAATGTTATTTCTCAATACTAACTGCCATCATCTCAATTTGGGCACTCTAATTCTATGAAGTAATTCAGGTTTAGAGATTGAAATAAGGTGTAGAAACAATTCCAAAATATGTCGATGCTGTGCTTGTCACACCTAGCATAATTTTTGGTTATTAATAAAGGAATAATCTATTTGGAAAAATTTTAATGTTTGCCATAGGAACTCTATGATGAATTAGCCACCTTCAAAGATTCCTGTGTATCAAATCATTCTGATTACCTCTCTGTCCCATTCCTGTAATGTCTACTTTTCAACTGATAATAATTTCAAATGGTACATTAATCTCCAACAACAAGCTGATTCTCACAATTGCTGCTCCTGCCCATTTCATAGATGCATGTGCTTTCTTCAGTAAAGGTGTCCCCAATGTTTTGGTGAAGGCGATGTTTTCTGGGCTTTCTTAGTTTGGAAAATACTTTAGATATTACACATGACAAATGTATTCTTAAGTCCTTTGCTTTCCTACTCTACATATGCAAAGAATTTTCTAGATTCCTTCCCTCATATAAGAGTAGATTGTCTTTGAATCAAGATTTGAGCAACTATCCAAGCAAATGATTGTAGATGTGCGAGTTAGAACAACAACCTCAGTTTCCCTAGTTAGGGAATCAAAAACTGTAGGTTAAGCCAAAAATTATGGTGATTTTTTTCTTTGGCACGCTTAAAATATATTCACCAATTGTCTCTTGTATTTTCTATTTTTTAAATAAATTATACATATACTGGCAAATTTCTGTCTTCTTTTTTGATTGTAAGCTTTTTTCTTCTGCCATGTTTGAGTATGTAATTTCATGCATTTGCTAGTATCTGATTTTAGTTACAGGCCTGAAGACAATAAGAGAGTTCTTGAGTAGAGAATATGGGAAGAATTGAATTCTCTGCAAGAAACTGCTTTGATCAAATAGTTTTAGGATTCTTTAGTAAGGCAGGAATAGTCACATCAGACATGCCTTAGCTGAAAATAGGGGTTGACTTGGAGTCTTGTTATTTGGTATATTTTAAAACACCCAAATCTTTCAGTATGTCTTTATACCTACACTCGCTGCTTTATTATTTCCTTATCAAAGCTCTGTCACATTTGATGCATTTTCAGATTGTTAATTCAACCTACATAAATTGTAAACCCTTAGGATAAAGCTTTTAGTTTGATTTTCATCTGTCTCAGCCTACAGGCAAAAAGAAATGAGAGATGCTTAAAATCCTTGGTTGTCTGTCTTAGTTTTGAGCTGAGAATTTAGGACCTTGAGCTTGTCATGCATTTTCTTCAAGTTATACAGAAAAAAATAAAAGAAACCAGCCCACCCTAGAGCTTTGAATTACTTATATGCTTCATTTTGTTCTAAGATGTGACTTAATCTCTCAAATTCTCCTCGTTAATACACATTTTATTCTAGGTAACCACAGGTAATAGTTTAATTAGCTATTTTGCCACTGAGCACCACAAGCTGCTGGAATTCTATGTTTTAATTCAACATAAATATGCTCTGCCGTTAGCCACAAACAGACTAGATAATAAATAGCAACTACCTATAGCATGCCTAACATTTTCTTGCCTACATTAATTCAGTTTATCATTTTTATGTCAATGATCTTAGTTGTAAATAACCACAATCCACTCTGTGTGATTAAACAAATAGTTCATTAAACACACATTGAGAAATTAAAAAAAAAGTGTTGAGATCTGAAGATGTAAGATCTATGCTGATTCCAAAAATATGTGTTCCCTGAAATGAGATATTCCAATTTTACAATGGTACTGTAATTTCAAACACTCCTGTGTCAGAAAATTGACCCAGTGGCCACCTAAACAACTGTCACACACATAGACAGAGAGCAAGAGAGAATACAATTTCCATAAAAACATTTATAATTCTGGAGAGTAAAAATGACTGAAAACTGTTCACCACACAGATAATCCTTGTTTATTTTTCAAATTTAAGTCTTAATCCGGAAAAAAATGCTTATGAGTTTGGTAGATGTTTGATGGCCTTGTTGGAAGATCCAATTTAGATTAAGAGAGTGGGGAATACTCTATTAATAGAACTCCCCTACAGTGGAGGGGAGCTATTGGTAGAATACAGATGTAGAAGCTATGATTGCTATTGTCTGCCTGTTTGAGGTGCAAGGGAAGCAAATGAAGAAGGATTGGCAAGGATGATCTACTATTTCATAGATATATTTTAATATAATCCTTGTTTTCTGCTCTACTCAATACCACTCTCATTCAAATCTCACCTAAGATTTCTAAGCTCCAAACCTCTCTACACATCTGCAGGCTTCCTGGGCTGTCTTTTGAAGTGAGTCTCCCTGTATGCATAATTGTGATCATACTCATCTCACTGTATTTATAGTGGGGCTTTGGTAAGCTTGTATTCCACTCTGTCATCTTGATCCAGAGGAAAAATACATATATAGTTAACAATCTAAAATGCAGTTGAAAAATGTAAATCATTTTTATAAGCAAGAAAGACACAATGAAGAAAAACAAATCAATAATGAGCAATTTGTAATAGATTACCCTATATTTCTAGTTTTTATGTCTTGTACCAGCATGTAAAAATTTTTCTTTTAGACTTTGAATTGCCATAATGATTACATACTATAAATACTTTCAGGTCTAAAAAGTGTTGTTCTTTTTGGGAAAATATGTTGCTATTATCATTTTAAGCTACTTATCCTACACTAAAATTGACCACAGATGACACTGGGGTCAATTTGGGTCACCTTTTGTTTTAGGTGAAAGGGATCAAATTAACCTATGACATAAATATCAAGACAATGGTTGGCTATCCACAATTTGTTTATTTTTAAGATTGCCAGTAATGTTAATAATAAATTATAATCTTGTATTTCCTCACAAAATTTTATGAGTTTGTTCAAATAATAATTTAAAACACCCTTTACCTTCTAAATATTGACTTTTAAATTATTATTCAAGTCATCTGTTTCTTCACATTCATTTTCTAAACTTAATAAACTTCATTTACCTCTCATTTGATATGTTAAAACGCACAGTAGTTTTCAGGTTTTTCTGCAAGTTACCCATTAAAAGATAATTTTACATCATATGTTTAGGATTCACTTACATGTATGTAGAAATGAATATATTTAGTCATACTGATTTATCTGTCAATCTTTTAAATTACATATGCATACAAAATTTTAATTGCATATATTATGTCCGGTATTTTAAAGTTTTTTTTTCCTTTCCATGCTGGCAGGATATTTAAGAGAATTTTAAGTGTTAAAATATTATGAATCATAGTATACATCGTAGTTTATCAGGTTTTCTAACTCATCATCTTTCACTCTGATAAGGTATTCCCTAAGGAATATTCCAACTAGAGAGCTTTTTCTTATTGACAAGATTTTGTCTTTACTTTATATGTTCACTTTTAACTCTAGAGAATATTAAAATAATCAATGAACTCTACAATTTCCTAACAGGTAGGAAATTTGCTACTGAGAACTATCACTCTGAACACGAGTTTTTCATTTTGGTAAATTACTTGTATGATTTGAATTAGTTACAATTTTTCTCCACAGGTTACACTAGGAAAAAAAAAACAAGTATACATAAGGGATCCCTATGCTTTATTTGCTTTCAAAAGAGACTGTAATCACATATACTCATTTTATCCTGGGTAAAACTAAAATTCCTATCAATATATAGATTTCTTTGATCATTTTCATTTTGCTTAGTCCTCAACACAGCTCATCTGCACTGAGGCCTTTAGTAAAATGATTTAACCAATCTCACTTTATCTAATCCTTCCAACCAAAAATAAGATGTCCAGGTGTGCATAAACACTAGCACACATCTCTAGAGAACTTTATAAAATAGATCCCTCACTTCTCCTTGAACAATTATCAGACTCCCTTTTCTAAGAGATCTTTCTCTTCATTTTGCCCTTTTCCCATCAGGGCCATTCTTATTCACTCACTTACTGGCTCATTTTTTTTTTTCACAGAATCTCTTAAATACTAGTGTAGCTCAATATTCTCTCTTCAACATCTTTCTCTAGTTACCTCTAAATGTATTTTCATATCCACTAGTGTGTTTTATACTATGAATTTTTAGCTAATAATTTTGAAGTACCTGTTGCAATATCTGGGCTTTATTGTGTTTTCAAGCCAGCTATTCAATGACCTACTGAATATCCCCACTGTGACATCCAAGAAGCACCTCAACTCAACACATTCAAAACAGAACTCTGAATACCAGTGTCACTGTCTGACTTTGTATTATCTGAGTTTTTTGGGTCAGGAATTTCTATATTATTAGGCAATGCTGCTAAAATTATCTAGTTACCATCCCCAGTCCTCTAAGAGGCTTATAATGATGTATCTGGACTGTGTGAGGAATATGGGAATGATACGGTCTCTGGGGAATAGACTAATGTGTGGCCAATATGGACTAACATACACATAATATGCCAGTGGTACTAAATGCATTCCAGAGAAAGTGTGACCAGAGACTGGTTAGAGAACATTCTGATTTCACCGTATGCCCTCACTATGTCCTCTCTTTGCATTTATTGCCAGATTCAGGGTAAACACATGCTTCCCAAGGATGTATAGGTAGAATAAGAAAAAAAAATAAGACTAGTTATAATATTAATAAAAGGCCTTTTGAAATTTTTTGGGAAAAAGACATTGAATATTATGACTTAAGTTTAAGAAAATAAGAAAACATACAATAGCTTTACATCACTTTCACTTAGAAATGTCTATTTCCAAAAAAGACTGTGGACAGGAATGAGTATAAATGAAAGTTTTGGCAGATGTGTGGAGCTTAAAGTGATAAAAATTGGATTTTAATGTCCAAAAGAAAAGGATTTGATAAACCCTAATATTTTGGATTAGAAATCCCAAAGGGTTCTACTACAAGAGTAAAGGTAAATCAAAAAGGACTATCTTTCACAGGAACTGATATCAAGCATAAAGTTATCACAAACTCTCTTTAGAATATGGCCAGGACCATTACTTCCATTGCCTACTTTCTGGAAGTATACATACATATCACAGTAATATCATAAGTACACTCTAAGTCACAAATTATCTTTAAAATCTTTCACAAACAATTATCAGCACATATTCAATATCTAACACATTGCATAGTAAAAACAAAAAAAGAGATCAGTGGGATCATTGATCTTGGGATTTTAAGAAATAAATTCTAAAATATTTGTGTTTATTACTTGAAACTTTCAGCATATATTCAGAAACAACTAAGATTAGAAAGAGCTATACAGAAAAAATTAAATTAAATTTCCGTATAAAATAATAATATAATGATAAAATAAGTGAAACTAAGAATAGGAGTTAACAAACCTATAGTAATAATGAAATACAACTAGAATATAATTAGTGAAATTAATTTGAAATTTTCAACAATGGAGCTTCAGAAGGAGAAAAGGAAAAAAAATAAGGCACAAACAATCTTTTAAGAAAAAGAATCAGATAATTTTCTAAAACATGAAGTTTTTTATATTATTTTAGAGGCACTATAAACTTTCAGCAGGAAACCTATGAGAAAATAACTCAGAATATCATAGCAAGACTTTTGTCATTCACAGTGGAAGAGAAAAGTCTCAAGAAAAGTCTTGCTGCTTTTGAAGCAGCAAGAAGATGATACATTATCCCCAGGTAAATAAAAATAAGTCTAACATGTGACTTCTCAATGGAAACAATATGAGTCAAATGATCATGGTATATTTTCAAAGGGCTAAAACAAGTACCAATCTAGATTCTAGATCCACTGAATAAACATGAAATTTAAAAAAGAAGACAAATACTGTGAGAGTATGTCTAAACTAAGGAAGCATTGAATGCCTTTCTTGAGATAGAGAGAATATTATCACTGATGGAAACTAGTAGCTACAGACTGAAGAGTAAAAACAGTAAATTCTGTAAGTGAATATAAATGAGCATTGAAGCATCGACTACATAATATATTAGCAATATATTATGGAGTTTTAATATATAAAGAAAATTTAAATGTTTTAGTTTCTGTGATTTAGGAAAGGTAAAGTTATACTAAGCAAACAATGCCCAACAGAAAGTAGATAACGCTATATTAATTTCTGACAAATTAGACTTTAAGAAGAAACTACTATATATACTTTTGCATGTGTGTGTATATGTATAATACATCTCGTATATATATATACATATGTACTATATATATTCAGACTATTACACAGGAATAATTAGATATTTTAACAAACTTTTCTCAGAAACTGATAGAACAAATAGGATCAAAAACTTTGAGGATACATTTTATATAAAAAGCCATATAAACAAAATCATGATAACTGGGACTTATAAGAAACTGCATCTGACAACTGCATAATGCATATTGTCATCATGTACACATAGAGCATTTACACAAATTGACTGTAAGATGGACCTTAAAGGAGTTTTCAAAATATTCAAAGAATTGAAGTCATGCAAAGAATATTATTTGACCACGATGGAATCAATCTAAAAACCAATTTAAAAAGATATGAAGAAGATCCCCATGTCTTTCAAAAATAACTAATACACTTACAAATATCACAGTAATGAAGAGAAAACTACAGTGAGTATTGGAAAATATTTTGAACTGAAAGAAAAAAAATACCTCACATTTGTGAGATTCAGCTAAAGCCAGGCTCAGATGGCAATTTGTGGGCTTAGCCAAATAGATGAAAAAAAGGTTAAAAATCAAGGAGAAAATAATTACTTAAGAAATTCTCAAAATCAAAGAAAATTAAAATTTAGAAATAACATAACAGTATTTGTAAAAATTCATAAAATGTAAGAACAAATCAGAAGTGGAAAAAATCTTGAAACCAACATTTCAGTGGTTAAAATTCTTAATAAATGATATAGAGCTGGCAAGTTCATCAAGGAAAAAATAATGCAGACACAAATAACTAACATTATATGTGAGAAAAAATTGACACTACTAGAAATCCTAATGGCCGTCAAAGTGCATAAGATAATTATATACATATTTTTCACATTACCTTGAAGTTTTTTAATAAAACGAGCAAATTCCTAGAAAAATACACTAACTAGATAGAATTGACACAGAAATCAATTCATTCTCAAAAAGATTTCTACAGGAAAAACATCAGTCCCCTATGGCTTCATTGTTGAATTTTACAAAAAGTTAAAAGTGGATATATATGCCAATCTTAACCTGAATTAAAGAAAATGGAAAAATATAAGTACTGGTTAACTTATTTTTTTGACTTCATTATAACAATTGTACTATGATGGGTAATTTTATGTATCAACTTTACTGGACTATGGGGTGCCCAGATATTTCGTCAAATATTACTCTATGTGTTTCTGTAAGGACATCTTTGAATGAGATTAATATTTAAATCGGTAGAGTGGAGAGGAGATTGCCATTTATTGATTAGAGTGAGACTCATCCAACCAGTTAGAAGCTGAATAGAATAAAAGGGCCAACTTCCCCCAAGTAAGAGAAAAGTCTTCCTGCACGATGGTCTTCAAACTGTGAAATTAGATTTTCTGGTCTTCAGACACAAATTGAAACATCAGATTTTTTTTTTTTTTTTGAAACTTGATTCTGTTAGCCTTTGCAGTAAAAACACACCATCAACTCTCCTTTTTCTCAGTACTTCAGATTCAGGCTTGCTGACTTACCCTGCAAATTGGGACATGCCAGCCTATATATTATACATATACACATGTGCATATACGCATACCCACACACATACACAAACACACACACACACACACACACACACATCCTGTTGTTTCTGTTTCTCTGGAGAGCCCTGTATAATACGGATGACATAATCTGATAAGAATAGTATAAAAATAAAAATTATGCAAAATACAAATTGATATAAATTTAAAAGTCACCCACTTGAGAAAATAAAAGAAATATGCTATATTTTGGTCTCAATAGACCAAGAACAAACTTTTGTTAAAATTGAACATTCATTTGTGACTAAACACTTAGACCAATAGTAAGGCAATTTCATATTCTGATAAATAGGATCTACAAAATGTCTATGGTAAGTATTATATTTAATATTAAAATTTTCTAAAATTTTCTTGTTTCTCTAGGAACAAGTCAAGAATCCTGGTATTATCATATCCATTAAATTTTCCCAGAAATCTTAGTGAAATTAAGTACAATTTAGGACAACCATTAAGGGAAAAAAAACTAAACAAACATTTATAGAGATAATATTATTTATTTCTTAATATCTAAAAACAATCTAATAAGACATTATGGGATTTAAAAAGTGAGTTTAGCAAGATTGCTGAACATGAAAAGTCAATTGTGGGCACTGGTCTTGGTCTCCTGGAGTCAGCGGGCACAGTGAGAACCCAGACAGCCTGGCTCCAGACATGGTTGCGCCTGTCTCTTGCTCCCATAAGTCAGGGCAAGATGTCAGTGCTTCTCACAACATCCATGCCTCTAACCTAGAAGCCACAGCGGGTTAAGGTAGCCTTTCTCCCTGGATTCATGCAGAAGCCCAGTTCAATGAGCACAAAATATTATAAGACTAATTTCTCAAATTAATGCAATTATATGAAGTCAAAGTAGACACCACCCCAGCAAGGAGATGACAGTCAGTAAAATGTACATGTGGGTGATAACCCTGACTCTGTTCAGCCTGCACCAAGTAGATTCCTTTTATTGACTCTGGCTTACGTAGTTTTATGTGTATGGAAGGCCAAGTCTCTAGATAGCATTGGCCAACACTGTTTTCTCCTCTTGCTTGCAGTTATCAGAATAACTGTAGAATATTCTGGGGATGCAGTGTCCTGAAATAAGGAGGAACTATATGAAACAATCCAGACTCTGTCTTTGTCCCTCCTAGAACAGAATGTCTTTCAGTGTTTGCACTCAGTGAGCCAGGTGGTACCTGGGGTATAAAACCGACAATACCCTCAGCCATGATGTGAGATGGGACATGCTCAAAGAAGACGTCATCCATCTTGGGCAACTTTCCTCAGACATGGGGGAACAGCTTCCCATGGATTTTAGGCTTTTGTTGATTCTTGCTTTCTATCTGTAATAAATTTGCTTTCCCTGACTTGACCTATGAGTGTTCTGTCTACCAAAATCATACTCTGGCAGTTAGGTTTGTGCAGAACCTCCTGTGAGACTTGGGAACTTGTACAATGAGATGGTGATGAGCTTCATGCCCTCACTGAGTGATGAGCTCCTCCAGCATGCAGGCCCTTTACCATGTCTTCAGCCTACCCAAAACAGGGGTCATCAATCTCTTCCTTTGCTTATTAAAGAAGGAATTCAAATGTATCAAGACCTACACAGACCTCTTCCTTTATTACCTTAGGTCAAGGTTACTGGAAAGGAATATCACAGCCATCCTGGATTACATGGGCTATAAGTCCAAGTTGAGGACCATGTAAGCCAGTCATGGAAGGGCAAATACTGAATGATTCTACTTCTATAAGGTATATAAAGGAGTCAAGCTCATAGAAGCAGAAAGTAGAATAGTGGTTGCTGGGGCTAGGGGAAGGGAGAAATGGAGAATTGCTGTGCAATGTGTATAGAGTTTCAGTCATGCAAGATGAAAAAGCTATAGAGATGTACTGCACAACAATGCATATATAAATGATGCTATACTGTACACTTACAATTTATTAATAGGGTAGATTTCATTTTTATGTGTTTTTAACCACAATAAAAAATAACTATAAAGTACATTACTTTAACAATTGACCAACTGTGAAGATTGATTTCATTTTAAATAATAGTAGTGTGTCAAAAAAAACCCCAAAAAGTGAAAATAATAATAATGAACAAAAGATAGTAGTGTGTCAAATTTCTGGTGTGAGGATTATATTATGATTAATTGGAGAGTGATCTTGTTCTTCGATGATATATTTTAAAGTAATTTGAAATGAAGAAATCCCATAATGCTTAAAACTTACTCTCAAATGATTCAGACAAAAAGAAGTGTGTGTGTGTGTGTGTGTGTGTGTGTGTGTGTGTGCGTTTACAATTCTTAGGTTCATTGCCTTATATTTGTCAATTGTCTAAGATTTTAAAAATTATAAAATAAAAGTTAGGACAATTCAAAGAAATTCCTGAGATATTTAAAGCATTGACTGTCATGATCTGATTTGTATTATAGAATGATTATTCTGATTAGAGGCAAATTTACCATAAATCAGGTGAAGCTTAAGCTTCCAGACTTTTTTGGTGGATTATTTCCAAAGCCCTGGGAAGAAGTTGAGCAATACATTCTTTCAAGTGATCGTATGCCTTTGTAAAATTTGCAAAATAATATATTTTATTTACATGTTTAACCACTGTATCTTTTGATTCCAACTCTTCATCTTATCATTAAGTGGCTCTAGAGTACTCATGGGCATTTTGGGGATCATGCTAAGGAAAACCTTAACTTAAATTTAATAAAATATTTTTGTAGTTTGTAGTCACTGCATCATGCAAGTAGGTATTTGATAGCTTCCTTACACAAGAATGGCTTTCAGGAATTCTTTTGCCACCTCCTGTGCAGATGTAGGTGGCATCCAGAAACAAAGATGCTGAAGTGAAATATGAAACCAAACTATCGCACCTAGCACCAGCAAGACATGGGGAATGAAGAAATGTGCTAGCTGAAAGAGTGTTTCTTATATCACTCCCTGTAAAATATCACAAAGTGGTTATCCCATGAAGAGCAGATCAAGGACTATGTATCCCTAAACATAAGCATCAGGCTGTTACATAATAGAAATATTTTTTAAATGTTTGTGGTATTTTACAGCTGTTTTATACTCATAATTTGTTGTGCTTTCTTTTCTCATTCTAAATGAACATTAACTTTCATAAAAATAAATAAACCAAATCTAAGCACATAAATGTACCACAGCCACTTCCTGCTGTGGCTTCTGGAACCATCCAGGTGCC
Organism: Homo sapiens; assembly: GCF_000001405.40. Classification (NCBI taxonomy): domain Eukaryota; kingdom Metazoa; phylum Chordata; class Mammalia; order Primates; family Hominidae; genus Homo; species Homo sapiens. The sequence continues at coordinate 56,216,796 of NC_000013.11, forward strand.
ACCAACATCTGTATCCCGTGTTCATATTTTCTAGCCTCACCTGCTTCAGCACCTTCCATTACCACACAGCTGTGAAAAGAGTCTGTTGCACAAGTTCATGCCCTATAATCAGTTGAACAAGTCCACATAGTTCTTCCATCTTGTCTATGGACTCGACTTTGCACCTTCCTGCTTCAAGGGCTACACCATTGGTCTTTCTAGATTCATGTGGAAGTATTAATGCACTGATGTTGGAAGTAGAGACCTGCACTTGACCATTTAGGTGCCAAGGTATTGTGCAGCCAGCTACACCTGCATGAGAGTCCACTTAGCTACTATTTACTCAAGTATATCACCGGATGGTTGCTTATCATCTGACAAAGGAGGGAGTGAAAAACATTCAGATTCTTTTTTTTTTTTAACTATCTACTCCCTATTCAACTGTATTTTCTAAGAGGATTTTGATCTCTAGGCTCTGGCCACCCCTACTCCTCCTCCTAGAAAGCCGACTTGACTGGGAAGATCATCTCCAAATGTCTACCTGGAATGGAGAGTGAGAGATCTTGTGAAATGAGCCATCTTGTCACAATGGGTCTCTTCCAGTGGTTTCTTTCTTCACCACTACCCCCTTTAATACAAGGATACCGACATGGACTCCTCTCTACACCCCCTCCACACAAACATCCCTACGTCTGAGGCCAGAATGAGCTGAATGCCATCCTTTGGCCTCCACAGCTCAGTTCAGCTCCTGGTGTCTCGTGATCATTTCCCCAGCTCATTTACTGACTTTTTTCCCCTTTCAGATGTTTGCACATGCCCCTCTTTCTATACTGTAAATAGATATTTTTGAGATCTATTTTAAAATAAATCTTTAACTTGCCATGTGTTTTAAAGTGGTTAAAGATTAACTTTGTAGCTATTTATCAAAATGCACTGGGTTAGTCAGTCTTCCAAGGCGGAGTCTCTAGGTCTTTTATATTGGATCCTCTTCTCATCGCAGCCCAGTGGTAGAATGCAGAGTTTAGGAGCAGGAGAGGAACTGAGACTATGTCCTTCTTTCTTACGTTGGTAGAGAGCCACTATCTCTCCTATAATAAATATCTACATCTTCTCTATTGTGCACTTAGCAGTGTTGTGGGAGCATACAGGTGACTCTGTGTGCCTGCTGACTGCAATAACCTGGTGACAATTCAGGGATCTCACCCTTTCGAACTGCAGCCCTGGTCTTTGGTGCTTTCTTAGTGTGAATGTTGCATTCCAAATTTATTGAGTCTTGGAAGATCAAGAAGGAAGATAACTTGAGATTACCACCACCACTCTATCTCAGCTCTATTCTCTTCATCTAATTCTAGGACTCAACCACAACAACATTTGCAAACATTGTGCGCTGAAAGTGAGTGGAGATCAATGTGCACCCATGAGACATGTCCTCAAGTACATAGCTGAGCCTAAGTGTTTTGAAACCTGAAAACCCCTTAAAACTCTTCATGTGAAATATTCACCCGTAGATTTTTCTTCTAGAAGTGTGAAGTGGGAATGGAGCAAGAGTTTAAAAGTCAAATTGTGTCTTTGTAAACCAATAAAATAATATATCTACCATAAGTATCTGTGATATACCAAATGTTACAGGAACTTAGATGCAGTGGGTTTTCAGTAGAAAGAGGCAGTCAGCTCTTCAGCAAATTTAAATTTGGCTGAATCCCGAGACCACTGTGAATTTGCTGATGCTTTTCCAACTCAGCTGAGTGATTTTAAGGCTTTCCAAAACTTATATGGTTATTTTTTATATGCTGATAGATCACATGTAGATATAGAATGTGTATTTAAAGCTGAATTCCACCCACACTTACTAAGGTCTGCCCATTCCCGAACATTCATCTTTGATGTTCTTCCATTTCATATTTTAAAACTGGTAATGCCTGTCCCACTCTTGAAAGCTCAAGTTTTCAGTTTTCCATTTCCAGATTGCTACTGTAGCACTACAGTAACTCTTTTAACCAACCATGACACTGAATAACTTATATAGTGAACAAAAAGGGGGAATGACTAATTCATGCCAGGAGAAAAAGTCCAGTGTACCACTCAACATGGAAATAATGTGTTCATGGACTGGAACAGGAAATACTATGACTACTATTCTACTTCGTGTGCATCTGATTATATGATGTTGCTCTGGTTGAGATAAATATGCACTAATTAAAATGCAGATGTTTTGCATTTAATCTCTTTCAAAAGCTAAACTGCTGAGAGATGACTCTAGAAATGGTCTTTCATTTTAAACAAATCATTGTTTTTCTACATATTAGCAATAAATAGGATATATAATTAAATAAATAATTATCGTAGCATGCAAAATATCATATACCAACTATTAAATCTATTAAATCAATTGCTCTCCTAAAATAGTTATAAAATAATGGAATAAATTACATAAAGCACAAACCAATGGAAGACTCATATTTATAGATCAGAAGTCTCAATATTTTAAAGATGTATTCTCAAAATTAATCTATACATGAATTGTGATCTTAATTTAAGAATCCTAACATGTTGTTTGAAAAAGTATAATCATTAGTAATCAGAAAAATGCAAATTAAAACTGAAATGTGATTAGACTACTTAACTTCAGAATAGTTAAAATGATTGTAAAAAGCAAGATTTGGTGAGATGTGGAGCTGAGGGAAGTCTTATATATAGCCTGTGAGAGAATGAATTTATACAGTATCTTTGAACATTTTTTGTAATTACCTATTACAGCCGAGCACAATATTTTTCTATCGGCTAAATTTTTGGCTCTGTATTCTAATGCCCAACTCAATTGCATTCTACTCTCCCATATAGAGATATGGTTTTGCTTAGAATGATTACTGAAATGTGATCTTCATCATTCATTTTAAACTTGAAGCTAAGCCTGTTAGAACTTTCTGCATTACCACTTTGCTTGTATAGTCTCATCTTATCTTTTTATAAGAAAGATTGAACATCCCTCTCCTGGATATTTGATCATTCATTTTCTAATATTTATTTGGTATATGTGCATATGGCAACTTAATTTTCCACCAGATTGTTTTCATGAGAAATTGGCTTATAATTGAGAGATCACATGCAACTCAGGATATTAAATTTCTGGGAGCCTACCTTTAATTGTCCTAATTGGTAATGTATTGTGATTAGATGACGAGACAATATTGGTTAAACAGAAACTTTTATTTATGTGACTATGCAAAGATTGTTGATATATCACAATGCAAAATTATTATAAGAATGTGGAAAAGTAAAAAATTTCATAAGCACTATTCTGAAAGAAAAGCAAAAATATATAAACACAAATAGGAAGGCTCTTTACCAAACATCTAAATTCAATAATAATACATAGAAACCAAAGAAAATAAAACAAAGTATTATACATCTTACAGTTCAATATTTCAAATAAATTGAAAAAGATAACCCCAAATAAACTTTAAAATAGTATGTACAGTGTGACTGCAACTAATAATGACCATGGTGTGGGGAGTGTGTGTGCATTGTGTGTGATTGTTCATAATCAATCAATGGAAAACAAATTGTTGACTTTTTTTCACTGTTTTTACTCTTTACAGGCATTTTTTTCATATTTTTATGAGGGAGGATGACTCTTCAATTCCCATAGTGTCTCCATTTTTATTTTTGCCCCTAAAAATTGATCTATAAGACTGAATTTGTACCTTCTTTGAACTTATGATGCATGGTTTGTTGCTATCTGAGTTAGCATATGAAATTTCTGTGTATATTTGAAAAGCTGGTATGTCACAACAGAGCATTCTCAAGTATAATGACTAAAATAACAGCTTATCGGTGATAGAAATTTTATATTTAGAATTTATATTTAGCTGTTGTTTATAATATGAGAGACTTAAAACCTAGAATATTTTCTTCATATTGGTTAAAATAGTGGGATAGAATTTTAAAGCACAGTTTTGGCCAGCTGTACTTCATGCTGTGTAACATTTACTATTATAAAAATCTGAGTAAATTCTTAGAAAATACTGACAAATACTTGTAGTGACAGGTAATATGCATGATATATTTAAGCCTCCTGGTAAAATATAATAAGGGAATCAAAATAAAAGAACCTGGAGTAGGTGATAAGTCAATATTGATCTTTCAATGAAGAGTAGATTGATAGGAAATAGTCTCCCAGCAAGTGGATATGTGCAAGTGCTTAGGTTTAAATAGGGTTAAGGAAAACTTAACCAGCTCAAGTGTCATGACAGGGTGCTCTAATAGCATAGAATTTCTAATTTGTAGGTTTTTTTTTTTTTAAGTACAAATGACTTTAAATGCAAAAAATACAAATGACCACAGTTGAAACATAGAGGATAATACTAATGTATGTCATTGGTATTTAATAAACAATAAGATACTTTTCACAGTAATTTGACAGTTTATGAAAAAACATTCCTCTATTATTTATGACAAAATAAGACTCTCTTATTTCAGGTGCTAGAGGATTAATCTCTTTTTTTAGAGAAAAAATTATCAATTGTTCATTTCTGGGGAATAAGCCTAAATTGAAAGTGTAGATGTTATCTGCAGTTATATGTCATGAAGGCCAAATGCTTGAAAATTTCCCCTCTTGAATGCCAACAGGATATTTAAATAGGTTCTGGAGATATGTCAGTATCAAGTTTGTCAAGAAAAGTTTATAGTAAAGTGTATTCTTGATGTAAATTTTCTTAATTCCTCTAATTGTTTCCTTTTAAAAGGCTATTTGGAAAGATTTCCCTGCCTAACTATTACTATAAACACTTTTTAATGAGTGAACACACATAATAAAGTGGTTCCTTTGCTTTTGGGACCTAAGAAGGTAAAGAACTATTTTAGTATGTATCAGGGGAACCCACCCCCAATATTTCAACATAGGTTCTTTCTATTTTCCATAAGTGTCTGCCGGCTGAGAAATAAAGAGAAAGAGTACAAAGAGAGGAATTTTACAGCTGGGCCACCGGGGGTGACATCACATATTGGTAGGACCGTGATGCCCAACTGAGCCGTGAAACCAGCAAGTTTTTTATTAAGGGTTTCAAAAGGGGAGGGGGTGTAAGAACAGGGAGTAGATCACATGCTTCAAAGAGCAAAAAGGAGAACTACTGATAAGGGTCCAATAAAGATCACAAGGCAAAGGGCAAAAGCAGAACTACTGATAAGGGTCTATGTTCAGTGGTGCATGTATTGTCTTGATAAACATCTTAAACAAGAGAAAACAGGGTTCGAGAGCAGAGAACTGGTCTGATCACAAATTTACCAGGGCCAGGTTTTTCCCCACCCTAGTAAACCTGAGGGTACTGCAGGAGACCAGGGCTTATCTCAGTCCTTATCTCAACCGCATAGGACAGACATTCCCAGAGTGGCTGTTTATAGACCTACCCCAAGGAACACATTCCTTCCCCAGTGTATTAATATTAATATTCCTTGCTAGGAAAAGAATTTAGTGATATGTTCCCTACTTGCACATCCCTTTATAGGCTCTCTGCAAGAAGAAAAATACGGCTCTTTTTGCCTGACCCCGCAGGCAGTCAGACCTTATGATTGTCTTCCCTTGTTCCCTAAAAATTGCTGTTATTCTGTTCTTTTTCAAGGTGCACTGATTTCATATTGTTCAAACACACATGTTTTACAATCAATTTGTACAGTTAGCACAATTTTCACAGTGCTCCTGAGGTGACGTACATCCTCAGCTTACGAAGATAACAGGATTGAGAGATTAAAGTAAGACAGGTGTAAGAAATTATAAAAGTATTACTTGGGAACTGATAAATGTCCATATTAAAATGAAATCTTCACAATTTATGTTCCCCTGCAGTGGCTCCAGCTGGTTTGTCCGTTCGGGGTCCCTAATGTCCCACAACAAGTATTAATTTGGAATCTGTCATTTAAAATCTTATTGGGAAAGGAAGAAAGAATATAATTTACATTTTATTTTGGACCTGGCTTTGTATGCTTTTGTGGCTTTTCTATTTCCACCTGGGCTATCATCCCATATACTGAAATATTAATACAATTATAACAAAACAAAGTATGACCTGGTTTATTTGCTGACTAGCTGCAGAAGTTTGGCTCAAATATGGAGTATTTTTCAATTAACCAGAAAAAAAAGACTATTTAAAATGGCAAGTAATTTTATAAATAATGAATTAATTTATGTTTACTACTTGTTAACGTTTTCTCTTATTTTTAAATGATTAGTTGGCTTTTATATTATCATACAATGCAATGTTTTGATATAAGCTTTACTTATGAATTTTGTGACTTAGCCATGTTAGAACCTAGATAACACACTCTAACTAATTCTCTATGGCACAGCTTCTCACCCTCCCATGTTTTTCAAAGAAAACTAATAAATTGACTAAATTGTGCAAAATCCATTCAAATACATTGGAAAAAATACTATTTTATACTAAGCTATTTGGTATCTATTCATTTCATTTCAACAATGAGAATAAATGAATATTTGACTCAAAGTTCAACTTCAAATCATGTGTCCACAGTAGGGTTTACCCCAAGGTATACATTCTTTCTTTTCTGCAAGTAAGAACTCTGATAGATTTAAGACATTTACTAAGTATTAAAATAAAATTATTACTTAAATCATTTGATCTCCCAGGTATTGGTAGGCAAATGCTAAACATACTAGTGTGCCTTCTAAATCCCCTTTGTTTATTTTCTTCATCTCATCAGCTGTAGACATAATTAAGCGAAAGGCTTTGCAAAATATTTTTTTCACATAATTAGAGATTAGCTTTAGTAAATCATTCCTATGTATTCTGAAATAGGCTAGTTATATTTTGTAGTCAGTGTTCAAAATAAATAAGAGCATTTCCTTTGAGTTGTTTAAATGTTACTGAAACAGTATGTCATACCTGTTTAATATATTATATCTTCAAAAGCAATGTAGAATAATTTCTTACGGGAAATGAAAAAATAGCCTGGAAAACATAATTCTTTTTTCTATTAATTCATATCACACTAATGAATTTTAATAAAGCCTGCCTGGTTTATTAGTCATTAATAATATTTTCACATAAATAAGTTAAATATTAACAATAAGGTAGCAACATTATCACTATACCAATAACAAATTCACAGCTCTGGTTTAACATGAGTTGCCTTTGTACACATATATATAACATGATGAAATGAAGAGAAAATTTTTCTATAAAAAAGTCAAGAAAGATGATGAGAAGCCTTCTTTTATTCATTTAATCGGTGTTTATCAAAGACTTAAGACAGAAAGCAGTTATTCTAAGTATCTTGAGCCATTCAGATTAAAGAAAAGTACTTATTTAACTTCTGTTTCTGTAATATGATAGATTGGACTATTTGGACCTATTCTCTAATTGAAAATGTATAAAATACAGTAAGATACATTTATAAAATAATTTAATATTATTAAGAAAATGAGAAAATTTCCAACCAATTACTAAGAAAAACATAGAAACCAAAGAGGAGAGCCAGGCAGAAAAGGCAGACAAGAAGTCCTGACAGCATTTGTGAATCCCCAAAGGCCTGATAACTGTGACAACCTTTCACAACAAAGAGATACGAATCAAAATTTGGGACCCATTCAAGTTGGAAGAGTTTAGAGGATATCATCTGCATATTCAGCTGGATCTCTAAGGAGCTATACACTCAGTTTACGGGAAAAGAGAAATAAATATTCTTATTGCATCCCTACCCAGTTATTGGTATATAAGGTGGTATGGTCATGAGTAGAACAAAAGAAGAAAAGTTGTATATATGGGCTAGTTCTCTCAAATATATGAAGACTAAATTAATAATCATGAGGTGTTCCAATAAACTGGAAAAATGAAAACCTTTTGGCTATGTATGAGCCTATTTGATTTAATCATTTCCCATCTTAGGTATCCTGGTAATGAGCTGGCTTAGCAAAAAACTTCAACATGGAACTGATACAGGCAGTATACGCTAGGAGACTGACATTCTAGAATTAGCAAGACCATCATACTGGCCCCAAATCTCTTGCTGTTACATAACATATAGAGAGGACACTGATTTCCTCCTAAATACATAAGAGATAATCTGGTGGATCATGAGGTTAGCAGACCAAGACCATCCTGGTTAACATGGTGAAACCCCATCTCTACTAAAAATACAAAAAATTAGCTGGGCGTGGTGTCTGGCACCTGTAGTCCCAGCTACTCAGGAGGCTGAGTCAGGAGAATGGCATGATCCTGGGAGGCAGAGGTTACAGTGAGCCAAGATCGGGCCATTGCACTCCAGCCTGGGTGACAGAGCAAGACTCCGTCTCAAAAAAAAAAAAAAAAAAAAATTGAGTTGTTTTGTTCTGTGGGTATTATTAAGCCGATTCTATAATATAAAAAAAATGCAAAGGGACTAGAATAGCCAGAAACTCTTGATAAATAATGCTAAGGTGGAAATACTTACACTCCTAGATATTATAAATTACTTTACATACGTGCAGAACTTAAGTCTGAAGGGAACTAGTAAAAGGATAGACAATTAGACTAATCTGCAGGAATATATCTTAGGTTAGACATAAATCATATGGGCACTTAACTTTTTGCAAAAGTTGACCACAGCAGAGCAAAGTAGCAGGAAAGAGAGAAAGAACAAACTTTTAAGTAGATGCTGCTACGTTAATAACATAATCACATAAAGAACTATGTAAATTGATACCTTACTTACAAAAAATGAAATCAAATTTTCAAGAACTAGAGTCCTAAGTTTGAATAAGAAAACAACAAAACTTAAAGAAAATGAAATATGAGACTATTTTCATGGCCTTGAAGTTAAAATGATAACTTGTTACACATTAGAATAAGGAATTATAGTTTATCAAGTGACACTTGTTAAGAGAAATAAAAGACCAGAACATGGGTTTCACTTTCGTACTAAGCAAGTCTCAATCAATTTTTAAAAATTGAAATCATACCAAACATGCTCTTAGAGCATTCATGGATATTATATAACTTGCTCCTGCATAACTCCTGGGAGAACACCAAAATTAAAGCAGAATTTTTTCCTATTAATAAAACAGGGACAAAACTTACCAAAATCTCTGGGATGCAGCTAGCACAGTGTTAAGAGGAAAGTTTATTGCACCAAATGCCTTCATCAAGGATTTAGAATGACCTCAGATTAATAATCTAACTTTTCACCTAAAGGAACTAGAAAAAGAAAGAAGAAGCCAGTCCCCAAGCTAGTAGAAAAAGCAAATAACTAAAATTAGAGAAAAATGAATGAAATTGAGATGCAAGAACCCATACAAAGAATCAATGAAACTGAGACTTGTTTTTTTTTTTTTGAAAACGTAAACAAGATTGATAGACTGCTAGCTAGGTAAAAACAAAACAAAACAAAACAAAGCAAAAATCAAGAAGATCCAAAGAAGTACAATCATAAATGACAAAGATGATATTACAACTGATCCCACAGAAATATAAAAGTTCCACAGAGAATACTAAGAAGAACACCATGTACACAAATTAGAAAATGTAGAGAAAATGGATAAAATCCTGGAAACAAATGATATCCCAAGAATGAATCAGGAAGAGATTGAAACCATAAATAGACCAATATCGAGCTCAGAAATTGAATTAAAAACAAAAACTAACAACCACAAAAATAACTATGGACTACATGAATTCACAGCTCAATTTCACAAGACATTCAAAGAAGAGCTGATGCCAACGCTATTGAAATTATTCCAATAAATTGAGGAGGAGGGCTCCTTCCTAACCCGTTATATGAAGCCAGTATCAGTTTAATACCAACTGGTGGCAGAGACACGATGAAGAAATAAAACTTCAGGCAAATATCCACAAAAACCCTCAACAGAATACTAGCAAACTGAATTTAGTAGCACATCAAAAAGTTAATACACCACAATCAAGTAGGCTTTATTCCTGGGATACCAGGCTGTTTCAACATACACGAATCAATAAATGTGGTTCACCATATAAACAGAATAAAAAAGCAAATCCACATGATCATCTCAATAGAAAGAAAAACCTTTCAATAAAATCCAACATCCCTTCATGATAAAATCCTTTAACAGACCAGGCATTGAACAATCATATCTCAAAATAATGAGAGCCATCTATGACAAAATCAGAGTCAACAGTATACTGAACAGGCAAAAGCTAGAAATGTTGCCCTTAAGAACTGGAAAAAGACAAGATGCCCACTCTCACCACTCCTATTTAACATATTACTTGGAAGTCCTAACCAGAGCAATCAGGCAAGATAAAGAAATAAAAGGAATACAAATAGGAAAAGAAGTCAACCTATTTCTCTTCACTGATAAGATTCTATATCTAGAAAACACTAAAGACTCTACCAAAATGCAACAGAACTGATAAACTATTTTAGTAAGGTTTCAGAAAACAAAGTCGATGTACAAAAATCAGTACCATTTCTACATACCAGTCATTTCCAGGCTAAGAGTTAAATTAAGAACACAATCTGCAATAGCCATAAAGAAAATGAAATATCTAAGAATACAGCTAACAAAGGAGGTGAGAGATCTCTACAAAGGCAGCTACATAACACTGCTGAAATAAATTAGCAACAACAGAAAAAAAATAAATAAAAATCATGCTTTTGAAAAAGAATAATTAATATTGGTAAAATGGCCAAAAGCACAAAGCAATTTACAGATTCAATGCTATTGCTGTCAAACTACAAAAGTCACTCTTTACAGAATTAGAAAAAAAAAATGATTCTAAAATCCATATGTAACTAAAAAAGAGCTGAATAGCCAAAGCAACTGGAAGCAAAAAGAACAAAGCTGGAGGCATCATACTACCCAACCTGAAACTACATTATAAGGCCATGGTAACCAAAACAGCATAATACTCATAGGATAACAGACACATATACCAATGGAACAAAATAGAAAACTCAGGAATAAATATATATCAACGCAACCGTCCAATTTTCTATAAGACTGATAAAAACAAGCAATTTGGAAATGACTCCCTATTCAGTAATTGCTGCTGGGATAACTGCCTTGCTGAATGCAGAAGAACGAAACTGGACCCTTATATTTCACCATGTACAAAAATTAACTGAAGGTGAATTAAGATTTTAAATGTAAGACTATAAAAAACTTTAAAAAACTATAAAAACTCTATAAAAATTATAAGAAATAGCCTTCTTGACATCAACCTTGGCAAAGAATTTTTGACTAAGTCCCCAAAAGTAATTGTAACAAAAAAAATTGACAAGTGGAACCTAATTAAACTAAACAGCTCTACACAGTGAAATAAGCTACCAAGAGAGTAAACAGACAACATACAAAAAGGGTGAAAATATTCACAAACTATGCATCCAACAAAGGCTTTACATGTATAAACTATTAGGAACTTATATAAACGAGCAAAAAAACCCAAATAATTTCATTTAAAATGGGCAAAGGACATTAACAGACACTTCTCAAACAAAGACATAAAAGCAGTCAACAAACATGAAAAAATTCTCATCATCACTAATTGTAAGAGAAATGCAAATTTAAACCACAATGAGACATCATTTCACACCATTCATAATGCCTGTTATTAAAAAGTTAAAAAACAACATGCTAGTGAGGGTGTGAAGAAAAGGGAACAAATAAATGTACACTCTTGGTGATAACATCAATTTCTTCAGCCACTATGGAAATCAGCTTGGAGATTTTTCAAACAACTTAAAACAGAGTTACCATTCGATCCAACAATTCCATTACTGGGTATATACCCAAAGGGAAATAGATCATTATACCAAAAAGACACATCCACTCCTAGGTTCATCACTGCACTATTCATAATAGAAAAGACATGGAATCAACCTAGATGCCCATCAGTAATGGATTAGATAAAGAAAATGTGGTACTTATATACCATGTAATATTACACAGTCATAACAAAGAGAAAATCATGTCTTTTGCAGCAACATAGATAGAGCTGGAGGCCATAATCCTAAATGAATTAACGCAGGACCAGAACACAAAATACTACATGTTCACACTTATGAGTGTGAGCTAAACATTGGGTAAACATAAATATGGGGAAAATACACACTAACACTACAGACTAGAAGAGAGTGGGGGGGGGGTTTAAAAAACTATCTATTGGTACTACACTTATTACCTGTGAGCAATATACTCATGTAACAAACCTGCACATGTATGCCCTGTATCTAAAATAAAAGTTTTTTTTAAAAAAAAAACATTCATTTTATCTTTGTTACTTTATTATTTCAGTTTGTTTTAGTTTTTTTGTGGTTGTTATTTTCTTTTATCATCTCATAAATTCTTTGGGATTTTTGGATCTGTGGTGTTATAGCCTTCATTAACTTTTAGAAACTGTCATCCATCATTTTCTGAAATAGTCTTTTACCACATTCTTTCTCTGGACTTCTGGAATTTTGATTACATATGCATTAGTCCATTGAAAATTGTCCCACAGTTCTTGGATGCTGTCTTCTGTTTTTTTGTATCTTTTTTCTACTTTTTTATATTTTTGTGTTTTTCAGCTATTTTTAATCTGTATAATTTCTATTGACAATCTTGAAGTTCACTGATTGTTTCCTCAGTTATGAACAATCTAATAAATCTAAAAAACGTTCATTATCTTTGTTATAGAATTGAAGGATTATACATAAAAAATGAAAACTACATAGAATTTACTTTTATGTAACACATGCTTTCCTTATTTAACCAAATGTGAAAACTTCCTTCTGGTTTTAGGAAACAGACCAGCCTTAAGTAAAATAATGCTAATCAAGAATTTCAGTAGAGTGGAAAGGTAGGCTGAAATCTTCTGCAATGAAGAGCAAAGCCTCCTCCATTATACAATGTTGAGGAAAAAAAAAAAACGCCTTTCTGAAATAGGGCCTCAGACAAAACAATTGCTGATCTTTCAATAGGTATTTAACAGAGACTTTAGGTGAGGTGAGTGGTAGGTTGAAGGAGCAAGGAAATTCTGGAAATAATGACTATAACTTCAGAAGTCTTTCAGAACTGGGAAGACAAATAATTTTCTGACACCTTTTCGAATGTGATGAGGGTCATACCAAGAAACAAGGAAAAACCAGAGATGATTTGAGTCTTACTGAAACTGAAACATTGCCTTGACCTAGTCTAATACCTATTGATAGAATGGATTAATTATTTACTCTATCTGTTTTAATTGTATTTTTTCACAATATTAAAGGAAATGAAACATTTGACCCTTGAATGGCATGAAGCAGCACTGACCCCAAACACAATAAAAAATCCACCTACAACTTTTAATTCCTCAAAAGCTTAACTACTAATAACCTACTCTTGACCAGAAGCCTTACCGATAACACAAACAGTTGATTAACACTTATTTTGTACGTTATATGTATTATATACTTTATTCTTACAATAAAGTAAGGTAGAGAAGAGAAATGTTATTAGGAAAATCATAAGGAAGAGAGAATATATTAAGTAGAAGTGGATCATGATAAGGTCTCCATCCTTATTGTCTTCACGTTGAATGGGTTGAGGAGGACAAAGAAGAGGGGTTGGTCTTGCTGTCTCAGAGATGGCAGAGACACAAGAGGTGGGAGAGGCAGAAGGGAAGGTAGGAGAAGTAGGCACACTCATTATAACTTTTACTGAACGAAACTGCATATAAGTGAATCTGCATAGTCAAACCCATGTTGTTCAAGGGACAGCTGTACTAACAACCTTTTGTAAAAAAAACTTTTCCTGAAAAAGAGAAATGTGAACACTTATAAATTGTTTTATGAAGGCAGCATTAATTTGATGCGTACCTTAGAACATTTTATGAAAGAAAAATTATAGGCCCTTTGATATAAAAGTGAATAATAAACAAAATAGCCAATCAAATAAGTGAATATATACCATGCCTAAATAATTAAATGAGATTTTGCCAAAATGAAAGATTAATTTAACATTTGAAAATCAAAAACTGTAATCCAAAACACAAACAGAATAAGGTAGCAGCATTCATTCTAATAGGCACAAAAAAAAAATCTGAAAAAATAAAATATAAGAATTCTCAAGAAATTATAAAAAGAGAAACTCTTAATATAATAAAGGGCATAAGAAAGAATCATTGTATATGTTTCATATAATTTAAATTTTACATAGATATATATTTAAAATATAGAAGATTGTATACTAAGGTTGTTAAAAGTAAATCCTCAAGAAAATACAAAGAAAAGCTTTAGATTGAAGAAGATATTTACTGTAGATATCCTAAAAGAAATCACATTCAGAATATATTTTAAACACTTTAAAAATCAATAATAAAAAGATTTAAAATAATAGAAAATGAATAGAAAAAAATTCACAAAATACCCAAATTGCCAATACATTTACACGAAGGTGATCGACTTCATTAGTAATCATAACTCAGTGACGCTCCACAGTCATCACATGGATAAAGTGAAAAAGACAGAAAACAGAAAGTTTTAGCAATGATGTGGACCCACTGAAATTTTTATTTACTGCTGATGGAGTCTTGATTGTTACAACTATTTGGATAAATTCTCTGGCATTATTTTTCTAACTTGAATTTGTGTATACCATGTGATCTATTAATTACATTCCAAAAAGTGCAATACAAATATTATATGTGTGTGTTAATCAAAAGACATGCACTAAATTGTTGTTTGTGATAATAATTAGTAAAAATCAATAATTGCAAATATCCAAATACCCATTAGCAGAGGAATGAATAAATAAATGGTCTTATATTCAGAGAAGTAGACATATAGCATTGACAATATCAAAAGACATGCACTAAATTGTTGTTTGCAATAATATTAGTGAAAATCAATAATTGCAAATATCCAAATACCCATTGGCAGAGGAATGAATGAATAAATGGTCTTATATTCACAAAAGTAGACATATAGCATTGACAATTAACAATATACAACTACAAGAATAAGATAGATAATGAGAGACAAACTTGATGGTCCCAGAACTTCATTTCATTCCTTTTTTTGTTCACTTAGAGAGCTGACCCAGCTGAACTAATGTCAGCATTCTTGTCTGGTAGGACTGTTGCCAGGACCTTGCTATGAATTCCCTGACACTCAGTATGCATACTACCAAAGCACTGTTTTTGAGCCAGAGAACCTGTGCTACACGTTTTGTTTCTAGGTGTTGTCTAAGCCTTTATTAGCCCACTAACTTATAAATATGTACTGTAGTGTCTGGGCGAGGCTAGCTCTTATTCTTGGAATATTTATTGCCCCTTTCAGCCAGGATGTTGGCCATGATAGCATGGACTACTCTGCCAAACCAATGCTGTGGAATGATCAGAGTTCAGGGAAACACAGACACTCTAGTACTTCTCTGTTCTTTAGCTCCCCATCCCTATCTGCTGTATCAACCCTCCAAAATCTGTTATATCTATAGTGTGTGCTGACTTCATTGAGGAGATGGTTAGCTATTAGAGTGCTGGACAAAGTTGAAATTAAAAATTTGCAACTGCTCTGAGCACTTACAAATTTAAGTTTGTTAAATATTCTAATATTTGTTAGTTGGGAAAATGGGTAGATTTACTAATTCAGTACATATTAATAGAATATCTGGACTCTCTTGAATACAGGCTTCCAACAGAGACTTGCACAGATCAGTGGGCATCTGCCTATCTATTTCAGGCTGTCTCTAAGATGCATGTTGAGCTTGAAAGAAGCAGCTTTCTCATCATATGGAGAAAAGTTTGTGTTGTTCTTTGTCAATTACTTACTGTGCCACCTTGTTAGTGTTTTCCTCTTTTTTTGCACTAGATTATCTAATTTTTGAATTAATAGTACCTTGTTTTAAAATAGTGCTAAAGAAATTAAATCGGCCGGGTGCAGTGGCTCATACCTGTAATCCCCGCACTTTGGGAGGCCAAGGCGAGTGAATCACTTGAGGTCAGGAGTTTGAGACCAGCCTGGCCAACAAGGTGAAGTCCTGTCTCTACTAAAAATACAAAAATTAGCTAGATGTGGTGGTGTATGCCTCTAATCCCGGCTACTCTGAAGGCTGAGGCAGGAGAATCACTTGAACTCAGAAGGCGGAAGTTGCAGTGAGCCAAGATTGTGCCAGTGCACTCCAGCCTGGGTGACAGAGGGAGACTCCATCTCAAAAAACAAACAAACAAAAAATTAAATCAACTATTATTTATAGGACATGAATTACTTCCAGTGCCCCGAAAGTGCTTCAAAATGATAAATGTTTGCAAGAGGATTGACAAATTGAGAGTACTGCACATTACATGCTGTACCCATTATATCTAAGATATTAAAATATGTATTATTAAATAACCTTTATGTTAGCTTGGAAACTAGTAAAGGCACTTACTATATTAATACTGGATATGACTCAAGCAATTATGATAGCAATATGTGTGTGAAAGGGAATTATGCATTAACTACTATAAGCAATGGTTTAAAGGTAAAAACAACAGTCGCTACTTTATAGAAATATAATATTCATAACTTTTTGAGGGGAATAAAAATATTCTATTATAATCTTCATTTAAAAATGAGTCCGTGTGAATGCTCAATATACAACTTAGTTTCATCTACCTTTAAAATATTGACAATTGCATCGAATTAATTGCCATATAATAGTCTTTGCTAGGCAAACTTCATTCACCTTGAATAACTTAAATATATATTTTAAAACAAAAGTTTGAAGTTCTAGCATTGCTAATATTTAGAAAAATAAAACATGAAAAAAATGAGATTAGCCTAAAAAACCTGAGCATGTAGCTAAAATTAAATATGCAAATTAATTAATTTAAGAAGAATGTAGTGTGTCAGGCTGTTGTATGAAATCTGTAAGTATTCACAGAACAAAAAAATAATTTTCTTGTTAGCAAAGTTTTACTCAAAGATGGCCACAGATGAAAAATAAATAAGCAACATTCAGGAAATCAAAGAAAGATGTTTCATAATTTACAAAATCAACTGCTGTGTAATTATACCCTTTTCACTTATAAAATTGATTTATTAACTGTAGAATAGATTATAAATAACATTTTTATTATTCTCAGTTCATATATGTAGAGTATAAATTCAAAATCTTAACATTCTGTTTGATCTATTTTAATAATAAAAGCATGGCAGCAAGATTATAAATTTGATTAGTATAAATTAATCATAAAAACAATATAGAATAATCTAATACAACCAAAAAATCACTTATTGTGGAATATAAACAAACAGAAGTTCTTATTTACTCTTCAATGAGACAATTATAATATTTTTATATACCTATTCATTGGGTGCTTTACTACCCAGAGGTTTGCTTAGCAATTTTACCCCTAATTTGTTTATTGAAATCCACGTAGTGTTTTAGTAGCAAAATTTGTTCAAATTATAATTTGTAAAATATACAGATAATCAGCAATGTATTCATTTTCATAAATTTTATCTCAATGTTTTTTTCTGTCACATTTCAGTACAGAAATAATTTAAAGCTTACTTTATCATAAATTAAAGATAAAACCTCTAGAGGAATAGAGGAAGGACAGTGATTGAAGGATATTCTTAATTCTAAAAATTTTTTAATCCTCTGTATCCTTAAATTTTTTTACCTTCAAGTCATGACATAAAAACTCATTTGTTAATTCAAATGTTTACTTGAAAGTGGCAATTTAAAACAAATGTTTTTCTGTAGTTATATGAAGATTGGTTAGAAGATTTTATTAGGAAATTTGATATTATGAATGAGATTGGTACCAAAATTGAAGGCAGTCTTCATTGTATGATGATTTTAATGTTTTAATTAGGTTGAAATTAATGATCAATGGAAATGTATTAAATTAATAAAAGCTAAATATTGATTTGTGCATTATTACAGCATTGAGGTTATATTAAATTAAATATTTGAATTATGATTGCTTAGATATAATGTTCAGACATAGGGATATCATAAGATAACTCATTTATTTAATAACTCAAACACTGCTATGTGTCATAATTTCTATCCTTTTTACTTGCAATAAAGACATTAAACATATATAATGAAAATAATATATTTTTCAAATGTATGTGTATCTATTTAAATAAAATAGACCAATCTTTAATAATAGTAAACATATAGAAAGACATTTTGAAAATATGTAAGAAAATAATTTGTATCACCTCTTTTTATTTAAATACTGGAATTATTTAAATGGACAAAGTATCACAGATAACATCTATTTCAACCACACGAATTTAGAGTTGAATTTAAATACGCATATGAATAATCTAACATAAAGCATCACTCAACTCACAACTTATTTATTGAATCCCAACATTCTTCCCAAAACTATGCTAGATGTGGTATCTGTCCTGACAAATAAGAACAATGTATATTATTAAAAGATATACATGTTTAAAATAGTGACTTTTGATTCTGATTGAAGCTGATAGAAAAGTTTTCACAGAAAAGTTCAAATTTGAGCTGGGCCTATAAAGATGTGAAATACATGTGATGAATGTAAAAAGTGAAATGTAAACCAGACCTTAGGAATAGTACAAGCAAAGGTAGGGAAATAGAAAAAGTCTAGATTATGTGTGCAAAATAAGTAGTAGTTCATGAGACGATTAAGGTATGTGTGTAGATTGGGAGTAGAAGAGAAGGCAAATACTAGGCAGTGAAAGGATCACAGTAAACATTGACTGTGAAGCTAACAGTTTTAAAAATTTTGTTCTACATTGAATGAGAATCCAGTGGATATTTTTGACAATGGTGGATTAGTATCATTCATTTCACAGCACTAAATAGCAAACAATAAAGTTGAGGGGAATTTTTATAACGCTCTTTAAAAATGCAAATAAATGGTATCTTAAAAGGATCTAATCTTAGTTGACAGTAACAAAAACGGAAGTTAAATTAGGGGCCAAAGAGATATTTCTCAGGAAGAATTAAAAATGTGATGCTTAAATATAAGGGACTGATCAGAGGCTAATGTCAATATTGTAATATGTTAATGCACGGTAGTATTACTGTTAAAAAGGAATCGAGAACGCAGGAGAAGAAAACATTTATCTGGAGGAAATAAATAGAGGATGTTTAGAAAGTAGTCGAATGGGCAGATGATTCTATGTAACTGAGACTCTTGAAGAGACCTTGACGTGGAAATGGAGTATTTTGTGTTCAGATATTTGCATTAGTTTGCTTGAGCTGCTATAATAAAACCACAAACTGGGTGTCATAAAAAACAGAAACCTATTTTCTCACAGTGCTGAAGGCCAGAACTCCAAGAGCAAAGTGCACTCAGATTCAATTTCTGGCCGAGGCTCTCTTCCTAGCTTGCAGATTGCTGCCCTTGCTCTATCCTTACATGGTCTTTTCTTTGTGCAACATCAGAGAGAGGAAGATTTCTAGTGTCTCTCCCTCTTCTTAAAAGGATATCAGTCTTATCAAATTAGACCCTCACCCTTATGATCTAATTTTACTAATTACCTCCTTAAGGAATCTAGTACCCAAATAAAGTCACAATGGGAGTTAGGACTTCAACATATGAATTTTGGGGGGCCCACAGTTGAGTCCATAATGGTTTTATTTAAAACCATGGAAAGAAATAAAATAATTTGTAGAATTGTGGGTAAAGAAGAGGAAAAAAAAGGTAGATGATTGTAGAGTATGAAGTTGAAATACCTCACAAAACATACAAGGAAAAAAAAAGTTTTTTTTTTGTTTTGTTTTGTTTTTCCCTAAGGTCAGGAGCAGGACAAATAATGTCTGTTCTTACCTATTCATTGCAGCATTGTGCTGGGAGTTCTTGATAGTGCATTAATGCAGAAAAAAATAAAAGAAAATAGATTGGAAAGGAAGAATGAAAAATATTCACAGAAAGCATGATCAGGAAATAAGATTCTAAAATTACATATAAATTTTCTAAAAGATATTTAAAGAAAGACGGGTGCTATAGTCTGAATGTTTATGTCCCATCAATATTCACATGTTGAAGTCCTACTCCCCACTATGATGGTACCAGGATGTGGGGCCTTTTGGGAGATAATTAGGTCTTAAAAGCTCTGCCCTCATGAACAAAATTCAGCATAAAACCTGTCAGTAAACTAGGAAAATATGTATACCTCTTCAATCTGACAGAGATAGCTATGAAAATATCACACAGTACTTAATCATGAAAAGCCAAATGCTTTCCTTCTAGGGTCTGGAATGAGACAACAATGATTTTTTTTTCCAGTCTTTCATTTAAGCAATGAAGTGGGAGTCTTAGTGTATTAATGTAGAAAATGAAATTTAAAAAATATTTAAAGTGTATTCCACATAATACTATTGAATGGTGGCTCCTATTCCTACCACAAAGAAACTAGTGTGCCTCGAATGCAAATTTGATACTTCACAGCTAAGTATTCAGTTCCTTTATCTGGCTCTGAAATCCAGCCCTCCATGGTATTTGTGGGATGCCCTACAATGAATACTGGACTGAAAACTTGTCACTAACATTGTATCCATCAGATTTCCCCTGTTAACATTGCTCCAGTGGTTGTTGGTGTATAGGCTTCTTTGTCAATTCCTTTATTGACATTAGAAATAGAATGTTCAAAACTATAAAATAACTGATATAGAAGTAGTCTCATCCAGAAAGTAAAATGTTTTTAAAAAATTAATCAAGTCTATTCAAATAAAAACGAAAATACTTTTTGTAAAATCAAATTCTCAAAAATAACATTAGAGAGATTTAGAGCAATTTCTTTAGCTGGAATTAAGAAAGGTGTCAGAGTTTTCAACCTCTTCTTAAAAAAAATAGTATTAGATGGTGTTACAAGGTAATTGCACCTAAGTGTCTGAGACAAATGATGCCAGTGATAAACACTTCCAAAAAATTGGGCTGATGAAATAATCTGTACGACAAACCCCATGACACAAGTTTACCTATGTTAACAAACCTGCACTTGCACCCCTGAACTTAAAAGTTAAAAATATTGTACAATAACTGGAAAATGTATTAAACAAAATGAATTGTATAATCAAATGTTTAATGAACACTAGATAAACATCCTAAAGAAAATATTAATGAAAATAAATTAGCAGCATATTGACATAATTAGACATCAACACTAAGTAAGCTTTATTTAAGAGACGCAAGAATGCTTCTATATTAGGAAAACTACCAAAATAGGCAATCATTTAATATAACATGAGAGAAGAGTAATGATTATTCCCATAGATACTTAAAGATATTTGGGGAAAAAAACTGTGATTACAACAAAAAACAAAAATAGATAGGTACTTCTGTTGCAGCTTTTTCACTTCCATAGCTTTGTGAGTGGGAGGGAGGGTTACAGCTCTTTTACTCTTCTCACCCACGTCTCAGCAAACAGGAGCATTACAGCTCTTTTGCTCCTTAGTTTGGTGAGTTTCGGGTCCTTGTCACATGACCAAGAGCAATGAAGTACGTGGACACTGGAGAGTGAGTAACGCAGACTATAATTCTATTGAGCAACAGAAAGTACGCTCTCAGCAGTGAGAGTGGACCTGAAAGTGGGTTGCCATCTGTGAGAGGTAGCCTGGGGTTTTTATGAGCTTAGAATGGGGGGATGTGTGCTGATTGGTCCGTGGGAGAGCTTAGAAAAATCACTATTCGATTGGTTAAAAAGCATCATTTAGAAAGAACCAATTGAGAGAGAGTGGGTAAGAAAGAGATAGAAATTCTCACTTCAGTCCATGGATTCTATCTGAAACTGGTAGCTTAATTTTCAGGCTTTAGACTATCCTTTGCCTGAAAGTCAAGTTTCACCAGGGACCCATCTTGTCTGCCCAGGAATTTGTTTGTCTCCTGTCTCTATCACTTCCTTAATATAATCAGATATATCTATCTCATAGCAAACACTAGCATCATGTATCACATCGAAAGGTGTTTCTCTATATTATGGATAAAGAGTTCCTAGAAAATAATAAGAGATAAAAAGCAACATACCAATACAAAAGGACCTAAAGAATAAGGATAAATAATTCATAGAATGGGATGAATAGATGGTGATAATCCATTCAAGTTATAGAGATAACTCCAACTCAAACATAGATGCATTATGTGATTAGCCAGAACAAAAAAAGGGGATAAAATAATGGATATATATTTAATCTTGTACCAAACCATCATCTCTTATTTCAATACTTTCTTCCTCCTTAGCCTATTGTATTTTTTCCCACAGCCTGTATAATTTTAAGATATACTGTATAATGTTATATTTATAAAATTTCTAATATGTTTTCCCTCATTAGAATGTAAACTCCTTGTTGGCAAGTCTTCTTTTGTTCACTGATGTAATCCAGTTGTTCGGTAAATGTTTGTAGATGACTGAACAATAAGTAGGATATAAACAAAAATCTTATGATAGTGAGGCCATTTTCATTAAGGCAAAGGAGCTTCTCATTAAACCAATGATAGATATTTTACAAAATTCTATGTTTATTTCATAAGAAACAATTACAGTCTTTTCTGTAAGACGCAAATAGATGAGCTAACAATAACTTTACGTTTAAATTTTTTTATGTGAGTTTCTCAAAAGGCATTTCGAAAATAAAATAGATTAATTGCCTACTGCTAGGATAAAATTATGTCATAGATTTTCTCCTGAGAGAATTCTCCATTGAATTGAATTCCTCCATATAGGGAGATAACGAAGGCATCATTTTTGCTGGTTCAAACCTTCACATTGTGGATATTCTATTTTGATCCTCGCCTTCACCACTAATCAGTCAAGAGTGCAGCCTTATTCATCTTCGAACATATATTTTGTATAATATTTTATGCTTCTACAACTGGAATAATTAATACATTTTATTATTTCATACTTTGATTTATATTATAGTTTTCATCTACTTTCATTCTTTGTATAGTTCTATTTTCATAAAATTAAAAAATGCATTCTTGCTAGCAAAAATAAAAATGTTCTTTTCCTTTGTATCATGGTATGCAAATATTAAATAAAAATGCTCCTCTTCTTGATGAGATTTACAGATAAATTGCCTTTTTTTCTATATTAATGTCTATGGAAAAAGTATGTTTTCTTCAGTTAGTATAGCTTACCAAACTTTAGAAATTTTATTAGTGAGAAAATGCTGGTAGTTTAATTTTTCTGCTCATCTCTACACATTTTATAAAAAAGTGATTGATCTTTCTGATAATTTCCTTTATATCTGTATTCCAAAATTAAAAAAAAATACTCCAGTATACTGCCAGTTTATCTACAATGTATTAAATAACAACTCATACTAATAGTGCTCTTTAGAAAAAAACTATAATGTATGGTTTATTCAAAATTAAGATATGCTTTTATTTTGAACAAAAATAAACTAATACCTTAATATTTTCTGGCAAAGTAGAATTACGTTAGTTTTTTATCAGAATGATAAAAGACATTGATATATTAAATATTGGTAAATAGAAAGTAGTTATATAAAGCCATTAAATTTAAATTTTATTTTGACTGTGCATAGGTATAATCGAATTAAAACAGGTAATAATTTGAGATTAAATATTTAGTAACTAGTTTCAGTACATCAAAAGTCTCATACTATTCACAACATTTAAAAGCAGAAAAAATAAAAAAAAATTATGATTATAGAGAATGATGAGTATCAGTTAATTCATCCATTTAAGTTCCTTTATTCTGTATTCTGTGTGAGTCCCAACAGAAGACTACAATACCATTTTACAAAATGTTTGGAAAAATCCACATGAGGGATTGCCAATGAAAACATCAATATTTAATATTAGAACATAGAATAATCAATGTCTAATAAAAAACCTGATAAGACAGAAAAAAGGGAATGTTATGGATGCTTTTGAATGGCAAATATAGATCAAATATTGACTCTTTTTTTCTGTGTACTGCTTTTCAATATTTAAGCTTGACTTGATTACTTAAATAAAATCAATTACTTGGGCCAAGTATGTAAACCAATATGTGTTAACTCCTCAGTATATTTAAATTTTATAAGTAATTATATCAAATACTGAAATATATTTTCTGCTGATTATTTTGCTGAGAAATAAGTAAATTTGGTATGATTCACTCCCCTCTCTACCTACTTTTATCAAATACATTACTATAATTAATTACTTGTTTTTTAAAAGGTATCTACATTCTAAGAAATACCAATATAAAGCTATTGGAAAGATCTGAAATAAATATTAAGGCAAATGAATTATGATCCAGGATTTTCCTGGTATACCATAGAGATTCACATTTGAAATCACTTTGATTTCATCCTGACCTGTAACCAGTTCAGGTATTGTATCTCAATGAATGGCTCATCATATGCCCACCTGTGCCATTTTGCATTAATTCTCCAGGGCACAGATGAAAATAACTTTACAGAAAGTATGTCATCATTATCATCACCATCATCTAAATGTGTTAACATAAACAAGAATTTGGGTATTAAAATGTAATGGGACACTATATGTAAAAACATTATAACAAAAAAATGCGTTTTCCTCTGTCTCAAAAATTACAACATTAAAGAAAAATAAAAGCATCTACTTAGCTATTATCATCAGACTAAAATACCCAAAATATAACCAGCCTACTAAATGTATGAAATTTGATGTGTTAAATAGAACACAGACCAAGAAACCTCAAGGTATATTAGCATAAATATGACAGAAATTTATTTCTCTTTTTTTTAATTATTTAAAGTAAGCAAGTGGTTCTGGTTGGTGGTACATCTTAGCTCCATTTTATCTTTCAAAGGACGAGAAATTTCTCTATCTTTATCATCACCAGGTTCAAACAATTCTCCTGCCTCAGCCTCTCGAGTAGCTGGGACTACAGAGGTATGCCATCATGTATGACAAATTTTTGTATTTTTAGTAGAGACGGAGTTTCACCATGTTGGCCAGGCAGGCTAATCTCGAACTCCTAACCTCAAGTGATCCACCCACCATGGCCTCCTAAAGTACTGGGATTACAGGCATGAGCCACTGCTCCCAGCAGCAATTTTTAGTTTTTTGATGAACCTCCCAAGTGTTCTTCATAGCGGTTGTACTCATTTACATTCTCACCAAGTGTATGAGGGTTCTGTTTTCTCCACATTGTCACCAGCATTTGTTATTGCCTGTCTTTTGGATATAAGCCATTGTAACTGGGGTGAGATATCTCATTACAGTTTTGATTTACATTTCTCTGATGATCAATAATACTGAGCCCCTTTTCATATGCCTGTTTGCCATCTATATGTCTTCTTTTGAGAAATGCCTATTCAGACCTTTGGCTGATTTTTAAAATCAGATTATTATATTTTTTCCTACACAGTTGTTTGTGCTCCTATATAGTATGCTTATTAATCATTTGTCAGATGAGTAGTTTGCAAATATATTCTCCCATTCTGTGGATGATATCTTCACTTTTTGATGGTTTCCTTTGCTGTGCAGAGGCTTTTTAACTTTATATAATCCGATTTGTACAGTTTTTGTTGGGTTGCCTGTTCCTGAGGGATATTGCTCAATAACTTTTTGCCCAGACCAATGTCCTAGAAATTTTCCCAAATGTTTTATTATAGTAGTTTTATAGTATGGGATCTTAGATTTAATTCTTTAGTACACTTTAATTTTTGTATATGGTGAGAGATAGGGATCTACTTTCCTTCTTTTGAATGTGAATATCCAGTTTTCCCAGCACCATTCATTGAAGAGACTCTCTTTTCCCCGGTGTATGTTCTTGGCACCTTTGTCACAAATGAGTTCACGGTAGGTGCATAGATTTGTTTCTGGGTTCTCTATTCTGTTCCATTGTTTCTATATTTCGGTTTTTATGCCAGTGCAGTGCCATTTAGGTTACTACAGCTCTGTAATATGAATACAATTTGAAGTCAGGTATTGGGATTCCTCCAGTTTTGTTATTTTTGCTCACAATATCTTTGGCTATTCTGGGTCTTTTGTCATTCCACATCAATTTTAGAATTTTTTTTTTCTATTTATGTGAAGAATGTCATCTGTATTTTCACAGGGATTACAGAAAATCTGTAGGTTGCTGTGGGTAATAAACAATAATTTTAACAATATTGATTTTTCTATCAACATGGACTACCTTTCCATTTTTTGGTGCCCTCTTCAAATTCTTTTATCAATGTTTCATACTTTTCATTGTAGATATCTTTCACTTCTTTTGTTAATTCCTAGGTATTTAATTTTATCTGTGGCTAATGTAATGGGCTTGCTTTTTTATTTAAGATTGTTCACACTTACCATATAGAAATGCTACTGCTTTTTGTATGTTGATTTTGTATTCAGCAACTTTACTAAATTTGTTTATTAGTTTTAACAGTATTTTTGTGGAGTATTTAGGATTTTCCAAATATAGGATTATATCGTCTACAAACAAGGATATTTTGGATTCTTCCTTTCCAATTTGGATGACCTTCATTTCTTTCTCATATCTGATTGCTTTAGCTAGGACTTCCAGTACCTTGTTGGATAACAGTGGTGATAGTGGGCCTCCTTGTCATGTTCCAGATTTTAGAGGAAAGGCTTTCAGTATTTCTTCATTATGTATGAATCTAACAGTGGGTCTGTCATTATGGCTTTTATTATCCTGAGGTATGTTCCTTCTGTACACAGTTTCTGAGGGTTTTTATCATGAATGGATGTTAAATTTTATCAAATGCTTTTTTTGTAGCATCAATTGAAATTATCATATAATTTTTGTCCTTCATTCTCTTGCTGTGATGTACCACATTAATTGATTCATTTATGTTGAATGGTCCTTGCATCCCTAAGATAAGCCCACTTGGTCATAAATGTGATCTTTTTAATGTATTGTTGAATTCAGTTTGCCAATATTTTCTTAAGGATATTTGCATCAATATTCCTGTGTCTTTGTCTGGTTTGGGTATCACAGTAATACTAGACTTGTGGAATGAGTCTATAAGTATTCCTACCCCCTTTGTTTTTCTGAATAGTTTGAGTAGTACTGGTATTACTTCTTCTTTAAATGTTTGGCAGAATTCAGCAGTGAAGCCATCAGATCCTAGGCTTTTGTTGCTTGGAGACTTTTTATTTTGGCATTGATCTCATTACTTTTTATTGGCCTTTTTATTTGGATTTCTTTTTAGTTCAATCGTGGTAGGTTGTATGTGTCTAGGAATTAATCCATTCATGGTAGATTTTCCAATTTTTTGGCATATAATTGCTCATAGTGGTCATTAATTATCCTTTGAACTTCTGCATTATCCACTGTAATGTCTCCTTTATGACCTCTGATTATATTTATCTTGGTCTTCTCAGTTTTTTCATCCTTACTCTAGCTAAAGTTTTGTCAATCTTGTTTATCTTTTCAAAAAACCAACTTTTTGTTTCATTTACCTTTTGTATTGTTTTTTCATTTCAAGTTTCTTTCTGTTCTGATCTTATTATTTCTTTTCTTTTATTAATTTCAGTTTCAATTTTCTCTTGCTTTTCTATTTGCATCATTGGGTTATTTATTTGAAGTTTTTCTTCTTTTTCATGTGAAAACTTGCAGCTATCAATTTTCTTCTTAGTACTGCATTTATTGTAACCTATAGGTTTTAGTATGTTGTTTTTCTATGATTTGTTTCAATAAACTTTTAAATTTTCTTCCTAATTTTTTCATTGACCACTGGTTTTTCAGGAGTACATTGCTTAATTCCCATGTGTTTGTATAGTTTTCAAAA
Organism: Homo sapiens; assembly: GCF_000001405.40. Lineage (NCBI taxonomy): Eukaryota > Metazoa > Chordata > Mammalia > Primates > Hominidae > Homo > Homo sapiens. The sequence continues at coordinate 56,244,433 of NC_000013.11, forward strand.
TTCATCTTGTTATTGATTTATTTCATTGTGCTCAGAGAATGTGTTTGATGTTTCAATTTTTGAATGCTTTAAAACTTGCTTTGTGACCTAATATATGGTCTGTCCTTGAGAATGATCCATGTACTAAGGAGAAGAATGTGTATTTTGCAGCCATTGGATGAAAGGTTCTGTAAATATCCATTAGATCCATTTATTCTATAGTGCAAATTAAGTCCTATGTTTCTTTGTTGATTTTTTTTTTTTTTTTTGTCTAGGAGATCTGTTCAATGCTGAAAACAAGGTGTTGAAGTCTCCAGCTGTTTTTGTATTAGAATCTATATCTCTCTTTGGCTCTAATAATTTTTCCTTTATATATCTGGGTGCTCCAGTATTGGGTGAATATATTTACAACAGTTATATCCTCCTGATGAATTGACATTTTTATCATTATATAATGACTTTCTTTGTCTCTTCTTGTAGTTTTTATCTTGCAATCTCGTTTGTCTGGTAGAAGTAAAGCTACTCATGCTCTTTTTTCATTTCTATTCATATGAAATATATTTTATCTCTTGTTTATTTCCAGTCTCTGTCAGTCTTTACAGGTGAAGTGTGTTTCTTGTAGGTATGAGGTAATTGTGTCTTTTTTTTTTCCATTGAACCACTCTATGTCTATTTATTGAAGAGTTTTGTCTATCGATATTTGATGTTATTGTTAGTAAGTACGGACTTACCTCTGGAATGTTATTTGTTTCCTGGTTGTTTTGTGGTCTTCTTCCTTCTTTTGTCCTGATTCCTTTTAGTGAAGTTGGTTGTCTCTGATGGAATGATTTAATTTATTTCTTTATATGTGTATCCATTGTAAGATTTTTGACTTGAGGTTGCATGAAACTTGGCATGGAACACTATCTTATAATCCATTATTTTAAACTGTTACAACTTAACACTGCATAAATAAACAGATACACAAAAAGAAAACTAATAAAAAATCTAAACTATAACTTTATCTCTCATTTTTTAAGTTTATGCTGTTTCTCTTTATGTCTTATTGTGTTGTCTATATCTTGAAAAATTGTAATAGTTTTTTTTATTAGCTAATTTAGTCTTTCTGTGTGAGATAAGAGTAGTTTACATATCCCCATTACAGTGTTATGATATTCTTTATTTTTTGGTGTGCTTCCTATTGCCAGTGAGTTTTGTACCTTCAGATGATTTCTCATTGCTCATTAACATCCTTTTCTTTCAAATTGATGAACTCCCTTTAGCATTTCTTGTAGGACTGGTCTGGTGTTGACGAAATCTTCAGCCTTTTTTTTTTCTTTTTTGAAGGTCTTTATTTCTCTTTCATTCTTAAAGAATATTTTTGCCACATATTCTATTATAGGGTTAAAGTTTTTTTGTTTTTTTTTTCCTTCATCACTTTAAATACATCATGTGACTCTCCTGGACTATAAGATTTCCACTGAAAAGCCTGCTACCAGTCATATTGTAGCTCCATTTTATGTTATTTGTTTCTTTTCTCTTGCTGCTTTTAGGATCCTTTCTTTAGGATCCTTGACCTTTAGGGGTTTGATTATTAAATACCTCCAGGTAGTCTTATTTGGATTAAATCTATTTGTTGTTCTATAACCTTCTTGTATTGAATGTTGATATTTTTCTCTAGGCTTGGGAAATTCTCTGATATTATTTCTTTGAATAAACTTTCGATCCCATCTCTTTCTAAGTCCTCTTTAAGGCAAATCCCTCCTAAATGTGCCTATTTGAGGCTTTTTTTCTCGTTCTTGTAGGTGTGCTTCATTTTTTTATTCTATTGTCTTTTGTCTTCTGTGCGTATTTTCAAACAGCCTGTCTTCAAGCTAATTCTTTCTTCTGCTTGTTCAGTTCTGCTAATAGAGAAGACTTTGATGCATTCTTCAGTATGTCGATTGCCTTTCCCAACTCTAGAATTTCTGCTTAATTCTTTTTAATCATTTCAATCTCTTTGCTAAATGTATCTGATAGAATTTTGAATTCCTTTCCTGTGTTATCTTTAATTTCTTTGAGTTCCCACAAAACGGCTGTTGTAAAGTGTCTGTCTGATAGGTTACATATCTCCATTTCTCCCACATTGGTCCCTGGTGCCTTATTTAGTTTGTTTGGTGAAGTTGTATTTCCCTGGATGGTTTTGATGTTTGTAGATGTTTGTCAGTGTCTAGGCGTTAAAGAGTTAGGCATTTATTGCAGTCTTTGCAGTCAAGGCTTCTTTGTGCCCATTCCTTTTGGGAAGGCTGTCCAGATACCCAAAGGGACTTGGGCCCCAAGACCAATAATGCTGTGGTTTTGGAAGACTTGTAGAATAACTGCCTTTGTGTTCTTGGATAAAATCTGGAAGACTTTAATCTAAATTACCAGGAAGTGACTCTTGTTTTCTCGCCTTACTTTCTCCCAAACAAATGGAATCTCTCTTCCTGTGCTGAGCCAACCTTGTTGTGATTTAAGCACCCCTGTGGCCACCAGCACTTGGACTATGCTGGGTCAAACCTGAAGCCAACGCGACACGAAATTTCACCCAAGGTCCACTGTAACCACTACCTGGCTACTACTCATGTTCATTCAAGACCTCTGGACTCTATAATCAGCTGTTGGTGAGACCAGGCAGGCTTGTGTCTTTCCCTTCAGGGCAGTGAATTACCTCAGGCTCCAGGCAGGTCCAGAGATGCTGTCTGGGAGTCAGGGATTGTTGTCAAAACCTTACAAACTGCTAAGATATTCTATTCTACTACGTCTAAGCTGGAACTCAAGCCACAGATAAAGTCCTTTCTACTCTTCCCTCCCCTTTCCACAGATAAAGTCCTTTCTACTCTTCCCTCCCCTTTCCTCTATGTGAGGTTCAGCTCTTCAGTCAGCTTTTAGTAAATGCTTCCAGCAGGGTACTCACCTTTCGGGTCTCTAAGGTCCTCTCTGGCCCAAGGCAGGTCCAGAAATGCTGTCCTAGAGCCTAGACCTGGATTTGGGGATCCCAATTGCCTGCTTGTTGCTCTACCCCACCGTATCTAAACTGGTGACTAAGGCGCAAGACAAAGTCCCCTTTGTTTTTCCCTTTTCTTTTCTCAAGCACATGAAATCTTTCACCACAGACACCATAGCTGGAAATGTGCTGGGTCACACCTGAAGCCAGCATGTCTCATAGCATGAGGGCTCTTTATTCAGTGGGTGATAAATCTTGCCAGGGCTAGGTCTTTCTTTTCAAGGCAAGGGTTTTTGTTTTGGTTGAGGGTGTGTCTAGAAATGTCATCCAAGTGCTAGGTCCTGGAATAGGGGCCTCATGACTCTGACGGGTGCCATATCCTACTGTGGCTGAGCTGGTATCCAAGAAGCAAGACAAATTCCTCTTTACTCTTTGCTCTCCTCTCTTTAAGCAGAAAGAAGGAGTCACTTTTGTTGCTGCAAGCTGTGCTGCCTGGGGCTGGGGGACGGGTATAGCAGCAATCCCTTAGCTTCCCAGCTGGTATATCCTTAGGTCTCATGCAAGCCTAGTCCACTGACTCTAAGCCAAGCCCAGCCCAGCATTCTGAGTTGTCCAGTAATTGCAGTCCTTGTGTCCCAGACTGCCTTTCAAGTTTATCTAAAACCACAGAGCCCTTTGGTCTATGGTGGAGAGACTTGCTGAGAAATTCACTCAACTTGCAACCACTGGCATGGGTGATTCTTCTCTGGCTAGGTCTGGTCTGGATGTTCCCTCCATACAGACTTCTCTTGATTATCAGGCAGAGACTGTTCTGTTTCCTTATTTTCTGCCAAACAAATGGAGTCTTCTCTCTGTGCTGACCTGCCTAGAGCTAGGGGTGTGGTTATACAAGCACCCCTTGTGGCCACCAGCACTGGAGCTGTGCTGGGTCAGACTTTAAGCTAGCATAGCACTGGGTCTTGTCCAAGGCTTGCTGTAATCACTACTTGCTACCACCTATGTTCACTTCAGGACCTTGGGCTCCATGATCAGCTGTTGGTGAACCAGGAAGGTTTGTGTTCTTCCCCTCAGAGCCGCAAATTTCCCTAGGCTCTGAATGGATCCTTAAATGCTATCTGGGAATCATAGATTGGAGTTAAAAATGTTAGAAAATGTCCTGATATACTATTTTACTGTGGCTAAGCTAGCATTTAAGCCACAAGACAAAATCCTTTCCACTTTTCTCTCCTTTTTCCAGTTTGGCTGTGAATCTGCTTGGTCCTGGGATTTTTTTTGTTGATTTTTTTTTTATTACTAATTCTTACTCACCAACTCATTATTAGTCTGTTCAGAATTTTTATTTCTTCCTGGTTCGATCTTGGGAGATTGTATGTTTCCAGGGATGTATTCATTTCCTCTAGGTTTTTTTATTGTGCGCATAGAGATGTTCAAAGCATCCTCTGAAGATCTTCTGTATTTTTGTGGTATCAGTTGTAATGTCACCTTTATCATTTCTGATTATGTTTATTTGAATCTTCTCTCTTGTTTTCATCATTAGTCTAGCTAATAGTCAGTGAATTTTGTTTATTCTTTCAAATAACCAACTTTTTGTTTCATTGATCCTTCTTTTCTGGGGGATCTCAATCTAATTTACTTCTCTGAATTTTTATTTCTTTTCTACTGCTAGCTTTGAGTTTGGTTTGTTCTTGTTTTTCTAGTTTCTTGAGGTGTGATGTTAGGTTGTTAATTTGAGATCTTTCCATCTTTTTGAGGTAGATAGACATGTAATGCTATAAACTTTTTTCTCAGTACCGCTTTTGCTATATCCTAAAAGTTCTGGTATCTTGTGTCTATTTTCATTTATTTCAAAGATCTTCTTTTTTTTAATTTCTGCCTTTATTTAATTGTGTATCCAAATTCATTCAGGAGGAAGTTTTTTAGTTTCCATGTATTTGTGTAGTTTTGAGAGTTTTGAGTTTTTTCTTTGTGTTGACCTCTAATTTTACTCCTCTGTCATCCGGATAGCAAGAAGATATATCTATCCTAAATATATATGCACCCTACATCAGAGTACTCAGATTCATAAAGCAAATACTAGCAGACCTAAGAAAAGAGACTGATATTGATGCAGTAATGGTGGGAAACTTCAACACTTCACTGACATCACTAGAAAGATCATTAAGGCCAAAAATCTACAAAGAATATCTTGGCTTAAACTGGAAAATAGACCCAACAGTCCTAAAAGACATTTACCAAACAGTCTATCCAACAAGCATAGAATATACATTCTTCTCATCTGTGCATGGAACATTCTCCAAAATTGACCATATGCTCAGCCATAAAGCAAATCACAATAAGATAAAAAAATAGAAATCACATCAACTGTCTTCTAGGACCAGATGGTAAAATTTTATAATAAAAGCCTCACTATACCCCAATGTGTTACTGAAGATGTAGAGCAACAGAAACTATAACATGTTGCTCATAGGAGTGTGAATTGAACAGTCTTAAAAAAACACAGACACATGGATGTATCCTCTAAACTTAAAAATACGACTCTCCTATGATTCAGCAATTGTTTGCCTACTTATATACTGAATAGAAATGAATATATATATATATATATATATATATATATATATATATGAATAACAGTAACAGCTTTGTCAAGATAGCCCCAACTAGAAACAACTCAAATGTCAATCAACACTTAAAAAATGAGTAATATTATGTAGGTTCATATTTTGAAATTCTACAAAGTAATAATTAAAATTGAACTACTTTTGCATAAAACCACATGATGTTGAAAGACCAAGTTCAAAATATCTCAACCTATAAAAATATATTTATAGGAATTTCAATTAAAAAAAAGGCAAAGCAACTTTTATGGTTACAGAAGCCTGAAGACAGACTATTCCATGGTGAAGGCAATGAGTAGGGAGGGATAGGAGGGAATATTCTGGGATGCTGACACTGCCCTATGTCAACATATGTAAATATATGTGCTTATATATAATACTCATATAAATATCAATAAAATAGAAAGCTAAACAAAAATATTTTCTAAGAAACCAAAAAATGTAAGAATCTGTCAGGAGCAGACCAACTAATTCCTAATGGTATGTCTTTTGCTCAAGGAATAATCCCCAATGGAAGTATGTAAATACAGAAAAAATATAGATTTCCCAAATTTTCCATTTTTATAGAAATATAATAGACTATAAATACAAATACAAATCTAAATGAGTATTGATGTTATAAAATAATACTAATAGTTACTTGTTACATGTAAAATATATTTAAATTCAAGATATGTGACTAATTATTAAAAATTAGTGAAGATAGAGAATATTCATAAAGTGTTCTAATGCATTATACAAGCAGTGGTGAAATTACTAATCTATATCAATCTTTAAGGTCAAGTATACTAATATAAATTGTTAGAATTTCCACTAAAATTGTAGTAAACAATTATGTGATTATTGAGGTTATAGAGGGTTTAATGGAATAACAAAATGTATCACATATGAAACAAATAGTAAACCAATAATAAGAGTATGTTTAAAATCAAAGATATCATCAATCACATTAAATGTAAATGGAATAAATATTCCAGTTCAATGCAGATTGTCAAACTGGATTAAAAAGTCTGATACGTTTTACAAGAAACGGTTTCCTTTAATATAAGGATATAGAAAATACAGGTAAATCTATCACAGAGATCTTGTAATTTAACCTAAAACCGTTGGCGCCTTTTCTCAGTAAGATTTAGTTTCAGATTTCCATATCATATTAAGTCAATCTCAAAACTAGAAGACAAAAAAAAATTCATTTAGTGATAGTAGTAATGAATTATTAATTTTTTTGGTTCAATTTACCTTTGAAAAATATTTCTTTACACTGTGTTGCAGCATTTGAATTTTTACTTTTTTAAAGTGACCTCAGTGACATAGCACTAAGTGCTTTCCCTGATGAATGAAGAATATAACCAAACAATAACTGTGCCCAAGTATTAATTATAAAAAAAACTTTGGTGTTATAATTACTTTCTGAGTAGCCCCTCCATGCATGCCTCTAAATGACAAAAGCTGAGACATAATTGTCTCCTTAATGTCCAGTTAGATTAAAACCCTTTTAGTGTTCAATCAATACAATTCTACAGACTGGAGGAAATGAAATGAGAACAAGGTGGCTTATGACCACAACTTTTTCTAAAATTCTATGTATAAAAACAAAATTAATACACTGTAAATGTACAGTAAAAAAAATACACTGAGATTTTTTGAAATGGGTATTAAAGTACTAATTTTTAATTCCAAAATGTATGTTTTCTCTCATCCATCACCATCCTCCCTACCCATCCCCAACAAAGACTCCCTGTATTTCCTCTGCAGGAAGGCAAAATAAGTCCATTTGTTTCAATGTTAAGATAGCATGTGTCTTATGTGAAGTTTATTAGAATATATATCTCTCATTCTCCAGGAGTAAAGCAGTTAGATACATTATAAAACATGTTGTTTAATGAAAAACAAAATTTAAAACTCATACAACCATGTATTCAAATATGTATTCATTTATATGTGCTGAATGTTTAGTGATTTCTAACAGCCTAATTTCATCATATACATAATGGGTATAACATTTCTTCCTCACATGGCTATTATCAAATTAAATAGTGGAATGCATCTATGAAGGACTTAGCCCAAAATAGCTATGTTTTCAATAAACACTACTTCCTCTACTACTCCCTTGTATTTTCTCTCTTTACTCAAACACAGCTTTTTTTTTTGTATAGGTTTTCTACTTTAAAAGAAGAAACAAAAAGAATCTTTTCATTGCCTCATATAAAATGTGAATTCTTCCTTTTTTAAAATCATCTCTCCTTTTGATATAGTTTTACAGTTGCATGGGTACTTGTGACCAAATATTTTCTTCCCTGCTTCACTCAAGACTAACCAGTGAGCCTAAAACCATACACAAATTTCTGAAAACAAGGTAATTGATATAATTTATTTATATTATTATTCCTATGCCTGTACTAAACTGAGATTATTCATTAAAAGTAAAAACCAAAGACACTGGCATTTGACAGGATACAGCTAATTTTCAAATTCATTATTATTAAAACAAAACAGAAAGTTATAGTAGCGAAAAGAGACTATAATTGTTACTTGTTCAGGCACTTGAAAATATCATTAAGGGAATAACATAAATTATAATTTATGTTAGAATAAAATAATCATGCTGAACTAAATCTACCATTTTTATTTGTTTTTAATGAAAAATCCAAATGTTCTGGGTTGTAGCATTTTAATCATAAACATATTTCTTGAGTTCAATTATCTCTTTTTTTCTGAAATCGATTACAATGAAAGACAATCTTTTCAGGGAACTAGCAAATTCCTGGAAAAGTAGGACATTGTGAACTTTCAATGTTCTCAATTGCAAGATTAAATCAGAAAACAATAGATGACTGATGAATTGCATTTCTAAAGCATCTTTTAAATCACTCATATTATTAAGCTATGTCTGCTTAATACTTTTGAAGAGGAGAGATTTTTGCCCTTTTACAAAAATCTTATATTTTTGGAAAACCAAATTGCGTTCATTCATCTACATATTCATCCTTTTAGGCCTTTAGCAATTACATTTATCTGAGGCATACATTATGCTTCTGTAATACAAATATTCGTTTTCCTGATTCAAAATCCCCCTGATTCCAAATACTATAGTTTGTTTATATGGTGGTTCAATAATTGGAGCTGGAATCTCATTATCAATCAGCTTGTCCTTCTAAGTAAGAGTTTGTTAAGTTTGTTACTTCCTAAATAGTTAGAACTTCTGCTTTTTATTTCAGAGCAATGAAGCAATACATACTCTGACTACTGGATACAAAGCAGGTCTTCAATTCCATATATTACTTTTTTTTTTGTAGAGACAGAGTCTCGCTCTGTTGCCCAGGCTGGAGTGCAGTGGTGCTATCTTGGCTCACTGCAACCTCCACCTCCCGAGTTCAAGCAATTCTCCTGTCTCAGCCTCCTGAGTAGCTGAGGCTACAGGCACACACCTGCAGTTTTTGTATTTTTTTGTATTTTAGTAGAAACACGGTTTCACCGTGTTGCCCAGGCTGGTCTTGAACTCCCGACCTCAGGCAATCCACCAGCCTCTGCATCCCAAAGTGCTAGGATTACAGGATGCGTGGCATATTTCTATGTGCTATGATTCCTTTGCATTCCATTGAACATGACACATAGCAATCTCTAGGTTTAATAACATTTAAGTGAGCTAGCTTTTCAAATAGTAGAGAAGTATACATTATTGTCTACATAATAAAATGAACAATATGATTAAAATAGTAAAATGATGCAATTTTGAAATAATCCTTTACTGGTAAAATAATATATTAGGTAAAGACATAATCTTTGACAAATATTGTACTGAAATAATAAATATCAACATTTCCAAAGCAGAAATTCTAAGATCTGGGCTATGTAAATTGTGATAATTACTGATGCAGATTATTATTTGCTTTTGTTTATTTTAATGTGAAAAGGTAGACTTTTCGCTAGAACAATTTAAAAAGCTACCATAATAATTCTGTTTAAATAATTGAACTGCTAGTTGAAGAAAACATTTGTGAGTAAAGAGAAAATTGAAAACTTTGGTGGCTCAGCATGGTAAAACTTGACTTGTATTTTGTAGTAAGAACTTAAAGACACTCTTGCCTGTGGCAAAGTGTAAATAATAAGCAGGACTGTTTTAAAATACATTTCTAATTTATTTTAATACATTTGGAAATATCTCATTAGGTTAAAAGTATGACAAATTATATAACATACTATATAATATTACATAATATAGTATGCTGTATTATATATTACCCAATCATGTAATGATTGCTTTAATACTAGTCATACTACCAATATAATATTATATATCACCAGCTTTTCTACGGGTTTTTTTTCAGAACACATGTCATAATGAAAAATTAGAAAAATAAATAACAGCTATGATTTAAATTATTTTAAACACCTTAGCTTTGGGGGCACATTCCTAATTACTGGGAATGCAGCAAACAAGGAAGTAGAGACATCTCTATTTATTCTTATTCATACTTTCATTATTGAATTTTTTGCATTCTTACCCTATGATATGTGGCAACTAGATGCTGGAGATTCATTAGTGAATGTAATAGACTGCATCCTTAATAATGTAGAATCTGGAGGCTAGTAAACAAAACAAAACAAAGTAGTAAAAAGATACTTACCAAAGTGACTAATTTGGCTTTTATTTTTAAGATTTTATGGTTACAAAGTATGTTTTGAATGTTTATTTATTGTCAGTACAAAAATATAGAAAATTTGAGAAAATTACGTCTAGAACAGAACGTTATTGTTTTGAAGACTGTCAATCATAAATTCTGACTCTTGTCACAGAGGTGGATTCTTAACATAAGGTGATCTAATCAGAGTTCACCATTATAAGGGCAATAATGAATAGTTCAGTAATGGGCATGAGACCTTATGCTTTGTTTGTAATTTTGTATTATAAAAATCCCTGCTTTATAAATACTACTTCCCCAAAAGCAGTAGTTAGGAATTCACTTATCCAGCTTTCCTTGTGTTAAATCAAAGGAATACATTTAAAGGTTTGCCAGTCAAACACAGTATGAAACATGTCAATTAGAAATAAACACTATGAGAACTCTGTTGCCACAGAGAAGCTATATTCTAGCCTTAGGTATAGCACAGCAGTGTGGCTTTCAAGTACAGGTATGCCTGAAGTTCTGATCTCCCTGCTTTATATCAACTGCCACCTCTGGTGCAGATTTATAGACATCAGTGGAAAAATGTGGCCTTGGTTGGCCAGTACCTGGCCACAAGCTTCCAAGCCTGACTCAAGAGCTCTTATGGAGATTAACTGGATCTACTTTTAATGCTTTATTGCCAAACAGGCCGAAGTCAATTTTTCAGTTTGCTCCTTTAACTTTTATTTGTACAAGTATTTAAACATGAGAATCTAGGGCAACAGCCATCCAAGTAACTCCCCATGTGCAGAAACTGGTTTAGTTTAAGAAAACTAAGCAAATATATGGAAGATATTAACAAAAGGAAAATCAGAGATGTGGGAACCTCTATAGCAACTAATTATGTGTACCATTATTTTCCTATCTTAATTTTGTTTTATATTTTTAGATGTGTGTTGCATTCATGAATCACAGATTGTAACAGAATTCTTTTATGAAAATATTTCCAAAATTCAAGATTTTCCATATACTTTTCTGTACTACTAATAAGTAAGCATTTCAAATATACTTTGTAATCATAAATTCTTCAAATGGGAGCCAAATTGGCCACTGAGATTTTACCACAGGCATAACTCATATTTTGATTCACTTTATTGTGCTGCTCAGATATTATATATCTTACAAATTGAAGGTTTCTGGCAACTTTACCCCTATGTTCAGCAAGTCTATGGGCACCGTTTTTCTAGTAGCAATTTTTCAACAGTGCTCACTTTGTGTCTCTGTGTCGCATTTTGGGAATTCTCCCTTTTTCATTATTATTATATCTGTTATGGTAATCTATAAGCAGTGATATTTTATGTTACTATTGTACTTATTTTGGTGTTCTATGAACCCTGCTTATATGAGACAGCAAGCTTAATCTATCAATGTTGTTTGTGTTCTGACAGCTCTACTGACTTGCCATTCACCCATCTTTCTCCCAATCCTCAGGCCTTCCTTGACCCTGAAACACAATAATATTGCCACTAAGCCAGTGAAAACTATACAAGGGTCTTTCATGTTCAAGCAAAAGGAAAAATTTCACATCTCTCATTTTAAAATAAATGTTAGAAATAATTATGCTTGGTGATATGGTTTGGCTGTGTACCCACCCAAATCTCACGTGAATTGTAATAGTCCCCACATGTCAAGGGTGGGGCCAGGTGGAGATAATTGAATCATGGGGACAGTTTTCCCCATACTATTCTCATGGTAGTGAATAAGTCTCACGAGATATGATGGTTTTATAAACAGGAGTTCCTCTGCACAAGCTCTTTTGCCTGCCACCTACTTTATCTTCTGCCATGATTGTGAGGCCTCCCCAGCCATATTGAACTGCAAATTCATTAAACTTCTTTTGTTTATAAATTACCCAGTCTTGGGTATTTCTTATTAGCAGAGTGAGAACCCTGACTAATACACCTAGTGATACAGGCATGTTGAAAGCTGAAACAGTCCAAAAGTCACATAAAGGAAAAGTTTTTGAAGGAAATTAACAGTGCTACCCCAGTGAACACGCAAATGATATGAAAGTAAAACAGCTTTATTGCAGATATAATGAAGTTTTAGTGGTCTGAATAGAAAATCAAACTAAACACAACATTCCCTTAAGCCAAAGTCTAATTCACAGCAAGGAACTAACTCTTTAATTCTATAAAGGCTCAGAGAGATGAGGAAGCTGTAGAAAAAAAAAATAGTTTGAAGCTAGCAGAGACAGATTCATGATGTTTAAGGAAAGAATCCATCTCCATAACATAAAAGTACAAGGTGAATCAGCAAGTGCTGATAGAGAAGCTGCAGCAAGTTATTCAGAAGATCCAGATAAGGTGATTGAGAAAAGTGGCTACACCAAAAAACTAACTTTTAATGTGATTGAAACAGCTTCATATTGGAAGATGTTATCGAGGACTTTCACAGCTAATGAAAAAATCAATGCCTTGCTTCTGAGCTTTAAAGGACAGGATAACTCTCTCATTATGGGCTAATGCTGCTGATGACTTTAAGTTGAAGCCAGTGATCATTTACAATTCAGAAAATCCCAGATTCCTTATGAATTATGCTAAGTATACCTTGCCTGTGCTCCATAATGGAATAACAAAGATTGGATGACAGCACATTTGTTTACAATATGGTTTCCTGAATATTTTAAGCCCAGTGTTGAGACCTACTGCTATAAACAGTCTTTCAAAATATTATAATCATTGGCAATGCATCTAATTACCCTAGAGCTCTGATGGAGATGTACAAGGAGATTAGTATTGCTTTCATGTTTACTAACACAATATTCGTTCTGTAGACTGTGGATCAAAGATTAATTTCAAATTTGAGGTGTCATTAAGAATTACATTTTTCAATATTTAGCTGCCATAAATAATGATTCTTGTGATAGACATGAGCAAAGCAAATGTACAGCCTCTGGAAAGAACTAACTTATTGGCTAGATGACATTAAAACATTTATGATTCATAGGAGCAGGTAAAAAGATCAATATCAACAAAAGTTTAGAGGAAGCTGATTCCAACCCTCACAGATGACTTTCAGGGCTTCAAGACTTCAGGGGAAGGAAGAAATGCAGATGTCATGGGAATAGTAAGATATTGGAGTCTAAAGATGTGACTGAATTGCTGCAATCTTATGATAAACTTGAATGGATGTAGATTTGCTCTTTGTGGGTGAGTAAAGAAGATGGTTTCTTAAGATCAGATTTGCTCCAGGTGTGGATGCTGTAAACATTGTTGAGATGACAACAAAGGATTTAGAATATTATATAAAATTATTCAATAAAGTAGCAACAGGTTTTGAGAGGATTGACTCCCATTTTGAAAGATGTTTTATAGTGAATAAAATCCTATCAAACAGCATCACATTCTGCAGAAATATTTTTGTAAAAGTGTCAATTGATGTCTTAAATTTTATTGTTGGCTCATTTAAAAAATTCCCATAGCCATTCAACCTTCAGCAACCACCACCTTAATGAGTTGGCACCCCTCAATTAGAGCCTCCCTCAGCAAAAAGATAACAACTCTTCAAAGACTCAGAGGTTTGTTAACGTTTTTTTAGAAATAAAGTATTTTTAAATTAAGGAATGTACTCTTTTATAGACATAATGCAATTGCATACTTAACTGACTACCATGTAGTATAAACATACCTTTTATATGCATGCATTGGGAAACTAAAAAAATTGTGTGACTCATTTTATTGTTATATTCACTTTATTATGGTGGTCTGGAACCAAACCTGCAGTATCTCTGAGGTATACCTGTATTTCAAACATCCTTAAGTAATTCTATCTCTGTAGCAGGCAGAATTATGCATCAAGAAAACTATAATAAACTCACTAAGCTGTGGAAAGATTTAATAGTCTGACCAATGACTGATGAACTCCTCATCATCAAAGTTCCTCAAGTGTCAGCTGGATGATCACTTGGTGGTGGCAGAAGGGGGCGGGGTGCGGCAGGGCTGTGGATAAAAGGTAGATATCAGTTGGTGAGGTCCAGATCCTTTTAATCTTAGACTGGCAAAATTTAACTACCTCATGGAGATGTTGTGAAAGCTCCTTGAAAAAGGACACATTAATTTACAAATGTTACTGCTCTGATGATGCACAATTCTAGGCAAAGTATTGGTGGCATAATGCTCTTACAGACTTCGTGCAGATTCCAAGATGTATATATTTCTTTTATCAACAGCTATTACCCAGACATAAATGGTAACACCCTAGGCGATTACAGAGACTGAAATGTCAACTTCATCTTTTGCTTCTGAATCTAGACCTTTGACTACAAAAAAATTCTGAAACATAAACGAATACCCTAAATATGCAAAGTGTTAGGCTTAATATTATGCTTTCCAAATATATTGAAATTACTAAATGAGAGTAAAATCTTTTGAAGATGTATTTTCAGTAGATTATGGGTAGTTTTATTTCTTATATAAAATGAGTGTTAAAGATGTAAATTTATTTAATACCTTGGTATTTTATTTCTACATTTTCATGTTAGCAAATAATTCAAATTAGCATGAAAATGAAAAATAATTAATAAAAAGGTTAATCATATTTTTACTGAACCTTAATATAGTCCCATTAATGTTCAGTTTGAAAATGAACAAAAGTGTAAAAGAGTTATTTTATCAAGAATACATGTTTTTGAATATTTTATTCAAAAATGACCATTACTGGAATTAAAATAAGTATAAATACAGGTAATTTTGAGAGCAGAGATTAGCTTATAGGGATAGAAATTTCAATTTTTGGTAAAGAGTGAACAATAAAATCTTAGGGATGAATGCAAAGATAGTTTAAAGAGTGCAGAATTAATAATACAGAAAGGAGCTTCAATTTGGCCAAATATAAAACCATAAGACAGAAACTGACACTGTAAAGTGAAAAAAAGAAATGTCAGGAATCAAAAAGCCGCAAAGAAAGTAATAATAAATTTTTAAAGGAGAACAGAGAAAAGAGCCACTCAGTTATCAATTGTTTATGCTGCTAAAAAAAGGTATCAACAAGAATGAATAAAATACCCGCTTTTTATTTTTATAGGTATGTACCTATATTTTTAATACCCTCTTTTCAGAAAAGTATTTTCAATACCTTGAATATAATTTGCTAAATACAAGTTAATATAGCACATTCACTTATTCAGAGTATACATCAATTTCATTAAAAAGCAATTGCTATGCAACTTCTTATAGGAATAAGTTTCTCCCCACATACAGAACTCCAAAACATTAACTTACTGAATTTTGAATATGTCTCTACTCATGACATTTAAGAACGCACAAAATTTAATTGACCTCTATGCCACTTATTTGCATTATACTTACCGGCAGGATTATAAATGAATATTTTGTCTCCATCAGAAGAAAAACAATACTGTTATATCTCTCCAATAGCAAATCATGCCAAAGCCAGAGCAAGTAAATAAAAATGCTGATAGTCAAAATGCCCCCTGATAAAAACAGAAAGAAAAATATTCTTATGGGCTCAGTCCTCACATTTTCTTCCAATCTCCTTGCAGAACTCTGTAAATGAATCATTGTGAACAAAATAATTTTGTACTCCACTTCAAACAAACTTCTTAAGCATAGAAAATTCTTACATTCTGATAGACAATGGAGCCTTTGGGGGTGAGAGGGAAGTGGATGATAAATTACTTAATGTGTACAATGTACATTAGTCCAGTGATGCATACATTAAAAGCCCTGATTTTGTCACTATGCAATATGTCAATGTAGCAAAATTACACTTGTGTCCCATAAGTTCATACAAATAAAAAAAATTCTACAGTAAAAACAAAACAAAACATTGTTTTAATGCAGGGAAGGGTCATTGATTTCATTTGAAACAATTCCCAAACAGGACATGGCATCTCAGACAGCTCCTTGGCCCTTGGTAATTGTGTGCAGGTTTTTCACATGAGTGCCGGGCAGAACACAAGGTATTGAGACACAGTGAGCACTGCGCATAGCACTGGAGACTGGCTCAGGACACAAGGTGCTTGTGGCACCGAGCCCTGTAGCATTCCCTGCATCCCAGAAATTAGACTCCTTCACACATGCCTCCCTCTATTCCCCCGCCAACTTCATTTCCAGCCTCCAGTATTTAGTAGAGTAGATATTGAGTTTTCCTTCTTGTTATTTCTGTTAAGATAAAAACCAACCACAACCCCATAAGAGAAATTAACCTGCAGTGAGCAAAAGGGAAGAAAGGAAGAATGAGGAGGACTGTCTGATAATATAAACAAACAGGATAGGCTTTTACCAACACAGCCTAAAACAAACATGTGAACACTGATAGAGCTGAATAAAAGCTTGTCAGTAAAAATCAGTGCATATACACACATTTAATCCAAGTTTCTAAGAGTAAAATGGTAACAACTCAAATGTTCATGAATTGATGAGTAGATGAAGTATGGTATATTCATTAAAACCTGAACATTTTACATTCTACTCTTTACAACCTTTAAAAGAGAATCATTAGCAATTAATGTAAATTATTTGACAATGTAGCAAACACTACATTTTAGAAAATCCTACCACCAATCTTACAAGCCATGACACTTTGACTATGATAATAGGAATGCATAAATTTCAAAAAAAAAAATTAAAAATAACATTTTAATATTCGTATAAGTAAGGCTTTATAATTTATCTGTAAGTGTAAGCAGTCTTTAGGATGGAGGACAAGCATATGCGGGGCATTTTTATTGTCATTTATTCCGTAAAGCCAATTATAACTAATATCTTCTTACATTCACACCAGCTCCTCCATCCACCTTCTCACTCATCACTCCAAACACACATACCACTTCTTTATTTTGCCTTTTTCTAACTTAATTACATTCCGGTGGAATACAGGAACAAGGCAACATAATAAACTGTGAGGGCTTAACCTTCTGTCAGTTTAACAAGTAAATCTTGCTTCTGATATAGCTGAGTAGTTTCTACATGATTAGCAGTTCTACAGATAACTAAAATATTTCGATGTAAATAAAAATAAAATAAGTAGAATACTAATAAAATACTCAATCCAAATGAGTTCAAAAAGGAGGAACAAGAGAACAAAATAACAAAAAGGGATTAAAGGCAAAGCAATCAAATATATTAATAATTACATAAAACATTTATGGAATAAACACTAAAATCTCCAGAAAAATCAATTAGATCTGAATAAATTTTAATCCCAATTTTTTTAGAGATTCAAAATAATAATTTATTAAAAGCTTTTTTGTTTACATTTATTTCATCTATTGTCAGGAATTATCTTTTTTCTTTTTTTCTGCAGAAGCAAGTTCTTAATTATAATCATGTTACTTCTGCCATGATAACTTCTTTTAAGTTTTTTGTAACCTAGGTCTACTGGTAATAAATTTTTTCATTTTTGAAGGAGAAAATATATTTTTCATTCACGTTTGAAATATATTTTCTTGGCGGGGCGCAGTGGCTCACGCCTGTAATCCCAGCACTTTGGGTGGCTGAGGCGGGCTGATCACGAGGTTAGGAGATCAAGACCATCCTGGCTAATACGGTGAAACCCCGTCTCTACTAAAAATACAAAAAAATTATCTGGGCATGGTGGCGGGCACCTGTAGTCCCAGCTACTTGGGAGGCTGAGGCAGGAGAATGGCGTGAACCCGGATGGTAGAGCTTGCAGTGAGCCAAGATGGTGCCACTGCACTCCAGCCTGGGCGACAGAGTGAGACTCCGTCTCAAAAAAAAAAAAAAAAAAAGAAATATATATTTTTTTGGGTTAGCACAGTTTTTTTGCTGTTGTGTTGTTTGTTTGTTTTATTTTATATATTCCAATACCCTGTCTTCCAGTACTTTTAAAGTAAGAATTTTGCTATACTTCTTATATTTATTTGTGTATATAATCTGCTGTGTTTCCCATCTTTATTTCTTTTTTATTGCTTGCAATAGATTTAATTTATCTTGAATTTTCAACATTTAGAATGTTATGTCTCTTGATACATTTTGTTGAAAGTACTTATTCTGCTTGAGGTATTTTTATGATTTTCATTATTCTTAAAAAATGGCCTTTGTTTCTTCAAATATTTATTCTATTTTGTGTGTGTTTTTTTGGGATTTCCATTGTGTATATCTTAGACCATTTAATATTGCCGCACATCTCTTGGATGCTCTGGGGTTTTTTATTATTCTCATTTCTTTTTGTCTTTCAATTTGGCTTTTTATTGTTTTTGTTTGTTTGTTTTTATTTTTTGAGGCAGGGTCTCACTCTGTTGCTCAGGCTGGAGTGCAGTGGCATGATCTTGGCTCACTGCAACCTCCACCTTCTAGATTCAAGCGATTCTCCTGCCTCAGCCTCCCGAGTAGCTGGGGTTACAGGCACGTGCCACCATGCCCAGCTAATTTTGTATTTTTAGTAGAGACAGGGGTTTCACCATGTTGGCCAGGTTGGTCTTGAACTCTTGACCTCAAGTGATCCACCCGCTTTGGCCTCCCAAAGTGCTGGGATACAGGCGTGAGCCACTGTGCCTGGCCCTTTTATTGTTTTTTAAATTAACTTTTCACTTACTCTTTCCACAATTCTGTCAAGTCTACTGATGAGCCTGTTAAAATAAATCTTTGTTTCTGTTACCAGGTTGCTTTTGCTGTTGTTTTAAGCTTAACTTTTGACACTTTTGTATAGTTCATTTTCTGAAATTCCCTACCTGTTGTTTGTTGTAAATCTTTTCCACTAGAGCCTTTTGTATATTACAGTATTTTAAATTCCCAGCCTGATAATTTCAATATTTGAGTAACTTTGGAGTCTGGTTCAATTAATTGCTCTTACATGTATCATAATTCTTGACTGATTTTGACACATTTTATATAGAACAAGAGAGACACAAGTGAATACTTTCTGGATTTTAGTGGTTACTTCTCTTTGACTACTAGGTCATTGACACCGGTGTTTGATTGAATCTAATCCACAGTAGAGCTGTCTTTACATTTTCTTGTTGCAAGCTTCAGTGGAACATTGGATGTTATTCCTCTAGTGTTACCTTGGGCTTAGGATACACACTGGTTTGCCAGAGGGTCTTCTTCACTGTTCTTCTTCAACCTAAGTTTTAAAACTGCACCTTAGAAAGCACCTGACTAAATACCCTTCATACCCTTGCTCCTTCCTCTAATAATAGGCTCCTATTTCCAGTTCCCACGTGTTGCCATTGCAGTTTTTTGGGGTAGAAGTGTTCTCTCTTCTCTTGGTTTGCCCCGCCTCAGGCAGGCTTTGTGACCCCAAGTCTCAGGTTGTGGCCTTCTCTCACTGTTAAAAATTGTGGTTTGGGCCCAGGAAATGTTTCTGCTACATTCCCAGGGGTGGAGGGACATTTTCGCCACTTTGCTTGTCCTTCCCCCATTGTAGACCTTCATTTGTGTCATCAGGGTAAAAGAGTTTGCTATTCTTCCCCAGTGGCTCAGGACTTTTGTTCCTGAGAGGAAAAGGGCACAGGTAGAACTATATATATTTTCAAGCACTCCTCCTGGCCAAAACTTCCAGTAGGGATATTCTCTGGTCTCCCTCCCTTCTCCCAGTTTTCATCATACATACCTGGTCAGGTCCAGGGAACTTGTAGGCTGCAAGTGATTGTGAGTTCCTCTTATGTCTGCCGCTTTTAAGGGTTCTATTCAGTCTTTACAAATTCGTTAAACATTTTAATTGGATTCTTCTTACCTACTTGAAGTGAGACTTCTATTGTCTCTTACTGTCACAAATGAGCCACTGCTTATGCCTATCTTGAACTCCCTTAGATTTCAGGCTAGTGTATTTTCTTGGAATCTTGACACCCCAGTGAGTTCAAGAAAACTTATGGCTTTATAGATTATCCAGGTTTTTCATGTTAGGATATGAAAATGTCTCTTTGTAGCTTTCTGCTCCCTGAGGTGAAGCCAGACATCTGATTACCTAAATAATTTAACGTGCATTTTAACTTGATAATGTTTAAATGTAATCATCATTTCTACCTCCTCTGAAATATTATAAGAACCTAATTATATTGACTTATGATATTTATTTTTGTTCATGAGAAACATATTTTTAGGGTTTAAGAAATATTATTTATCTTTTTAACTTTTTTATGATTTCTGTTTTCTTTGCTCTTCTAACGTTTTATTATGATGTGTTGTAGTTTTGATTGTAATGCTATATACATGTAAATCAATTACATGGCTTGAATCTTAGAATCTATACCTTTCATTCAATTACCATCCACTTAAGCCACTTGTGACTACCAGGTTGAAAAGATGATCGCTGGGCATGATGCTCAAGCCTACTTTTCTATTTTATATTTTCCTATTCATATTTTACCTTCCATTTTTTTCAATTTTTTTCAATTTTTCTCCTTTAGATCTTTCTTATAGAGCATTAATTCTACATATACTTATGTAAAATGTGCTATGTGACCTATACATTGACCTTTAATTATAATAACTATATTTTCTATAAACTTTGTTTTATTATTTTTAAAATTTCTGTGTATTTTTATTACTAGCACAAATATGTATTTTAGTTTTTATTATATTTAATCTTCATTCATTGAAGTACTTCCATTGTTTACTATGTTTTCTGACATTAATAATCAATTGTGTCATTGTTGGGTTTTAGTGGCACTAAATATATTGATATCCTAGCAATTGGAAATTGGAATTAAAAATTAAAATCACAATATTATTTATATTAGCATCTCCAAAGTAAAATATTTAGGTAAAACATCCCCAAAATACATACAAAATTTATATTAGAAAATCTACTAAATTCTAATCAGAACAAAACGGAAGATCTGAATAAATTAAGGGCTAGCCTGTGTCCATGAATAAGCAATCTCAATATTGTCACGATGTCAGTTCTTTCTAATTTTATCTACATATTCAATTTAATTCCAATCAAAATCACAGAATGTTGTTTGTGGATACCAACAAACTGATAACACAGTTTATAGAAACATGCAAAAATCCCAGAATAGTAAATGCAATATTGAACTGGTCAAATAAAATCGAATAATTTACACTACCTGATTTCAAGTCTTCTTTTAAAGCTATAGTATTAAAGATAGCGTGATATTGGCTAATGAATAGACAAATAGGCCAGGTGTGGTGGCTCCCGCCTGTAATCCCAGAACTTTGGGAGGCCAAGGCAGGTGGATCACCTGGGGTCAGGAGTTTGAAACCAGCCTGGCCAACATGGTAAAGCCTCACCTCTACTAAAAATAACAAAAATTAGCCAGACCAAGATGGTGAAACCATGTCTGTACTAAAAATACAAAAATTAGCAGAGCGTAGTGGCATGCTCCTGTAGTTCCAGCTACTTGGGAGGCTGAGGCAGGGGAAACGCTTGAACCCAGGAGGCAGAGGTTGCAGTGAGCCGAGATCACACCATTGCACTCCAGCCTTGGTGACAGAGCAAGACTCCACCTAAAAAAAAAACAAAAAAACAAAAAAAATAGACGAACAGATAATCAATGGAACAGAATAGAAAGCCAAGAAATAGAATCACAAAAATGTAGACAATTGATCTTGGACAAAAAAGAGTGAAAGCAATACATTGGGGGAAAAATATTATTTTCACAAAATGATGCTAAAATAAAGACATCCACATGCAAAAAAAAAAAAAAAAAAAAAGAATCTAGACGCAGACCTTATTCTGCCTACAAAATGGGTCATAAACCAAAATGTAAAAGGCAAAACTTTAAAATTCTGGAAGATGACATAGGAGAAACCCAGATAAACTTGGATTTGGCATTTAATTTTTTAAACTTTGATGACAAAACCAAAGTCATGATCTATGAAAAAACATAATTGATAAAGTAGACTTCATTAAAATTAAAAACTTCTGCTCTGTTAAAGACATTATTAAAAGAGATAAGACAACTACAGACTTGGATAAAATATTTCAAAACACATCTGATAAATAACTGTTATCCAAAATATATACAGAACTCTTAAGACTCAATAAGAAGAAAACAAACAACCTTATTAAGAAATGAGCAAACAATCTGAACAGACTCTTTACAAAAAAAAATGCAGATGGCATATAAGTATACAAAAGATATTCAATATTAGTTGCCATAGGGAGTTGCAAATTAAAACAATGAGATACCAGTACACATCTATTTTAATGGCTAAAATCCGATAGAATAAAAACAACAACAAATGCTAAGGAGGATGTGGAACAACAGAATCTCTAATTCTTTGCTGGTGGGAATGCAAAATGATACAGGCACTTTAGAAACAGTTGGAAGAATTCATACAAAACCTAAATAAACTCTTACCAAATGAACCAGCAATTCTGCTCCTTGGTTTTTGGTTTTTACCCACAGGAGTTATAAATTTATGTCCACATAATAACCCACACAAGGATGTTTAGATTAATAGCTGCTTAGTCATAATTGCCCGAACTAGGAAGCAACTAAGATACCCTTCACTAAGTAAAATGGATAGACTATGGTACATCCAGAGAATTTAATATTATTCACTGCCAAAAATAAATGAGCTATCAAGCCATAAAAAGACACAGAAGAATCTTAAATGCATGTTACTAAGTGAAATAAGTCAACACAGAAAGACTATACACTATGTGATTCCAATTATATGGCATTCTGAAAATGAAAAGACTATGGAGACAATTAAAAGATCAATGGTTTCCGGGAGCTGGGAAGAAAGAAGGATGAATGGGCAGAGAAGAGGATTTTTAGGACAATGAAACTATTCCATATAATACTATAATAGTGGTTATGTCTCTTGAGAAATTTGTCAAGAGCCGTAGAATGCAAAATTTCAAGTATAAATTTCAATAAAAACTATGAACTTTGGGTGTTAATAAATTGTCAATGTGGGTTCATCAATTTTAATAAATATAGGGCTCGTGCAGGTGGTTGATAGTTGTAGCAGCTGTGCATGTGTAGACATAGGAGGTATATGGGAATCTGTACTTTCCCCTCAAGTTTCCTGTGAACCTAAAACTTCTCTAAAAAGTAAATTCTATTTTTTTAAATGAACACAGCTAAAGCTTACTTAATTGGGTCCTGGGGTTATAGAAATGCCAGCACTTAGTTGTATAAATTGATTCTAATCAACATTTTAGGAATATTTCTTATTTGGGATCATTTTAACATTATCTCTCAGCTTGAGCTATTCAAAAACATACAAATATGTAATTCATAGCCACTACTGAATATCACCTTTTATCTAAGCCCCGTATGTAGGACACAGCACAATTTATTGTAATTTTCTGGACAGTTGGACAGACTTTTTTAGTGTCCTTTCACTGATGTGGAGATATTTTAGGGTCAAAAATTTTAGTTTACTACCTTTATACATAAATGGAGATGATAAAAATGCCCTGCCTATATTAGCCCAAAAGCCAAAGACTATCCTTCTTGGATATTAATAGTCCAACTTAGAGCTCTTAAAAGGCTAATTGAGCCTTTTACTTAATTTCTTATTTCAATTCTGGCTTAGAGAGAATTCAAGTGTTTTTGTGCCCACTATGTATTAAAATTATTTAATACCAATATTATAAATTTTATTTTTTTAAAGCAGAGTAGGTCTGCCTTTTCAATCAAGTAAGTTCCCTCAATGGTAATCACTTCTAATAAATCACTAATTACATGTAATTATAACTTTGATTACTACTTTTCCAAACATTATCTTTGAGAAAATATATTTTTATATTTTTTATATTTGGTATTTAAAAGTATTTAAAATTATAATTTTTTTATTGTTTTCTAGAAAAAGTGCAGCTTTTACAATTTTCACATTGAGACTTTCATGGGAAATATAGTTGTAGATAACATTTGAAAAATATTTTTAGTTATTAAAAAGCAATGTATACTCTTCAGGGACGTAGTTACTACTATAATGTAGATTATTAAGATAAAGAACCCTGCTTTGAGGTTTCTGGAGTAAATTCTTGCTTTATAACTTTATGCCATATAATCATTTGGTTAGCTATACTATACCTTAGTTTTGGGGTATTAACTTTGTATTAGTTTTTATTGTTGCCATAACAAATTACCATAAATTTCACAAATTAAAGCAGCACAAATATATTATCTTACAATTCTCTTGGTCAGAAGTCTGACATTGCCTAAAATCAAAATGTTGGTAGAGCTGCTTTCCTTTCTAGAGGCTGTAGATATGAAGTCATTTCTTCATGCATTTAAGGTTGCTGGTAGAATTCAGTTCCTGGTCACTGTAGGACCAAGTTTTCCATTTTCTTATTGGTTGTAAACTCAGGGAATATTCTCTAGTTTCTAGAGGCATCTGCCTACCTTGGTTTATTGCCTCCTTTCTCCATCTTCAGTGCCAGCAAGCACGGGTCAAGTCCTTATAACGTAGCATCTCTTTAAACCTTTGTATCTCCTCTAAGCATGGTTGGCAAATGTTTTCTGGTTTTAAAGACTTACGTCATTAGACTGTAACTGCCATGATAATCTAGGATATTTTCATCATTTCAACTTCTGTATCCATCATCAAATCTTCAAAGTTTCTTTTGCCATAACAGGTAACTAGTCCCAGGTTCCAGGAAGTACAATGTGAACATCTTTGGGATATCATTATTCTGCCTAGTATGATCTTTTTGTACACTGACTCTCCTTATTTGAAAAAATTGACTTCTTTAGAAACTCATGTTAGATGTATATTGGATCTTCCATTCTACCTCACAGTATTTAAAGTCTTCATATTTCTAGGTTTATATCTTTAAGCAGCATCTGCACCACAGCATGCTCTCTGATTCCTGAAGACCTCAGTACACGATTTTCTCCAACTACCACTCAGAAACTATCATTTAACTTGATGCATTTTCAGGTTCATGTTTTTGTAAAGGAATCAACTCAAGCACTACATTATAAAAAGGAATTACCTTTGCACTTTAATATATGCGTGTATATGTGTCATTGTATATGGGTATCATAATATATTTGATTAATTTTTTCGGTATATCACTTATTCATCCTAGTGAAATGTAGGTTTTGAAAGTCAGAAAAACTGCCCTATAGATCCCATTTTTTAGAACAATGCAAGGACCATCATATACACTGAAGAAAAACTTGATGGTTCTATAAATAAATGTATTGGGTAAATGAATGAATAAATCACCATGTTCAGTGACGTTTGATTTTAGTAAGACAGCATGATAGAAAAAACGACTACTAAGTTATGGCTAAAGTATTCCCAATTAGTTTGATTTTTAGCCAGTTAGTTCCAATCTTTGGATTTTCCTTGGTACCCAGATTTCAAAAATAAGAAGGTCATATGGCATGACGATTTCACTGAAACAGATTTAACAAAAAAAATTCCATGAATTTCCACTAGGACCCACTAGCAATTTAAAATCATGTTATAGATGATCCTGAATTTTGTTTGCCATTATAAATCCCCTGTTCAGAATTGGGGAATAAACAATAAAAAGCTATCTTAAAAATTAATAGGATTATGGAAAATATCAACTTTTAAATTTGCTAGACAGAGGAAACCATTTCAGGCATATTTATACATTTGTTAAGTGCATCAATAAGATTTATCCTTTAATGTAGTAATTCATACCTTTCATACGAATTAGACATATAAATGATAATTATATTTTGATAGAATTTCAGAATAAAAATTCTTCCACTCAAGTATGGCTCTGCCAATATACAGATGAATTGTCTAATCAGGCCACACAGTCTCACTGAGTCAGTTCCCTCATCCATATACTAAGAGGCTTCTATTAGATATCATGTATAACCTCTAGTGTTCTGAAATTATTTAATTTCTGTGTGAAGTGTCTTTTGTTCCCTACATCATCTTTTATTCAAATGGCATCTGGGTTACTCAAATTATAAAATGCTTTCTTTGATGCATGAGGAACAAAAGTGTGATTCTTGCTTAGAGTAATATGTCAAATTATGATATTTCTAGTTAATAAAAATGAAACACTATTCTCTCTCATATCCTGTTTGTTGGGATTATATATCACCATATAAATAATAAGTATATGTAACTATACTATATATATAATTTATCTAGATAATAAATAAAATATTTTTATATATTTATATAAAGTGCATAATTCAATAATTAGGAAAATTTGTCCAACCATTAAACAGAGAAAATTTACTTTATTGGGCATGCCCTATTGCTATTTCAGTATTACACAGAGTATATTTATATTACATATTATTTTCACTGACCAAAATTATGATTTTCTGCCATACAATGTTTGTTTAATTTACTTTTTATGGGTTATTATGAATGATATGCTGTTTTCTAATATGGGCTTTTGTGGAATGGCTATGCATTTATAATTAGTAATCCTTCACTATTACCTTGCTCAGAGAATCATGAATTCTCTCTTGCCTTTCTGTTTTTTTCTTTCTATTTTAGAAATCCTAAAAACGTGACTGGGATCGGTGGCTCACACCTGTAATCCCAGCACTTCGGGAGGCCAAGGCCATCAGATCATGAGGTCAGAAGTTTGAGACAAGCCTGGCCAACATGGTGAAACTCTGTCTCTACTAAAAATACAAACATCAGCTGGGTGTGGTAGCATGCACCTGTAATCCCAGCTACTGGAAAGGCTGAGGCAGGAGAATCCCTTGAACCCAGGAGGTGGAGCTTGCAGTGAGCCGAGGACACACCATTGCACTCCAGCCTGGGACAGAGTGAGACTCCATCTGAAAAAAGAAAAAAGAAATCCTAAAAACATTGTTCCTTATATACTGAAATAAAACAAAAGCATAAACACTAAGTCATCTTAATTATCATTTAAAAATTTTGACTTGAAATATGCCTAAACGGAGTTAATGTATGTAATTCAATCTGTGTTTCTCTTCATCAAGATGATTCTAAATTAAATCCTTTAAGAAAATATGCCATTATGAATAGAAAATATAAAACATCAACAGACTTCCTTGAATTCTACTTATATTACACAATGAAAGCATGTTGGAGGCCGCACAAATGTTTCTTGTGATTAGGCACATCTGAAGCCTGTCAGTAACAATATGAACCTGTGATCAATTAAGCAGCTGACTAATCGTTACCTCCTCCTCCTTGCTCTTGTTACCCAATAAATAAGAAGGGCTATAGAAGCTCAAGGGGGGCTGCCTTTGCTCACTAGAAGCAGGGAGTGCTCTTCTTGTCCATGCTAGCCTTTCCTTTAAACTGTTTCTTTTGCCTCTTTGTTATCATTTCTGTGTTTGTCCCTTTGTTCAGTCATAATGACGTTCTCTAGCAGTAACAGTAGTAACTGCTGTAATGATGGTCTCAAGCAGTAACCATGGCAGTTAGCCACAAGTGGTGCCCAAACAGGGATGAATAGGGACAGACAGGGACAGATAGGGATAAAGACTAGCAAAGACTAGCAATATAAGGTCAGTGCCCTAAAGAGGTACAAAAGTAGAGACTAGCAGAGACTAGCAAATACTAGCAGAAACTTGAAGGGACTATCAGGGACAGAGACCTGAAGGGACCTGAAGAGGCCTGCAGGGACAATAAGAAATAAGTAGAGATAAGTAGAGATAAATAGAGATAAGGAAGTACAGATAGGTAGGAGCAGACAGGGACTTGCAGGAACTAACAGGTACCATGGGGACAGATCAAGAAAACCATACAGGAAGCTGAGAAACTGCTGGAGCACCGGGGTTTCACCTTTTGCTGGAACTCAGAGGTACAATCGATGCTTAACAGACCGATGATTTTTGACTGAGCTCCTCTCTACGCTGAATACAAGAGACCCTAATAGTTAGGCAGGAATATCATCGCCCCTATTCAGCATGAAGAAGTTGCAGGAGACAGACCTTCATCCTTCTGCAGCCCTTAGGATTAAGGGTCCTCTTGCAAAAGGGAAGGGGGAAATATGTAAGAAGCATTCAAACCAGAGTGACTCCATTTTGAATAAGGGCTAAGAAAAATGAAGCTGGATAACCAACTGGCAATTAAGGGGTGCACAGCCTGCAATTGCCTTGCTCAATTAATTTAAAAACAAAAAGGAGATGTTGGAGGCCACACAAATGTTTCTTGTGATTAGGTACATCTGAAGCCTGTCAATAATGAACCTGTGATCATTTAAGCAGCTGACCAATCGTTACCTCCTCCTCCTTGCTCTTATTACCCAATAAATCCAAAGGGCTGTGGAAGCTCAAGGTGGGCTGCCTTTACTCACTAGAAGCAGGGAGCTCTCTTATTCTTCCCCATGCTAGCCTTTCCTTAAAACAGTTTCTCTCGTTTCTTTGTTATCATTTCTGCATTCCTCCCTTCATTCAGTCATAATACGGTCTCAAGCAGTAACAATAGTAACTGCTGTAATGATGGTCTCAAGCAGTAACAGTAGTAACTGCTGTAGTGACAGTCTCAAGTAGTAACTGTGGCGGTCAGCCACAAAAGCAAACTTACGAATATTCAGGGCTTGCAAGTACATTTGAACCTTGAACAACATGGATTTGAATTGCATGGGCCCACTTAAATGTGGGGTTTTTTTTCAACAAAAGATGGATGGAAAATAGAGTATTCAAGGAATGTATGTCTTCTTTTGAAGTGTCTGTTCGTGTCCCTTGCCCCCTTTTTAAAGAATTGTTTGACTTTTTCCTTGTGTCTTACAGATGCTAGATATAGACCTTTCTCAATGCATAGTTTGCAAAAATTTTCTCCCATTCTGTAAGTTGTTTATTCTATTTATAGTTTATTTTGCTGTACAGAAGCTCCTTGATTTAATTCGATACCATTTGTCGATTTTTGCTTTTGTTGACATTGCTTTTGGCATCATGAAATCTTTGCCCATGAGGGTCATCTTTTCTTATATATGGGTTCTACAGGACTGACTGCAGAACTTGTGTATGCATGGATTTTGATATATTCCAGAAGTCCTGGAAACAACTGCCTGAATATACAAAGAGCCAACCGTAATATGCTTTCATCTAAGCCAGTAGTTTGTCTAATATTTTATTCCAAATATATTTCATTATATTATTTATTTAATATAAAGTTGTCACTAAGCAAACAAATGGCATTTTATCAGATAGTTATTTTGTTGGTTGGGTGTTCAAGCTATCTTGTTTAAGTTCAATCTCAATCACACCATAACTTTCTAACTTTAGACTTCTCACTTAACCCCTCTGAAACTTAGGCATGGACTCTGAAATTAAACAAATATAAGATCTTACATGTATATTATATGTATGATTTAGTTTAAAGTCCCAGTTTAAGTTGCAGAGTAGAAGAAAATAAATCAGTAAAACAAAATTAAAGGTAATATGAACAGGACCCCGGAGAGCAGTGTTGTCACAGTCTGTTTTAAAGTCTGAAAGTCAGTCTCAGTCAGTTGGCTGTTGAGAATATCCCAGGCTGATCAATGGAATTTGTTGTGAATTATATTTGCCGTATTTAAGTTTATTATTTGAGGTGAGAAGTAACACTAAGCAGGCAATAAATTCTTAGAGGTTTTGTGAATTTTTTCCTCCAATTTATCTTTCTGAGAAAAGTAGACTTGATTATTTCTTTATGATTTGCATGCAACATAGGGACACAGAGATTATAGCTGATAAGCGGACCCTTGATTGGACAAATAATTTATCATGTTTAAACTACTACTCCCAGAGACTGTGCTTCTAATAGGAAAATATACAAAAAAGGACATATTGAAAGAACTATGTTTTAGTATATTTCTTTTTTCTTTCTTTCTTTTCTTTTCTCTTTTTTTTTTTTTTTTGAGACACTTCACTCTTCTTGCCCAGACTGGAGTGCAATGGTGTGATCTTGGCTCATGGCAAACTCTGGCTCCAGGGTTCAAGTGAGTCTTTTGCCTCAGCCTCCCGAGTAGCTGGGATTACAGGCGTGCACCACCACGTTGGGCTAATTTTGTATTTTTAGTAGAGACGGAGTTTCACCATGTTGGTCAGGTTGGTCTCGAACTCCTGAACTCAAGTGATCCACCAGCCTTGGCTTCCCAAACTTCTGAGATTACAGGCGTGAGCCACCATGCCCCTTCTCTTTTTTTTTTTTTTTTTTTTTTTGAGACAGAGTTTTCCCTCCTGTTGCCCAGGCTGAAGTGCAGCAGTGTAATCTCGGCTCACTAAAACCTCCGCCTCCCTAGTCCAAGAGACTCTCCAGCCTCAGCCTCCCAAATAGCCGGGATTACAGGCATGTCCGGCTAATTTTTTTGTATTGTTTTAGTAGAGATGGGGTTTCACCATGTTAGCCAGGCTGGTCTTGAACTCCTGACCTCAGGTGATCCACCATCCTTGGCCTCCCAAAGTCCTGGGATTACTGTTTTAGTATATTTTTTGAGGAGGTGAGAACAGTAGTAAAGTTTATCTAAAACTTCAAAGTCTGAAAAAAATCAAAAATAAGTGCATACTCATCAACAAGACTTGGGTGCAAGGTTGCATCCCTAATGTTACTAAACGTTGTCTTTCAAAGCATGACAGAGCAATTGAGCAAATGAAATATGGGCCCAGCTGCTAAAGAACAGGTTTATTTGCTTGTTTGTTTTACCATTTATGACAATGAGATGTGAACCCTTGGTTTGAATATAATAATCATGACAGAAATAGAACTGTTAAAAACACATTCCACGTGAAAGTAGGGTGACAGACCTAAGTGATTTCAGGTTAGGACACGGGCCTGGCATTGAGGAAACCTCCACATTTCTTGTTAGGTGCTTGAAAATATACCTTGACATCTCCAGACTTCTGAGCTTCTTCTCAATTAATTTGCTTTCCTTCCCCATTTCTTTTTTAATAAGAGAAAGACTGCTTTTACTTCTGACATCTCAGAGATTTCTTGAATTTTTTTGAATGTTCATCTGTGAATGTTGAAATATTGCAATGTAGTGTTTGTTAGTAGCATTTGTTATAGGATTAGTGTATGTGTTGTCAAAGTATTCCTTGCAAAAAGTTAAGAACATAACTCACAAATAAGTCATGTGTTGCAGATTTCTTTATCTCTTTAATGAGGAAATCAACAAGATAACAAAAGCTGGTTCCAAGGAGAATACAGAGACTGATTTGTATACCCAGTGAAAAAAGAAAGAAAGGAAAAAGCTAAATAAAAGATTTCTAAGTTAGATACTAAATTGCTTAATTTCCTACAGGACAGCCTTTGGTGATATCTTTTGAATCTCTAAAAATCGTTTAGACTTTAAATTTTAATGCTAAAGAATAACTTTAAAGGACACAAAGTAATTTTTTGCCAAATTTTTATATCTTGAATAATTTATCTTAATTTTGTACTTCACCCCCATAGTCCCAGCTAGGATATTTGCAAGTCTTCTGAGGTTTAAGAAGAAATAGTTTATACCTGCACTTCCCACACTAAAATAACCCAGTTTTTCTCAATCTTTTGGTATTTTTGGAGAGGTGTTGTCTAAGATGCTAGCACTTGGCCGGGTGCAGTGGCTCATGCCTGTAATCCCGCATTTTGGGAGGCCGAGGCAGGTGGATCACGAAGTCAGGAGTTCAAGACCAGCCTGGCAAAGATGGTGAAACCCTGTCTCTATTAAAAATACAAAACTTAGCTGGGCATTGTGGCAGGTGCCTGTAATCCCAGCTACTTGGGAGGCTGAAGCAGAGAATTTCTTGAACCCGGGAGGCGGAGGTTGTAGTGAGCTGAGATCGTGCCATTGCATTCCAGCCTGGGTGACAGAGCGAGACTCCATCTGAAAACAAAAACAAACAAACAAAAGAAGGATGCTAGCACTTAGGCTCCTTTTGCTGATATTCCCTATCGGTCGATATCTGTGTTCCCTATACCAGGTAACCAGATATTAACTTCTTTAAGTTCAGTATCCTCCTTTTCAAACATCACACCAAGGAACTCAATATATGGTGTTTTTAGTTGAAAATTTTGAAGTTTCAAGTTTAATTAAAAACTTAGAAGGAACAAAACACTGGAAACAACTTCTATTTCAGTGTTGGTAATACATGATACACTGTACTTGTCCTCGAAGAGATGTATTGTTCATTGCTGTCCCCAGAATTTGTTACTGGCTTTGACCCTACCTCCTGTTCTAAGCATGGGGGCATATCTCACCCATAGTTTTTTAAACTTTCAGTTTAAAAAGATTTTTTCTCTCTTCTATGTAGGCCAATTATTATACCAAATATTTGAAAGAAACAAATGAGTCAGAGTTCATTTCTTTTCTTCCAAGGATGCTAGCCACTCAGGTTGGACATGTTATAAACCCTAAATAAGCAAAATTCAGCCACACTGAACTCTATGGAACAATTCACATTATTTTGGAATTTTTACACATATGAAATAAATGCACAAAATATGTTGGTATCAACTGATATATTTATTATACTGGATCAAATAAAGTATTCAGGTTGGAATTTTGTTGGACTGTGAGAGACCATTTCAGTGGCAGTTTTTCTCCAATGTTGTTTGTTCTTGACGAAGGTTTTAAGTGAATTAAGGTAGTAAAGGGTCCCAGTGGAAATGGTATTATATTGGATTCTGAAATCAGAAAGCCTGAGTTTGAATCTGGGCTATGAAACATGAATGGCAATTGTGCCTCTCTTAGAGTTGTGATGATTCAGATAGTTCACATGGTTTAAGCACTTAGGAAATTTGTGTAGCATAAAAATTACTATGTGTTTGTTGTTTTTATTTGTTGTTTTATTATAATTATTAAACACAACTGTGACATGTTAAGAAGCCGCACTCTTATTCTAAAAAGATTATATAAAAACATTTTAAATGATTATAATATTTAAACTTAGAAATAAAGATCGTGTCCAGTATTGTCATAGAAAATATGAATCTTAGCTGGGCGTGGTGGCCCACGCCTGTGATCCCAGCACTTTGGGAGGCCGAGGCAGGCAGATCACTTGATGTCAGGAGTTCAAGACCAGCCTGGCCAACATGGTGAAACCATGTCTCTACTAAAAACAAAAATTAGCTGGGTGTGGTGGCGAGCACCTGTACCCCAACTACCCGGGAGGCTGAGGCACAACAATCACTTGAACCCAGGAAGCACAGGTTACTGTGAGACATGATTGTGCCCTGCACGCTGGCCTGGGTGACACAGGGAGACTCCGAGAAGAAAAAGAAAGAAAGAAGGAAGGGAGGAAGGAAGGAAGGAAGGAAGGAAGGAAGGAAGGAAGGAAGGAAGGAAAGAAGGAAGGAAGGAAGGAAATATGAATCTCAATAGGTGAAACTTATTTTAGTGAAGACAATGAAAGGAAAAAGCACGTTTCTTAAAATGTAGGCATGCAATGGATTGACATAAGGACTTGACAGTATGGAAAGACAATATATGGAGGGTAGGGCAGAAAAAGTACGAAGAGTTGAATTAGAAAAGATTTAATTTAGAAAAGATAAGGACTGTCACAAAGCAAAATGATGTTTGTTCCTTATTTTATACATTATAGTATAATTTAAAGCTTCGTTTAAGTCTGGATAAAAGATCAAGTTTTTAAGAAAATCCTTTACATGTGTTTTTATGAAGTATTATATACACTAATCTCAATAGATTAGTTATGAATAGAAACATTATGTCCTTTTTCTTGCTTACTTTTCTAGCCCAAGGACTCAGAATCACAATGACTCAAAGCTTTATTGTAAAAACCCCATCACCATTTTTTGATGCTTGAGATACCGCATCTTGTATAAAGATTCCATTTTAGGGGTCTGATTTGGAATTCAGATAAATGAGCACAGAGCATTACATCTGCAATTGGAGATTTACAAGATAGCAGGGAATGCATGCTTGACTATCTGAATTCAAAATCTAAAACTTCCAGATAATAGCCATCTTAATCACCTCACTTTGGTTCATAGTATTTTCTGTTTTTTTTTTCGTGTACATAAAAATCTCTAAATCTCTGTATATCTTCCTATCACAGATTTTTAGTGAATATTTAAATGTTTCCTTTAAATTATGCCTTAAGCTAGAGATTGTTTTATTTCAGTTAGAAAGCAAAAAGTTAACATCCATTTGATGCTAGTGTGTTTAGACACTGTGTATTTACACTACAATTTTTATTCATAACCTGTTTTGACTCAGAAGGTACTAACACAAGACATTTTGCAAACTTAAATAAATTTGTAATAATTGAGTTTGCCCCTCCTTTTTTCAAAATATGAGGTAAAGATTTATGAGTACTAAGGGTATACTTTTCTATGAAAACACCAAAAGATAATGTTATTACTGCTTATTAAATAGTTTATAGAAGAAACCAAAGAATCATGATCTCCAAAAACAGAAATTTTATCTGTTAATAATTGTACTTTCGGCACATAGGAGATATTAACTAAAGATTGGATGAAAAACAAAATAACTGAGCAATTGTGAGCTTGGGTATATCATATTGCTCATCTCCAAATGAATTTTTTAACTATCTTAAAGCATTGCTATGAGTATTAAATGAGTTAAATGAGTTAGAATTGAGCCAGGAACACTCTATTGAAAATAGGTTATTGTGTTACATGATTATGAGAATTATTAGTGGCAGTTTTATTGTAGGATTCCAGAGGAGGCTACTTACTCTTTGAATACACCCATGCTTTCAAGATGAATCAAAAGATTATTTTATAATACATGAATTTTTGCAAAATGATGCATATAAATCTCTCGTATTTAAAAAATTGAGTTTTCTAAATTTATCATACTTTATGACATCAATCTGTTAAAAATTTCTCTTTATAATGAATTTTCTTATATTTCTTATGTTAAGAATGAATATCTCAATGGGCATTTGAAAGATATATACATGCAAAATAATGTAAAATTATACCCACATAAGGACAGATATCTTGGATGCAAGGTAACAAATGCATTTACTTTAGATGAACTTAAACTGCATTATCTTAATAGCCCTGTGAAACTTTTCCAGTGTATCTGAGATACTGCACTGAGTGAATGTTCCCCTGGTGTGGAAGGTTTCTGGCTGATTAAAACAGTCAATATGATATACTAAGTTTCAGTCAAGTTTCAGTCAAGTTTCAGCAGGATTCTGGCTGATTAAAACAGTCAATATGATATACTAAGTCTCTCAGGCCCCTGTGTCTGACATATGATTGGTTTATGGCTCTTGCTGAGGGGCAAATAACAGCCAGGCAATGGTCCTCTCTCTCTTTCTCTCTTTTTTTTTTTTTTCATTTTTTCACCCTCTAACTGTATTTTTTTTCTGATTTTCTTCTGCCTTGCTTTAAATTTGCCATTGAAAGCTAAAGAGTTTATCTTTTTAAGTTTTATGGATTTAAGTCTAAGATTTAGGAAGCCTGAGAGAAATCAGGAAGAATTCTAGAATCCTATTCGTATGGGCTATCACGATGACATTTAGATTTAGCAAAAGATTTTAGCTGTAAGAATCTTTGCAAAGCCAGTGTCAGTATGTATTATTAATATTGAACACTCGACAGTGTAAGGTATTAGAGTTTTTAGTTGAATTTGAAATTTTGTGCTTAAGTATATTACTTTGGAAAGCCATTATAGAAAAATG
This sequence comes from Homo sapiens, assembly GCF_000001405.40. NCBI lineage: Eukaryota > Metazoa > Chordata > Mammalia > Primates > Hominidae > Homo > Homo sapiens. The sequence continues at coordinate 56,280,052 of NC_000013.11, forward strand.
ATGAAATTTCTCTAGAATCTATTACTATAATTTTGAGACAAGATAAAGTGCAGTTGTAACAAGTAACTCTTTATTATGCTATAACTTATGTGGTCTAACATCACAATGAGAGGTAGAATTGAAAGATAGCCAACATAATATTTAGATTTGTTCTTAATTAATTAATTTCACACACACGTGTATCTCTTAGCTTATTAAGGATGAGGCACTATGCTGGGATAACATAGAAGTGTAATGAATAAGCACCTGGACCAAAAGCCAAAGGCCCAAAGGATAAAAATCAGTTTGCATCTGAAGCCCAAATTCATCATCATGGAGTGATACATGCATAAATCCAAAATTTTATTTTAGATATATTTTGAAATGAGTAAAATTAGGTAGACATATTTAAAATTTTGAGATACAATACAGAAACAATAATTTCTCATAAATGCTAGATATTAGCTTTATCCTATAGTTACTGAAGCTTATTATTATGGTACCATACAGTTTCAATCTTAAGTGAATGCTCTCATTCCGTTGTGAACTATCCTACAGCAAGATATTTTTTAACCAGCTCTACAATAAAACAGAAAAATAAGGACTTTTATGCTAAGACTAATAATCTAAGTTGAATTACATTGCTAAATATAAATTTTAAATATTGTGTTATGTTCAGTGTTATAAATGCTAATGCATTAAACAATTCCATATAGATTAAAATTTTTATATAAATAATCTCTAGTATTCTGCTTGTAATTTGATTTACTTTTTTAAACGTTTGTTTTTTCAAAATAAATATGATAGCCTTTCTAAAATTATTTATCTAATACACTCACTCTAAATACTTGAATTAACTGTAAATGCATATTCCCATATTTGTTTGAAAGATATTAATTTTTTGTTTATAAAATTGACAATTTTTACAATCTGTATTATTATTGTAGTGTCTTTCTTTTTTATTATAAACATACTATTATAATTAAACTGACATTCAATTTTAACATATGAAAGTATAAGGGGTGATTTTCATTACAGATTATATAAAAATTTAATTATATTTAAAAGTGAATTTCAGATATTAAAAGTAAGGCAGAGAGACAGGTCTTATTCATGTTGCTAATATTTCTATATTGACATTTCTTGTTAGTGCACCTGATGGTATGATCACTGGTCTTGGACAAGTTCGTGGATGCCAGGAGATGCTGTATGAGCAGAAGCAAATTTGTGAGGGATGATTGTTTCAATTTTGAGATGTTTACCTTGTGAGGTGTCTTATATACAAAGGCAATGAACAATTTCAGACTGTCACTCAAGATATATAAAAGCTTAAAGATTCATGTTGGCATGTTAGTAAGAAATAAAGGAAGATACATGTATGTGGTCATCCAGTATAAGCGTAGAGAGTTAACGGAGATGAGAACCTTGAACAAAGTGCAAGAAGAGCTTGAAATAATGACCGAAACAGAATAATCACAGACATAGGAGGAAAAGTTGCATTGTTTCCTGTAGGTCAGGGAAAGCAAGAGCTTTAAGCCTTGAGTAACTGCATTATCAGAGTGCTATTAAGTGACCACATATCATAACAATGAACAAAATAGAGGGGAGAACAAATAAAATGTTGAGGGACATGAGATTCATATAAAGATATTTACTGATTTAAATCTCTTTTAGCAAGAAATGTCTTAGTGTTAAAACATTTTTCATGTTTTGTGGGGTGATAATCCAGATGCAAGAGCCTGAATGATTGTCAGCTGGATTCCTAGATTTAAGGAAGCAAGTGAAGGTATTCACCTTGAAGCATACTGGTAGATTATATTTTGACTCTGGAGAAGGAGGGAAATTGAGAAGGCAAACATTGGGCAAAAATTGGAATACCAATGATAGAGGAACAGAAAACAAAAGCACAGTTAGTTGATTATGTCTTTAGTTAAGAAGGCCTTTAGAGAACACAAACATCCAACAATGCTTAGTGGTCAATCTGGACTGTGCAATTTTTTTTAATGCTTATTATAGTTATTGTGCAAAAGCATTCTTACAAAGGCTGATTATTTTTCTTAGAGAAATGATCATAATAATCTGCATCCCAATTGCGAGGTCTATCATAACTTCTTTTCCTCAGAAAGTACTTATGGCAATGTGTAAATTAGTGGTTGCAATCCCAGGATAAAGAAGGGGCAGCAGAATGGGCATACTACAAGTGGCAGCAATTCCAATGTCTCTCGGTCATCATGACATTATCTTAGCTAGTAGAATACTTTTTTGCTTGCTTTCCACTGTCCTGAGTAGACCATAGTGGACAGATGATGCTCACTTCCAGGATCTCCAATGAGGAAGAGGCTAAGATTGTATGGACTAGACACATACATTTTCAAATGTTTCACTGCCAGAGATGGTAAGAGATGCCTTTCTTCCTTTTACCCTTTGTTTCCTGGATCCATATATTCTAGCTAATGGAGCTACTGTATCATTTATCACATCCTGGAAAACGTTACCCCAATCTTACATGTTGCTGACCTTGAGCAAGAGTCTTACTTGAATCTTAAACAGATTGCTCCCAAATTTAATCAGGCCGATTTTTAGTAAAAGGGGTTGTATGCTGCACAATGTATAAATCCCAAGATCATGAGCCAATTATGCTCACTTTGCAGACATAAAATACATCCTTTGGTCTAAAACAATGTTATAGGCAATACCATGAGTATTAAAAAGGCTTTCTGTAAGTCTTTAGATCATAGTGTTGGCTGGGGCGCTTTGGATAAGTAAGCAAACTCATTTATGGAATATATAGATTCCTGAAGATCGAAGGTTCAAATATAATTCCTTTGCCAAAGCGGGACCAACCGTTATTCCCAAGCAATGATGCTGACATCTAATTGTTGATGTATGGTGCTGGAAAATTGCGCACACAGGAGTGGAAGTAGCAAGAAAAGCTGTGGTAAAAGGCTAGCCCATGCAGTTGGGCAGATAAGCAACCTTTATCCTTGTCACTATAGACTATACATGGGACTACACAAGCACTGAAGATGTCTGGAGATATACTAAATTATATTCACTTATCTACCTGCTTGTTGAGAGACATCCTTTTGATGAATAATCACCAGTAAAAATTAACATGAGATGCAAATATGTATTCTAATTACCTCTGTCCATTGGTCTATCTGTATACTTCATCCTCAGGTCTCCTTATCACTGAATTTTTCATCTTATTCCAGTCTGGACTCGGACAAACTGGCCCGGGCATTTGCCACTTCCAAGGTATTAGGGAATAACCACAGTTGAGACAAATTATTTCTTCATATGGAATAGAAAACTAAATGTATTGCTTGTAGGTCTGTCCGCTGGGAGAATTTCTCTTTATCAATTTGGGATAAGAGTTGTAATGCACCAACAATTTATTTCTGGCTAATATCTCAGTAGGCTGGCATTCCCTCCCCAGGGAACTGATTTATAGCTCTATGAGAGTTCTTTTTAGAATTTATGAGGCTCTAGAAACACTTAGACAATATTTCTTTTATGAAATCTGGATTCCTTTCTTCAAGGGCCTGAACTATCAGTAATAACCTGGCATCAATCACTTATTAGAGATTTGGGTCAAAGCTCAACAGGGACCGCTCCTCCACACTGTTTAATACAATTAAAGGTAACATCTTAATTTTGTTCCCCTGCTCTGAATGTGGTAGCTACTTCTACACGTTCTCTTCTGTATCTGAGTGTTTTCTTCTGGCCTTTCAACCTTCTAACACTTGTTTAGCATGTAATTTTTTTCTGAGTTAGAAATATTGTTAAGACCTATCTTTTGACAGGGGCCTCGCCAGTAAGTTAATTAATACCGTAAGTAGGCTCAGAAAACAGATCCTCAATGAAGAATTTTCAGATGGGTTTAAACATCTTGCCAATGGCAAATAGAAGGCTTATTATCCTTGATATACAGAAGCATCATCATTAATCAAATTATTACCTATTTTTGACTATGATTAAGTACTTATGAAGCAAATACCTTGGGAGATCAAATTTCTATTCACTTATATGAAGAAAAAATTAATTACAAAGTTTATCAAATGAGTAAATGTTTTAAAATGCCCTGACATACTTATATAAATAAAATGACAAGTTCAGATTTTTAATTTCTTAACTCTAATTGTGGTATAAAATAAGAGATATTCTAAGATGGCCTTAAAAGCATCTCTTATATACTATAGAAACAAATCAAACTTGATGAAAATCAGACATAAAATATAATCATACTGTTTTCAGAAATACAATGTCAGTTGAGTTAACAACCATGTACAATTTTCAATGCAAAATTTAGGATATTTGAGAAAGAGTGAAATTCTGAAATTTGGAGTGGGGGTATTCATGTGGACCCAGAAAATGATGGAAAGGGGCCTTTGCTACCCATTGGTGACACTGAGACTAAATCTGGTTGCAGTTTGAGAGGCAATGAAGCTGGATAGAAGGGATATGTCTTGCAGAGTCCAATCTTCATTTTGAAATAAATTTTAGGTCATTGTTTTATTTTAAAAAAGGTCAAATTGGTGCTTCTGCTAGGTCTGAGGTTTCAAAAAATATTTATTTATTTTTGAACTTTACATGTTTTTTTCAGTTTGTATTTCCTACTTTTTCTAACTTTTTTTAAGGTTCAGGGGGATACACATGCAGGTTTGTTACATGGGTAAATTTCATGTAGCAGCATTTGGTATACAGATTATTTTGTCAGCTAGGTAATGAACGTAGTACCCAATGAGTGGTTTTTTGATCCTAACCCTCCTCCCACCCTCAACTCTCAAGAAAGCCCCCATGTGTATAGTTCCCAATTCTGGGATTGCTGTGTCAAATGACAGTTCCATTTAAATTCTTTGAGAAATCTTCAAACTATTTTCCACAGTGCCTAAACTAATTTATATTCCCACCCACAGTGTATATGTTCCCTTTTCTTCACAACCTCATTCATATCTTTTTTCTTTTTTTTTTCTTTTTGACGTTTTAATGATAGCCCTTCTGACTGGTGTGAGATAGTATCTTTGTGTGGTTTTAATTTGCATTTCTCTCTAATGAATAGTGATGTGGAGCATTTTTTTAAATATGTTTCTTGGCCACATGTATGTCTTTTTTTGAAAAGTGACCATGTCCTTTACACATTTTTTAATGTGGTTGTTTGGTTTTTTGCTTGTTAATTTGTTTAAGTTGCTTATAGATTCTGGATATAAAATCTTCGTCAGATGCATAATTTGCAAATATTTTCTACCATTTTGTAGGTTGTCTGCTTACTCTGTTGATAATTTCTCCCACTGTGCAGAAGCTACTTAGTTTCATTAGGTCTGATTTGTCATTTTTTTGTTTCTGTTGCAATTGCTTTCCTTTGACATTAAATCACTGCCAAGGCCAGTAGCCAGAATGGTATTTTGTAAGTTTTCTTCTGGAGTATTTTTTTATAGTTTTGGGTTTTACATTTAAGTCTTTGATTCATTTCATGTTGATTTTTGTATATGATGCAAGGTAGGGGTCCAGTTTCAATCTTTTGCATATGGCTAGCTAGTTATCCCAGTACCATTTATTGAATAAGGAGGCCTTTACCCATTTCTTGTTATTGTTAACTTTGTCAAAGATCAGATGGATGTATGGGCAAGACTTAAGTTCTGGGTTCTCTAACCTGTTCCATTGGTCTATGTGTCTGTTTTTGTACCAGTGCCATACTGTCTTGGTTACTATATCCCTGTAGTATTGTTTGAAGTTGGCTAGTATGATGCCTCTGACTTTGTTCATTTTGTTTTGGACTACAATGGCTATTTGGAGTCTTTTTTGGTTCTATATGAATATTAGAATAGTCTTGTTTCTAATTCTGTGAAAAATGTTATTGGTAATTTGATAAGAATAACATTGAATCTGTCGATTGCTTTGAGCAGTATGGACATTTTAATGATACTGATTCTTCCTATACATGAGCATGGAATTTTTTTTTCATTTGTTTGTATTATCTCTGATTTCTTTGAGCAGTGTTTTGTAATTCTCATTGCAGGGATCCTTCACCTCTCTGCTTAGCTGTACTCCTAGGTATTTAATTCTTTCATGGCTATTGTGAATGGGGTAGCACTCATGATTTGGCTCTCAGCTTGGACATTATTGGTATATGGAAATGCTACAGACTTTTAAATAATGATTTTGTATGCTGAAAGTTTGCTGCAGTTGTTTATCAGTTCTAGGGTTCCGTGGGCAGAGACTCTCGGGTTTTCTAGGTATAGAATCATATTGAATATGAAAATAGATGGTTTGACTTCTTCTCGTCCTATCTGCATATCTTTTCTTTCTTTCTTACCTGATTTTTCTGGCTAGAACTTCCTGTACTATGTTAAATAGAATTGTGAAAGTGGGCATCCTTGTCATGTTCCAGTTCTCAAGGAGAATGCTTTCAGCTACTGCCTGTTCGGTATGATGCTGGCTGTGGGTTTGTCATAGATGGTTCTTATTATTTTGAGGTGTGTTTGTTTGATGCCAAGTTTGTTGAGGTTTTTCAACATGAAAGGGTGTTGAATTTTATCAGAACCTTTTTCTACATCTATTGAGATGATACTATGGTTTTTGTTTTTAGTGATGTTTATTTGATGAATCACATTTATGATTTTCTTACGTTAAACCCACCTTGCATCCCAGGAATAAAGCCCACTTGATTGTGATGCCTTAGCATTTTGATTTGCTGCTAGATTTGGTTTGCTAGTATTTTGCTGAGGAGTTTTCCATCTATGTTCATCTGGGATATTGTGCTGAACTTTTCTTTTTGCATCATGTCTCTGTCATGTCTCAGTGTCAGAATGGTTCTGGCCTTATAGAATGAGTTAGAGAGGAGTCTCTCTTCCTCAGTTTTTTGGAATAGTTAAGGTAGGATTGATATCAGCTCTTGTTTTATACATCTGGTTCAATTTGGCTATGAATCCATCTGGTCCAGGGCTTTTTCTGGTTGGTAGGTTTTTACTACTGAATCATTTTTGGAACCCATTATTTATCTGTTCAGGATTTCAAACTCTTCCTGGTTCAATCTTGGGACGTTGCATGTTTCCAGGAATTTATCCATTCCTTCCAGGTTTTCTAGTGTGTGTGCATAGAATTGTTTGTAATTATCTTTGGTTTTTGTTTTTTTTGTACTTTTATGTGATGAGTGATAATGTCCCCTTTGTCATTTCTTATTGTGTTTATTTGGATCTTGTCTTTTTTTTTTATTAATCTAGCTAGCTGTTTAGCAATCTTGTTTACTCTTTCAAATAACAAACTTTTATTTTGCTGTTCTTTTGTATGGTTTGTTGCATCTCAGTTTCATTCAGTTTGGCTCTCATTTGGGTTATTTCTTTTCTGCTGCTTTGGAATTGGTTTTCTCTTGTTTTTCCAGTTCCTGTAGGTGTGATGTTAGATTGTTAAGTTGAGATCTTTCTAACTTTTTGATGTGGGCGTTTAGCACGGTAAACTTTTTCTAACACTGCCTTAGCTGTTTCCCAGAGATGCTGGTATATTGTATCGTTGTTTTTATTAGCTTTAAATAATTTATTGATTTCTGCCTTAATTTCATTATTTACCCAAATGTCATTCAAAAACAGGTTGTTCAATATCCATGTAACTGTATGACTTTGAGAGACCTTCTTTGTTTTGATTCTGTTTTTATTGTGCCATGGTCTGAGATTGTGGTTGGTATAATTTCAGTTTTTCTGAGTTTTTTTGGGAATTCCTTTATGCCTGAGCATGTTGTCTATTTTAGAGTATGTGCTATATGAGGATAAAAAAATGTATATTCTGTTTTGGTTGGGTGAAGTGTTCTGTAGTTCCATTTTGTCAAGGGTTGAATTTAGGTCACAAATATCTTCATTAGTTTTCTGCCTCAATGATCTTATACTGTCAGTGGAGTGTAATGTCTCTCACTCTTATTATGTGGACCATTTATGTCTCTTTACATTTGTCTAAGAACTTGTTTTTTGAACCTGGCTGTTCCCATGTTGGGTGCATCTATATTTAGGATAGTTAAATTTTGTTGAACCAAACTCTTTATCATTGTGTAATGCTCTTCTTTGTCCTTTTTGATCATTGTTGGTTTAAAGTCTGTTTTGTCAGAAATAAAAATATCAGCCCTGCTCTTTTTTTGCTTTTCCTTTGCTTCATAAATTTTTCTTCATCCCTTTACTTACTTTGAGGGTATAGGTCTCACTGAATGTGAGCTGGGTCTCTTGTAGACAGCATATAGTTGGGTCTTGCTTCTTTAACCAACTTGCTTCTCTGTGCCTTTTAAGTGGGAACATTAAGCCCATTTACATTCAAGGTTAATATTGATATGTGGGATGTGATCCAATCATCATGTTGTTAGATGATTGTTATGTAGACCTGATTGTGTAGTTGCTTTATAATGTCAACGGTTTATGTATTAACTGTGTTGTTTTGGCAACTGGTAATTGTCTTTCTTTTCCATGTTTAGCACTCCCTTAAAGACCTCTTACAAGGCAGGTCTGGCGGTAACAAATTCCCTTAGCATTTGCTTGGGTGAAGGTGATTTTATTTCTCATTTGCTTACAAGCTTAATTTGGTTGAAGATGAAATTCTTCATTAGAATTTCTTTTCTTTAAAGATGCTGAATATAGGCCCTCAATCTCTTGTGGCTTCTCAGGTTTATGCTGAAAGGCCCACTGTTAGCCTGATGGGGTTTCCTTTGCTGGTGACCACCCCTTCTCTCTAACTGCCTTTAATATTTGTTTTTCTTTTTCTTTGACTTTGGATAATCTGATGACTATGTGTCTTGGGGATGATTGTCTTACATAGTATCTTGCAGGAATTCTCTGAATTTCCTAAATTTTAATGTTGACCTTTCTAGTGTGGTTGGGGAAGTTTTTATGGACAATATCCTCAAATGTGTTTTCCAAGTTGCTTGCTCTCTCTCCCTCTCTTTCCAGGATGTCAATGAGTTATAGGTTTTGTCCCTTTTTATAATCTCATAATCTATTTACAAAACTTGGAGATTTTGTTCATTCTTTTATGTTCTTTCTTCTTAATTTTCTCCTTCCTCTTCTTCTTCTTTGTCGTCATTGTTGTCTAAGTTGATTTGAAGAATTACTGTTTGAGTGCTGAGATTCTTTCTTTAGCTTGATATATTGTGCTGTTAACACTTTCAATTGTATTATAAAATTATTGTAGTGAGTTTTACAGCTCTATCAGGTCAGGTTGGTTGTTTCTTAAAGTTCCTATTTAATTGTTTAGCTCTTGTATCATTTTACTGGATTCCACAGATTTCTTGTATTGGCTTTCAACTTTTCTCTTGAATTTTCGTGATCTTCATTGCCATGTGGATTGTGAATTTTATGTCTGTCATTCCCGCAATTTTGGTCTGATTAAGAGCCATTGCTGGGGAGCTAGTGCAGTCATTTGGAGGTAAGAAGCTATTCTGGCTTTCAGGGTTGCCAGAGTTCTTGCATCGGATGTCTCTCATCTGTGTGGGTTGATATTGCTTTAATGTTTGAGGTTGCTGTCCTTTGGATGGGAATTTTCACTTTTATATTCTTTAAATCACTTGAGACTTTGACTGTGGTATAAATTGGGGTCAGACAACTGGCCTCATTTCTGGAAGTTTTCACGGAGCCAACACTCAGATCAGTACTCCTAGGCTGCATGCTCTAACACTGCTGGGGGCAGTGAGGGCAGTCAGGTAGGGCAAGGGCAGGGTTGAATTTGGGCCCAAGGCTTTCTTCTCTGGTTCCTCAAGATTAAGTGTATCCTGTGCTGGAATGGCTGAGCTATAAACAGACTTTGTTGTCATGGCAAATCTGTAAGAAATCTCAAGTTTCAAGTGTCTGGCCTATCCAGGCAAAGCCATGAGTCAAGCTCAGGAGAAACCTAGACATCAGCTCCAGATTTGGGTCTCATATGGACAGTTTACTTAAGGGGATGATTGTCTTACATAGTATTCTACGTGGATTATTTACAAATAGATTATTGCCCAAGAGGGTGAAAGTTTACATAAAAGAAGATCAAATACTGAATTAAAATAAATAGTCACAGTTTTCAGCAAGATAAAGGCAGAAGAAACAACTAAGACTAAAATAAGTCACATAGGCAAGGGCAGGGAGAGGTAGCTATCAACGTAAGGGAGGAGTTTAGACAAGGAATGGCTAACCACACAGACTGAGCAGTGATCAAATCCCTGAGGATAGTTTGAGTTCACCAACTGAAAAGTCCTTGGCAATCTTAGAGAGCTCTAGATGATTTAGGCATAAACCAAACTTCAGTGGATGGAGAATTAATAGAAAATGCATAGAGATACTGATTAAGAAACAATTGCTAAAACATGGAAGAAGAAAGAGAAAGGAAGAACTCAAAAAAATTTTATTCTTGTCAGCCAGGCACAGGGGCTCCTGCCTGTAATCCCAGCAATTTGGGAGGCCAAGGTGAGGGGATCACCTGAGGCCAGGAGTTTCAGATCAGCCTGACCAACATGGCGAAACCCCATCTCTACTAAAAATACAAAAATTAGCCAGGCATGGTGCTTGGCACTTGTAATCCCAGCTACTTGGGAGGCTGAGGCATGAGAATTGCTTGAACCCAGGAGGCAGAGGTTGCAGTAGGCTGAGATCATGACATTGCACTCCAGCCTGGATGACAGAGTGAGACTCTGTCCAAAAAAAAAAAAATTATGCTTGTCTAACCAATTGTCTTCAATCCAGAGACCTAACTTGAAGGGAAGACCTATTAAAGCTGGATATGCTGTGTACATTATAGTTTCTCATGCTTATAATCAGATGCTGAGGCTGATTTTCAGCATAATATTTTCTGTCCCTGCTAAGAAAAATACTATTTTTAAAGATGCCAAAGAGGCCCTGTTTGTTTGTTGAGTGCATGCTTTGATAATTAAATTGGGTATATATAATATTATTATTTATTAAAATATCCCAAATGAGTTTTTCTATACCATGATCTTTATAAATAGTGCTAACCATTTTCTTACTATGCACCACATGTAGTTGAACTCCTATCTCCTTGCCACCCATTTGCACCTTATTAAAATTAACCATACCTTAATTAACTGTGATGCCATCAATGTCAATAATTATTTCCAGCCCACCTACCATAATCTGTTTTATAGAGATACTATTGATATATACTATCTTGGCTCAGGCTCATTAGAAACATAGCCTGATGGAATATATATGTGCTAATGCTTAATGTAATATGATTCCAGTGCAGCAAGAACTATGGAAAAGCACAGTGATGCATAAAGGACAAATTATAAACATGTTGTGTATTGCCAACTACTCACTGTTTCATGAGGTAAGAAGAGACATGTCCCATTGCTTGGTCATGTGAGATGTCTTGGGCAATCTGTACCGAGAGTCCATGTCCCAGAATTGTCTATTGAAGAGATAAAAGGAAAAAGATTAATCTCCCAGTTCTCTCTTATCTGTTGTTTCCCACTGTTCATAATTTGCCTGACAGCCAACTCTCCACAACTTAAGAATTTTTTGTCCCCTGTTGGAAGTTGCTGGAGAAGCCAGATCAGACATGTTATATCATAGTGCTATATCTAATTATAAAATATATGTGAGAAGCTAAATTTTTTTAGTCAATTTTTATTGGTTTAGCCCCAGGAACAATGGGTATTATGGAGAACATGCAAGAACCATATCAATAGAATCTGTGACAATCCCGTTATTATTAACAGATAAGACTTTGGTGGTTCTAGTGGCTTCAACAAGAACAATCATAACCAGATGCCTAAAAAGACAGACAAAATTGAGGTAATATGAGACAATGCTAATAATTTATCTCTTAAAAAGTATTTTATGATATTTTTGATATGAATTAAAATAAATATCTTCAAAACTGAACCATAATCTTATGACTCATACAGGAGGATTCCCTCACTATGAATAAAAAAATTCAAAACAGAATATAACAAAATTTATGGATTTGGCAATAGCAATGCTTACAGGAAAATGTGTAGCTATATGTATACACCTACATTAAAAAGCCAAACCAGGAATAAAAGTGATTAGTTGCCAATTTTGATAAAATAAAAGTGATTCTTAAAGAACACTATCAATAATTACATACCAATAAATTATATAACCTAGATGAAGCTGACAAATTATTAGAAAGACACACATGATTGAAACTGACTCAAAGAGAATGAGATAATGTGAATAGAACTATAAAAAGTAGAGACTGAGTAGTTAAAAACATTCCACAAAAAGACCAACTGGCTTCACTGGTAAATTCTACCAAGCCTTCAAAGAAATAATACCACTCTTTCATAAACTGTTTTAGAAATCAATGATGTGCAGCCATTGATGGAAGTGTTCTGGAATTTGAAAATTAGATATCTTTCCTATTTTTAGGCAGGTGCTTATCTATTCTCTCTGTAATCGTAGTGAAGAAAACTCAATGAGATACCATTTACACAGAAAAATAACTAACTTCATATGTAATTTTATATACTTATATAACTGAAATTGGCAATATGATACCTATGTGGAATAGTATAGGACCGTATTTAAGCTTTTTAATACATTTTATTATCTTTTCTTTTGAAAACTCACTAAGTTGTAAAGCTGAGACATTTTGGTAACTACAAAATTGCTCAGCTTTCTTACACATCTAAGAATAATCAAAGATTGTGCCTTAAATTAATTTTAGTTTTGTTATATGTGAAGCACGCTGCTTTGCTACGATGTAGATAAATCTTCTGTGATACGGATTTAGCTGATTTATCTCTTCTGGGTGGGTTTTCTTTTATTTTCTTAAATTTTTTCTTATCTTTTGTTTTTTTTTTCTTTTTGAGACAGAGTCTCATTCTGTTACCCAGCCTGGAGATCTTCTTTTCAATGACAATATAAAAAAATTATGAGATGGTATCCATCCGTGTACCCTGATGATGATTCATAATGCTATGCTTTCCCTATGATTATCTCTTTTGATTTAGAGACAGATATAATGTTTTACTTACAAATTCTTAAATGACTACAAATACAATTTATATAGCCCTTAACTTGACAAAATATACTTAAGCTAAAATATTGAGAGAAAAATTTGGAGTTATTAATGAAAAACACATTGTACTATGCCCTTATTGAACACTTTCTAAGGCATATGTATATATATATTTTTTATTTTTTATTTTTTTTGAGACAGAGTCTCACTGTGTTGCCCAGGCTGGAGTGCAGTGCCACTATCTTGACTCGCTATAACCTCCAACCTCTGGTCAAGCGATTCTCGTGCCTCAGCTTCCCAAGTAATTGGGATTACAGGCATACACCACCACACCCAGCTAATTTTTGTATTTTTTAGTAGAGATCGGTTTCACTATGGTGACCAGTCTGGTCTCGAAGTCCTTACCTCAGGTGATCCACTCACCTTGGCCTCCCAAATTGCTGAGATTACAGGCATGAGCCACTGCGCCCAGCCTAAGGTGATATATTTTTAAATGAATCCTGTTTAACGCATTTTATAGGAAGCAGCATTAGGTGTAAATGATCAACCTTTTCTGATGCACATTCTTATATTCAGATTTTATCCTAAAATCCACTACAAAATGATAGACTAATATCCCACTGTAATCATGATGAATCCTACATACTTTAAAAATGTACAGGATACTATTCAATAAATTAAAATATCTTCTTTTAATTACACGTGCTTTTGTACAGGAAAAAACAACCAGAGTTTTGACAATGTCCACATATTTTTAAGTTACTTTATTTTCAATCCATAGTTAAAATTATTATTTTTCAACATTACCCTAAGCCAGATTTTAAACACACAAAGAAAAACATAAAAAAAGAAACAAAAATATTCCTCAGTCTGTCCTATTCCTGTGCTGTGGCTACGAACTGATGGCTCACTCTATTTCATAATCAATTTCCTATCACAGTGTTTTGATTACTTATGTCTTAACCCATTATAGTTTATTGGAATATTAATGCAGTTTCAATAGCTATTTTTCATGATATGATAGCCTAAATATACGATTCCACTTTCTGTTAGATGCTGTTTATCAAAACTTCCAAGCACAGTGATTATGGGCTTTCTATTCAAATAATTGATTATACCAATAAGCTAAAAATGCTAAGATTTGCTGACTTCACTCAAAACATGACAATAATAACTAACACATAGTTATAATAATAGTAACAACTCTTGCTGTGAGGATTAAATGAGGAAACTTATGTGCATTGCCTGAACTAAAATAAACAATAAATATTACTTATTAATTAATAGCTATTAATAAAACATGTTACTACTCTCTGAATCTTTAGTTTTTAAGATTCATGTAGAAATTTTGTTGCACTTGGCTCATTTTTTTCCAAAGCTAGATATGACTAAACAATTTGATAATCAAAGTAGGAATAGAGCCAGCTTAAGTGCTTTCAATCCTAGACCTGATTGTCAGGTCCCTACACAGTGTAAGAAAAGATCAGTGAAAATTCAGGGAGAAGAAAAGGAGAAACCACATCTGTGTGCTCCATCTTTCACTATTTTGAAAGTGTTACCTCCTAGGAATAAATATAGTTTAAAACAAACTATGCTATGGATTTATATTAGGTTCTGAAATGTTCTGACTATTCCCCCATGGCCATATAGATGTAGAATAAGAAAGTGAATTGTCAGTGGTAATATTTGACTCTAATTGAATATTCCAAGATTGTTCTTTTCTAAACTTAGTTTTTGTGGTTAAGGGATAAAAGTGTCAGGTTGGCAAGTAATACCTTAGATTTAACATTTTACCCAGATTTCTCTCAGTCTTTTAGAAATCTTTAAATGAAACGAAACCTAATTGCCTAGAACCAAAGCCAAGGTCTGTTGGCACAATATAATAAGAAAATCCATACATGATTTCCAGTTGCTTTATTTTGAAGAAAAATTGTATTTTCTTCTATCGTTTAGCTTTCTCCTACATAGTGTTACACCTTTACATACCTCTGAGTCTTATGCAAGGTTAATGTAGACTATAGGCTGTATTAAATAATTAGAATGTATATAAATTTAGAGCTCAGCTTAGATCAATCTTACAAAATTATGCCATCCATATTTGTAGTGACAATCATAGAATTTAGTAGAATAAAATATTTTAGTAATAATACATGTGTTGAAAATATTTGTAGGAATGCATATTTGTTTATAAAATGTCAGGAATTATTTTTCAAGTGTGTCGTGTAAAATAGGTGGCAAGTCTATTGGTAACTTTTCTCTCTTGGAAGGTTGTATTTGCTCAAATGACAGCCGACTTATTATATAATGGAAATACAGCCACCACTTACTGATCATATTATTTATATGTTATGACAGTCATTTTGTTTCTTAGGAAATAAACTCTCCAAAATATTGAAAAAATATCCTGAATTCTCTCAACTCACTCTGAACATTATTTTGCACCTTTTGTAAAGGAGACATTATTTGCTTTAATAATTTTCTCTTAAATGTTGCTGATGAATTATTTCTCATTGTTTATTGCCTGTTAACATATAACTCAATAGCATAAAAATTCTAAATATACTTAACTTTCAACCCAGGATACAGTATTGTATGTATCAACAACATATTCAGAGTGTCTCTTCACAATTTAACCTATTTTTTATTTGGCACTGGTTCTATTAGTGCTTGAATTGTCTTTTCTTAATGTCTAGATGTAGTTGGCTATTAGGTTATGTTCACCTTCAGTAAAGTAACTAAAATGCAAGCTATTTTCCTGAAGAGTTTGATTTTAGTGTGATCATGCAAACATAGTTCCTAATCTCAGCTTCATTAAGTCATTGTTATGACTATTAAATATGCTCCATTTGGTAAAACAATGTACAAGACTCTAATTATATGGTTATTTCATTCATTTGTGATTTTACTGAATAGAACAGTATTATATAAATAATGACTTTATTGATGTACTTCTCTGTGAGACTACATAAAATAGTAAGAAAACCTCATGATACAGCACTATTGTGACTGCTGCTTCAATTCCAGCATCATGGTTCTCAACTTAGGTTCAACTACATTGAGCTTTACTTGTCTATAAGTCATCAATTTAATTGGTGTTGTGTGACAGTTTCTTTAGAATTAAAAAATGAACAAATAGATATTTTTGAAGCATACATACTATAATATTTATTTTACACATTACAGATTAATATATTTTAAAATTTTATATAAAAAATCTATAAATACAAAAATAGCCTGATCTTTAAGAAAATTTAATGTGGAATTATTGCACTAAGTTTTTTTTGGCTTAGCATAGGTGTATTATTTAACCCAGTTAACCTCGATATCTATGAACATTAAAGTTTATTTTAAAAGTAATGGTTAATTATAAACCATTTTCAGGAGAAAAATGAATGAACTTTATTAGCAGTGTAAATTTGTATTATTTAATAATTTCCATTTTTATTACAGATTAAAGGGTACAAGTGCAGGTTTGATATATGGGTAATTTGTGTGACACTGAGGCTTGGAGTCCCAGTGATCCCATTATCTAGGCAGTAAGCACAGTGCCCAACAGGTGATTCTTCAGCCCACAACCCCTCTCCTTCCCTCCCCTGTCTAGTTGTCCTGTCTATTGTTCCAATCTTTGTGTTCATGCACATTCAATATTTAGTTCCCACTTATAAGTGAGAACATACACTATTTGGTTTTGTGTTCTTGCATTAGTTCACTTAAGATAATGGCCTCCAGCTGCATCCATGTTGCTGTGAAGGACATGACTTCAATCCTTTTTATGGCTGTCTAGTATTTCGTGGTGTATATGTACCCCATTGTCTTTATTCAGTCAACTGTTGATGGGCACATAGGTAGACTCCATGTCTTTGCTACTGTAAATAGTGCTGCAATGAACAAACGAGTGCATGTGTTTTTTTGATAGAATATTTTCCTTTGGGTATATACCCAGCTGTGGGATTGCTATGTCAAATGGTAGTTCTACTTGAAGTTCTTTGTGAAATCTCCAAACTATTTTCTATAGTGGCTGAACTAATTTACATTCCCACCAACAGCCTCTCCAGCATCTGTTGCTTATTGGCTTTTTAACAGTTGCCATTATGACTGGTGTGAGAGGATATCTCATTGCATTTCTCTGATGATTAGCAATGTTGAGCATTTTTTCATATGTTTGTTGTTGATTTGTGCATCTTCTTTTGTGAAGTATCTGTTCATGTCATTTATGAGAAAATATTTATATCTTTATTGACAAATAAATACTTTTCTGAAAAATTATTTAAGCTCTTTCAATGGATACCATTATGAACATTTGTGATTTATGGGAAGGGGTCAAAATATCAACATTAACAAGAGTTTGAAAGAAGCTGATTCCAACCCTCATGGATGACTTTAAGGGTTTCGAGTCTTCAGTGGAGGAAGGGGCAGAGGAATGGATGAAATTACAAAAGAACTAGAGTTAGAAGTGAAGTCTGAAGAAGTGACTGCATTGCTGCAATCTCAATAAAGCTTAAATGGATGAGGATTTGCTTTTTATAGATAAGCAAAGAAAGTGGTTTCTTAAGATGGAATTTACTCTTGGTAAAGATGCTCTGAATACTGTTGAAACTACAACAAAGCATTTAGAATATTCCACAAACTTAATTAATAAAACATTCCAGTGTTTGAGAGGATTTGACTCCAATTTTGAAAGAAGTTTTACTATGGGTAAAATGCTGTCAAACAGCATCACATGCTAAAGTTAAATCTTTTGTGAGAGTCAATTGGTGCATTAAACTTCAGTGTTGTCTGATTTTAAAAACTGTCACACCTACCCCAAATATCAGCAACCACCAATCAGTCAGCAGACATCAATATCATAAAAGACCTTCCACCACACACACACACACAAAAATGACTGCCTGAAGTTTCAGAGGATTGTTAACATGTTTTAGCAATGAAGTGTTTTTAAATTAAAATATGTACTTTTTTGTAGACATATGCTATTGCACATTCAATAGGCTATAGTATCATATAACTTTTACATGCACTGGGAAGCCAAAAAAATTGTGACATTTTACTGTAATTATTTCTTTATGCAGTGGTGCAGAACCAATCCTGCAATATCTCTGAGGTATGCCAATGTGTGTGTGTGTGTGTGTGTGTGTGTGTGTGTGTGTATACATGCACATACATATATACACATTATCTTTTCATAATGACAAAAGATCCCTTAATTAATATAAATTTTGATTTTAAACTCATACCAGTACAGAAAAAAAATGAAATGCAATTAAAAATAATGTTGCTGATCACATCAAATATATATAAAATATAAATTAATATTTAAAATAAACATTTGTATTAAATTAAACCCAACACATATTTTGTCTGCTTTTCATATTGTTTTCTTTTTTCTGCTTCCCAAGAGCTTAAACTCTTCATTTGGTAATCTGTGTTGGAGTAAGTAATCACCTCCCCATTTATGGGTATATAGCACATCATACATGTTGACACTGTCCATAAATTCTATATTTTTAAGTAAGCTAGAAATACTTAGAGGAAAAAGGACCCTCTCCCTTAACTAACCTGCATATGAGTGCTGTAGGAATTTGAGGAAAATAAAGAGCCAGGTTTAGAACTACAACCAAAGAAGACAGGGCAGACCAAGGAATGAAAACCACACCTTGGTGACAATTTGTAGCTACTGGATTAAGTTCTGCCAAACACCAAAAAGTTATTGAGATTTTTCAATTATGAAAGTTAATAATATCAATTTTTTCATACACATAATTAAGTTGGGTCATCTAATAAGTAAAATATGATCTAATTGATATACTCTTGTCAAGGATGTAAATAAGACTATTAGTGTCAATATTAATTGTTATAACTTCACTAGAAGACGTTCTCTAAAATTTTTCGAAAGTTCTCAGAAAATTACACAAACGTTTCAATTCTAGGATTTATCTCAAAATTTAATTAGATATACATTCAAAATAATACGTACCCAGTTTATTTGTGATAATTTCATTTAAAGAAACAAGTGACTGATAATAGGGAATACGTTAAATATTTTTGCATCCTTGAAAAAAAGCACAGGTATCAAAAAATCATGTTGTATGCCCCTTTAGAACATGGAAACTGTCCACTGTATTTTATGTTAAAATGTTGATTACAGTACACAATATAAATATTTTGAGTTATAATCACTAGTGATAAGAGTAACATTTATTTTATTTTGTGATTTTAATGTAGTTCATATATTTTCTAAAATAAATATGAATATTTCTCTTGTCATAAAATATTATATGTATATAATTTATATGTGAATATATATATATGAAGTCTGCTGATAATGTTAATTAAGAAGATTTTCCTTATTAAAATTTGGAAAAGCTATGGATGCATTTCATATTAAGATCTCAATATCTAACATGACAGTATATCAAACTATAGCTGTAGCATCAGGCATAGGAGAGCTGGTGTAGCTGTTTCTCAGTTTTCAAATGAATAATAATAATAATAATATTAATAATAATAATAAAGCGTTATGCCTAAACCACAATGTACAAAATTGTTGGACAGTTTTATTGTAATCTAGAATGGCAATGGTATCAAAAGGACTAATATTCTAGGGGGCATAAATGCCCTAATTTCTGGATAGTAAAGTAGAATAGTGAGATAGTTCAGTGGGTAATAGTGTGTAGATTCCAGAAAGTTTTCTCAGTTTATATTGCAGAATACTAGGAGGACAATGTAGCTCTTCATATAGTTGTTTAAGGTAAAACAATTGTTCAATATCTGAGGCCAATGTAATTCCAGGAAAAGCCACACTCTCTCTGGGAATTTAGTGTTAAAACTTATAAAAAATATATGGGATGGAAGACACCTGAGTAAATAAGATCATTCAAGAACAGCTGCCAACTAACTTGAACTGTGGACTAATTTTTATTTAATAATATACATGATTTCCTGCCAGGTTCAACCTTCTTGATTCAGGCATTATATGTGGGTTACCTAGGTTGAATATGTAATTTATCTTACAAAGGAAAATACTTAGGCATGTGAAAGGGTGCTGATCAGACAAGAGGAGAACCTGCATAAATCAGGAAGGTTGCCAACACACTTGAAGGCTGTCACTGAAATGGTTAAGATGCCACAAGATTTCTTGCAGTATTTATGTTTGTAATCAAAAGATATTGCTGCTCAATGAAAGACGAGGCCTTCTCCTAAAATATTTTGTGTGCTTCTTAGTCATGGGCACAGAAAAGTGTGAGTTGAATAAATATTTGCTAAATCAATTAAGAAATAAATTGCAGAATGAATAATCTTAATTTGTCTCTAAACTTTCTGTTTTCAAAATTACTTTACAAAAATGCTTAAGGGAAACAAGAATTCCAAAGAAAGTATAACACTACAATTATAATTTAAAAGAAACTAGAGAAAAATGAGACAATGCTTTGCAATTTACACTTACATTAATTAACATTACTGAAAGATTAGGTATTCCATTTTATTCACATAAATAAAAAATAATTTAAATTATTACTAATACTAACATGAACTTAAAAAGGAAGGAATACTGATTTTAACATACTGTAATGTTTTGACATAAAATGTAGTGAAATTACTAATAATTTTCATCTTCATATTATATAAAAATAGAATTTTAAAATAATGTCATAACAGTTAATTCCTTTGAAATTAACTGTGAAATTAATCATAGTACTATCATTCTCATTAGTACCATACTTATTATAATTTACAAATACTATCCCATATTTGTTGAATATTTTATTAATTGATGTGATATGCCTATATAACTTTGCCCATTATCATAGAGCAGAGTGAAATGATACATTATTTGACCACAGTCATTATGCAGCACATGACTGTAATCTAATATTTGAATGTGGAATTTTTAAATTTTCACTTGAAAATGAAAAATATAGATTCCTTTTCCCTTTGGATATGTTCTATGGCAGTTCTATTTTTAGTTTTTTGAGGAACCTTGATACTGTTATCCATAGTGGGTGTATTAATTTACATTCCCATCCACAGTATACGAGGCTTCCCTTTTTCACACATACTTGCCAGCATTTGTTATTGCCTGTCATTTGGATAAAAGCCATTTTAACTGGGGTGATATGATATTGCATTGTAGTTTTGATTTCCATTTCTCTGGCAATCAGTGATGTTGAGCACTTTTTCATAAATCTGGTTGCCATTCACATTTTTTCTTTTGGGAAATATCTATTCCGACCTTTCACACATTTTTATTTGGATTATTAGATAATTTTACTATAGAATTGAGCTCCTTGTATATTCTGATTATCAGATGGATAGCTTGCAAACATTTTTTTTTCTCTATTCTGTGGGCTGTGCCTCCAGTTTCTTGATGTTTCCTTTGCTGTGCAGAAGCTTTTTAACTTGATGTGATCCCGTTTGTCCATTTTTGGTTTGGTTGTCTATGCTTGGGAGGTATTACTCAAGAAATCTTGCCCAGACCAGTGTGCTGGAGAGGTTCCCCAATGTTTTATTTTAGTAGCATGTAAATTCATTTGTATAACATTCTTTCCTAAATAGGACTAGTATAAGTAAAAACATTTTTCAAATAGTAATTACATAATATATTTTAATTTTTAAATTTTAGCTTCTCTCTTATTTTGAGTTATAGAGAACAGAAATGAAAATGTGCACATGCATTTAAATTACCTCCATTTCTATCATAATTTTAGAGAACCTCTGATTCCAGAGAGATTTTGCATGAGGAAGGAGGTATGGAAATTGAAAAGGGGGAAGTAACAGCCTTAGCTATCCATGATGCAGAAGTATATACTCATCAATTAGAAGACTAATACCTTAGAAACTTAAGCACAAAATCAGCAAGACCCTGTCAATGATTAACTAGCATAATACTATTCCATCTACCCTCCTATCTTCAGATTTAATACATGAGTTTAGAGAGTGATAAATGATTTCAGATACCACTAATTTAATTAAAAATGTGCACATAAATTTAAAAATATTTTAACTCTAAGTTATTTTGTTTTTTTCATTTAAACTTTTTGTTTGAGGGCCGGGTGTGGTGGCTCACGCCTGTAATCCCAGCACTTTGGGAGGCCTAGGCGGGCGGATCATGAGGTCAGGAAATTGAGACCATCCTGGCTAACACGGTGAAACCCCGTCTCTACTAAAAATACAAAAAAATTAGCCAGGCGTGGTGGTGGGCACCTGTAGTCCCAGCTACTCGGGAGGCTGAGGCTGGAGAATGGCGTGAACCTGAGAGGCGGAGCTTGCAGTGAGCCGAGATAGCGCCACTGCACTCCAGCCGGAGAGACAGAGAGAGACTCCGCCAAAAAAAAAAAAATTTTGTTTGAATATAAATCTTAGAAATATTATATTCATTACCTTAGGTAGTATTGCTTATTGTCCTGCCAGTTGGCAAACTCATAATGGAGAATGAAACTCTAATTGAGTGTCATTACGATCAGAGAAAAACAGTTGCTATTGTTTGTTCAAAAAAGGGGTGCAGACCAAGCACAGATCACCCATGTCCAATCAGTAGGACCATTTGCTGAAATGACTACCACTTTGTTCACTGTTTCTTTTATTGGGACCATCAGGATTTACTTTTTTTTTTTCTAACATGCCACCATTGTGTCTGTAAAGTTCATCTTGTTATATATAGTTGTTCTGATAACGCATGCTGAAGACCTCTAGCCAGAAATGTTTTTGACCCCCAACCAGAAATCATTTTCTCTCAGTTTAGCTTCTTTACCAAGGATGTTTGGCCACAAGTGGCAGCTATTTCTGTAAGATCGTATAAATTCTGGAATGATAGGATTGCTGTTTAGGAAACAGTTTTCAAGTATCATTTATAATCACACTTTTTATTTCTGAATGGTTTGGCTAGTCACTAATTGTGTATATGTTGAATAAAACTCTATATTTTAATAGAAATATGTAAGCTATTGGAGTTGGGGAAAACTGGGTACAGATATCATGCTATTTAGAAGGAAGTTCCTGTAGCATTCTAATAACACTTCTAGAGCTGTTATGAAGGTTAAGACATTTGCACTAAAATTGAAAGATGTTATAAAAGGCCTGGAAAAATAATAAGCTTAATGAAGGAATTAAGAAGTTTACAATTATTGGCCTGGCTCTCATCCCACCTCTTTGATAACTTGAACTTCAGTCACATCTTCCAATTGTGTTAATAGCCCTTCAGGCTGGAATAGCCCTTATCCCAGGGTACAACTGTGAAATCCTACTTTCTAATTAGCACTCTGCTCAATACTCCACATTGCTAATTTTCAGAGTAGCTGTCAATTGTTCCCCCTGTGATAAATCAGACTATTTTTATTCTCTCGTAATATGTAGAGATATTTTGTTATTTCAAATCAGTAAACATTGAATAGATTTACCCAGGACTTCCACATAACAGAAAACCATTTAAATTTTGTTTACTAAATACTGAAAAATAATATGGATATTATTATAATAAAATAATAGTTTAAATAGTTTAATAATTGGCATTTGTGTAATAACTATTATGGAAGACATTCTAAACACATCATTTATGTTAGTATACTCAATTATTACAACAAGCAGTAGGACATTATTTTCCATATTTTTCAGATGTAGGAAAGCAGAAATAAAGTTTTAATAATTTTCTGAAGTCACAGAGTTTGTAAGTGCTAGAGGGATGATTAAGACTTATAAACCATAGTCTTAGTTATTATATTACTATTAGATTTGTAATTTTAATTTTTTTATTTTGCTATCAAATTCTATGAATTTATTTTTGATAACTGAGAGCTAATGTGTTTTAATGCATTTTTTAAGCACGGTACCAGTTTATTTGTTTTAAATTGGCCAATATTATCGAGGAAAATATTCTGCTGTTATTGTAAAAACTCCTCAGAATACAAACTCTTGGTTCTGCCTACAGTTGTAAACTGTTTTATAATGATACAGTAATTTTCTAATTTTGAGAATCCTAGGCTATAATATTCTCTTTTAACTCCAGTCAGTTAATTTCTAAAGAAATGAAATACTCTCACGTTTGCTCTGGAACGGATCTAGTAGCATCCAACACTGATGAGTTTCAGAATAGCATTACCAAAGTTTAAATCAAGGGCGTCACCCATCACCCATATGTCAGGAGCTCAGATGAGCTTGGGGAGAGTTGAGCTGCTGGGTGTCAGAGTAGCTGAACACAGCAACAAGCCAAAAATGAAAAAGATAAGCCTTTAATCACTTGTTGCTATGGTATAAATAAGTGGCTAAAACCAGAGAAAACAGTCACTTCCCCTCCCTGACAACTTGAACCCCCTGCCATTGTCTTGCCTGGAATGTTGAGTCGTGGAGGACCAGGAGAAGCAGCAGAGACTTGGGGATTATTCCATAGTTTTATGGACCCTGGGGTTGGAGAATGGTGAGAGAGAAGGACTAAATGGAAAAGCAGTGGATATTGATCCAGAATGGGAGAGATATTTCAAAGTTTCCCCTTTCTTCCCACAAAAGGAAGTCTCCATCCTGTAAAGGTCTTCTGCATAAGGCTTCAGATCAAGAGACCAAACTAGGAATGAAGATACCAGGTCTAGGGAGCTTAAATCCTTGACTGCAACTGCCTCTAGAGACTGCAGTGCGCTGGCCGAGCACCAAGTCTTGCTGAAGGGAGAAGGCAGCTTTCCCCTTTGTTATTGCTTAACAATCACACATTTAAATTTAACCAGGAGCTGGACTCCTGTCCATAGTAATAACAGTAAAAATAACATATACTTATGTGTAGATCATTATATTCAAAATATTATTCTAAGACTTTATATTAACTCCTTTTAGTCCTATTTACAAATCTAAAAATGTGTTATTATTAATTCACCATTATTAATGAGGAAACTGAGAAACTTGCTGTAAAAAAAGTTACTTGCTCAAGTTCACAAGCTGGTAAGTGGAGAAGTTTCAAAGATCACACTTGATACTTCAAAATAAGGTTTGTTCTAATAGTAAGCACTCAACAGATGTATTTAAATAAATTAAAACTTTAATATTGAAAGAAAGCAATTAAAAAAATCAGTCTGCCCTCAGTGAATTATATTTCTTCAAATCGAATCAATTATCCAAAAGTACATTGCAGAAAGACAAATAGAGAAAATGTATATGATAAATCTGGAAAAATGAATTAACAATTTTATAATTTTTATAATTTTTTTTGGTGAAGTGGTTGCTTCACTATCAAATTTAAAATGTACAAAGTTCAGGCCCTAGGACTCTATACAAATCATCAGATTTCACAAATGGAAACATTACTAAATCTCTGTCAAACTACTTTTCACCCTTATATCAGTAGATTAAATAAACGTGATTTTGTCCAGGAGTCATATATTACAGCCGTGAGATAATTTTGCTTATTTTAATTTATGCTAATTAGGAAAACTATAGTTTAAAAAACTTTAAGTTACTACCCAGTGTCACAGCTATAGGGACCTAAGAAGCCTGGACTGAAACCACAGTCTTTCATTTTTCTATGTCCATTTATTTGCATAACTTGAAGTTAGCTTCATGTAGAAATACTCAACATTTCTTTATTCCTGATATAAGTTCTATTGCTTTTCCATTAAATGTTGGGGATTTAACACATTCAAATTTGGATAATATAGGTTTTTAATAGTCTCTGGATAGGGGAAAACATTAAGCTCTATATTTGGATATGCTATTTGAGCAAGAACTTATCTGAAACAAAAAAAAAAGGTTTTCAAGATAAGATGGGGTATTTTAAAAGAATAATGATTTCAATACTTGATATCTAGGAAAGATAATTCTTGGCTTTAGTTTGTGTCTTGGGCAACACTCTATTTTAAAAATATATTTTGTATTGTGGAAATTAGTGTCATTTTTGAACATTTGATGATATTAACTGAACTCAGTTTTAAGCCAAGAACACAAAATAACCTTTTAACTGAAGCTTAGAGCGGTCATACAGAGACTTTGAATAACTTCAATTTGTCTTTGAACACAACCTTTGCAGAATGAACACAAGAATGCTCCCAGGCTCCCTTTCTATCTCTTTATCATGGATGAATGACTTAAAGATCACATCATCACAAGCCTCAGAAGCAGCCTTTAACTGAATGGTGGAAAAAAACACTAAAACTTGCCTGCTCAATTTTTATATGAAGTATGAGGAACTTTCATTGATTTCTGAGAATAAATGCATTATTTAAAAGTAAATTTTACCAAAAAAGTGCTTGTGAGATGGAGCAGATTCAAATAGGCCACATGGGACTCTTCTTCTTATATCTATGAAAATGTAACCAGGCTTTTCTTTTTATTTTTAGATTTTAGTCAACTAACATTACTATGTAATGAATAGAAATACCATTATTGAAACATGTTCATAAGTTATATCCAATTAAGCTATAAATAATAGAATCAATATTTCTTGCCTATAAATATTAAGTTTTAGCTAAGTGAAATTTTTAAACTGTAAGTATATATTCTTGTCCATTATAATATTCATCACGGCAGTGATTCTGATGCTTTTTATTTGTGGATTTGTTTGGCTGTTTTATTTGCTCACATTTATGAGTCTGGCATTTAAACTGGACTTGGAAAAGAGTAGGTGTTTAGGTCTTATTTATTGAATCAATGAAATAGAAAATAAAATATAAAATTAGTTTTATTTAATCCACAGGATAAAATTTTTGAAAAATATTGATTAGATGTATGCCCAGGCACGGTGGCTCATGCCTGTAATCCCAGCCTTTTGGGAGGCTGAGGCTGGTAGATCACTTGAGGCCAGGGGTTTGAGACCAGCCTGACCAACATGACAAAACCCCATCTCTATGGGCGTGGTGGTGCACAACTGTAGTACGAGTTACTCTGGAGGCTGAGGAAGGAGAATCACTTGAATCTGGGAGGTAGAGGTTGCAAGGAGCCGAGATCAAGCCACTAAACTTCAGCCTGTGTGACAGAGCAAGACTCTGTCTCAAAAATTAAAAAAAAAATTAAAAATTAAAAAAAATTTAAGTACACCCTTAACCTTTTAATTTTTATTTTAGAAAACAATAAAATTTGTCACTTTGCTACGTTCTCGTAGAAGCGCAACATGAGTATTCAACTTAAGGTCAGAATCAAAATACAAGTACTTATTTTTCCTCTGTATTAATGTTTTAATGTATTTTCTAGTTAAAAATACATCAAAGTAAATCAAATTAAAATGAAACTAACACATAATATTCAACTTAAATTTTTAGCAACAAAGTTAAAAGATAAAAATATGTGGGAGATCTCGTCTTTTTAAAACTGTGGATAGAGAAACTGAAGTTATCAGGAAGTATTGCATTTTAAAATACAAAACTTTAGTGATATTTTGAATATTGCTTGCCAATAATGCATTATAGTTTTAATTTTCTTCTTCCTGTATGTACTTTGCTTTAAAGAATAAACTATTCTAATATGTCTACTGCAGCACTGTGCTGTTATTTGTATCAATTTAAATTTGTTTTCATTTCATAAATTTATTTTTATTTCTTAATTTTTTTGAGACAGTGTCTCGCTCTGTCACCCAGGCTGGAGTGCAGTGGTGTGATATCGGCTTACTGCAACCTCCACCTCCTGGGTTCAAGCGATTCTCCTGCTTCAGCCTCCCGAGTAGATGGGATTACAGGTGCCCACCACCACAACTGGCTAATTTTAGTATTTTTGGTAGAGACAGAGTTTCACCATGTTTGTCAGGCTGGTCTCGAACTCCTGACCTCAGGTGATCCACCGCCCTTGGCCTCCCAAAGTGCTGGGATTACAGGCTTGAGCCACGGCGCCTGGCCTATAAATCTATTTATATATGCAGAATGTTTTTTATTGTGGTGAAGATAATTGATTGCATAGGATGTAACAGTTTTGTAGTAGCTGAAGAGTTAGGAAACAAAACATTTTAAATTATCTTGGGTTATATTTTCAAGTATAATAAGTATCAAGAAATCTAAACATATGCCTCAAAGCAAATGATTAGAAAAAGTTATCCACTTTCTACAGAATGATATGGGTCATTAATAAACACTTGGATAGTTTTCTCAGAAGGAAACTGAGTATAAAAATCTCTGGTCATATGAAACTGTTGATCCCAAACTGCCAAAATCTGAACTTCTGAATTTTCTAATGATTTATTGTTGTCTTTGTTAAGCTAACTTGACGCCCACTTTACCATACTTCCTTCTATTAAAAAGATACACTTCTAAAATAATTTTTTGTTTAGGAAACATAATTGTATCCATTTACAACTCCATTAAAGCTAATGATGAAAAAAAGTTGTCATATTCTGTGTTTTTATTGTTTTTAGACTTTTCTAAATTCATTACTTGGATAAAAAACAAGCACTCATTTATATCATTTGAATCCTTTGTTTTCAAAGGGCTTGTATTAACCTTCGACATCCATGCATAATTAATAAGTATTTTTTCTTGTCCTCGTTAAGGTAAACTCCTGGCTCACTTTTTAGAAAAATGTATTATTTTACTTTTATTATTAAGGTACAATATTTGAAGAAATATATGTGGGTTCATGTTTCGCATGTACATGCATACATATATTTATGCATGTACATTAATATAAATGATTACATAGACATTTATTTATGAAGAAGTAAATCACTGATTTCCACACCAACCAGAATAACACATTTGAAAGTCTGTCTCTTATATCACACAAAAGTAATCTTATAGAATTATAATTCTACAGTTGCTAAAATTTAATTCCCTATCCATTTTACTTAAAATTCAACAATAAATATTTTCAACATCATTATATAATATTATAAATATTCTATTTTCTTTAAGCATATGCAATAGCTTATTTAGAAAACTGCATTTTTAGTGTGCTTCTATTTATTCAACATTATATCTACAAATAAAACAATTACATTTCAAATTTTTGCATTTTTCAACTTTTATTATAAGATATGCTCTCTAGAAAAGATTGTTTTATTTTCATTGTGATATTTAGTAAGTGCATAGTTTAACACATTTTAACAACTTGAAGACAAAGAAGATAATAAATATAATAAATGCATGGTTTTCAATAGGCATATATTATATTTACTATATATACGTTTTAAGATTACACATGCTCATCAGGCATATGCAAGTGAAAATATATGTGTATATCTTATTTATTATATTTTTATATATTGTATATGCATATATTAATCTTATACCAAAACCGAAAATGCCTCCATTTTAAATGATTATATCATAATTTCAATATAGCATATTTCATATGACAGAAATAATGAGTACCACTGCAGTCAACTGAGACATTAATAACCATTTAAATAAGAAAAAGATACTTGGATAATTTAAAGTTGCCTTTAATAAATAATTTTGGGCTGATAAAGTAATATAAACAATTGTTACAAATGTGAATAGTATCAAAATTATTACAATACAAAATACTAAATTATATAGGATGCAGTCAAAGCTGTGCTTTAAGGTAAATTTGCCATCCCTTTCTGTCTCTTGATAAAACATATTTATAGTTTATTTATTTTCTTGCAACAACTCTCATTACATTTACACAATATAAATTTTATTCCCTCGCTATTGTTTTAATGGATCGTATTTCTCCTTTCTTATACTCTACTATTTATTATTTTTAAATTTGTAAAGGAAAGACAGTGCCTTACTCATTCGATTATTTTTGGAATTTAATTAACAAGGAAAATCCCTGGAATGACTATAGCAATTCTTGGAAAATGTTAAGCTGTTAATAAAGATCTGCTATCATCAATCTTGAGGAAAATAAGAGTTACAAACTATATTTATACAAACTATATTTATAAATACAAACTATATTTAGCTACTTACAATGCTGATTGTGTCCTTAATAGCTTATGTCAATTGTTTCACATGTATACCCTGTAATCTTATCTATATCCTCCTGTAATTATGAATGTTTTGCCTTCGTGAATTACAACACATTTAACTTAATGCAGAACTAAATAACTATCTTAAATGTTTAGCATCACAACTCTGTAGATTATATACTATTGAGTTTATAATATGATTATATATGCTTACTTATTTTAGGGAACCAACTGGGCTTAATCCCGTGTAAGTAACATGATTTTTCTGTTCATATGTTTTCAGTGTTTTAAAATTTATATTTGTATTCACAATCACTGAGGTTCTGTTTTGAAATTAGCCTCTTGTGAGAATCATGTCTTTTATAGAGAAAAATTTTTGTTCAAACCAGATCTTTTTACAGAATAAGGTAGGTAATGATGACGACAATGACTATATGTACTTATCGTGTTGCTCTGATCTGTTACTCAGAATTGGTAATTATGTGTAATTTAGTACTTAGTACTCTAACATACATCTTTGTTATTTTCTCCATATCATTTTACTTTATTTCTACTGACCCCATGATATTAGAGGAGCATCTCATATTTTTCCTAGATATTGCACATTTGAGTTTCCACTGAAACAAATTACTACTTACATTCTTCAATGGAGATAAATTTTACTGCAAATAATTGTAATTCTTCTTTATCTTATCCAAATTCTCTATATCCCAAACTTTTATTGTTGTTTGTCTTTTATATTCCTTTTTTTGCTATAGAAAACTCAGGTATTATTCCAAATATATGCTTCAGTGATGTATGCATAAAAAAGAGCTTGTGCATGGACATAATCTTTTTCTTGGCTAGCCAAAGAAGTAGCCAAATAGACATAGTTTGTAAAATAATCAAAATTCTATATTTCTCAGTCATATACAATAAAGTGGTGGCTACTTAGTAATTCAGATGAGCTAAACTGATGTATGCCTTTTTATCTTCTGTTCCCTGATAATAAGTACAACCTTATCTCCTAATGATATCAATCTTGTCTTATGAAGCAATCCAGATTTCACAGCCATTCCTAGACTCATTTCATGTAAGCCTCTCTCTGTACTTCCTATTTCATAATGAATCTGTATAATCATGAAACATCTTATTATGTGTATATGTAAAGGGTAGTTTTAATTTGATTGTATCAGTGGTAAGGCATTCCCTCTTAGAACCATCTCATTATCTTATTTTTAAGAATGATACCCAGTCAATTATTTATCTTTGAGAAGTTTTTTAGAAAAAAAAATCAGTCCCTTTTAGAGGTGGAGCTATGTAGCCACCTATTTAAGTCTCCTTAAATGACATTTTTATTTTTAATTTACAACTTTCCATATATTTTGATTGTTCTCTATTTTCTGCACATTGACAGTGTACAATACACATATAGCACTATTAGGAAAAAACAAATGTGTAACATCTACACTTATTCATATAGCAATGTATTATAAATACTGTGCATGACAAAATATTTGAAGTTGTAAGTATTTCATGATATTAACTTTTTACTACTAATTAATGGTAAGCCTCATAGCCTTTCTGAATGTACAGTTTAATAGTTTGAAGAAAGCTACAATTAATTCTTATTATAAAAAAGCCTGAGTTCATGAAAAAATATCAATTATATCATGTGTATTTTTATGAATGTGTTGAAATAAGAGGAACGAGAAGCAGTAAAGATTTTCATCAGGACTTTTATCTTTCAAATAAAAGGCGTTATTTGAGTTATAGACAAGAAAAACAAAATTTTAAAATATGCACTTACATGATTTTATCAACATTTTAAAATAAAAATTGCAACAGAAAGATTCCGAACACATTCATTGTGATAATAGTCTACTAAAAATTAATTCATAAAATTTAACTTCTCTTAATGTGATTGTGTTTTTAATGGTAGGTAGAACATGCCAACCAACATTGTCATATAAGTTTATTTGAAAGCTCGATTTTCTGCACAGTGACAATGTACAGTCATTCAACAATATTTTGGAGAAGTACAAAGGGTACATCAATTCTTTTTTCTCTTGGGAAGTTCAGTTCACATACTCTCTTATATTAGCAGGGAAACCTCCTGGATAAGAGAGATTCAAAATGTTTGTTGGTTATTATTGCTTTGTTTTCTTAAATAAAAACTTGCTGTGATCCTTTGATTAAGTAATGTTTCCATTCAAAGGAAAAGAAAATGGTGTCAGGGTGAGAAGAAGATTAAAAATGGAAACCTCAAGACAGCTTTCTCCAGTGCTCTTGTAGAAATAAAGGTTTTCCAACATATTTTGTCTGTTTATTGATTATCATTTCATCTGGAGCTTGTGTCCAGTTGATTTGTTCCAAAAATTTTCTCCACGTTTTCTTTGCCTTGCTTGTTTTTGGACTTGTCTTCTATATTTACCTGCAGAGTTTTCTGCTAGTTTATCTTTGCAACTCTTTGAGATGTTTCTTATATCCTGGGTTTTCCTGCATTTGGCTTTACTCTGCCTACTAAAATAGTGAATTCCCTGGGAAGACTTATTTTTGTGTGTGTTCACTGAACCACATATGTATTTTTTCTGTGTCTAGAGAGAAATAATTGCAGTTTAATATTTGCTGAGCATCATAAGGCAGACATCCTTTTTCACTCTTTTTACAACATTTAAAATGACAGCTGGTATCGAATGTGACATAAAAGATTCTCTTTGTAGAGTTATATATTGGTAAAAATTACCTTGTTAGAAGTCAAAGGGTGCTCACAGATTCCTATTTATATACTGTTTCAATTCCCAATCAATTTCCACAGCCATTATTTCATTTCCTCATCATAGTAACTATGTTAAGTTGGTGAAGTTAGGCGTGATAACATTATGTATGTTTTAGAGACGAGAAAATCAAGTCAGGGAACAATAAAAAAAAATCTGCTGAGAGTCTGAGCAAGGTAATGCCAAAGTTTACCTTACGATATATGTGTCTACTTTCTAAGAATACTGGTATGGTTTTAGGCCCCTTTACAAACTTCATAGTAATAACCAATAAAAGTTTGAACAGTATTTGAAAATGTATATGATTTAAATTTTATTTAGAAGGTAGTTGTAAGCTACTCTATTTGAAATAAATTTCTTCCTTTAAAAACATATTGAAGCAGAAATAATAAAAGCAATATTAAAGAAGGATGTAAATTTTATGCCCAGTTTCCCAGCTATTCGTGTAAAACAACCACCAAATATATCACTGAATCTACAAGTTTTCCATCTATTTGTGCAAAACAATCAACTGCCAGATTTATCACTGAATATAATTGACGATAAACTGAATGATTATCAGGGTCATAAGTGAAAGTTTTAATAAATTATTTTGCACTGTTTCTCTTTTATTTTTCCAAAAAAATTGAAGTTTCTTTTTGTTGTTCTTTTGAACAACATAAAGTATTTCAACTGAAACACAAGTTTTTTCAAGTGGTGAAGACAGGAATGCTCTATTCTGGTCAACTTTTATGTACCCAAATACATTTCTGAAATATACTACTACCACCTTAATTATAGAAAGACAAAATACTTTGAATTTGAATATTTATTACTTTTTTCTACTAACACAATTTGCAATTAAAAATAATAATTATATATTGACACTCCCAATTACAATGCATAGTACAGAGAAAATGCTAATAGATGTTCATGAGTGAACACAAATTGAGGATGGACAAGAATCAAAACAGTCAGTAGCATATATGCTTTGTAGATGTGGTAGACTAAATTCATGTTCACAAATGTTCAGTACCCTGTCTGTGCTAAAAGAATGTACTTCTGCCCTTTAAGCTAGCTTTTAGATAAATGACTTGATTTGGCTCAGTTAAGGTGTGCAGAACTGTCATTACTTGATTTTACACCAAAGTTTTGAGATTCTGATTATAGTTCACCATTGTATCTTTTCTTTACTTTTGTGATCATGAAAACAAATGTAGCTATGGAATCACTATCATCCTCGGTGGCTGAATGACAAAGATAAGCCTCCTCATCAAACTGTGATGGACATGTAACATAAGCAAAAAATACATCTGGTTGTATTAACAAATACTATGTTTTTTCAATTTGCTACAACATTATCCAGCCTGTAATGAGAGAAACATGAAAAAATCAAAAGCTGCTTGAGGAAAATCTGGTGAAGGGGTATCTGGACACTAAGATATGGCTACTGAGAATTAATGCAGAGTGCCTATTTTTATTAATTAAATGTTTAAAATAGTAATAATATATATTCTTGTACCACTTAAATGATTTAATTTTAGTAACCAAATATGAGCTAAAATGTTTTTATTTACTCATAATTGATTGTGGCCACCGAAATATATTTTTTCTCATCATTGTATAATTTATTAAATCATGATTACTCTGAAGCTGTAATTTCAGAATTATTATCTCCAGAATAGAAAGAAGATTCTATATCACAGTTTCCAACAAAAATACATTTCTCATTAATCTGTTATTGAGGCTTCATCTGAAAGTTTTTTTTATATTTGTTTTGATTCTGGCACTAAGTTCACAGAATCTTGACAATCTTCCTCTTGTCTATTCTTCCTTAGATCCTTGTTTCAGCTACTAGAGCTTAAGATGTGCAGAGAATTTACTATCCCAAATCTGCAATTAGCCGTGGCAGAACTGCCATAATAAAATCTCCAATTAGGTTCATAAAAATTGAGTTTTGTTTTGATGCCATGATGTTTAGTCAATAAAATTTAATTAATTATATACAAATGCCTGTTCCATCTGTGACTGAAATATATAGCCAGGTAGCACACACCCATACCACCTCCTAAGCCGCCTACTCCCCACACACACACCTCACCTCTACACAAAATCTTCTGAAAACTGACCAGCCCTATGAAGTATTTCAGATGTGTCTTCTCAGAAATCATTTTGTCTGTATATAGAAGAGGTAACTTTAAAATATGAGAGAAATCAAGATAACCAACACACAAAAACACAACTCTGCTTACAATATAGACTATAATGCAGCACAAACCCAGTATATTTAATTTCACATAAAAAAACAGTATTTCAAAGATATAAGTGTAACAAGCACTCTATCGTTAATATCTGAGGAATTACCTGGGAGCCTGCAGAGACACATGCTGAGTAGCCAGGCATTTCCTGTTGTTGTCAAGGTAACAAGTTATCTTGAATTCCTACTAACAGACTCCTTCTAGATTATACCACAGATAGTAAACCTGCTGCCACCCACAACAAATGTGAATGTCTTGATGTTATGCACAGGAGGGCTAATCGATATAATAGTTCTCTCGAGGTAGAACTAATTATTAGATAACTCAGTAAGGTTGTGTAATTTCAGTAAATGGCTGTGGTCTTAAGGGAAGTTACAGGTTCACAGTAGAAATTAAGTAAAAGTCAGTAAGTCATGGAATAAAAATAAAAAAGGAGATAAAAGAGGAGAAATTACATTCTATTTAATAAGTTTTACTTAATAATATTAAAACTTGAAATAAGGCTTTCTTCTATTTCATTTTATTTGCATATTTATCTCAAATTATTTGAATTGAAAAATTTGTAGAGTTAATGATCTTCAGAGGTCGTATAAAATATTTCATTGGAAAGATGAGGAAACTGAAACTCAGGATGTTAAAATTGAATAGGTCACCAATCTATTTTTAAAGGGTCAAATTCTAAAGCCTTAGCTTTTAATATGTCCTACTCAAATGTTCTTTCACATATGCAAAACCCATTTCAGTTACTCTGGAAACTGACAATAAGAAAGAAAAGATACTTTCACAGATGAAGAGAAAGTTTGCACAAAAACATTGGTGTTTACATGATAAAATGCAACTGAAGGAATAAGATAAATAAAATTATCATTCCATCCTAAATATGACCTCATTGTCATGGGTCAGTTAAAAACAGGCTACTTTTTTACCCAAAAATACTACCAATTATCCTATTTTTTAGGTATTTTAGAAAATAATCTAATCTCCTCCTTAAATTTATTTATTCTATAAAAAGTAAATGTGCATTGCTGCTAACTTGAGAGTGCTTTGTACTGAGTGAATCTATGCATCTCAAAAGTAATGATGATTTTGATGTTCTTGTATAAAAAGAATCATGCAGTATAATGGTTTCATATCTTTTCAAGATTTAAAAATCTTATGAAAATTTGATATTAGAATTTTATAGGATCAAAGACATTAGATTTTGTAGGTGAGATAAAGAGAAAGATGGAGAAAACTAACATATATTGAATAACTTCTATATACCAGATACAATGCTAGTCATTTTACATCATGTTGATATTTAACAGTCACAATTAATAAAAGTTACAAAAAATGTGTGAATCAATAAATATTGAGAAAAGCATGCCAATAGTTAAGATTGAGTAACATTTACCTTGTATAGAAGTATCCTACTTTGAACTAGGAATTTGAATCCTTTCAAGGAAAAAAATAATTTATTAACAACATCAATTAAAGGGTTATTTCAAGTAACCACTCATACTACTTAAAACATTTTTAATATTGTTATGCCACATTGAAAGGCATTATGTAATATGAAATGTAGGTCTTAGTAAACATGAAGAAGGGTTATGTACAAATAAAAGTTGAGTGACAGATAACAAGATTACACAAAGCTGTAAGTTGTACAAAGCTATTTCTAGGAAACAAATACAAAGAGAAGTGGCAAAAAAGAAATGAGCATATCAGATATACCTACAGGAGAATGAGCATATTGGAAAACAGCTTTAAAAAATGATTGCTTTGCTCATATTCAGCAAAATGAAGCCTGAGATCAAAAGTAAGTAAAAGCAATAAGACATGGCTGATTTTACTTTTTCTTTTAGGATTGCAAAAAAGCAAGTATCTTAAGGAATATATATCTAGTATCTATAAACTTTATACCTGTACCCTTCTCACTGGGCAGTTAGGATGTGAGGAGGTGTGACCCACTGGCCAGGAGGTCTACTTCTAATTTTGAATATTAAAAATTTTACCCTCACAGAAATTGCTAATTCTGTTCATTCTGATGATGAATAATCTTGCTAAGTCATGTAAATCCTACCAACAGGCACATGTCTGCCTTTATTATTTTTCCTCTGGTTGCTAAATTGATTTTTTTTCTCAATTACAAAAGAAGCTGTTTCTTTTTATCAATTTCCTTTGGTGCTTTATTACTTTTTAGTTCACCAGTTAACTTTTATTCTTAACATTTTCAGCAAATTTTAGATGTAGGGATCATGAAGTGACAGAGTAATTAGGAAAATAATGAGACGGTTTCATTATCCAAACAAGGGAATAAGTTGGTTGTATTTTATCTCCCACTTAGCTCTGTAGAGATCCTTCTAGTTTCTGCATTGTTCAGTCGATATCCAATTTAGTCTCAGGATAACTCCTTGTTTGTAATAACCTCCTAATAGGAGAGAATGTTTGAATTACCATAGATAAATCAGTGAATTTGGTGATAAAGGGAAAACAGAAACAGAATCTCTACACTTATTCCATGTTAGTAATAGACTATCCATGTCAGGCAACATATTAGCATGATATTGTTGCTTATATCTTGTGAAATTTATTCCTCATGGAAGAAGATGAGGAAGTCGTATCTTCAGCATTTGTATAATGAATTCCTGTAATATAGGGTGAGAAGAGCTTGAAAAGACCTCTTCTCATCCTAGATTAGAATGAGAAGAGCTTCTCACTATTTAACAATTGCAGCTTAGCATCAGTAGCAGAGTATATTATAGTTATTAATATTAAAGTAAAGATTTCCTGATCCCTAAATTGTGCTTACATACCCTGTGCATGGACAAGGACAGGTAATTGTTATGGGCCATTGGCTAAAAGATGTCAGTAGCTGCTGATTGTAACATAGGCAGAAGTTTGGATTCTCTAAGTAGTGCTTACAATTTAAATTAAATATTGGTAATAAGACTCTTGGAGTAATTTTGAAGATAGGTCCACAAATTTTTCGGTATCATTTCCCTCAAGAGGTGAACTTTAATTCTCTTTTGCGTGCCATCTAAACTTAGTTACTTGCGTCTAGCGAACAGAATATGTAAAAGTATAAGATGGCATTTCCAAGATTAGGTTACCTAAGACTTCAATATTCCTCTTGGATCTCTCTCTCTCTCTCTCTCTCTCCCCCTCCCTCTCTCCCTCTGTCATCATTCTGAGAGAAGCCAGTTGCAGTGTTGTGAGGGCACTCAGATAGCCTACACAAGGCCCACATGTCAAGGAACTAAAGTCTGCAGCCAACAGCCAGCAAATGTGTGAGTTAATTCACATGCAGATGTCCTGAAGCTTGCCAAGAACCATGTAAGTGAACTTAGGAAGGCATCCTCCCTAATTAGAGGTTTGAGATAACTGCATCCCTGTTCCACAGCTTGACTATAATCTTATGAGAGACCCTGCTCTGGAATCATGCAGCTAAGATGCTCTTACATCTCTCATAGAAACTGGAACAATAAATATTTATCATTTTAAGGAGGAAATTTGGACTAACTTGTTTAGCAGCAACAGATCACTAATGCAACTTCCAAAATATTCAAGACAAATGAAATAAGGATCTCTTTTCTAAATATCATAATTTTCTAATTCTAGATTTAGTATGGTTTAAATGGGATATACTGGCTAGGCTTAAAGTTTTCTGAAAACTAGACTAAAAATAATAAGATTATAACAACAAAAAAGCTCTTAGTTCTCTTCTCACATATGACATATATTTAGCTCCTCATCCAATTTAATTTAATGAAAGTAAAGCAATATACTTGGATGTTATACAGAATTTTATATACCTATATATTTAAAATTCACTTACATGTTCTCTGATCTTTTAATCACAACAGCAATCAAGATTTTATTCTAACATAAACATGATTCTCTGTGGCTTTCATATCCTTTATTCCAACATCAATTTTTTGTCTATATCTGATGTCTTTAAAAGAGTTCTATGAAACACTTAAATAATTATTCCCTCTGCAGTTTTTACTTTTCACTAAATATGGATGTCAGATAGAATACTGATTTAAAATAAATTATACTATTTTATTTTATTCTAGTAAAATGACTAGTTTATTTCTCTTAGGAAATGAATGAGAAGAAAAAATAATATAACGAAATTACTGATGTGGAGTTTTGGGTGATATTTATAATGTATTTATTGATATTTAACAGGGATTACTCAAGAGAAAAAAAACACAAATACTATCCTAAGTCATGTTTCAAAATAGGGCATTTAAAGAAGAAACAAAACAAAAAAGAACCAAGAAAACCCTCCTTTAAGCTGTATGTATACAGTTGTGTGCAGGGATACTTATTATGCAGACCAGACAAAACAGGCATGCAATTTGCTTGTCTCAAGATAGATTTGAAAATGGAGAGCTCCATTAAAATGAAAGAACAATGTTTTTGCAGCCAGGGTCCTTGAAGCATGGTGGGTGTTGATTTTCTGTTTGCAAGTCTTTTTTTCATCTGTTCTTGTGCGTCTGTAGTTTCTTCCCTCTTTTATGATTTGTCAGTGGTGCTGAATGCTGATGAGACAATACTTGGTATAAATATCCTAAGGCAATCATTTTCAGATGATGAATTCAGGATTTGAAAACTTAAGCTTTACTTTTATGGGTACAATTTGGTTCAGGTTGCCTAATTACATTTGGTTGCCCTGTGATTCCAAGAATAGCTAGGGAAGAAACAACTATGATATGCCAAATTTAATGGGTATACAGGAAAAAATCATACAAAGGGGACAGAGGAAAAATTTAGAAACATTTCAGGTAACTTTTGTAAAATTTTCATAAAAAATAACAATGTTATATTTTGTTTAACATAAAAATTTCAATGAAAGAAAGTATTGTTCAACATTGATTAGAGTGAATCATACTAGAAAATGAACAATATTAGATAACAGAAAATCAGACTGAAATATCATATTGCCATTTATTAAGCATATGTCTTTGAAATACCACTATTTTTCAAATATCTTTAGCATGAAAGTGGGGTTATTGATATCTGCACTTTTTTCAGTTTTTTTTAAAAATGCCAAATTATGTGATTTATAAACCTCAAAATACTCTAACTTCAAATGACAGTGTTTACACAGATATCCAATAAGGTCATTCAGTCCAATAACATTAAATTTTAAAATTATAATTAAAGGTATATATGAACATAGTTTAAAAATTATACTTAATAAAATCACTTTTGATGACAAAAGGTGGAACTCTAACCTGTTCCTTTCTTTTCCACCCTCCCTTATAACATGAAATACTGTTATTTTGCCCTTTATCAACTTTAACATTATCTAGTAACATCCTGTATCATAGAGGAAGCTTTACATCTTTTCTGTTAACAATTTTTAAAACCACTTCTTTTTTTTTCCTTTTTTTCAATGAGATTCATCACAATTGTTAATTAAATATACAATCAATGTGTATCTTGTCATATAATTATAGTTCACTTCTGAGCTAAAGCATGTCATATATTGTTTCTTTCATTGCATATGTCTTTATTTTTTCCTAAACTTAATATTTTCCTTGCATGTATTAACTTAGTTTATAAAAGTTACATTACTATTTCAGCTGTTTCACCAGATCTGCTAAATACATGCCAATATTTTCAAAATGCTTAACTGTGTAAATTATACTTCTTTTTTTGTCTTAGAGTCCTCCCTCTTGAATTCTTATTATTTTCTGCTTAATTTGGACTCTGGCCTGATGCACTGCTAATGACATGAAACGGTCCTTTCATTTGGGAGACTTCTACTTTGTAAGCTCCTCTGTCAGAACTCTTGTTCACTGGTTACTTGTGATACTAGTTCCTGGTCAATTCATTGTTTGGTAAGGCACAGATTGCATTAGATTCCAAGAAAGAGCGCGTGGGAGATCAATTTTCTAGTATTTTACCTTAATTTTATATATTCACCTGGTTAATAGTTGATATGGTTAATGGGTTGAATACCAGCCTCAAAAAGATATGTCTGTGCCTAACCCCCATAATCTGTAAATGTGACATTATTCAAGAAACAAGTCTTTGCATATTTAAATTACATTAAAGATTTCCAGAAGATGTCATCCAGGGTTTAATATGGTTTCCAAATATAATGACCAGTGTTCTTGTGAGAAAAAAACGTAGGGAGATTTGAGATTCAAACATAAATGGGATAAGGTCACGTGGAGATGAAGTATAAAGATTAAAGTCATGCAGCCTGAAGCCAAGAAACATGTGAAGCCGCCATAAACCAGAAGAGACAAGGAAGGATTCTCCCCTAAAGCCATGGAAGGGAGCACGTCCTTCCCACCTTGCTTTTGGACTCCTGGCCTCCATAATTATGAAGAATGCATTTTTGTTGTTTAAAACAACCAAATTTGCAGCTTGGTTATGCAGCTCTAGAAACAAGTAAAGTAAAATAAAGAATTTTATGTAGGAAATGTTTTCAATCTTTCACCAACTATTGTATTTTGCATTATTTAATCTTGTTATATCACAATTCAATACTGTGTTTGGAAAACTCAAGAAAGTATGATTTTCAACAATTTGTATATAATATAAATTTTGTTTTGTTTCTCTTTAAAAGCTTTAAGACATTTGCTAACTCTTATGTCTGGAAATTGAATACTAATAACTTTGTATTACCATTATTGTACATTGAGATTGGCACTCATTGGATAACTAGAAAAGTCAAATTCTTCAGTCCTAGAAAATTTTCTGAATGTTTGTTTTAATTAAAGGTATCTACCAGACATTTTCTCTTCCTTCTTTCATTCATTGTTATTATTTGATTCTAGAAGTCATTCCCATCTCATTGCTTCTCTCAATTTTTATTATTTTTGCCTTTTGCTTTATTTTAAATTTTGGAAAATACTGAGTTTTATTCATTGAACGTTGTATTGCTTTAATTCCTACCATTCTGTTTTTTAAAAATAATTTAACTTTTATTTTAAGTTCAGGGGTACATGTGCAGGTTTGTTATATAGGTAAATTTGTATCATGGGACTTTGTTTTACAGATTATTTTATCACCGAGGTATTAAGTCTCGTACCCATTAGTTATTTTTCCTGATCCTCTCCCTCCTCCCACCCTTCACCCTCCAGCCTCTGAAAGTCCCCAGTGTATGTTGTTCCCCTCCATGTGTTCTCATCTTTAGCTCCCACTTATAAGTGAGAACATGAGGTGTTTGGTTTTCTGTTCCTGTGTTAGTTTGCTAAGGATAATGGCCTCCAGCTCCATTTGTGTCCATGAAAAGGACATGATCTCATTCTTTTTTATGGCTGCATGGCATATCATAATGCATATGTACCACATTTTCTTTATCTAGTCTAACATTGAGGGGCATTTGGGTTGATTCCATGTCTTTGCTATTGTAATAGTGCTGCAGTGAACATATGCATGCATGCGTCTTTATAATAGAACAATTTATATTCATTTAGGTATATACCCAGTAATGGGATGGCCCATTCTTTTTCTACATTTTTAATTTCTTCCAATTATTTATTCTAAATAAACATTTTCTATTACATTTCTAATATATAAAACATAGTTTCTAACAATTTTTTTCTCCTATTTCCTTCTATTTCTGTTTTATCAGTCTTCTGATTTTTAATAGTTTGTTTTGTTTTTTCTTTACTATCGGAGAAGTTCTTCATGTGTCCACTATTGGCTTTTCAATCATATTTATTTAGAATTTTAATGCTTAGGGTTTTTCAATGACTGAACTATTTTAATGAGCTATAAATGATGACTAGTCAATAGCTTATGTCATAAGTGCAACCCACATATATCAGTATAGAAGTCTTTTCTTGAGAGCAGTTCATTATCCTCCAGGAAAAAATCCTCCAAATCCTTCAACTTAAGGTCTGAGTAGGGACATTTTGAAAAATGAGCAAAAAGAGGAAGCTTGGTTATCCATTGTTCAGAGTGAAATTATTTTTCACTTAAATTTCCAGTTCTTCAAGTCTGTGTCTCCCACACACACTTGTTTTCTTTACCTGAAGAAATCTAACTGAAAAGTGTTCCAGAAAATAGATGTTTATCACTAAAGGGTAGAAATTAGAGCTTGAAAGTGGAGGGAAAAGACTTAGAGGCCTAACTAATACCAGTGATGATTTTCTTATTTTCTTTCCTTTCCTAATACCTTAGTCCTGTAACTTCTGAGACTTTGAAAGTTTCTACTAGTCAAATTGACTTATTTTTCCTTTGGGATCTGTTCTATAAAAACCAAGGTTCAGTTCATTTTTTCTCTCCTTCATATTATCTTTGATAAGTGATCTCCAGCACTGTCTTCTGTCAAAGATTAAGTTGTGTCTCATTTATTTTGGAATATTCAGTGCTCGGCGCACTTTTTGAAACAGCAGATTTAGTATAATTGCATTATGAATTGTTACAATATATTTTGTAGCCCATAAGTCTTTAAGCTAGAAGAAATGGTGTAACCAAAATAAAAAAATAAAAGTTTTATTATAAATTAACTCTTGTTTCTTATTTATATTTAACAATAGACTATTCTAAGAGAAATGCATGTCAAATGAGAGCCAATGCATTTTTGATGATATTGAAGAAATAAATTTATCTAAACTCTTTTTTCTTGACATGTTTATGTTTCATAGGCTTTAATGGGATATGATTTATATAATGTTATGACATTTTAAGTGTACAGTATTAATGCTTTTTAGTATTTTTACAGAATTACATATTGATATTCATAATCTAACTTTAAAATATTTCCATCATTTCAGAGTAAATTCTATCTTGTTTGCATTCACTCCTCACAATCACCTAGGCCC
Source organism: Homo sapiens (assembly GCF_000001405.40). Lineage (NCBI taxonomy): Eukaryota > Metazoa > Chordata > Mammalia > Primates > Hominidae > Homo > Homo sapiens. The sequence goes on from NC_000013.11 coordinate 56,323,583, forward strand.
TAGACATCCATTAATTTATTTTCTGTCTTTCTAAATGAGCCTTTGCCATTATCCTTAGCAAATTAATGCAGGAGCAGAAAACCAGGTACCCCATGTTCTCACTTATAAGTGAGAGCCAAATGATGAGAACACATGGATGTGTACAGGGGAACAACACACACTGGGTACATTTGGAGGGTGGAGAGTGGGGAGAGAGAGAGGATCAGGAAAAATAACTAATGGGTATTAGGCTCAATACCCGGGTGGTGAGATAATCTGTACAACAAACCCTCATGACACAGTTTACCTATGTAAAAAACCTGCACATGTAACCCTGAACTTAAAATAAAAGTTAAAAAAATGAGGGAAAAGAAGGAGCAAACCTCAAAAGTATTAAGTTAAGTAAAAGAAGTAGCTTTCAAAAAGATTGCATAATTTATAATACCGCTTATCTAAACTGCTTTACAAGGGATACACTTATCCTATTATTAAGATTGAAAATGTACAAATAGGTCTAAAATTTGGGAAATGATGGTGTGATGTATTATTACATACTGTAAGAGCAATCTCCAAATAAAGATGCTCCATGCATAATTTAAGATCTCACAGGAATTCCACCAAGTCTTAACTAAAATTGTTAAATCTACACTAAGAACCATATAAAATCTATGCAAAATGAATATAAAATAGTTTTGATTAACAATGAATGGCATGTTTTCTGATAAATTAGCAAATATTTGATTTGAAATATAAAGAATAACAGAAATGTGAAAAAGTAATAAATTCAACACAAAAGGGTGACATGATGAAACTTCCTCCAGTGATTCTAGATATTATGACTGTTTCAGTATGAACAAAATTATCAATGAAAAGGTTGCATCAATTAAGTGTTTTTTGAAAAGTAATGTAGAATTAGAGATAAACCAGAATTAAAAATATACAGGTTCCAGAAAAAAAAAAAAGACTGAATTCGGTAGTTAAATCAGTCATAATTAAAGACAGAGTAAGATAAAATATCTAAGTTTTTTTTTATTTGAGCAATCATAATTTAAAAGCCACAATAAAAAGACAACTCCCAGGCTACTTTCATCACAGAATCATTGCAGAGAAGGCAATAATGTCAAGGATGTGGAATATATCTACTTAAAAATAGCAAATAAAATATTTCATAAGTGTCATGGAATAGTGATAAAAAATTCAAATTGACTTGGATAAAAGCAGAGCCTTGTGGATATAAAACTGACTGAAGTATAACAAACAAAATGTCAGAGTATTTAATGGAGTGCCACAGGGATCAGTGTGAGGGCTGATCTTATTTAACAACTTAATTAATGATCTGGAAGATGGAGAAAACAGTATGTAAATGAAATTTGTAGCTGATATCAAATTGGAAGTTTTGCCAACACCAATTAAGATAGCAAAATTGTTTTAAAAGAGAAGTTACAGAGGTTAGAAATATAAAGAAGAAAAAGCAAATCATATGCTTAATTTATTAGAAGAGAATAACAAATAAACTTTGAAAAAAATGAGTAATACTTACCTTTAAAATACTGGAAACAGAATGAGAATGTAAGAGAATTTTAAAAACAAACTGCCAAAAAAATTTTTAAAACTTTGACATTTCTTGAGGGTTCAAATACTCTAAAATGTGTAATCTCTTTTTTCAAATGCCAAGGTTGATATATCTATATTAAAGCTCAGAAAACAATATAACTAAAGTAAATTTAATAATAGAAGTAATGCTGAAGTTTTATAGGACTTACTTCTTTATGACAGACACAGTAAATTTGGGAAGAACATATTGGCAATTAATTCAGTTTAATATAGCTACTACAATATGATTTACAGCTGTATGATACATTCACTTCTATCAGTAAATGGTTTGTTGTCCACATCAGTAGAGTTGCTTTGATAAGGAATTCCTAAAATAAATTTTTCTTGAATAGAATTTTTTGGCACATAGAGTTGCATGATTCAACAAGGCATCACAAGAAGATAAAAGACTTCAAATTGAGAGAGATGTATTTTTATATGAGTGCTGCTTATCATCAAAAAACATCATCACCTTTCTCTGTAAATGAGATAGATATCTAAATGCATAACATTGTTGTAGGGATTAAGAGAAGCACATTTTAAAAATACCAAACATTATGCATGTCATATTGTTGGTGCTCAATACATATTCGCGCCCTCAGTTTGGAATTTATTCCTGCAGTAGAACCAATAAACCTCATGGATTGCAGAACTGGTCGAAAACATCAGTGGAGGCAATTTTATAACTTTTCTTACAGAATGATGTAATTGGAAAAAATATCTAAAAAATATCTACTCAAGTAGAGTCAAAATGAATGTGTGTCTATTTACAAGTAATTATTGAGTGGAAACTATGGGTCAGGCACTGTTCCAGACATTGGAAACTCAATGGAAAGAAAATGAAACAAAAAATATCCTCTGTCTTCCCAGAGTTTATATTCCAAAGGAGGGAAGCAGACACAATCCAGTAAGCAATCATTTACATATGTGAATCTGTAAGTGCTATAGGAAAAAGTACATCTGTAAAATGGGGGTGGGGCTGTGGAATTCCCACCCAGCAATGGGGATGGTGGCATATTTGGGAGATGCTTGGGAAGATATCTGAGCAGAGGCCTGGAGTAAATAAGCAAATCTGCAGGTATTTGTGAAGTGGAATTTCTGCCAAGATGAGAGCCAAGGCAAGGACTCTGAGATAGACAGTGTGTGGTGTTTCCTGGTACCTGTAAGAAGGCCAGTGACATGGAGCTCACAGAATGAGGAAATTGACAGAATAAGAGGGAGAAGAGACTCTGCTAAAACTGGTGCTATTTAGACATTAGTGATAGTTCTATATTAATGCTGATAGTTAGACATTATTCCAAGTACAATAAAAAGCCATTGGAAGACACGAAATGGAAGGGTGAAATTGTTTTCCTTGATTGTTTTTAATGGAAGGCCTCAGCTGCTGTGTGGTGAATAATTAGAAGTAAATCACAGAAGTAAAAGTTCTAGCAGAGAGACCATTTATGAGTCAATTACAATAATGCAGGAGTCCGAAAATAATGGAGGAGGTAAGAAGGCATCAAACCCTGGAAATGTGTTGAAAATAAAACTCAAGTAATTTACTTGTTTAATAGATGTGGAGTATAAGGAATCAAAGATGATTGCAGAAATTTATCCTGAGCAAATAAAGAACAGAGTTTATGTTTATTGAAGTGGATAATACAACAGAAGGAGCAAGTCTATTGCCTATAGGAGGGTGGAAATCAGCACTTCAAATTTGGTTATAATGTACTGACTTTTAAGTCATCCAATTGGATATGCAAATGAGGAAGTAAGATATACAAATTTGGAGTCCAGGAAAAATAGGGCCTCAAGATATAAATTTGGGAGCTAACAGTTTATAGAAAACTTTTAAAACCTTGAGCTTGACTGAGCATAGATAGATGAGAGAAGAGGTCCAAGACCCAGGACACTCCAGAGTATAGAGATTAAGAGATGAGGAAGCACCAGGAAAGGAGATTCAGATACATGAGAAAATTTGTCTCTCTGCAATGTATCATTTCATTATAGATTATGGCAAGAACACGTGCTGCTCTAGAGGCCTGGTAAAACACAAAGGAAGAAATGGTTGAACTTTGGTTTCAAGATGGAATTTTGGAAATAGAAGTGAAGGGAACAATTATAACAAACTTTAAATTGTCTTGTTTTCTATGGGGAGCAGAGAGATGAGGCTAGAGAGGTACATAGAATCAAGAGAGTTTTACAACATGGTGTGACATTACGGAACGTTTTATGATGAATGATTCTATGAGAGGAAGGACTTGATATCTCAGGTGAGAGAAGATATAACTTTTGGACCTGAATGTTAGTACGTGACAGGAAACAGGACTCAGTTGACAGGTGGGCAGAAGGTGGGTTATGTGGGTAAGAAATTTGTTTGTAGATGTGGGGGTGAAAGCATATGGATATTATCAGAAAGTTAAAATGTGGCAGAATGCCGGGGGCTTGAAGAAGGAGGAAGTGTAAAATCTCATATAGAACAAGAATAATCTAAGGAAATGAGATATCATTGTCCCCCACACAGGACTTTATTAGAAGACACAAATTTGAGTTCCAGTCAGCATGCTTTTACTGTTTTCTACAATCTCACTTAACTGCTTTGGTGCAGTTTCAGAGAGAGTAGGATTTAACTAGGGTTGTGTGAGAAATGATAGAGGGGACTGGATATTAAGAACATATTCAGGACAGTTTTTATAATGTTGTGCCATGAACTGTAAGCAACATAAAAGAGAGGAATGATGACAAGATACAATGAAAGCTTCTGCAGCCTTAGTAAATCTTTTTCTTACTGTGCATGCACATGGCTGTGCAATAACAAACATTATATAATAAATATAAGCATTCTGAGTGCTGTTCAGAGCCAAATTATTTTTTGTAAAGCTTCATAACAATACACCATAATTTACAATACCACACATGTGCTTGCTATTAGGCAAATCTAGCTAGGTATCTGAGAGACATACCATTTTTATAAAACCCCACTATCCAACATTCTAGCTCAGTGGAATCTCTGCTCCAGACTCTTAGGAGTTAATTTATCACTGAGAAAGGGTTGCCTTTTAGGCAACCCTAAAAAGCAGATGCCTAGCATCTATGCCTATGTTGCAGATATAAAAAGAAATTTGCTTCCAATAGTTCATGAGTTACAATGGATTCCGTGAAAGTGTTTGAGGGGTTGAAGATGTGTAGGTTATGTGGGAATTGTAGGGAATGTACAAACTTTGATGAAGAGGAACTTGTTGGGATCATGGGTTTTATATAATAAAATATATTATATTTGTAAGGAATTTCTGATATCACAGCTTAAGTTCTCTGGGAAGACAACCCCAAGAGTGAGATCAGAGTGTACAACATTTATTAAGGTGATGCCTAGTGATCAAAACTTGTGAAAATGAGGGGAAAGAAACAGGGCTGGGCAAAAGGAGAGCTCTGGCTACAAGGCAGTTCTATCAAAGGCCTTAGTTCATTCCACTGTAGCCACTAGAGCTAGATGATCCCTCTAGGCTGTTCAGAGTTGGGGAGAAGGGTAGGCCTTTTTACCCTTGCCTTGATCAGTAATTTGTGGTAGGGCCACCTTATGAAGGAGACGTGAATCGGGCAAAGCAGCTGTCTTCTGTGTAGGAAATAACTAGAGAGGACTAATAGATGAGATCCATCTGCTGGCAGAACTTCCAGCATTTGTGGGGACAAGTCCCTAATGCAGAATAGAGATCTGAACGATGTAGTAAAGCATCCAGCACCTTTGATTTCAATGGGCAGTGCCCTAGCACTTCTTCTGGATATCATATTTAAAAAAGTAAAAGAAAGGAAAATGAAAGAAAGAAACCTGCAATTTGTGATATTTTGTATGTAAATGGAAAAAACTACTTAGGTTCTTTCTGAATTCTTAAGAATTCTATTATTTGCATGACAAAGTATCTATCTTAACTGGTAAATTTGTTGTTGAAATACCTATTATGGTTTTATTAAAAAATTAGTTGACAACAATTAAAAATACAACTTTAGCACCACAATATTATATTTATATACTCCCCAAAATTAGATAAATTATCTGAATATTAATTTTGGGTTTAATATTATACAACTTCATGACTCAGATTACATATTTATATATTTTATTATATTTTACTGCATTTTTATCTGATTTATAAAAAGCTATTCATCCGTTACAGCTTCTATCTTCTGGCACTAATAACTACTTTTTACAATGATAAAATAAAAAAATGCAATTTAAAATTTATCTTTAAGATTGATAATTATGTTCCAGATTCTAACTTATGGTAAAACTATGGTCCAAATCCCATCTTACATTTGCACAACAGAATTCATATATTTAATAAAAAGGTAAAGAAATTGCTAGATATCCTGAGCATTATATCATTTTTGAGAACTGCAATAGTCATCGACTGGTCAATATTTGCATATGTTTGTGCTTGTATTGGATGTATTTCCTGAAGAACTAGAACATAAAATTTAGAGAGATAAATCAGAATTATTTCACTTTTCTAAAATACAGAAAACGTGTGCTCATTAATTTTATTTTTCCTTTTCAAGGAAAATAGCATTTAAAATTAAAATTGCTTTATGAATTGCTTAAAATATCTCAGAAAAAATAATAAGATCAAATTCAGTTAGTTTCAAATTATCTATGGAAGGTGTTAATATAAAGCAAGATGGAATTTTCATTTGCAGTGAAGTACTCATCTATCAAAGTGAATTAACTTTTCAGCTAAACAAGTACCCTTTAATCAATGGTGTCTTCTGAACATCTGTCCAAGTTGGCTTGTTATACATGAGTTTTATCCCTGCCTACAGTTGAGATTGCAAGCTCATAAAAAAAAAAACAAAAACGGTGCTGTGGCTATATTTCAGATGCTGCTTTTTCTAGGCTCAGTCTGCCACACTCCCTTTGCTTTAATCTCACTTATTGTAGGTTGGTTCTGCGTTCCTATTTGTCTCAAGCTCTTTGGATCAACATGATTGTTAAGGGTTTGACTTATTTTAGCTTACCTCAGATGCAAATCCTTCCTCTGTGCTCACAATCTGTCCTGTCTTTTTGGACAGTGATTATTCATTTGTTACACAGATACTTATTACTGATAGTATTGCATCCACACTGGACATGCAATAGCCCTTACTCTCAAAGAGCTTAAAGATCATATGGAAAAAAAAGAAATGTAAATAAAAAATAGAAGTTAGCAGAGAATCTTTTGGAGCAGGAAAGGCATTTGACTACCCAAGGCCCTATATAAATTATAATTTATCTACATCCTTCTATGCTTATCCTATAGAAAATATGGCCCAATCAGCAATCTTTAATCTTGGTAAAACTATTGCAACACTTCTTTTTGGTGGTTCAGTCAGAGTTAAGGAAAACACACTGCAGAGAAATACATTCTTCTGGCCAAATATCCTCTTATTTCTCTATTTTATTTATTTTAAAAAATGGGCTTAATAAACAAAGCTTTACCAGTCAGTAGTATAATTCTCTTTCTGGGAAGTCATCTGCTGAACTGAAAGAATCATGCTGAGAAATGTCATTTCTTTCTCATTCACTACTGTATTCTTATGCTTTACAAAATGTCTGGCACTAAGATACTTAATACGTACATTTTTCATGTCAACAAATAACTAAATTAATGAATAAATTAACAGAAGTTTGACCTTACCTTAGAATAGCCACATCTCCAGTTCTAATACATCACACACACACACACACACACACACACACACACACACACACTAGAGATCGCTGATCACCAATCTAGGGAAGTACGTTTTCATGGTGTTTACTAATGACTATTTGATGTTGCCCCCCAGCGCTTCTGAAATGGGTAATGGAGATGTAATCACTTAATTAATTTAAAGATAGGGTCACACGTACTATTCTATGGCTGATTTGATTCAATCTCAGTTATGTTGTATCCCCAAAATGGGTATAAAATTCTCAGCATAGTCCCAATAACACAACACCTGTGATATTAAGTATACATAATATTTCAATATAGTATGATCTAGAAGAGAATAAGATGCTTTTATTATCAAACAGGTAATTTCATTTTCATATTTAATTTACCAAAAATAAATATTTTCATCTGTTTCTACAGAGAAATAAATTTAAATGCATATATAAACATGTACCATGCCCTCTTCCAGATACCAAACCATGTTTAAATCTCTAGATGTTTTGCCACCTTCCGGTGCAGCTGCATGCTAGAAACTAAACATGACTGCGGTGAAAGACAACCAGGCATCGCTTGTAGGTATTGGATAAGCTCAGCATATTACTGAAAGCTTGAGAAAATCACAACATTACTTAAGACATAGTGTGATGGATGAATTCATCAATTTGCAAACAAAAATAACAGACATATTTTCCTTTATGGGCACAGGACTTTCTTAGTACATGGATGCATGAAAAATCAACACAAATAACATATCGTCTTCAAATACCAAATACCACAGTCTCTAAAGAATATCTGTTCCTGAAATGCTTTTGCTGCATCAAGCAAAATGAGAATGTTTGTCAAAGATGAATACAAGTAATCATGACCAGCTTGGTTACATAGGTGATTTGTGACTTCACGTGGAGTGAAAGATAAATAGATGATACAGAATCGTCATGAGGTTATAGAGAACCATGAAGACAGAGACGAAAGGTAATATGGAGAGGTGAACTTAAAGTTAGATACACAAAAATAAATATGAAGAAAAAGAAAGAAGCTTTAGGGAGGACCAGTGGACTAAAAGTGCTGTGATAGAGTATTTCTAAATTTTGAAAGAAAATAAGAGCCTTTTTGACTTCAAGAGAGATGACAGTCTATATGGACAGAATTATTTCCTTAAAGTTTTGGGAATGGTCATGGGCAATTCTTCCCACTTGAGTTTCCAGTCCACACGTCCTGATTCTGGACAACAAAGTTAAAACTAGAAAGTGATGTTATTTTCTTTTTAAAATTTATTGCGCTCACCTACTTTACTTTTCTGGAATAATACTGTGTACTGTGACCTATTATTTGCAGTAGCAATGTCACTAAAATATTTTAAATATCATCATTGTTGTTTTTGCTTGGGAGACATGTTTATTTATAGGAATTAAGACATTCTATACCTCAAAATCATTGCCAAGACTTTTAAAGTTTCCCTTGGGCTCTCTAAATATTTTCCGTGTGGAAATAGTGATGTAACATTCTTTAAAATATTAGAAAAGACACTTGTGAGGCTAGAGAAAGTAACTAATCTAAGCTAGGAAGTGCTGCCTGAGAAATTTCAGTTCCACTGAAAGATCTAGACTGCAGACCTTATAGAATGAGCCCAGAATCTACCTTTTATCAGTTGAAACTCTCAAGCTTTGTTGTTACTGACATTCAAACACGTCAATTATCTTCCTGATCCTAGCTTCACTCTTCATTAAAATGAAAATAATGATATTCAACTTATTGTTATGAAAAAGCTGTTTTAAAAACAATATATGGTAAAGCAGATAATACATTCATCTTGTCCCTTGATTCACAATGAATGATTGATATGTTTTAATTTTTTATTTTATATGATGATAGCTAAGAAACCTCTATTGAATAATGTGTATACCAGAGTAATACAAGTTGGAGAGATAAAAGCATTCAGAGTAAAGAGAAAGACATTGAGAAATTGAGATAAATCTAAGGAAATGATGCAATAAAATGACAGGCTTATGAGGGGAACTTAGGAAAATGCAATGGCTGGAAAAGGAGAAGCAAGTATGGTAACAGGAAGAGTCAAAGAAAATGAAAGAACCCATTGCCCATCAGGAGGTTTACTGTCACATGACCATTCCCCAAACCTTAGGGAAATAATTCTGTTTATATAGACTGTCATCTCTCTTGAAGTCAAAAATTTCAAAATTTAGAAATATTCCATCACAGAACTTTTAGTCCTCTCTATAAAGCTTCTTTCTTTTTCTTCATATTTATTTTTGTATATTTAACTTTAAGTTCACCTCTCCACTTTACCTTTGATCTCTGTCTTCTTGGTTCTCTTAAACATTAAATTGTTAATGGAACTCCAAATAAAGGCACAGCTTATTTTTAGTATTCACCCCCCTACATTTCTCAATAAAATAGTTTGATAGTTCGAAAATTATGAATTTAGAAATGTATTGTCAGATTATCTGTAATGTAAATATTTTACTGCTTTTTAAAATAAAAAAATTAAAAACGCAGTTATATTTTAAAATAAACAGACAAAAATAGCCTTTTTTAACAATTTACATTTATTTTGTATACCTGTCAAATATATTCCTTAGCAAGAGGCCCGTTCTGGAGCACCAAGTAACGTTTAATGTGGAGGTAATTTCTGCAGATGCTCTAGCTGTCAGGGCTGCTTTTAAAAGTTGTTTTCAGGGTGTCATTCACAGGCATTAACTTATGTTGTGATATTTTCTGCACCTTGACCTCACAACCTGCTTGATATGCATAACACTTTGCTCTGTCTTCAGAATTTGTTGCTTAAGAATGACCTTGTCTCACGTCCTCTCACTTCATACAGTGTTGGAAAGGTATGTGCATTATTCTTGTTGATAGGCTTTCTGAATTTCTTGATAGGCTCTATGAATTTGGATGCTCATTTTTTTTTTTTTTTAGTACAGATCACTTTTCACCAATGGTGAATTACTGAGCTCACTGACACACATTCTCAAGAGCAGCTACTGTATTTAAACGTGTATGTTCATTTGAATTAGAAGAATTGCCTCATTTTTGAAGAAAATGTGCAATTGAGTTTTACTAATACGAATTATGACTATCCCATATGAAGAAGGAAAAAGAGCCACTTTAAACTCATATTCTAGTCATTTTTATAAACCAACACTTGGATTTCTTAAGGAAAATTTCATACAATGTTTACCAAAATTCTAATTATAAAAACAGACCAAATTTATAAAAGCTAGACCATATGCACCAAAAGGTAAAGACACTAAAAATTATGAAAGAAAATTTCACTTTTTCCCTATTATAATAAATTGAAATGCCAAACAAATAGACTCAAGCAAGTAAAGACAATATGTAACTTAGTCCATTTAGGAATTAGTCCTGCCTCTGTGGGCAAATGGTAGATCTAAGAAACCACGTAGCATCAAGAGAATATATGCATTGGCTAAGAATCTTTATTTATGTATATTAAATAATTATATTTTTATCTCATTATGTTGCTTAATAATGACAAATGATAAGACACAATTTCTCCTCTTAAGAAGCTTTTTATATCAAATTATGTTAAATTAAAAATACCATAATCTTCTTAATCTTTAAAGAGGTGATCGTTTTAGGGTTTTTTTTTAAGTGTATGTTTGGCTGGAAATATAAGTCTAAACATAATTATTATTTAGAGATTTTGTTATGACTGTAGTTTCATAAATACCTACATTACATTTCAATGTATTGCATGTAATATATTACATTTCAATGTATTTCAGCATTGAAATAAATTCTAAAATGCCATTTTCACTCTTTCAAAATCAGGTTGAACAAAGAGAAATCCAGTTTCAGAGCAGGAAGAAGAATACTGATTGTGTTCAGGCTACATAAATCATGAATCACTCAGTAGATATTCTGCGTCCCTATTTTATGTCATTCTCTAGATACACTATCTTAACTGCTTTTTTTTTTTTAACCTGTTCTTACAACACTGCATCTTATATCACCAAGGCTATATTGTTAATTGGAGTTTCCTGGATCACAGTGCATATGCATCCCTAAAGTAACCTGTACCACTCTTTATTTTAGTAAATAGTCTGCATTCTATTTTTTTATTAAAAGTATCTAATTAAAATAAAATAATTTAAAACACATATGTTTAACTGGACACTCAGGACTGGTTCAAAAATTGAGAATTTAAGAAAAATTTACCACAACAGTAGCTTTAGTCCCCAAAGTATTATTAGTGGACTACTTTCCAAAACAGTTATTTATGCCATGTTTTCCATAAAAAATAATAATAATAATAACAGTAAATAAATAATAAGAAAAACAAACAAACTAAGCAAACTGAAAACTGAGGTCACAGGGAGAACTGCAACTCCAAATATTGGAGAAAGAGACAAGTACAGAAAAACACTGCTGAGGTCAGCTTACCTGGAGCAGAACTTGTCATGTTTGTAAATTTGTGGAAATACTAAAATGGTAAGTTTGACCAATGGTAGAGTCTAATTAGCTAGGTAAGAAAGAGTTTCCTAAGATCATAGACTGAGGTAGGTTTCATACACTGTCATGTGTTTCCCCTCCAGGAACCACATCATGTTCTCATGAAGAGCCAAGAAAAAGATGCTTCATTTCTTCAGCAAGGGGAGGGAAAAATGTAATCATTTTGAAATAATACAGTGAACTATTTATAACAAAAGCCTACTCTCCAGAAAATGACCTTACCAAAGCTCATAATAGAAGGATCATTATCCAACTCCAGCCTTCGTCTTCCTATTCCACCTACAGGGGAAAGGGAGAAGCGAAACAAAGAAAAGTGTAATTAATAGAAAAAAAGTTATAAGCATGGCCTATGTTAATTCAAAAGTACTAATAAGTATCACTGTTATACATAGTCTGAATTCACTAATAAAAGACACAGCCACAGTGATTTTAAAAAATAAAAGACACAACTATACGCTATTGTAAAGACACAAATTTAAAGCAAAAGAGTGAAGAAAGATATGACAAAGTAACAATAGTTTTTTTTAAATTAAAAAAAGTTGGAGTAGCTATCTAAATTTCAGATAAATCATGACAACAAGGAAATTATTAGTGTCAAGAGAAGCATTAGCTAATGATAAGGGAAGTAATTCTGTAAGATGACATAACAATTTTTAATATGTATGCATTAACATTACATCATCAAAACACATGAGGCAATAAACAGAAATGCAAAGTGAAACAGAAAAATCCATTTTTATAGCTGAAAGGTTAAACACCTTTTTTTTTTTTTAGTAAATGAAGATCAAACAGGCAAAACTCAGTAAGTATGTAATTAACCTGAATAGTACTATCGCTTACTCCATCCAACAATAACAAAATACACATTCTTCTCATGCTCACATGAAACATTCATTGAGAATCTCCTCTGGGTCATAAAATATACCTTACCAAATCTAAAGTCATAGAAAATATATGAAGTATGGTTGGCTACAGTGGAATTAAACTAGGAGTAAATAACAAAGTGGTAGATGCACAATCACAAAATATTTGATGATGAAATAACATAGTTCTATATAACACATAGTCAAAACATAAGATGAATTATAATAGATTAAAACTAAAAATATATTTTATGAAAATTTGTTTGATGCAGCTAAATAATTAAACCATATATATATTTACATATTATAAAAGTAGGAGAATATGAAATCAATAATCTAAGTTGGAGTGTTAAAGCACTAGCGAAATAAATAAAATTTAAGCCAAAAGTAGGGAGAAGAGAGTTATAATAAAATGCACAGCTACTATAAATGAAATTAAAACCTGGAAAACACTAGAGAACATCAATGAAACTAAAACCTGTTTCTTTAGAAAGATCAATAAACCTGACATATCACCAGCCAGATTAAAAAAGAAAAGTAAAAGATAAGAGAACCAACAAATTACCAATAAAAAAAAATTGAAAAAGGGGTCATCATTACTAATCCCCATGAATATTAATAAGATAATAAAGAAATACACTGAACAACTCTATACCTACAAATTGAAAGATTATTATTTTTTCTTTTTTGGGAGAACAGAGTCTTGCTATGTTGCCCAGGCTGGTCTCAAACTCCTGGGCTCAAACTATCCTCACACTTCTGCTTCCCTAAGTTCTAGGATATCAGGCATGAAATACCATGCCTGGCTCAAATTTGATAATTTTGATGAAATTGAGAGATACATTAAAGGAAGTATATTGCCAAAACTAACACACGAGTACTACCAATCTTACTAGGCCTATCACGTTAATTACACTGAAACAATAATTAAAAACCTAACAAAAATAAATCACCAAGCCCAGATAATTTCACCAGTGAATTCTATAAAACTATTAAAGAGAAAATAGAAACTCTCTCCAAACTATTCCAGAAAATACAAGTAGAGGAAACACTTCTTCACTAATCCTATAAAGCCATCAATACCTTAATATGAAAAACAGAAAAAGACATTGAAAGGAAACTATAGACCAATGTTTCTAATGAACACAAGTGCAAAAATCTTCAAGAATGTATTAGCTAATTGAATCAAAGTGTTTCAAAAGAATTACACACCATGGCCATTGAGATTCCTTGTAGATATGCAAGGCTAAATTGACATTTGAAAATCAATTTATATAATCCATCTGATCAAAGAGTAAACACAAAAAAGCTATATTATCACATCAAGTGGAGGAAAAGCATTCAACAAAATCCAAAATGGGAACAGCTTTCAGAAATCTAATAATAGAGAAGTTGATAAAAATATACAAGAAACTTACAGGTAACATCATACTTAATGGTGTGAAATTAGACTCTATCCTAAGATCAGGAACAAAAAACAGATGTCCCTCTCACTAACCACTATTCAATAGTGTATTGAAATTCCTAGACAGTGCAATAAGACAATATAGGAAAACAGTGTGTGAGTAGGAAAGAAAGAAATACAACTGTCCTTTCCATAGATGACATGAGCACCTGTGTAGAAAATCTCTCAAAATTGACAAAACCTTCCTCCCAAAGACATGTAAACAATAGCAAAGGAATGAATAAAAGTCTGCTGGAACCAATCAGCAATTACAGCAAAGTTATAGAACACAGGGTAGTACACAATAGCCCATTGATTTTCCATGCACCAGCAATGAACCATTGGAATTTGAAATAAAAAATATAGCACTATTCATGATGCCACCATAAAAGGGAAATACTTAGATGTAATTCTAACCAAATATGCACAAGATCTAAATATGGAAAACTACTAAACTTTGGTACAAGAAACTAAATATTTACATAAATGGAGGCATGTTTTGTGACATGGATAAAAAATTCAATATATTTAGGATGTATACTCTTCCTATATTTATCAACACAAGTCAAAATTCAAGTAAGCATTTTATTAATATTGAAAAAATGTTTCTAAAGTTTGTGTGGAAAGGCAAAAAACCTAGAATAGCCTACACAATGACAGAGAAGAACAAAGTTAGAGTCCTGACATCCCCAAGTTCAAAACTTTCTATAAAGCTATAGTATTCATGAGAATATTTTATTAATAAAAGAAAAGACACATAAAACTAAAGAATAGTTTTTTTTTCCCCCAAGATGGCAGATTAGAGGCTTTTAGTGTGCCTTAGCCGCTTGGAAATAGCAAGATATATATAAAGATTAAGTCCATAAGCATTTCAAGAAGGAAAACAGGAATCCACCAAAACCATGGATACTCCAAATCCCTGATAGGAGAATGTGGGCAAACAGCCCACATGGTGTGATCTGGCTGATAAAAGTGAGTGAAGCCCCAGTATGTGAGAAAGGCAGACAGTCCCCCTCTGTTACTCACTTTTCCACTAGGGCTGCTCTAGGAAGAGTGCTTTGTTTCTTCTAAGCCCTTCAGCTAACTTGGGGAATGGCTTGGAGACACTGAGAGGGAAAATAATGGGAAAACCTGCAGACATTTTCCCTGACCCAGGACAAAGAAAAGGACACCATTTTTAATTCAGGCACATATAAGGCAAGTTGTTATTTGGTTACCTGGCAGCATAAATACAAAGGCATTTTGTTCTCATGTCTGAAATTGGAACACTTGCTTTAGAGCAAGGTAGGGAACACCAAAGCCAGAAATGTGGAAAGTGCCTCAACAATAGGCACTGGAATTGTGCTCTTCCCCATCACAAGACGGTGGTAGGAGGAAAGCTACTACAACCGTGGCTTCTACGGGATGACTTGTAGCCAAGGCCAGCATGGTGAGCTGGAACCAGTCTGTATGTGTTTTGCTGGGTGGCACAGCCTGCTTACCTAGATTGTAGAACGGCAGGACTCTCGGTCCTGCATGCCCTGGCAGAACTCTCAACATTCAAAGCACCCCCATGCCTGAATCAACAGCCTGAGTTACCCCACCTTTCCTGTGCATGGATCCTAGTGAAAGGGGGCCCTATCCATTTCATGCCTAGTCATATCTCTAGGCATCTGGGGCATCCCTTCTCCTGGTTTAGGAGTTTAGGCTGCCTCCCCATCTCCATGCAGAAATCTTGGGGCCAAGGAGGTTTCCCAGCTCCACACCTAGTCACACCTTTGGGTGTTTGGTGGATTCTCACTGGGTTCTCCCTCTGCTCTTTACCTGTGCCTGCCATCAGGGGACCTGTAGGCAGGGCTACCCAGTCCAGATTTTCCCATATTGCACCCACCACACTCTGGGGCTGAGCAGAAAGCTTAGACACCTGTGTGACATATGGGTCAGCCCATTGCCTGAGACAATAGAGAGCTTCTCCCAGTAAATAAGGAGTAAGTGAACACTTAGCTGTGTTGGCCTTAGCTGACTCTTACCCATAATCATTATCTACCAGCTTGTAGGTAAAACCACACAGTCCAATATAAAATCTGCTGACAGAGTGTATAGGGCTATAGAAACAAAGCCAAAAGACCCTCTCCAACATTCTCTAGAATTGTATCTGCTAGGGAGGGAGGAAAGAGGAAAGGGGAAACAATAATATTATAGAGAAAGAAAGAAAATGAAAAAAGTCCGATTCACATAAAAAAAAATTACAAATAGTAGAAGTGTCAGCATCTCCAGATGAGAAGGGACCAGCACAAAAATTCTGGCACCTGAAAAATATAAATGTAGTGACACTACTGAAGAATTACATTAGCTTTCCAGCAAAGACACCTAGCCAAAATGGAAACTCAGAAATGACAGATAAATAATTTAAAGGATGGATTGCAAGGAAGGCCAAGAAGATCCCAAACAAGGTTCAATGTAAACACCAATAAACTTCTGAAGTAATTCAGGAAATGAAGAAAGAGTTAATCATTATTTTAAAAAAAATCTATAGAGCTTCTGGAATTGAAAACCTCAGTTAAGAAATTTCATAATACAATTGAGTATTTTATCAATACATTTCATCAAGCAGAAGAAAGAATTTCAGAGCTTGAAGACAAGTCTTTCAAACTAACTCAGTCAGACAAAAATAAAGAAAAAATAATAATTTTTAAAAATGAACAAAGTGAGAAATATGGAACTATGTAAATAAACCTAATCTATGAATTATTACATTCCTGAGAGAGATGGAAAAACTAAAGACAACCTTCACACCACTCCTATTCAGCATGGTACTGGAAGTCCTAGCCAGAGCAATCAGGAAAGAGAAAGAAGTAAAAGGCAGCCACATAGGAAAAGAAGAAGTCAAACCATCTCTCTTCGCTAACAATGTGATTTTATACCTGGAAAACACTAAAGACTCTGCCAACAGGCTTCAGGAATTGATCAATG
Organism: Homo sapiens; assembly: GCF_000001405.40. Classification (NCBI taxonomy): domain Eukaryota; kingdom Metazoa; phylum Chordata; class Mammalia; order Primates; family Hominidae; genus Homo; species Homo sapiens. Next base: position 56,340,574 of record NC_000013.11, read on the forward strand.
ACGTTAGTAAAGTTTCAGAATAAAAAATCAATTTATGAAAATTAGTAGCATTTATATGCACCAGTCATGTTTAAGATGAGAGTAAAATCAAGAAAATAAGTCCATTTGCAATAGACACACACACACACACAAATCCCAGGAATACATCTTACCAAGGAGGTAAAAGATCTCTACAAGGAGAACTGCTAAACACTGCTAAAAGAAAACATAGATGACATAAATGATTTAAAAGGCATTCTATATTCATGGACAGGAATAATCAATATTGTTAAAATGTCCATACTTCCCAAAGCAATCTGTAGATTCAATGCTATTTCTATCAAACTGCCAAATACATTTTCACAGAATTACCATAAAACCTATTCTAAAACTTATACAGAACCAAAAAGATCCTCAATAACCAAAGCAATCCTAAGCAAAATAAATAAAGCCAGAGGCATCATATTACTCAACTTTATACTATCAGGTTACAGTAACCAAAACCTCATGGTACTGTTAGAAAAACAGACACAGAGACCAATGGAACATAAAAGATGTGTTAGTTCATTTTCATACTGCTATAAAGAACTGCCCAAGATTGGGTAATTTATAAAGGAAAGAGGTTTAATTGACTCACAGTTCAGCATCACTGGGGAGACTTCAGGAATCTTATAATCATGGCAAAGGTAAAGGAGAAGCAAGGTGCCTTCTTTGCAAGGCAGCAGGAAGGAGAAATGCAGACCCAAGGAGGAAGAGCCCCTTATAAAACCATCAAATCTCATGAGAAATCACTCACTATCAGGAGAATTGCAGACCCAAGGAGGAAGAGCCCCTTATAAAACCATCAAATCTCATGAGAACTCACTCACTATCATGAGAACAGCATGGGGGAAACTGCCCCCATGATTCAATTACCTCCACCTGGTCTCTCTCTTGACATTTGGGGATTACAATTTAAGATGAGATTTGGGTAGGGACTCAAAGCCTAACCATATCATTCTGCCCCTTGCCACTCCCAAATCTCATCTCCTCACATTTCAAAACACAATCACGCCTTTCCAATAGCCTCCCAAATTCTTAGCTCATTTCAGCATTAACCGAAAGTCCAAGTTCAAACTCTCATCTGAGATAAGACAAGTCTCTTCCACCTATGAGCCTGTAAAATCAAAAGCAAGTTAGTTACATCCTACAGGCCCCAGGCAAGTCCAAAGTCCAGTGGGGCAGTCAAATCTTGAAGCTTCAAAATAATCTACTTTGACTTCATGTCTCACATCCAGGTCACAATGATGCAAGAAGTGGGCTTCTATGGCCTTTGGCAGCTCTTTCCTTGTGGCTTTGCAGGGTGCATTCTGCCTCCCACTGGCTTTCACAGGCTGGCATTGAGTGTCTGCAACTTTTCCAGGTGCACAGAGCCAGCTGCCAGTGGGTCTACCATTCTGGGGTCTGGAAGATTTTGGCCCTCTTTTTACAGCTCCGCTAGGCAATGCCCAGCAAGAATTCTTTGCGGAAGCTGCTACCCTACATTTCCCTTCCTCACTACTCTAGCAGAGGTTCTCCAGGAGGGCTCAATCCCTGCAGCTGACTTCCTTCTGGACACCCAGTTGTTTCCATACATTCTCCAAAATCTAGGTGGAGGTTCCCAAATCTCAAATTCTTGACTTCTGTGCACCTGCACACTCAATGCAATGTGTAAGCCACCAAAGCTTGGGGCTTCCTTCCTCTGATGCAACAGCCTGAGTTGTATGTTGGCTGCTTTTAGTCACTGCTGGGACACAGGGCACCAAGTCCTGAGACCACACAAAGGAGCAAGGCCCTGAGCCCTGCCCGTGAAACCATTTTATTCTACTAGGCCTCTGGACTTGTGATGGGAGGGGCTGCCATGAAGACCTCTGACATGTCCTGGAGATATTTTCCCCATTGTCTTTGTGATTAACATTTGGCTCCTCATTACTTATGCAAATTTTTGCAGCCTGCTTGAATTTCTTCTCAGAAAATAGGGTTCTCTTTTGTATCAAACTGTCAGTCTGCGAAATTTCAAAATTTCTATGCTGTTTCCCTTTTAATAAATTTGAATTCCAAATCATCTTTTTTTGAATGCATAAAACTGAATGCTTTTGAGAGAACCAAAGTCACATTCTGAATGCTTTGCTGCTTAGAAATCTCTTCTGCCAGATACCCTAAATTATCTTTCTCAAGTTCAAAATTCCGCAGATCTCTAGGTCAGGGAAAAATGCTTCCAGTCTCTTTGCTAAAGCATAACAAGAATCCCTTTGCTCCAGTTTCCAACAAGTTCCTTGTCTCCATCTGAGACCACTTCAGCCTGGACTTCATTGTCCATATCACTATCAGTATTTTGGTCGAAGCCATTCAACAAGTCTCTAGAAAGTTCCAAACTTTTCCATATCTTTCTGTTTTCTTCTGAGCCCTCCACGCTGTTCCTACCTCTGCCTGTTACCCAGTTCCAAAGTCGCTTGCACATGTTCCAGTATCTTTATAGCAGTGCCCCACTCTCTGTGACACTAATTTATTGTATTAGTCCATTTTCATACTGTTATAAAGAATGGCCTGATATTGGGTATTTCATAAAGGAAAGAGGTTTAAATGACTCACAGTTCACCATGACTGGAGAGGCCTCAGGAAACTTAAAAATATTGCAGAAAACAAAGGGGAAACAAGGCACCTTATTCACAAAGTGGCAGGAAGGAGAAGTGTCACCTTAATATGGTTTGGCTCTGTCCCCACCCAAATCTCATCTTAAATTCTTATGTGCTGTGGGAGGGACCCAGTGGGAAATAAATGAATCATGTGGGTTGGTCCTTCCTGTGCTGTTCTTGCGCAAATGAATAAGTCTCATGAGATCTGATGGTTTTAAAAATGGGAGTTTCTCTGAACAAGCTCTCTCTCTTTTTGCCTGCTGTCATTCATGTAAGACATGATTTTCTCCTCTTTGCCTTCCACCATGATTGGGAGGATTCCCCAGCCATGTGGAACTGTAAGTCCATTAAACCTCCTTCTTTTGTAAATTGCCCAGTTTCTGGCATGTCATAAAAATGGCCTAATACATGTTTGAAGTGGGAAGAGCCCCTTATAAGACCTTTAGGTCTCATGAGAACTCACCAACTATCATAAAAACAGCCTGAGAATAACCATCCCTATGATTCAATTACTTCCTCTTGGCCTCTCCCTTGACACATGGGAATTATGGGGATTATTGGGATTACAATTTAAAATGAGATTTAGAGGGTACACAAAGCCTAACCATATCAAAAGAGAACACAGATATAAAGCTGCATGCATACAGTAACTTAATCTTCAATAAAGTCGATGAAATTAAGTAAAGGAAAAAGGACTCCCTATTCAATAAGTGGTTCTGGGACAGCTGGCTAGCCATTTTCAGGACAATGAAACTGAAACTCCACTTCTCATCATATACAAAAATTAACTCAAGATGGATTAAACATTAAATTTAAGATTTTAAAATATAAGAATCCTAGAAGACCTAGAAAACACAATTCTGTACGTTCAGCCTTGGGAAAGATTTTAGGACTATAAATTACCTCAAAAATAATTGCAACAAAAACAAAGATTTCACAAATGGAACCTAATTAAACTAAAAGCTTCTTCACAGCAAAAAGAAACTATCAACAAACAACCTACAGAATGAGAGAACATATTTGCAAACTACTTCTGACAAAGGTTTAATGTCTAGAATCTATAAGAAAGTTCAACCATTGAAGAAGCCAAAAACTAATAACTCCTTTAAAATGTGGGCAAAATACGTGAACAGACACATCAAAAGAAGACATACACACAGCCAACAAACATATGAAAAAATGTACCACATCACTAATCATCAGCAAAATGCTAATCAAAGCCACAGGAGATATTTTATACCAGTCAGTGACTATGATTAAAAAGTTAAATACAATATATGTTGACAAGTTTGCAGAGAAAATAGAACACTTATTCACCATTTTGGGGAATGTTAATTAGTTCAGCCACTGTGGAAACAGAAGATTTCTCAAATAACTTAAAACAGAACTCCCATTAGACTCAGTAATCCTGTTACTGGGTATATATTCAAAAAACATTCTATTAAAAAGACACATGTACTTGTATATTCATCATAGCCTTATGAAATCACCCTCATTGCCCATTGATTATACATTAAGTAAAGAAAATGTGATACAAATAGACCGTGGAATACTACACACTCAGAAAAGAGAAAAACTTCACATCTTTTGCAGTAAAGTGAATATAGCTGGAAGCTATTATCTTAAACAAATTGATGCAGGAACAGAAAACTAAATACCACATGTTCTTACTCATAAGTCGGGGAGCTAAACATTGGGTATTCATGGCTATAAAGATAACAATAGGAGACACTGAACTACTAGAGTGTGGAGGGGGAAAGTGGGGCAAGGGTTGTAACATTACCTATTAAATACTATAATCTCAAGACCTTTGTGATGGGATCAATTGTACCCCAAACCTCAGCATTACACCATCTGACCATATAATAAACCTGCACCTGTACTCTCTGAATTTGAAATAAAAGTTGAAATTTTAAAAACGTTAAAATAAGAAAGAAAAACAGAAGAGCACAGATAGCCCAGAAATAGACTCACAAAAAAGATAGGCAACTGACCTTGACAAAGAGGCAATGACAAATCAAAGATAAAGGGTACCTTTTTCAATTAATGATGTGAGGACAATTTGACGTCCATGGGCAAAAAAATAAATCTAGACACAGATCTTATACACTTTATTATAATTAAAATGGATCATAGATCTAGATGTAGAATGCAAAATTATAAACTTCTATCAGGAAACACAGAAGGAAATTTTCATGAACTTTGATTGGCTATGAGTCTTTAGATATAATACCAAAACTGAATCTGTGACAAAAATAAATAAAAAACAAGATAAGTTAGAATTTCTTAGAATTTAAAAACTTTGAATCTGTGAAAGATGCTGTTAAAATAGTGGAATGAGAAGTTACAGACGGGGAGCAAATATTTTCAAAACACATATGTGATAAAGAACTTGTATACAATATATACAAAGAACACTTAAAATTTAGCACTCAAAATGATCCAATTAAAAAAAAATGTATAATCTATCTGAACAGACACATCAACAAAGAAAAAAAAAATTAGACAAATTCCAATCGAAGGACATTCTTAACAAATCTGACCAATACTTCTCAAAGCTGTCAATGTCATCTAAGGAAAGTCTGAGTAACTGAGGAGCCTAATGAAATATGATGGGTAAGGTTACTGTGATGTGTTAGATGGGATGCTGCCACAGAAAAATATGTTGGGTAAAAACTTCCAAAAGTTGGGGGAAAAAAAAAACTAAGAAAAACTTCATGAAGTATAGACTTTTATTAATAATAATGTATTAATATTTATTCATCAAGTGTCAACAAAATTTCCATACTCATGTGGGGGTGTCAGTAACAGGTACCCCTGTGTGAAAGGATAGATGTGAGCTCTCTGTACTATATTCTCAATTTTTCTGAAAATCTAAAATTCTTCTAAAAATAAATTATTAAAGAACTACTATTTGATAGTAAAGATACACAAATATTTGCATATTATTGCAACACATACCTATTTATATCTCCTCTCTGATGTTTATGAAATATATATAGGACATAAATTAGCTATTATGGGGTTGATACTTTTAGAGAGACAAGTCCCAAGTCCCTCAAAGGAAGTACATTGGAATTTTTGAGATTCTGGATGCCAAAGTCATATTGCCTTATTTTGAATCCCCACTTCATTTTCTATTACTGAGAAAATACTTATTACTAGGAAAATTTCCTTTCTGTGTTTTGGTTTTCTCATTTGTAAAATGTTTAAAATAAGATAACCTAACATAAGCCGGGTGTGGTTTCTCATGCCTCTAATCCCAGCACTTTGGAAGGCGAAGGTGGGCAGATGACCTGAGGTCAGGAGTTCAAGACCAGACTAACCAATATGGAGAAACCCTGCTTCTACTAAAAATGCAAAATTAACCAAGTGTGGTGGCATATGCCCATAATCCCAGCTACTCAGGAGGCTGAGGCAGGAGAATCGCTTGAACCCGGGAGGAAGAAGTTGCGGTGAGCCGAGATAGTGCCATCGCACTCCAGCCTGGGCAATAAAAGCGAAACTCCATGTCAATAAATAAATAAATAACCTAACATAAACACTAATCTCATCCTATAAGGTTGTTGAGATAATCATTTGAAGTAATACATATAACATATGTAAAATAGTTTCCAGTACATAGTGTTGAGTAAGTATTAGTTGTTATGGAAGACAAAGATCTTTATTCAGTCATCTATACCAGTGCCTGATAATATTTGGCTTATAGTATGTGTTGACTCTATGTTGCTTGAAAGAATAAGTACACAAGTTTGAACTCATTTCTGAATGAATAAATACACATTATTCCAACACTTTTATAGAAGAATTACAATGTCAAAAGCCTAAATTCTTAAAAAGTAAAATGTGTTGTGTCTTTTTCTTGATGTAGACTTAAAATATCTTGACCCCTTACTGCTTCTTGTCTCTAAATAAATCCACATGACATCTCAAGTGAAAAAAGCTACAGGCAACCTCTCTGGAAAATTTTATGAATGGTGACATCATCATGTAAATCTCACTAACTTAAACAAATATAAGCTATAGGATCCACTACGTTTTTTTTTAAACCTCACAAATCATTTAGACACTAAATATATGTGCATGTTTCTGAAGACTGAACATTGTTATCATCTCTAATAAAATTATAATGTTTTCACAAGTTAAGTAAGTGCTACCCATTCATGTCTAAGTAAATCTGATCAGCCTGAGGAATTACAAGGAGACCTCATCACCTGAATATGTGGATCAAAAAACTGATTTATTTAAAAGGAAAATAAACAAGTTTAAATTTTGTATAATAATCTGTTAATTTTATCAGCAATACTAAAAGTCAATTCCTTTTTATTGAAATTTTGTAAATACCCAGGAAGAGCACATGTGGCTAATTTGTCTTGTGTCACACTTCAGAAAAGCCTTCAAATTCATCCATATGTGCAGCCCTCACGTATTTTGCATCCATATACAAGAGACCCACTCTTTCTGCTTTTTTCTATTACTAACTGAAAAACTACATAATAGATAATTTCTCAGATCAGCCGATACATAGTTTTTAAGTTAAATTCTCTTTTGAGTAAAAAACAGATTGGCAAGAAATAAATCAAATTGTATGGTTTGGCTAAGAAAGCTGACAAATGAAGATTTTAAACCCAGGACTATATATTGAATTGGGATAATATATTTGGGTCTCCAAAAAGAGGATTATTGCTTGGAATTAAGTAAAACAGGTCAGTTATAAAAGAAACATGCAGAAAATGAGTGAATGAGTTTGAGGGAAAGTGTAGTCCTTGTTTTGTTGGTGGGACTCAAGATGACAGAGGTCAGTTAGGGTGAAGTTAATTACTATACAATCATTCAATCATGTAATCATAAATGATCCAGTCTAACAAACAAGAAAGAGCAGTACTGTTCCAGGTAAAAAAGAGGTTCAAATTGTGTGAACAGTGATAACATTGTTCCTGAATGTAAATTTATTCTCAGCTGGGCTTTTGTCTGGAAATAATATGGCATCAGAATGAAGAAGAGGATTTTGCTTTCTGATGGGCAAGAATAGATGATGTATCAGGGAAACATCCAAGAGAACAGGAACTAGTGGAATTTTTTTCGCTTACTGGACAAATAGAAGGCTAGGACAGAGAGGCAAAGCAGAAATTCTATACTGGAAAGGTAAACAGGGGATGCAAGTTCATATGCAAATAAGCATAATGGATGAGTGATATACAAATTCAAATAGAATCCCAGAAAATAACCTCCAAAGAAACATGAATTCAAAATCAAATAATTTATTTCAGTTTTTAAAAATCACATCTTTAAGTTTTTGAATATAACTCTTTTTTTCAATTAAGAGTATATTTGGGCTGGGTGTGGTGGCTCACGCCTGTAATCCCAGCACTTTGGGAGGCCAAAGCAAGTGCATCACTTGAGGTCAGGAGTTCGAGATCAGCCTGGCCAACATGGTGAAACACCGTCTCTACTAAAAATACAAAAATTAGCTGGGCGTTGTGGCAGGCACCTGTAATCTTAGCTACTTGGGAGGCTGAGCAGGAGAATCTCTAGAACCTGGGAGGTGGAGGTTGCAGTGAGCCGAGATCGCACCACTGCACTCCAGCCTAGGCGACAGAGTGAGACTCCATCTCAAAAAAAAAAAAAGAAAAAAAAAGACTATATTTGCCAAAGGTCTTAGATAGTCTGAAAGATTATGTTGCTGAAGCCCAACTAAAGTGATTTAAACAAGTGAGGATATTTATTTCTGTCATAAAAATAAGTCCTGAGTAAAGCAGTATGGAACTAATCAAGTGGTTCATTGAAGATGTAGGCAACCTAGCCTTCTTTAATTCTTATGCTTTCATTTGTGTCTATTTTTGTCTTCTACATTACTACATATCTGCTGCTTCTCCAGCCCTTCTGTTTAATTTTTATTCACAAAGAAAGAAAGAGGGACAAAGTCCTCTTAGTCAAATAATTTGGTGTTTTTATTCATGAAAGTATACCCTGCTTTATGCACTTTTGCAAATAACTCTTTGGCCCAAACTGAGTAACATGGTCACCATTAATTGCAACAGTAGATAGGATTGTGGTGGGCCAAGTTTTAAAATGGTTCCTAGGAGCCCCACCTTCTGCACCTTCTGGTGCACAAGCCAAGCCATCTATCAACTCCTCTCCACTGTGTGGGCAGGATCTGGGAAAATTATCCTCCTGATAGTTTTTTTTTTTTTTTTGAGGTGGAGTCTTGCTCTGTCACCCAGCCTGGAGTGTAGTGGCACGATCTTGACTCACTGCAACTTCCATCTTCTGGGTTCAAGCGATTCTCCTGCCTCAGCCTCCCAAGTAGCTGGGATTATAGGCATGTGCCACCACACCTGGCTAAGTTTTGTATTTTTAGTAGAGACAGGGTTTCACCATGTTGGCCAGGCTGGTCTTGAACTCCTGATCTCAGGTGTTCCACCCACCTCAGCCTCCCAAAGTGCTAGGATTACAGGCATGAGCCACCGGGCTCGGCCTTGATTGCTTTCTTATGTAGCTGACTGAAGAAGCATTTTCCTGCTGGCTGTGAAGAAGTAAACTGCTGTGGTGAGAGAGGACTTAATGGTGATGTCTGGGAGCTGAGCATGACATCCAACCAGGAGCCAGCAACAGATGGAGAAGCTCAGTCCTATAACCACAGAAAGCTGAGTTTTGCAGATAATTTAAATGAGCTTGAAAGAGAATACCCAGCTTCAGATGAGAATGCAGCCTAGCCAACTTCTAGATTTTAGCATTATGACATTTGGAGTAGAGAACATAGCTGTCCTTTGCCCAGGTTTCTAACTTACAGAAATAGGGAGATAGTACATGATGTTGCTTTCATCCGCTAACTGTGTGGTTATTTGTTATGCAGCAATAGATTACTAATTCAGGAATGTATTACTTTAACTAGACACTTCGCTGTTCCAAGCAAAATTGCTTGATGAGAAGTAGAAAGTAATAGATACTGGGAAGCAAGTAAACAACTGTATCTAAAGGATTTGTATATTTGGTTGTCCCATTCATAAGTGCTAAACCAAATCACTAGCCAGTGTTGAAATTTTTGTTTGGATTTTTAAGAGTTACTTACTAACATTTGAGACTGCGTCCTGTTTTTTCTCTTTGTTTTTTCTTAGTTTTTTTTGTTTGTTTGTGTGTTTTGTTTTTTTCTCTTACTGGCAGGGTGTGGTGGCTCATGCCTGTAATTCCAGCACTTTGGGAGGCTGATGCAGGAGGGCAGCTTGAGCCTAGAGGTTCAAGACCAGGCTGGGCAACATAAGAAGATCCCATTTCTACAAAAATGTTAGAAAAATTAGCCAGGCATGTGGTACGCGCCTATTGTCCCAGCTGCTTGAGAAGCTGATGTGGAAGGACTGCTTGGGCCTGGGAGGTCGAGGCTGAGGTGAGCTGAGATCGTGCCACTGTACTACAGCCTGAGTGACAGAGCGAGATTCTGTCTCAGAATAAATAAATAAATGGATAAATAAACTACCATAACCCAACTCGTTTCTTTAATGCTATGGAATTTTCCTATTTGTCCAATTGTCATATTTTACTTGTCAATTTTCCATACGTGAATGTAATGAATAAATGGGTGAATCAAAGAATAATTAAATTAATTATTTTTTTAAAATGCCTAGGCTTATGATGTTTACCATAAAATGACTAAGCTAGTAGCTATCAGCTTGGGTGGATAAGCTTTACGTAAGAGTTATTAAAAAGGCTAGAGACAATAACTGATTTCATGTTACAGTTTTACAATCATTTTAATAAACAATATTCTGAAATGATTAGTATAAGTAGCTTTAGAGAAAGCTTTGAACTATAGGAAACATTTGTTCTCTCCTTATGAAGTTCAGCAGGCATCCTTTTGGCCCTGAAGTCAGGTGGGAATGTCTGCCCCGCTTCAGGAGAAGTGCAGCTGGAATTCATGTGGTGGTTAATGTTGGGCACCACCAATTTAATTAGTTTAACCACTTGAGTCCTGCTGAATGAACCTAGTACATGGGGTTAATCACTTATCAGTGGGAAAGTATAAGACACATGTGCCGGTAGAGCACTATCAGCCAGCAGGTGATAGTCTGAGTTATGCGCTCTGCCCTGCCCACTGGGTGGCAGAGCCAGTGAAGCATTCAGCCATTGAATTTCCTGGCTGTTTAACTGACTCACATACTACTCAGGACAAATTAGCCTTGTGAATTTCTTCTGCTAGTTTTTCTTAAATGAATACATCTTGTTTGTTGAGTTTTTTAAAGGTGGCTTTTCTCCCAGATTTCTATCAGCACTTATTTTACTTTCTTCATTATCCTTTTAAGAGAAAAACACAAGATCATTGTTGACCCCTGGGAATGTTAAAAGGGAAACTTTAATTGATATTTAATGCCTAATTGTCACCAAATATAAATATATCATAATACCTGTTAAGTACTGGAAAGTGAATAAGTCTCCAAAATATTTGTTCGACTCTTTCTTATAAGATACCAATTTGGGAAACCTTGGCAGATTCTTTATGTTCCAAAGACCATTTTATTAACAGTTGTTTTGTTAAATAGGGCAGTCACTGGATAATGACTAAATACTACTTCTACTCACAAGAATATGAAATATAAAGCTGACTAATATCAAAACAGTTATTAGATATAAATACTAACACAGAGAGTCAAACATTGTGATATATTCAGAAAGATCAGTTTATATTTGATCAAAGGAATTCCTCTTCTAGAATTGTTAAACCTGTTATAACCAAATAGGTACCATAATAATATGAACATGCAAGAATTAGCATACTTGAGAGCTTGAGGGAAATTGTGAACCCTTAATTTGCACTGAGATACACATTTTATCAATCTTGGCATGTGATAAAAGAATTGAATCTCATCTAGGGATAATTTTTGTCAAATATAGACAGCTAATTAGAAATAAAGCTTGTGATGATGTGTTAGACCCAAGTAACCTTTCTTTCAGCGCATCATAGAGAAAGACTATTCACTATCATCAGATGAGAAGATTTTATTTCTTGAGTATGATACACAGTCCTTTCAGTATTTCTCACTTTCTCATGGAGCTAGAGTAAGGAATTTATAGTAAGAAATGGAATTTCCCACTTAAAACTGAGACTGATTGAGGTTGATTTTACAATTTTCGTGTATCTATATATCAACTGTAGACATTAAAGTTGAGCTTCGATACTCCCTGTTCTTTTCAGTTTGCTTCCCTGGCCACTTAACATTAAGTGTCATCATTTCACTGACTACAGACAATGAAAAGTGTATAGAAGTTGTGTCATTTCCGAAAGCAAACATTTAATTGTTGGGACTTGATTTTTTCCACCTTTCTTTCCCTGCTCCTTCAACTGGGAAGTCGTTTATTATAGACAATTTAGTTACAGTATGTGGAACCACCACCAGCCTGCATCGCTGACTCACTGTTGAGAAAGCTGTTGCCCTGAACATTTTCCAAGTTCACAACAGACTTTAAGTTGTTGAGAAGTAAACTTTGTTGTTACTATTTTTTATACAACAAAGCTTTTGAACCTTTGTGTATGTGTTACTGCAGTATACCCTATTCTATTCTGACTGATAAACTGTCAACTCTGTATGAATCTTTTGATAGTGTTGGGGAAAAAAGTAACTTTTTTTTTTACAATAACTGGAAATGTGATTAGAAAATTTCACCATCCTAATTTAATCTGTATTCATTTTAACTTGAAATATAGTTCCTTTTTTCCATTGTTTAGAACTATCTATACAACCAGTATTTGAGCACATGTCATATATTTTCTGAATGCTATTGCTGAAATATCAATCTCCTCTGAATGTGACAGAAACAGTAATGCTTGACAAGCCATCCTTTGCAACTTAACTTGTATCTACAAGCTGACACAAGACTCTAATTATTTTGTATTTAAAAGCAAATCCTTAGTGATTGCTCAATAGATTACCTCAATCTTATTATTATTCTCATTCATTTATTACTCACAAATGTTTTATTGAGATTCCATTGTGTGTCAAAATGTGTTTTTGACTTTGGATACAAACAGTGAAAAAGATTGACAGTCTCAAACCATGTGCTTCTGTGACAAGTTTGCCTTTGCATACCACAGCTGTGCCAAACCTCTAGAACTCTATGTTAGTGCCAAGAGAAGGAATGCCCACTATGAGATTACATAAGTTTAGAAAACATAAAGTCATCTATTCCTCACTTGCCCTTTAAAATATATTTTTTTTCTATTTACTGCTTCTGCACCCATGGAATTGAAGTATTTTTGATATTTCAGACATCTGTTAGTGAGAAGGCTTTATAATCAGGAAGGTTAGACAGTGCTTTAGAAAAGTTTCAATATTCGTTAATTTTCTATCATCACTTAAGTAAAATTAAAATTACAAATCAAGAACTCATGAAGGGCCCACATTTCTATATTTATCTAGTGACTTCCTGACATTCTCCTTCCTGAATTTCATTATATCATAATATCAAATGGCTTGTAGTCCCCCACAGACATGATAATCTTCCAGTTCCATTTGTCTGTGTCCAAGTTGTTATCACTCGCTCTATAATTCTGCTTAGCCTGTTATCACCTTATCTTCCCATTCTCATCTTGGGTGTGTTTTCCCAATAGAGGCATTGCTGACACAACCAGGCAGAATTAAGTGTCCTGTTCTATGTTACCATTGTCCTCTGCATATGCCTTCAGCAAAACAATATCATATATGCAAAACTATTTATTTATCTGTTTGTAAAGTCTTACTAGATTGTAAGCACTTTAGAAAAGCCACTGTTAAAACTGTCTTCAGGCTTTTCAATAAGAAGTATGCTGAGACACCACTATTAGTCAATAAATATTTTTTAGGCACTGCTTGATAAAAGCTCCTGTTGTTTTAAAGGTAAGAAACATATAGATGCAATAAATTCTGAAGACATGATTAGTCATTCATATATGAAAACTTTGACATAACCGAACCACATTTTTTTCTTTGACCATGTTCTGGTATACTTTGCAAGAGGCTATGATTAAAGATGGAGAGAATACATATTGAAGTCATAAAATCTGGGGGTTGGCATCTATCTTTCTCATATTTTATGACTTTTAGAAAGTCATTTTACATCAGTTTTGTCTTCCATAAAATAGGAATAATAGTAATAACATCCAACATGCACAACATAACAAATAAGATATGGAAGTATCTATAAATCATACTTAACACATACTAGTTTATCTTAAATTTTAGAAAAATGTATGTATAGAATACTGAGACATAAAATATTATATGAAGTTAACCTTATTAATAGGCTATGTCATGTTAATCTTAATTCTATCACATTTGCCTAAACTAATTAAATTCCTTCTAATAATATTTCCTATAAGTTATTAGCGATATAAATAAGTACATGACAAGCATTTAAATATTCTCCCAGCAAGTACTCCCAATAAAACTTTTAGGTAGCCATTAGCAATGTCACGTCTGTTTGCAAAATAAAATTGCCTTCTACAGGGCTTTAAAAATCATGGCCAGGTGTGGTGGCTCACGCCTGTAATTCTAGCACTTTGGGAGGCTGAGGTGGGCAGATCAACTAAAGTCAGGAGTTCAAGACCACCTTGGCCAACATGGTGAAACCCTGCCTCTACTAAAAATACAAATATTAACCAGTTGTGGTGGCACATACCTGTAAGCCCAGCTAGTTGGGACGCTGAGGCACTAGAATTGCTTGAACCTAGGAGGCAGAGGTTGCAGTGAGCTGAGATTGCACTGCCGCACTCCAGCCTGGGCGATAGAGCAAGACTCTGTCTCAAAAAAAAAAATCACGTATAAATATGAATTATTATGTGTAACTAAAATATTGTCATGATCCCACTTGTTTGAGATTTCTAGGAGAAAAAAAGTTAAGCCAATTATATATAGTCCAGATGAATTGAAATTATCCTACCTGCCAAATTAGTTGGGACACTTTTATTTATGTTTTTTTTTTTAGCCTCCATAAAATGTTCCAAGTGGTAGTTTTAGTATCTGACATTTGATTCAAGCTACTTTATCTTCCCATTTTTTTCTTGCCTGACTCAAAATCACATTTCAGGTGCTTTTAACATGTGTAAAGATCCCATTAAAACCCATTTATATGATGAGACTGTCCATTATTGGCCTCCAGAGACCCTAGGAAGACACATTCATTCATTCATTCATTCATTTCTCAATTCAATAAATATTTGTTGAACATCAATTGTGTGACGCATGCTGATTTAGGTATTTAAGAGAGATTTGTAAATGAAACTGATCTTCCTTCTGCAGTTTACATTCTGAAATATCTCTATTTCATTACTCACTTGATAGTATTTTGTTCTTCTTCCTACTAACATAATTATGATACTGTAATTCTATTGCCATTGTATTTCCCGAGCTACTCACTAGGTGGTTGCAGCATGCCCCTGTTGCTATGAATAATCACTTGAAGCCATAAGGAGATTGAAAAATGTTTCCAAATGTTGGTTCCCGTAGCTGAACCATTCCTTATAAAGAAGCTATTTTCTTAAATAATATTTAGGATTTTCAGAGAAGATCTCATCTCATTAAAGAAAGATGTATATATTTATAACCTTCTATTAATTATTCTACCCGCACTTTCTTTCTAAAATTAATTGGCACTTGATGAATGTGAATTTGGGGTTAACATAGTCTTGGCGGTATCAGAAGAAACCTGTCATGGGAGCTGGAACCACTACTTCTTGGAACTTAGATGTGGGTTGTAATAATCGCCTATTGTGACAGAGTTTTTTGGTAATTTAAGTTTTTCTTTTTTTTTTTTTCCTTTTTAGATGTCCATGGCCTACATTCTCCACTGAGTTTGCAAGCCATGTCAGAATAACTCAGGACAAGGTTTAAGATCTATATAAGTGGTACTCCAAGCTCTAGGCAAGTGAGAAAAATCAGGATGATAGTTTCAGTGTCCTAAAATATCACGAGAGAATTAGGTCATCCAGGAGCTAGTAGCCTAAACGTGGCACATGCCAAGTTCTACAATTATATGTAATACATATTGGTACACTTTGATAAAAGGACAGGGTATTCATAATGTAATGGTTGTACTAGCTACCTATTGCTGTATAACAATTTATTTCAAATCATAATGACCCAAAACAACAATTGTCACTTATTATCTCAGATAGTATCTGTTGTTCAAATACTTTGGAGCAGTTCATTGTTGTGGCTCAGTATCCTAATGCAGCTGGAGACTTGATTAAGGATAATGAATCTTCTCCAAGTTGGCTTAATCACAAGTCTGTTGGCAGCTGGCCTCTACTTGCCATGTGGACTTCTTCATATTGCTTCTTGAGTATTTTATTGACATGACAACTAGTTTCTGTCAAAGCAAATAATTCAAGATACAATGCTTTTTATGACCTAGGCTTGGAAGTCACATACCATCTTTTTCTTAATTCCCTACAGGTTACACATATTACATCTCTTCATTGTGAGAAGGTATATATGAGACTACGAGTAAATAGGAGGTGAAAATTACTACTGGCCATCTTGTGGGCTTGTTATCTCAATTGAGATGCCATTTTTTTCCCACTATCATCACCATTAACAATAAGGTATTTATGAAAATGGCATAACTGATAGTGTCAACAATGTGTATTGGTCAAATGGAATAAAAACTATTAGTCATCCCTTCTTTACTTTAATTGTTGAATCAGATAAAGCTTTTGAGCAACCTTGAATCATGTCAGCCCTACCTCTTATCCCAGCTAATGCTGCAATGACCAACTCTGCATAGCTTTTGGCCAGCTTTACACTTGATAAATTTTACAGTGCCTCACCTTTTATTTGCATCACAAAATTCTTACTTTATAGAATCGCAAACCTTCAGCTTTGCTTTCTTTAATAATACTATGCCATGCCCAAAGAAAAGTGAAGAGCAATATGAATGTGTAACTCAGAATTTGAGAGAGTAAATGTGCATGGCTTTCTCCTTGAAATGTGACAGTCAGATTTATATGAATAAATGCTTTCTCCTTTTGTTCTTCCAGGTAAATATTTATGAAATTTGTTTCTGTGAATTTCAGAAACTAATCTGAGATCAAGCCTGAGTTTAC
Organism: Homo sapiens; assembly: GCF_000001405.40. NCBI lineage: Eukaryota > Metazoa > Chordata > Mammalia > Primates > Hominidae > Homo > Homo sapiens. The sequence goes on from NC_000013.11 coordinate 56,357,278, forward strand.
CATAACATAAGCCAACTCAGGCTACATGCATTGGTAGATGCTTTTGGAAGTGAGGCACTAATTTATCCAGTGTGTTGGTTTCTAATAGTTCATAGATGAATCCAACTCCACTAATTGTCTGCAATAGAGAAGGATGCCTTACCCAAAACTATGTCCCTCATTTGAGCATATTGCATCCATTGAACTCAGGGCCACAGTGGCCCACAACTTTGCCTGATATGGAAAAATTGTGAAAAGCCATTACAACTCCAGAGCTCACTGTTAGATCAGCTGAGACCTCTGTTGCAACTGCATTAGAGTTTAAATACTCTCTTTATCCAATCCTCATTTGTTAAGCAATTCTTAATGAAACTCTTGCATGCAAGTTTCAGAGTTTAAATATCCTCTTTCCAGAGAACACCACCTATGACATTTTTTTACCAAGACTAGTGTGATGATGCAGAGATTTATAGGAAACTGGATCACCTACTGGGCAGCTTGCAATGAGAACATCATCTTTAATGGAGTTAGAGCACTGGTAGATCCTAGCACGTAATTGTTTTGAAATTGTTAAAACGTTTACTGGAGATGAAGTAGGACAGAATATCAGTGGAAGGGAATGTGCTCAAATGTAAACAATCTCGGGATTTTGAGAGGTATAAGAGAAATTATATTTAGAGGAATATGCCATCTAATGGCTATTGAATTTATGGTATTTATGTAAGACAAGGGTAGGCTGAAGAAAATAAATCACCAATAAAATAAATTACCAATATAAGGGAAAGCATAAATAACAAAGGACCTTTTTGGTAATACATAAAGAAACTTATCTCCTGTAGCCAGAGTCTGGAAAAAGCTGAAAACCAAGCCCAAGACTGAATTGTAAGAGAAACATTGCTTCAGATAAGTCGATTCTCTATCACAAAGTTTTTAATGTATTCTTATGGAAAGGGCCTCACTGCAAAAGAATTATAGGGTGAGGACTTAATGGTGAATGAAGCTAAAAATATCCCATCCCCAGTTTTTGATCATTCTGGGACTACAGAAGCAGTTATGTTCTCCTTGTTAAAGTCTGGTAAGCCCTTTTTCTCTTAAAGACATGTAAAGGCATCTGTCTTAAAGAACAACATACATCTTCCTTAAGATCTAATTCTGACTCTTCTTTGGAAACAACATAAATATCCCATGCCAGTTTGCTATATATCTGAATCAAGAAAGTGCTTGGACTACTAACAGAAGAAAGTGATTAGCCAAAGGAGTTGGAGTACCAAGTCAACATGTGTTAGCAGAAGCTTGGGGACTATGTATATGACTGAATCCTGAAATTACTGAATCAATGAGAATGGAATTTAAAGTTGAACAGGGAGAGTTTGAAATATGTGGATAGCGTATCCTGATACAGAATTTAATACCCTGGTAAACACCCTGAAAAACAGTGAAAATATGCTACTATGTTGACATTTGGAATCTTGGGAAAAGTGATGACCCGTCATAAGTGAAAGGAGAAGAAAAAGATCACATATGTGAGCATACTCATGAGTACATATTACATAAGGTGAGAATACTCATTAGCTGACATTTTCTTTTGGAAGGTTCAAAGGATGCTCTGTGTACACCAAAGCAATAAGGATGCATTGGTAAGAATTTCACTAGTATCATTAAGCTCAGTTGTTATTGTTGTCTTTTGATCAGCGCTAAAAGTAGGAGATAGCATTACAGAATTGGACTCGGTGATTACAAAGGACATGGTAGCATTCTAAAATATTAGAGGTCAGATAGATATGCTTAACTATTAAAGTTAAGGAGATTACAATTATTGTAAAGATTGGGATTCAGTGGTCTTGACGTATGGAGAGCAAGAGATGATTAATAGAACATGGCTTCCCAGGATCAAGGTACATTGGCTTTCGTAAGAAGCCTGTTAAATCTATATAGCGAAAGCATTCCAGGATGGATGATCAGAAAGCTGAGGGAAGCCACTCCTAAAAGCAGTCAACTCTCTTTTCTGGTTTCCAGTTTATGTTTGAACTTCTCAGATCTAGAAACTGTTGACAGAAGAAAAGGATGGGACGCCATATGAATAAAGAATCATGCACAGTGGCATGTATACATGGTAATGATTTCTCAGTCATTCCCCAAAGAACGTATGGACATTCACTTAGTTAACTGTGCCCAAAGGAAAGGGAAATATCCATACATGTTTAAGAACTATGGACAGAGTCCAGTTTGACATTGATAACCTCAAATGCAAATAATCATTATGATTCTTTTATTAGAATGAGAGTCAATTAGAGGTCAAAAATTAAAGGGATTCATAGTCCGAATCCAGGTCATAAGGCACACAGTGGTCCATAGATTTGTGTATATGTATTTTACACGACAAAAATTTCCAAAGTCTGCATTTTTTTTAACAAATGTCGTTTTCATTTAAGGCACGGAGGACAAACACCAGGCATCTCATTTCTGCATTCCTGTTCTGTTTATGTAGGTAAAATTAGCTTTCTTCTGTAAAATTTTAACATTGGATCAGATTATATATAATATATAGCTCATATCTAAAAGATTTAAATACAGTTAATAGTCTAGATTTGGTGTTTATAGAAACTACAAAAAACTCATTACTTGAAATTACAAAATCATGGTGACACTGCATCTATTTATGGTGCATCTTTCTGGTAATATATTCAAGAAACAAAATCAATTTGCAGATCTTGATTGGAGAAATTAAATTCATTACAGGGTGATGAGAAGGCAGCAGTAATAGGGAAAATTGAGGATAGTACCAGTTATTTGTTTAAGTGGGTAATAAATGGAAAGAATAGGGAAGCTTTATAAAACCTTAAAGAATACAGGTTTTCTACATGGATTGTTGTAGAAAAATAGCCATGAAAATGGAAGTTCTTAGACCTATAAAGTAGGGGATGCTTTAGCAGGTAGCATATATAAAAATATGTGTTTCTGAACAAGAGATGTAGTATTTAAAACAGTATAATAAGTTTAATAAATTAACATGATTGATAAAAAAGAATATATGATCACACACTGAAACTTTATTGTGAGTATTGCAAGTTCAGAATCAAATAGATATCTTTTGCTGTGAGAGTTAGGGTGAATACTGGAAAGTATGAATTATGAATATGATTAGATCTGTAATTTCTAATACCATTCCCTGATTTATTAATTGCAGGATGTATGCTAGTAGTTAAAGTAATGATACTGATATGCCATTATAACATAAATGTAAACTAATTTTTAACTTGAAATTATTTTTAATTTAGCTTTCCATTTAATTCAAATGATACAATGGTGCCTAGTCCTGAAATGAGAGAACTAGAGGAGAATTAAAGAAGACTTCCAGGTAAAAAAAGCTTTACATAACTCTTTTTCCCAAAACTTTCAAGATATTTGAAACATTATTTGGAAGCATTTTGTTTTCAAAATTTTTACTACTCCGTAAATGACTTAAATAGTATGTGATAAAAATAACATATAAGACTCATAAGAAAACTATATAATTCAGTTTTAAAATTTAATTATAAAAACAAGTATGTTTTATTTTCTTTTTCTTTGAAAACACATTTATGTCATGCATCTATATATACATTACATATATACACACACATACATATATACACATATACATATATATGATCCTGTTCTTTAATCGTCAGAAATAATATTACAGTGGTATATTAGTGAGTGCTTGCAATTACCTCAAGTATTGCTATAAAGAAATACTTGAGAATAGGTAGCTTATAAAGAAAATATGTTTAATTATCTCATGGTTCTGCTGTGCAGGAAGCATGATGCTGTCATCTACTCGGCTTCTGGAGAGGCCTCAGGTCACTTAATCACGGCTGAAGGCAGAGGGGGAGTGATCATTTACATGGCTAGAGCAGGAGAAACAGAGCCATAGGAGGGAGATGCTACACACTTTTAAGTGATCAGATATTGTAAGAACTCATGTTTGTCAAAGATCGGATGGCTGTAGATGTGTAGCGTTACATCTGAGGCCTCTGTTCTGCTCCATTGGTCTATATATCTGTTTTGGTACAAGTACCATGCAGTTTTGGTTACTGTAGCCTTGTAATATAGTGTGAAGTCAGGTAGTGTGATGCCTCCAGCTTTGTTCTTTTTGCTTAGGATTGTCTTGGCTATATGGCCTCTGTTTTGGTTCCATATGAAATTTAAAGTAGTTTCTTCTAGTTCTGTGAAGAAAGTCAATGGTAGCCTGATGTGGATTCCCTATTTAATAAATGGTGTTAGGAAAACTGGCTAGCCATATGCAGAAAACTGAAACTGGACCCCTTCCTTACACCATATACAAAAATTAACTAAAGTTCGATTAAAGACTTAAATGTAACACCTAAAACCATAAAAACCTAGAATAAAACCTATGCAATACCATTCAGGACATAGGCATGGGCAAAGACTTCATGACTAAAACACCAAAAGAAATGGCAACAAAAGCCAAAATTGACAAATGGGATCTGCACATTAAAAGAACTAACATCAGAGGGAACAGGCAACCTACAGAATGGGAGAAAATTTTTGCCATCTATCCATCTGACAAAGGGCTAGTATCCAGAATCTACAAGGAACTTAAATTTACAAGAAAAAAACAAAAATCCCAATCAAAAAGTGGGCAAAGGATCTGAACAGACACTTCTCAAAAGAATACATTTATGTCGCCAACAAACGCATGAAAAAAAGCTCATTATCACTGGTCATTAGAGAAATGCAAATCAAAACCACAATGAGATACCATCTCATGCCAGTTAAAATGGTGATCATTAAAAAGTCAGGAAACAACAGATACTGGAGAGGTTGTGGAAAAATAGGAATGTTTTTACACTGTTGGTGGGAGTGCAAATTAGTTCAACCATTGTGGAAGACAGTGTGGCAATTCCTCAAGGATCTAGAACCAGAAATACCATTTGACCTAGCAATCCAGTTACTGGGCATATACTCAAAGAATTATAAATTATTCTACCATAAAGACACATGAAAACACATGTTTACTGCAGCACTATTCACAATAGCAAAGACTTGGAACCAACCCAGATGCCCATCAATTATAGACTGGATAAAGGAAATATGGCATGTATAAAACGTGGAATACTATGCAGCCATAAAAATGATGGTTTATGTCCTTTGCAGGGACATGGATAAAGCTGGAAACCATCATTCTCAGAAAACTAACACAGGAACAGAAAACCAAACACCGCATGTTCTCACTCACAAGTGGGAGTTGAACAATGAGAACACATGGACACAAGGAAGGGAATATCACACACCAGGGTCTGTCAGGGAGTCGGAAGCTAGGGGAAGCATACCATTAGGAGAAATACCTAATGTAGATAACGGTTTGATGGGTGCAGCAAACCACCATGGCCCGTGTATACCTATGTATCAAACCTGCACATTCTGCACATGTATCCCAGAACTCAAAATATATATATATATATATATATATATATATATATATATATATATATATATATATATATATTTTATGCAGTACCAAGGGGGAATAGGGCTAATGCTTTTATGAGAACTCCACTATCATTATCCAATCACCTCCCACCATGCCCCACCTCCACATAGGATTACAATCCTACATGATATTTGGTGGGGACACAGACCCAAACCATATCAGGTAGTGATATAACAATTCTAGTAATTGCCTTATATTTGATATATCAAAGATCAAAATGAAAAGCATTTACAAAAGTTGTTTTCCTTTGAAATATGCAAATGCTATGATTTTCTTTTCATTTTATTAAAAATAAACTTATTTTATGCCTAGACTACAGCTAGCCAGGGAGGTGAAAGATTTCTACAATGAGAATTACAAAACATTAGTCAAGGAAATCAGAGATGACACAAACAAATGGATGAATATTTAATGTGCATTGATAGGAAGAGCTGATATATTTGAAATGGCAATACTGCCCAAATAGCAATTTATAAATTCACTGTTACTCCTGTCAAACATCTAATAACATTCTTCACAGAACTGGCAAAAGAAATAAAAATAAAAACACCTATTTCAAAATTTATATGGAACTCAGAAGGAGCCCAAATGACCAAGGGAATCCTAAGCAAAAAGAAGAAAGCTAGAGGTATAACATTACCCAACTTCAAACTATACTACAAGGCTACTGTGACCAAAACATCATGGTATTGGTACAAAAACAGACACATAGACCAATGGAAAAGAATAGAGAGCCCAATAATAATACCACACACCTACAACTATCTGATCTTTGACAAAGTCAACAAAAACAAGCAATAGGGAAAGGACTCCCAGTTCAATAAATGGGGTACTGGGGTAACTAGCTAGCCATATGGAGAAGATTGAAACTGGAACCCTTCCTTACATGACTTACAAAAATCAACTCAAAATGAATTAAATACTTAACTGTGAAACCTAAAACTACTAAAAACCCTGGAAAACAACCTTAGAAATACTATTCTGGGCATTGCACCTGGCAAAGATTTTGTGACAAAGAAGCCAAAAACAATTGCAACTAAAACAAAAATTGACAAGTGGGATCTTAATAAACTAAAGAGCTTCTACACAGCAAAAGAAATTATCAACAAAGTGAACAGACAACCTACAGAATGGGAGAGAATATTTTCAGGCTATGCATCTGATGAATGAAAATCTATAAGCAACTTAAACAAATCAACAAGCAAAAAAAAACAACCCATTAAAACGTGTGTAAATAACATGAACAGACACTTCTCCTAAGAAGACATACATGCATCCAACAAACAAATGAAAGAATGCTCAACATCACTAATCATTAGAGAAATTAAAATCAAAACCACAATTAGGCACCATCTCACATGAGTCAGAATGGCTGTTATTGAAAAGTCAAAAAAAATAACAGGTGCTGGTGAGATTGTGGAGAAAAATGAATGCTTATACGCTGCTGGTGGGAATGTAAATTAGTTCAGCCATTGTGGAAAAGCAGTTTAGGAATTTCTCAGATAACTGAAAACAGAATTTCCACTCTGCTCAGCAATCCCATTATTGGGTATGTACCCAAAGGAATATAAATCGTTCTAACATAAAGACACATGCATGCGTATGTTCAGCATAGCATTATTCACAATAGCAAAGATATAAAATCAACCTAAATGCTCATCAATAATAGATTGGATAAAGAAAATGTGGTACATACACAAAATATAATACTATGCAGCCATTGAAAACAAAAACACACAGACGCACAACTGAGATAATGTCCTTTGCAGCAGCATGGATGGATCTGGAGGCCATTCCTTAAGTGAACTGATACAGGAGCAGAAAATCAAATACCACATGTTCTCACTTATGTGTGAGCTAAACATTCAGTACACATGGACACAAAGAAGGTAACAACAAACACTGGGACCTATCTGAGGCTGTAGTGTGGGAGGAGGGTGAGGACCAATAAACTATGTATCAGGTACTATGCTTATTACCTGGGTGATGAAATAAAATAATCTACACACAAACCCCAGTGACACACAATTTGCTTGTATAACAAACCTACACATGTACCCCTGAACTTAAAATAAAAGTTAAAATAAATAAATAAAATAAAAATGAAAAACTTGTTACATATAAACAAATTTTAAAATCTGCTTATTTTTGCAATGTTGGAAAAAAGCATTCTAAGTAACATGATATGACATGGTAATTTAGAGTAATGTTTTTGAAAGCAATAATGCTTTCTATTACATTATTTTAATTTAGTAAGCAAAATATGTTTACTTTGCATATTTTATATTCATATGTATTTGCTTGTACTTTAATAAGACTAAAAACTTTATTACTTTAAAAATAATTTTCATTTTAAGTAACTTTCTTCATAGTAAATAAAAATTACACCAATCACTGGTGCAAAGTAAACATCTTAATAAAGATATATGAAAGCATATGAAATTCCATTTTTTACATGAGTATATTATAGCAGAAATATTTTAATATTTCATATTTTAGGAATCTTATAAAATTTGGAAACCTGAAACACTTTCTCTGAATGACAGATTATAGGTGGTATATTTGCAAAAATATTTTTTATAAAATTAACACTATAAAAGCACATTAACAATACATATGTCTCTATCTCATACATAAAGTTTAAAATATTGGAAATGTTATGTCATTTACATAAAACCATCAGTCCTAAAATGTATCTGCATGCTTCTAAAAGATACCAAGGAAGACAAGGTAGGGATTGGGGAAGAAGGCATTATTTCCACCACCTAATCATCTCTTATTTCAGGGAGTGTCTTTTCCTTCAGCTTCTGTAACTCTATCAGACTTCTCTTATTCATTGGCTATTCTTGCTTAGAGATTCTTTTTGAGACCCTTTCTCCAATTGCTTAATAAAAACATATATATCTGTGTGTGTGTGTGTATCCCTCTGAAAGATATCACACATTTCTCAGAGTTTTAATTATTATATCTATGAAACTGAGCCCCTAAATTGTACCTCCATACATAATGATTACCATGAGCTAAAGTTCCCTATCTCTAGTTTCTTACAGGAAATTTCTATTTGAATATTATACTCTCAACTCAAAAAAGTCTGAAATCTAATTTACAATTTTTCTTCTCAAGCCCATACCTCCTTCTCTTTCAATAGTCTGTTAAATTCAATTCCTTCCTTAAGCAGTCAACACATTCCCTCATTTTAAAAAGCATTTCTTGAACTATTCTCAATGCCACTAATTATTCTAGCAATTTTAATATGCCATTCTGGTTTGCAAAAAGCCATTAACAACTAATGCTTATATAATATCACTAAAATTGTTAAGTATTAATTTGGTGCCAGTAGGATAATGATAGGTAATTTTCTGTCTTAGAGAGTAGGTGAAAACCACAAATCTGCAATGAGTACTTCTGTATAAAAGTGACAGTTCAATGTAGTTCAAAATCTAAATCATTGATTTAGACATAGATTCAATAATAGAAGTAGATATTGGAAATTAAAAATTTTATATGCATCAATATAAAAAATTTTGCTATTATATATGCAGAAAACTTCAAAATATATTTCATTAATATCCAACTATATGTCAAATATTCTTCTAAGTACTGACAGCATTACAAAAAGGTAGAAAATAAATACCAAAATCTTTGTCCTCATTTAGACAATTTCATATTTCTAGAAATTTTAGGCAAAGTTTAAAATTTAATAAATGTACTGGATAGTTTCACTTTTAAGTGTCTATAATTCTAGGGTATATTTTAGTTCTAGCTTGTACTGGAAATAATAAAATACCAGAACTAATATTTTAAAATTTTTGTAGAGACAAGATCTTGCTATGTTGCCCAGGCTGGTCACAAACTCCTCAGTTCAAGTGATCCTCCTGCCTCAGCTTCCCAAAGTGCTGGATTACAGGCATGAGCTACTGCACCTGCTCAAGATTTTTCAAATTAGAAGAACTACAAATATGTAACATGGATTTTAAGATAATTTTATTAGATACAAACACAAATATAGTATTAATAAAGTATAGCGTACATCCAACAGACAGAAATTGTAACAAAATTTTCCTAACATATATGTGAATAACACTTTTTGATATAATTGCTTACATTAAATATAAAATATAGTATGATAAAATTAAACATAACTTGTGCTTATGAATATTTTACTCGAGCCTAAATTTTGTATTGGACCAATGGAATTAAAAAATTGAAGCTGGCTGGGCGCCATGTCTCACACCTGTAATTGCAGCACTTTGGGAGGCCGAGGTGGGTGGATCACGAGGTCAAGAGATTGAGCCCATCCTGGCCAACACGGTGAAACTCCGTCTCTACTAAAAATACAAAAATTAGCCAGTCGTGGTGGTGCACAACTGTAGTCCCAGCTTCTCTGGAGGCTGTGGCAGGAGAATCACATGAACCTGGGAGGCTGATGTTGCAGTGAGCTGAGATAGCGCCACTGCACTCCAGCCTGGTGACAGAGTGAGACTCTATCTCAAAAAGAAAAAAAAAAAATAAAGCTACGAACTTTTTTTATAATGTCCTAATTTGTGTTTATCATATCTTGATAATTTTAGAGTGTACTAAATTAAAAACATAGTAAATGTACTTTTAATAAGCTTATAATGAAGAGAATAGAATTTTCATTTTTCCATTCATTGTTCAAGTTTATAAAATGATTCTGAATAATAATTACCTAAACAAGAAATCGATAAAAAACAATTTTTGTTATGGATTGTGTTAAAAAAAATCCCTTCGATTTTTTTAAACTTAGACAAATAATGGAAACCAAGGTCCTTTAAATTATTTATTATCGAGCAAATAATATCAAATAATTTCATTAAAACAGGGAATAAACTGGAATTAATTGCGTTTATTTATAAACGTATTAAGTTTATAAAGATGCAGTAAAACCGCATCAAAGTGTTCAACACCCAAGAAAAATTTATAAATAAATTTTTTATATAAATATATGTATATAAAATTATTTAAATTTATTTATAAACAAGAATTATTAAGAATTCTGACATCATCTAAAAGATTAGATGGGAACCTAAACAAAAGATAGCATTCACCAGAAAAAATATTTTGGATTTAGAATCTTGGAAATGAAGTGTGTAAAATGTCATTTAAGCTTTTTAGAATAAATAAAAAGCTTTTTCTTCGGTGTTGAACACTTTGATGCGGTTTTACTGCCCAGCTACTGGGAGTGCTGTCAGCAGGTAGCCTTCCACTGTCAGCCTCTTCAGAATTCACTTTGGTTGAAGGGAGTTATCGCACCCATAGTTGCATCCTTTCAGGGGCAACCCACGTCTAATGGATTAAATATCCAAGTAGAAATTGACTCTGAGGGTGTATGATCGAGGGATGCACACATGAGAATAGATAAGAAAGAGGTACTGACTTGGGACCACTTTCCTGAGATACAGGATTTAAGACTGTGGCAAGGACATCCGGGTGATAGTAGCATTAGAGGGCTTCTGGACGCACAGAAAAGCTGATGAACCAAGTTAAATAAAATTTAATGCCTAAATTATCATGGTAGTCTGCGGATGAATGGAATAAAAGAGTCAAGGCATGGAGCATGGGTGTGCTTGAGTGAATATGCTACATGACACCAGAAAACCCACCAGATGTTTGTTTTCCACAGGCAGGCCACAAGAAGATATATTATTAGATAGGGGTATCAAATAATATACTGATAAGAAAATGCCAGCATCATTAAGGAGCTCAGTGGCGTTTCCCCCTTTTGGCAAAGACTGATGGTAACATAGGTTGTAACAGAACCAGGTGCATTGGGAGCAACAAAATGATAATACCAAATACAATAGTAACCAGGTGGTGGTGCTTAATACCAGAAACTAGGTGCATGCAAGTACAACAATGTTCTGCTCAACTTCTACCCTCAGAAGAAATGGAGGATAGATGATCAGAAGAAGGATCATCTACTTCTTGATGATCCTATTGATGGCAGCGGCAGCCGTCTGTAGTTGCCGCTGTCATCATGCCGGCTGCCCGCTGCGCCTGGGAGGGCAAGGCCCAAGATGGGCTGCTGCCGTCAGCATAAAGTCACAATGCCTTGCCCAGTTTCCAGATCCCAGCCAGTTTTAGACCCAGAACACTTTGATTGAATGAGAGGCCAGATTCCCAAGAGGAAGAACCCTGTAAAACCATGACGATTGTACATAACGAAACTTCTTTCAGCTTGATCTCAAAGGGACTATAATTATTTACTTGAATACTGTACACTGGAGAAAAGATAACTACTTAGTCCTTTCTAGGGTTTTTGACACAGGTTCCAAGGTGACTGTTAGTCAGATTCAAAGTGCCATAATGGTGCTTGCGTTAGAATGATGACATATGGGAAACAGGTAAGAAACTGTGTCCTGGGTAAGGTCCAACTCATAGGTAATTTAATGCTTTGAGAGAGATACATCTTGTGGTCACGTTTTGGTCCCTGAATGTATCATTGGGATAGACACACTTGATCTAACTCCCACATTAGGTACTTGGTTTATCTGGAAAGGGCTATCATAGTGAGAAAAGGCAGGTTACAAGTCTATGCAAGCTGAGGTAGTAAACAAAAAACATCACTTCTTTGAGAACGGTATAATATAGAAGTGTGGGTCACCCCTAAGAATCTAAAAGTATCTAAAGAATAAAAAGCTAGTATAGTCCTTGTCATACATTAATTAAATTATTCAGACAATAAAGGACTTTTGCCTCAGTTTCTGGTCTAATTATTAGAAGAAGCCTTCAGCCATTAGTTTTTGCAGGTTTTGCATTAAATTTTGTCTTAAAACCAGCTTCCTAAAACATTTGGAGATTAGGAAATGCTAAGAACAGATATATGTCTATATACAGATACATGAATAGATATATGCTATATGTATATATATGCATATATATTCAAACTATCTTTAATCTAGTTAAGATAAAAAATTATGTATATAAATATTTCTTTAATAATATTAATAAAAATATCATTTTACTATATATTAATGAAGTACTACTATTTTAATAAATCTGGACTCCTATAATGTGTCTGAAAATTACATGCATTATTGCATTAATTGCAGCACTATTCACAATAACAAAGACATGAAATGAATGTAGGTGTCCATCAGTGGTGGTTTAGATAAGGAATATGTGGTACAAATACACCATCGAATATTATGCAGCCATAAAAAAGAATTAAGTCAGGTCTTTTGCAGGAACATGGATGCAGCTGGATGTTATTATCCTAAGCAAATTAATGCAGAAACCAAAAACCAAATAGTGCATGTTGTTCTCACTTATACTTGGGAGCTAAACATTGACTACTCTTGGACATAAAAATGGCAACAATAGATACTGAAAATGACTTGAGGAAAGAAAGACAGAGAAAAGTTTAAAACTTTAAAAGAATTTAAAAACTAACTTGGGTGCTATGCTTAGTACTTGGGTTATGGGGTCTTTCATAGCCCAATCTAAGCATCATAAAATATACCCAGGTAACAAACCTACACATGTACGCACTGAATCTAAAATAAACTTGAAAAATGTACATATTGTTTCAATGCAGGGTGGGGTTGCTATTGCAATAGCTGGATAGGCACTATAACAATAGAAAATGCTTTTTTTGCAAGATCTGCATGCATCTCAAAGTCAGGAAGCAAAGGGCTTTTCTAACATGAGAGAAATAAGCAAGGCTAGAAAGAACCAATTGTATTGTAGTAGGGTGTAATAGGGTATTATTGAATAGATGAGTAAATAATCTCCTTCCTTGAGATCAACTGATTCTAAGTAGGGCCTTTAAGAAGAAGTTTTTATGCCTTGAAGAGCTTAAGGATAAGCCAAATTTTGGCCAAATTTCTGGGGCCCGAGGGAAGGAGAGAAGCTTTAGTAAAGTTTAGTCAAATCATATATTAATATTTTGGTCACGTTGTCCTGTGTGTACAAACATTTCAGCTAATCAGTTTTGAGGCAACGAATGCTATGCTTCTGTAAGGATTTTAGGAATGGTTTCCCAGTTCTTTAATCACAAACAGCAATTTATTCACTTCACCTGCACAAACCCTATTTTTAAACCCACTTGCAATTATAAGAGGTAAAAGAGGGAGATTTGGCTTTAGATATGCAATAATCTCAGCTGTGATTTGACCAAGTCTCAGTATTCCTTTAAAAAATACACCAAGAACTCCAGTGAAGGGCATAGAGTAAGTTTAATTGAGAGTCAACAATGATATGATCCATTTAATCCTATGAGCCAATACCCATGTACAGATGAGAAATCATGTCACTTTTATCTTTCCTCTCTTTATTAACTTCCATAACCCATTTCCCTGATACACAAACTCTATGGCAAATTCTTTCCTGTACTGCTATAACAAGCCACTATGATTCTTATTTGTACTTTTATTTATGTCAACTGCATTGGTTCTTAATCAACTATGATAAACCATTCATTTTCCTGCTTCGGCTTAATCAGTCATAATTCAGTGAAAACAAATAACATGTACTGATTATGTACTATATGTATCAAAAACTATTCTAAGCAATTTATATATATTAGCTCCCTGAATCTTCATAAAAACTCTATGAGGCAATTATGCTCATCTATATTTAAAAAATGAAGAAACTGAGATGCAAAACTCACCAAGAGTCACACAGTTAGTAAACGGTGAAACTAAAATTTTAAAATATATTGACTGCACCAGAGTTTTTACATGTAAATACTATACTAGTGTATGCAAGTAACTTTTGTCAATTAAAACAGAAGTCAGCACAGCATTTCAAAGTTTATCTCATTTAAAAACAGGAAAAAATAAGCATTTTTAAGCACACTCATTTCATATAGGTCCTCAAATCTCCAATGCCTTCATTCCTAAATGAACACGCGTATCAAGTGTTCCATATAAAAGTAGTTAATTTGCCTAATAGGGTGACATAAACATATTTTATATGTAACTGATTTATCAGTTTCATTAACAATCACCTTAAGTTTTGTCTTAAAATACCCTAAAATTCATGAATGTCTTTTCTTAAATGCCTCTGGGAAAACTCCTTGGACATATGTTTTCCGGATCTCTCCTAGTGTGCTGTCCTATAATTATTTGTATTAGAACAGGTAAACAGCATTTCAAAGACACACTTAAATATATAAAATTAAAATGACAATGGTTGATGTCAAATGACAGAAAAGGTACCAAACACAGTTGAAAATCAATGAAATAGAAACAATATCCAAAAACAGATTAATTCTCTCAAATCCTGTCTGATTGAGAGTATGACATAAATTTTTTATTCTAACTGTGAGCTAATAAAATACAGATTTGAAATACCCTGCTTAAATTGAGGATTTATAAAGCCAGGAAAATCAAGGGTATTCAAACTTCAATTAATAACTTTAATCATAATTGAGAACCTTGAAAACCTAGGAGGATTCAATTTTTCTGTGACTCGCTTAGAAGAAAATTGTGATATCTGAATTCTGAAAATAATTGCCCTTTTAATCTATTTAAACCATCCCCATTATGAACTGAAAGTTTGTGTCACCCTCCAAACCCATATGTTGAATCTCTAACCACCAATGTAATAGTATCAGGAGGTAAGGCCTTTGGGAGGTAATTAGAGTTAGATTAGGGCATGAGGATAAGACTCCCATGATGGGACTAGTAAACTTACAAGAATAAAAGAGAGGGAGGAGAGATGGAATTATGTATTCCATAAGTGGAAAATGTATATTCCACAATGAAATTATGTATTCCATGGAATTATATATTCCATGATGGAGGGAATAAACTCCCTGTGATTCCGTCCTTGAAACTGTAGCCTCCAGATCTGTGAGAAAATAAATTTCTGTTGTGTAAGTCATTAAGTAAGTCTATGGTATGTTATGGCAGCCTGAGTTGACTAATTCATTCCCCATTAAATTAATATATATGCTGTCTTCTAACCAGACTGCTGAAATAGAGAGGATATAAATGGATTAGAATCTAGGATAATTATGTGTGAATATCTACAAATATTTGTATATCAATCTCCTTTAATAAATCAATAAACCATTTTAAAATTATAACTATATAAATTACGTATTTGATTGTATAATATAATACATACTATTCTTAATATATTTGGCAATTGCCTGCAATGTCATCAATACAGATTTGTAGAAACTATTTTTGCAGCATGAATAAACATCACATGTTTTTCATCTTTAGGTGACACAACAATTTCAATAAAATCTTCTTGAAATCAGTAACATTTCACCTGATTTCTTACCAGAAGAATATCATTATTCAATGAAAGTGACTTAAGATATTCTGTCTCAAGGCAAAAAACTAAAAGTGTACTTATTGCTCTGCTATTTACTAGCTTTTCTGGACAAGTTACACAAAACACAGAATACCAGTTTTCTAAACTTAAAAATGGAAATGAAGTACAGTTACACACATTTCAGAGTGTATTAAGAAATAATCAAAAGTAGACAACGTATACTTGTAATAACCAAGTTAACCCAGCACTACCTTAATTTTTCCCACCTCTATTCAGCTCAGCATTCCATGTTGCAAACAGGTAAGTTCTAACATAGCAAAAATACAGAAAAAGGGGAAAAATGTTACTAAAGTTGATTATTCAAACTCAAACTATAATCACACATGAAAAGGATCTTGAGCATTTGCAGCTGAGGCACTGGCCTAAAAACCAGGAAGAAGAGAATGTCAGTCATGATGAGTTTACTCCAGCTTCTAAGCTAGCACTGGGAAATTAGAAAATAAAAAATATATATATATATATTATGGGAATTCTCAGTGGGAGATGATGTAACACAGCAGTCCCCACTACTCAAATGCTTCATTCAGAATGACACTGGAACTCTGGAGCAGTTCAAGTTTCAGAAGCTGTCTAGGATGGTTGGATAAACAGAGGAGAATGATGAAATTTTTCTATCGAGAAGATAACATAATTTGGGTGAAGAAGATAATGAACATTCCAAAGAAGACTCATTATTATAATAAGGATGTCCCACCCAATATAGTTTTGTTCGTTGTGCACTGCATTATTTAGGAGGCACCTTTAACACTATAGACAGAATCCTAGGTAAATTAATAGAAAGATATAAAAAAGGCAAAGGAAAAGTGATAGGTGGTAATATCAAAGGAATGTTTGCCTCTATGAGTTGAGTAATTCATGGAGTTGGAGCATTAGAGGGCATGAGCAAGAAAGTAGATGGTGGTTGAAGAGTGATATGACTAAAATTGACTTGACGCAGGAATTTTATTGATATTAATAACAGGGTCTCACGTATGACCAGGGGAGTGACTGTAGCAGAGTGGATAATAATATCATTAAAGGAATGAAAGAGAGGAGAAAGAAGGAGAATAAGAAGGAAAGGGCAAAGAAAGAAAAGAAGAAAAGCCAGAAAACTCAAAAATTCAACTGGAGGCCGGGTGCAGTGGCTCATGCCTATAATCCCAGCACATTGGGATGCTGAGGCAGGCAGATCACTTGAGGTCAGGAGTTTGAGACCAGCCTGGCCAACATGGTGAACACTGTGTCTACAAAAATACAAAAATTTAACCAGGCATAGTGATGAATGCCTGTAATCCTAGCTACTCAGAAGGCTGAGTCAGGACAATCACTTGAACCTGGGTGGTGGAGGTTGTAGTGAGCAGATTGTGCCACTGTACTCCAGCCTAGGCAACAGGGTGAGACTCCACCTCAAAAAAAAAAAAAAAAGCCCATTGGATATTAAAAATTAGCAGGAATTATTAAGAAGTACTATGGAAAATGATGATGAGCCAGGGATAAAATTGCTTATCAATAAAGGAAAGTGACCCAGTTTACATTTGATGAGCCTTGGAGAAAGCTGTACTATGTTTAGTACATTGGACACATACTGCAATTTATTTAATGATCTGCTGGTAAAAAGAATGTATACCTGACATTTACTATGTAACTTTCAGTCTCTCTTGATGGGAAGAGACTGTTTCCTCATCCACGTGTCCGGTTTAGCCCTGTGACTTGCTTTGGCCAATGAGAAGTGAATAAGAGTTATTATTGTTTCCAAAGCTGTAGGTTATTTCTGCTCTTGTGTCTTTCCCTCTTAATGAGAGAATGGTATCATAGATAAGGGCTGTTTTTTCAATGTTCATTTAGAAAAATAATGTTCAGGAAACCAGGAATAAAAGATACGTTAATAAATCTTATGAAGGATATATCTGTGAACTCAAGAGTTAGCATCAAATTTAATGGTGATTAATTTTCTCTTAAGATAGGGAAAAAAGAAAGCAGGTTCAGTTTGCTATTTCTGTTTTGTTGGAGGTGCTACCTAGTGAATTATTTAAAAAAAAAAAGAATTGCAAAGGAAGAAATTGATCTGTGAATTAATAATTCATAAACAGCATAATTATACACATAGAGGTTTCAGTGTAATCTAGAAACATACTATAAAAACTACATTTAGTAAGATCATCATCTACAAGCTCAATTAAGAAAAATACATTATGTTTCTATGTACTTTTTAAAAATGAAAAATCACCCTGGGAGTAATATTGATAGGATAAGAGCAAAACACACTTTCTGATATAAATGTTCTGTAATATAATTCATATGATAGTACCATAGGTGGATGCATTTGGCAAAACTCATTAATATTTTACACTTTAAAAAACCTTGTTTTACTGTATAATATATCTATGTTGTTTGTAAAAGAAAAATGTTTTAAATTCAATGAATAGTAAAATTAAAAGTTTGTATCAAATAAAATGAGTTTTGTATTAAAACAAATAGGAAATAGATTGGACATTAATGATCTCATTTATAGTACCAGAGGAAAAAATAAAATATTTTGGATTAAACTCAAAAACAGTATCCCATAATTTGATGGTGATTATTTTAAATTATTTCTAATCAAACTAAAAGAGGGGTAATCCAAAATATATTCCACACTCATGTGTGGCACATATGGGCATGTGCACACAGACACACACATACACACACACACACCTCTGTAAGACTATCCAATCCATCCAAGAACATTTATTTTAGAACTTGACAAGAAATTAGCTAAACTCATCTTCCTGAAGAAGTAAATATATTAGTATAGACCACAAGAAAATGTTGAAAAAAATAATGATACCAGAGGATATCTATGTATTAAAAGATGTTATTAAACTATTACAAGTAGTTAAAAACATTCACAACTATTACAATAACTTACAGGGTGATATCATTAGATATTGCTTAAATATTTGTGAATGTGATGAGCTGAATAATGCTCCACAAAAGATGACCAAGTCCCTATCGCTTGAATTTGTGAAGATATTGAGATGGAGAGATTTTTTTCCGGATTTTCCAAGTGCATCACATGTAATCACAAAATGTCTTTATAAGACGGAGATAGGAGATTAAAGTGATGCTCATATTCCATGTAGTGATAGAAGCAAGAGGTAAGAGAGAAGCAAGGAAGGGAACAGGAGTCAAGAACTAGGCTGGAAAAGGGAGAAAGTGCAGTCTCCCCTGAAGCCTCCAGAAGAAATGCAATGTTGGCATAATCTTGATTTTAGATGTCTGAACTCCAGAAGTGTAAAAGAAAAATGCTTTTTTGTTTTATGGAATAGTGTGTGGTAACTTGCACTGCTTGCCAAGTTGAAAAAAAAAAAAAAAGGAATCCAGGATTCATAGGGCATAATGAGAAAAGCAAAGTATGATAAACATATAAATGGAGAGATTATTAAGCGCCAAATAACATCAGGATTTGAAGACTGTGTAGTAACATATTTGAATTTATTTTAAATAGTATGTGAACTCACTGAAGAGTATTTTTTAAAGGAAGAAGAAAGATAGGCTTATTTATATTTTATAAATTATTATACCTGATATGTGATCAGCTGTGTATGAAGTGTAGTGAACTATGGATGGAATTTGGGAGTCTGTTGCAGCACTCTAATGAAGAGAAGACGTAAGTTGATATAAGACTCTGCTGAAGATGAAAAATAAATTTGTGCACATGTGAAAAATTTGACAGGCTTTGCTGATGGATTAGATGTGGGGCTGAAGGAATGGACCAGAAATAATATGTCTCTCCTGAAAATCTTGTCTTCTTTCTTTATAAAAATATGTGAGGAATTTGGTTTGTTGTAATTATATTTTTGCCGTGAATTAAAATCAGAAAAAATTTATTTTGTTTCTTATTTTTATTTTAATCATTGGATTATTTTGTTATTAGTATATACTTTAACTGGAATTTCTTCATGTATTTTGCCCCTTCACTGGTTCATTTACAAAAATTTTTAATAAACAAATATTATTGATTGGCTATAGTTCTCCAGACAATATAATGTAAATACAAGTCTTGGTTCCTACTTAACAGAATAATTCACTTTTCATTGAATAATTTTTGGGATCATTGAAACTTCACTTTGATTATAGAGTCAAAATATTTTAACTTATTGTTAGCATATGTAAGATATATAAAAGCTATACCCAGATTTCATAACATAAGATTTCCTTGGCTGGGCATGGTGGCTCACGCCTGTAATCCCAACATTTTGGGAGGCCAAGGCAGGTGGTTCACCTAAGGTCAGGAGTTTGAGACCAGCCTGGCCAACATAGTGAAACCCCGTCTCTATTAAAAATACAAAAATTAGCCAGGTGTAGTGAGGCATGTCTATAATCCAAGTTACTCAGGAGGCTGAGGACAGAGAATCATTTGAACGTGGGAGGCAGAGGTTGCATTGAGCCAAGATAGTGCTACTGCACTCCAGCCTGGGAAACAGAGTCAGACTCCTTCTCAAAAAAAAAAAAAAAAAAAAAAAAAAAAAAAAAAAAAAAAAAAAAAAAAAATTTCTGTTTCTTGGTATAACTATTTACTAGAAGTTTAATAAGTTTTCTGTTATTTTTAAAAACTAATTGGGAATGTTCCATGTAAATCAATAACAATTTAACCTTTAAATAATACATCTGAAATCATTTAAATATATCATCAAAACATTTTTGGACATGACATGTCTGCTATATTTCTATAACTTTTAATCTTTATGACCTTGTAGTCACAAAAATTTTCTCTCAAGTATTCTAACATCTGTGTTGATTTCAGCAGCACTATGCTGAAGAATTTTTATTAGTATTTTCCATTTTTTTAGGAAGGCTAATCTTTCTATCAGCTTCAATACCTATAAAATTAAATGAAGCCACAATTTACAAATTAAAATTTGTTAATGTAGGCTATTCATGAAAGTTCCTAATTCATATTTGTGCTCTGCTTCATTTTGTATGGGGAAAAATTAAGCTGAAGGTAAAGTCTAGTTAAAATAATTACCAAAATTACATTAAAATAATTTTAAATGGGTACAGACTAATTAGTTCATTAAAATCATTAACATGTCAGTAAGTTAAACACAAATCTGACATTTACTTCCAACAAAATTTTGGAAAAAGTTGATTGGAAATTCTGAAGTAACTATATTCAGAAAAAAAACTGAAAACGATTGGAATTCAAAAGTCCTGCCTTTCTCTATTACTAGTGGGTCTGTCAATGAGAAATCACAAATAGAGACTGAATAAGGCAATGTATGATTGACTCTCCCATGTGAACTTTCAGGATTGTGTTTTATGTTTTTGTGGAAATGCTATCACTTCATAAAACGTTTCTTTTCCTTTCCAGAGGCTAAGATGCTAAACTTCAATTGACAATACTAGAAGGAGGGAAGGGGGAAGGAGGGAAGAAGTGAGGGAAGAAGGGAGGAGGGAGGGAGGAAGGCTAACAAGTTAAAAATCACCAAAAGTAGTATTCTTACAGCAGTAAATAAACATGTCATAACTTTTATATGTGAACATACTGAATGTCAAGAACTTAAAAGCCTGAAATTGTACCCCACTTACATGTTAACAAGTTAGCCTTTAACAAGTTAGCTTTTCATAGTTTCATGGATACTGGCTGGAGATACAGAGCTCCTGCATCAGAAATGAATGACTTTATTACACACAGCACAGCTGACTGTCTGAACTTCGTATTGCTACCAGTTACTCACATTTCAAGTTACTCACTCTTAAGTCTTGTGGGAATGATGCAGGTGCAGGCCCAAGTGAATTCTACTCATGTGAAGCTTTTGATTCACAGTTTAGAAATTCCAAGTTTAGTAAACATCAATTTTTTATAAGGGACTTTAAGCAAATATGTCCAACCTTTGCTGCAGAGAGGACATTATCTTTATTATAGTATATAGCAAATGAATCCATTCTGTGCTCCAGGTGAAAACGTTATCATTATCTTTCATGATTATTTGCTACGCAAGTACATATTCTTTAAAAGACAGTCAAGAACAGAAGCTTTCATCACCATATCTTCTTACTGGATTTGCAGAAATATGTGTCCATGGAAAATTTCCTCAATTAGAGCTACTTAATAAATGGACATACACTGGCCATTAAATATATATATGTGACACAGGATTTGGGGAGATTGTTTACGAGGTGACACTCTTTCAAAGGATGTGTGTAAAATCTTAACGTCTATCAGTCTTATGGAATTAAGCAAATTATTTAACCTTTGAAACCTATTTTCTTCACATTTAAAGTAGTATGTCCTCTACATCCCTAACAGAAGTATAAAAATCTACTCTGATAATGTAATTGAAAAAGTTGTATAAACTTTAAAATATGGTACAGTTTTTAGTTATCATATTAATTAATTAGGGTTGATGTGCTTTTATGTTTTTATTTTTAAAATATTTGTTATAGTAACAGTTTAATTTCTTGCATTTTATAAAAATAATTTTGGATGTTAAACTTTTGTAATTGTTGCTTATATGATTACATATTAGTCCACTTTCACACTGCCAATAAAGACATACCCGAGACCGGGCAACTTACGAAAGAGAGAGGTTTAATGCATTCACAGTTCATCATGGCTGGGAAGGCCTGACAATCATGGCAGAAGTTGAAAGGAACATCTCACATGGCGGCAGACAACTGAAGAGCACTTGCGCAGGGAAACTGCCTTTTTTTTTTTTTTTTTTGAGACCGAGTCTTGCTCTGTCGCCCTGGCTGGAGTGCAGTGGTATATTCTTAGCTCACTGCAAGCTCCGCCTCCTGGGTTCTCCTGCCTCAGCCTCCCGAGTAGCTGGGACTACAGGTGCCCACCACCATGCCTGGCTAATTTTTTGTATTTTTAGTAGACATGAGGTTTCACCATGTTAGCCATGTTGGTCTTGATCTCCTGTCCTCATGATCCGCCCGCCTCAGCCTCCCAAAGTGCTGGGATTACTGGCGTGAGCCACCGTGCCCGGCTTGGAAACTGCCATTTTTAAAACCATCAGATCACCAGGCGTGGTGGCTCACGCCTGTAATCCTAGCACTTTGGGAGGCCAAGGTGGTTGGATTACCTGAGGTCAGGAGTTTGAAACCAGCCTGGCCAACGTGGTGAAATCCTGTCTCTACTAAAAATACAAAAATTAGCTGGGTGTGGTTGTGTGCACCTGTAATCCCAGCAACTCGGGAAGCTGAGGCAAGAGAATTGCTTGACCCTGGGAGGCGATGTTGCAGTGAGCGAGATCATGCCACAGCACTCCAGCCTGGGTGACAGATTGAGACTTTGTCTCAAAAAAATAAAAAATAAAAATAAATAAATAAAGCCATCAGATCTTGTGAGACTTATTCATTATCATTAGAACAGCACAGGAAAAGCCTGCTCCTATGATTTAATTACCTCACACCAGGTCCCTCCCACAACACATGGGAATTAAAGATGAGATTTGGGTGAGGACACAGCCAAACCATATCGTTCTGCCCCTGCCTCCTTCTAAATCTCATGTCCTCACATTTCAAAACCAATCATGCCTTCCCAAAGTCCCCCAAAGCCTTAACTCATTTCAGCATTAACCCAAAAGTCCGCAGTCCAAAGTCTTACCCGAGACAAGACAACTTCCTTCTAACTATGAACCTGTACAATCAAAAGCAAGTTAGTTACTTCCTAGAGACAATGAGAGTACAGGCATTTGGCAAATACAGCCATTCCAAATGGGATAAATTGGCCAAAACAAAGGGGCTATAGGCCCCATGCAAGTCCAAAATCCAGAGCACAGTTAAATCTTAAAGCTCCAAAATAGTCTCTTTTGATTCCACGTCTCACATCCAGGTCACGCTGATGCAAAAGGTAGGTTCCCATGGTCTTCGGCCATCTCTGCCCCTGTGGCTTTCCAGAGTACAGCCTCCCTCCTGGCTGATTTCACGGGCTGGCATTGAGTGTCTGCAGCTTTTCCAGGAGCATGGTGCAAGCTCAGTGGATCTACCATTCTGGGGTCTGGAGGATAATGGCCCTCTTCTCACAGCTCCCGTAGGCAGTGCCCCAGTAGAGACGCTGTGTGGAGCCTCCAACCCCACTTTTCCCTTCCACACTGCGCTAGCAAAGGTTATCCACGAGGGCCCTGCCCCTGCAGCAAACGTCTGACTGGGCACCCAGGCGTTTTCATACATCTTCTGAAATCAAGGCGAAGGTTCCCAAACCTCAATTCTTGACTTCCATGCACCCACAAGCTCAGCACCATGTGGAAGCTGCCAGGGCTTGGGGATTCTACCCTCTGAATGAACAGTCCAGTCTGTACCTTGGCCCCTTTTAGCCATGGCTGGAGCAGCCGTAATACAGGGTACCAAGTCCCTAGAATTCACAACGGGGCTCTGGGCCTGGCCCATGAAACTATCTTTTTCTCCTAGATCGCTGAGTCTGTGATGGGAGGGGCTGCCAGGAAGACCTCTGACATGCCTTGGAGACATCTTCCCCATTGTCTTGGGGATTAACATTTGTCTTCTCATTACTTATGCAGATTACTGCAGCTGGTTTAAATCACTCCTCAGAAAATGGTATTTTCTTTTCTATTGCATTGTCAGGCTGCGAATTTTCCAAAATTTTATGCTCTGTTTCCCTTTTAAAACTGAATGCCTTTAACAGCACCCAAATCACCTCTTGATGCTTTGCCGCTTAGAAATTTCTCCCGGCCGGGCGCGGTGGCTCACGCCTGTAATCCCAGCACTTTGGGAGGCCGAGGCAGGCGGATCACAAGGTCAGGAGATCGAGACCATCCCGGCTAAAACGGTGAAACCCCGTCTCTACTAAAAATACAAAAAATTAGCCGGGCGTAGTGGCGGGCGCCTGTAGTCCCAGCTACTTGGGAGGCTGAGGCAGGAGAATGGCGTGAACCCGGGAGGCGGAGCTTGCAGTGAGCCGAGATCCCGCCACTGCACTCCAGCCTGGGCGACAGAGCGAGACTCCGTCTCAAAAAAAAAAAAAAAAAAAGAAATTTCTCCCGCCAGATACCCTAAATCATCTCTCTCAAGTTCAAGTTCCACAAATCTCTAGGGCAGGGGCAAAATGCCTCCAGTCTTTTTGCTAAAACATAGCAAGAATCACCTCTATTCCAGCTCCCAACAAGTTCCTCATCTCCATCTGAGACCACCTCACCCTGGATGTCATTGTTCATATCATTATCAGCATTTTGGTCAAAGCCATTCAACAAGCCTCTAGGGAGTTCCAAACTTTCCCACATTTTCCCATCTTCTTCTGAACCTTCCAAACTGTTTCAGCCTCTGTTACTCAGTTCCAAAGTCGCTTCCACATTTTTTGGGTATCCTTTCAGCAGTGCCCCACTCTACTGGTACCAATTTACTGTATTAGTCTGTTTTTACATTGCTGATAAAGACATACTAGAGGCCAGGCGTGGTGGCTCACGCCTGTAATCCCAGCACTTTGGGAAGGCGAAGCAGGTGGATCACCTGAGGTCAGGAGTTCGAGACCAGCCTGAGCAACATGGAGAAACCCCCTCTCTACTAAAAATACAAAATTAGCCAGGCATGATGGTGCAAGCCTGTAATCCCAGCTGCTCGGAGACTGAGGCAGGGGAATCACTTGAACCCAGGAGGCGGAGGTTGTGGTGAGCCAAGATCACACCATTGCACTCCAGACTGGGCAACAAGAGTGAAGCTCCATAAAAAAAAAAAAAAAAAAAAAAAAAAGACATACTTGATACTGGGCAATTTACAAAAGAAAGAGGTTAATGCACTCACAGTTCCACATGGCTGGGGAGGCCTCACAATCGTGGTGGAAGGTGAAAGGCACATCTCACATGGCAGCAGATAAGAGAATAAGGGGGCTTGTGTAGGGAAATACCCATTTTCAAAACCCTCAGATCTTGTGAGACTTATTCACTATCACAAGAGCAGCATGAGAAAGACCCTCCCCCATGATTCGATTACCTCCCACCAGGTCCCTCCCACAACATGTGGGAATTCAAGATGAGATTTCTGTGGGAATACAGCCAAACCATCTCAGATTATTTATAATAAAATATTCTATATTTATTCCTGGTTACAAGTACCTTTAAAAATATTGAACTATTAATATTAAACTATTAATCTCAGAATACTCCTTCAATGTTATTAACCAACACTGCTTCTCAAATATACAAAAATTTAACTGTCAGAAATTTGTTTTCATGAACATATATATCCATGCTCTATTTAATTATATGTATTATCTAATTTTACTGAGGCAAAATTTGAATTTCAGGTAGATGTTTTATTATCAGGGGAAACCTGATTTCTAACAATTTACTTTCAGAAAAGAAATCCTACCAAATTAATAAAAATCTAAGGTCTGGATTCATTTGAAAGGGTAGATCTACTTGTAGTTCTAATTTATTTCTCCCAACATTTCATCTTTAATAATTTAAGCCTATAAGAATGTTGTAAGCATAGTGTGGAATCATAAACCAAATATACTTCCTCTAGCTTCATCAGTCATCATGATTTTGTCCCAATTCCTCTACACATATGCATCGTTTTCTAGTTCATTGTGGACATAATGCTTCATTCCTATCTCCTGTGGAAAATGGCATTCTATTACATCATAACAATGACCATATATGTGGTACAATCAGCCAATACAATATTTATATAATATTGTAATCTACAGTCCACATTCAGATATCCTCAATGGTCCCATTAATATATTTCATGTTTCTTTTTTTATTGTCTGTGTTTATTTTTTCCAATACTGCATGCACAATAGATTATGCTCTTTTTTTTTTTCTCTTAGTTGGCATCTTTCTTGAAGAAATGTTTTTGCAATATACCTTTGGATTTAAAGTCATCACAGTTCACTGAATTTTTTCAGCACTGTTTTCTTTAGTCTCTGGGTGTATTTTTTTATCCTCTGCCAAAAGTTGGATACAAGGTATAAACTTTCAGTTATAAGATGAATAAGTTTTGGGAATCTAATATACAGCGTGATGACTATTGTTAATAATACTGTATTTTATACTAAAATTTGCAGAGAGAGTGATCTTAAATGTTCTCACCTCATACACACAAAAGGTAGCTACATGAAGTCATAGATGTGTTAATTACCTTTATGGAGTAATCATTTCACATTGTATACATATCTCAAATCATCACATTATATACTTAAATATATACAATTTTATTTTTTATTTATATCACAACAAAGACAGGAAAAAATATGTTTATACAGAATAGTGATTAGTATTGACTCAATTAGTTTTTTTTTTAAGAACACTCCCTCCCACTAAAGGGTAACAAGAATAGGTAAGTTTCACATATTATTTTATACTTTATACAAGTGGAATAATACAGTACATATTCCTTTATGTCTGGTTGCTTTTGCTCAGCATTAACTCTCTAAAATTCATCCATCCTTTTGCTAGTTCTCTTATTCCCTTGCTTTATGCATTTCGTTGTGTGAATACACCACACATTATTTATCCATTCTACTACTTGTGGGTGTTTGGATAATTTTAAATTTGTTCCACTATAAATACGTATAATCTAATCATCCCACTACCTGACATTTTGGTGAATATATAAAGAAAAAACTAGAAGCATGACAGCTTGAACATAGAGTATGTCAAGGTTTTATTGTAATAGGAAAACCCAGAAATATTTTCTAATGTGACTATAACAAGTTACCCTTCCTCCAGCAGTGTATAAGAGTTGTGGTTGTTTCCTATCCTTACCACATATGACATTTTCAATATTTCCATTTTAGCCATGCTGCTAGGTTATTAGTTGTGATACATTATAGTTGCATTTTTAACTTATTTATAATTTTGAGCACTGTTTATATCTTACTAACAATAAAACAGTGCTCCTGTTGTATTGTCTCAATTTTTAGTCATTAGTAAAAATTATCTGTCTTATGGATTTGAGTCCTTCCTTAGATATGCATTTCCAGTAACTCTTTCTATTGTTAGTAGTTTTGTTTATTCTTATTGCTATCTTTTGTGAACTAAAGTTCTTGATTTTAATATGGTCCAATTTATAGTTTATATTTTTATTAGTAGTACATTTTTGTCATATTTCTTTGTATGCTTTAATGTCATCAAAATGCTTTAAATTTTCTTTTCCTTTTCATTGAAATTCACTTGAAATTGTGTATGTGTGTATAGTGTAAGATAGGGAGGATAATTTTCTTCTTGATAATATGATATTGATCCCAATCGGGTGGTCACTTATAAGCAAGTGTACTTCTGGAATCTGTATTCTGTTATATACTTTAGTTTCTGTAAACTTACACCAATACCACATTATTTTAATTACTATAGTTTGATGGTAATTGATATTTGATTGTTCAGCTTTTATTCGTCTTTAAGACTGCTCTATCTATATGCAATTTGCATTTTGATATACATTTTTAGAATAAGATTAATTTAAAAAGAATTAACACACAATACCAAGTTCTTCAATATATGAATATATTGGTCTTAATATTTTTTTAGGTCTTCATTAGTGATGTTTTGTAGTTTTCTGTGAAGAGGTCATATATATATATATATATATATATATTTTTTTTTTTTTTTTGAGACGGAGTCTTGCTCTGTTGCCCAGGCTGTAGTGCAGTGGCACAATCTTGGCTCACTGCAACCTCCACCTCCAAGGTTCTAGCTATTATCCTGCCTCAGCCTCCCAAGTATCTGAGATTACAGGCACATGCCACCACGCCCGGCTAATTTTTTATTTTTAGTAGAGACAGGGTTTCACAATATTGGCCAGGCTGGTCTTGAACTCCTGACCTCGTGATCTGCCCACCTCAGTCTCCCAAAGTGCTAGGATTACAAGCATGAGCCACCACACCCAGCCATATTTTTGTTATTTTTCTAATTATTTGTTAAATTTAATTACATTATGAAAGCAATATTTTTAATTTTAATGTCCATAATCTGTTAACTTTTATTATATTGCTGGTTTTATTGGTTAATATACTATTTTTACAATTTTTGTCCCTATGGACATCTCTTTCTTTTCAGTGTTTTTACTGTGGTTGTAATGAACACAATTATCATAATTCATGCTAACTAATAAGTATTTTCAAACTTTTGAAAAACATATCTAAACACTTTAAAAAATAAAAATATGAAATAATTATATTTCTAAATATTCAATACAAACTAACTGAGTAAAATATTTGGACATATAACATTAAAAAGCAGTAAAGTATAGAAAAGACAATATACAGATTGAGTGGAAATATTTGCAAGCCATAGACCTGATAAGAGATTATGTCCAAAATACATAAGGAACTCAAATAACTCTCTTTACAAAAACAAATCTGGATAAAAAAATGGGCAAAGGATCTGAATGGACATTTCTCAGAAAAAGACATATAATGACCAACAGATATTTGAAAAAAAATTCAATATATCTAATCGTTAAGGAAATGCAAATCAAAACTACAAGATTTCATCTCCCACCTATCAGAATGGCTATCATCAAAAAGACAAAAATTACCCAGTGTTAAAAAGGATATAGAGAAAAGGGAGCCCTTGTATACTGTTGGTGGCAATTTAAATTAATACAGCCATTATGGTAAACTGTATTAAGGTTCCACAGAAAATGGAAAAATAGAATTATTATATAATCCAGCAATGCCACCTTTGGGTATTTATTCAAAAGATTTGAAATCTGTATGTTAATGAGATGTCTGCACTTCCATATTTATCACAGTACTATTTACAATAGCCAAGTTATAGGATCAAGTCAAGTGTGCATCAACAGATGAATGGATAAAGAAAATGTGTCATATATACACAAAAGAATACTATTCAGTCTTAGGAAAGGAAATTATGTCGTTTGTGACAAGGTGCATATGCATGGATAACATTATGTTAAGTGAAATATGTCAGGCACAAAACAGCAAATTCCACATGTTCTCGCTTATATGTGTAATCTAAAAAAGTTGAATTTATTAATGAAGAAAACAGAATGGCAGTTACCAGAAGCTGAGGATGTGGGGTAAATGATGAGATGGTAGTCAAAGGTTACAGCACCTCAATTAGACTATAGGAATAAGGTTTGTTTATTTGAGATCTACTGTGCAGCATGGTATATATAGTTAATAGTAGTGTATTGTACATTTCAAGATTGGTAAGGGTAAATTTCAAATGTTCCCACCAAAAAAAAAGACAAGTGTTTGTGGTGATGGATATATTAATTACCTTTATTTAATTATTTCATATTATATTCATGAATCATAACATCATTTGTACCCCATAATTTGTCAATTTACAATAAGAAATTTTTAAACACCTTCAAATTGAATAAACATAAGGCATGAAATATCTATTTATATACAGCTAGTAAAACTGGGAATTTTAGAAAATCAGCACATTTTAATCGTTTTATTTATGAATAAAAAGGTAATCTAAAGAGAATAAGAAAATAATTTCCCATTGTAATCAGATTTAGCCAATTCCCTTTAACATAATTTATAATTTCATTTCCAAAACTTATATATTTTAGAAATGTAACTCTTTGCAAATCAATTATATTTATATTATAAATCATCACTTAGTTGGATAACTTCCACATTACTTAAGGAATACAACTTCTTCTTTGATTTGTGAACTAGTTACCTGAGGATATTTAAATACAATAAAATATATTGTGTTGTCTGTGAAGATATTCATTTGGAAACAAAATACCAGTCCATTTTTCTGTGGAATCCTTTCTCTGTTTCACACTCACACATACCCACCCACACCCATACACAAGTCCTTTAGCCCCACCCAAGCAAGAAATAAAGGGTTTTTTTGTTTGTTTTGTTTTGTTTTGTTTGAGACAGTTGACTCTGTTACCCAGGCTGGAGTGCAGGGGCGCGATTTTGGCTCACTGCAACCTCTGCCTCCTGGGTTCCAGCGATTCTTGTGCCTCAGCCTCCCAAATAGCTGGAGTTACAAGTGCTTGCCACCCTCCAGGCTAATTTTTTGTATTTTTAGTAGAGACAGGGTTTAACCATGTTGCCCAAGCTGGTCTCAAACTCCTGGCCTCAAGTGATCCACCAGTCTGCCTCTGCTTCCCAAAGTTCTAGGATTACGTGCTTGAAACTCTGCGCTTGGCCTGTTTTTTGTTGCTGTTGTTTTTTGTTTTTTGGGTTTTTTTGGTTTAACTTTTATTTTAGGTTTTGGGGTACCTGTGAAGGTTTGTTATAAAGGTAAACACCTGTCACAGGGGTTTGTGGTACATATTATTACATCACCCAGGTATTAAGCCCAGTAACCAATGGTTACCTTCTCTGCTCCTCTCCTTTCTCCATCCCTACCCACTCAAGTCGATCCTAGTGTCTGTTTCCTTCTTTGTATTCATAAGTTGAAAATTTTTCTAGTCTTAAAGGAAAGTTTCTATTATATTCATATTTCTTCACTAAAATTTTCTTATACTGCTTTAGCCATGCTACCTTCTGATACACATGCCTAAACAATTAATACACTTTATTTTTAGAACTGTTTCATATTTGAAAGAAAAAAAAATGCAAGAATAGTGCAGCAGATTGTCATGTATCCTATGCTGTTTTTCCAGCTATTACAGTCTTATACTAGTATGGTTTATTTTTTACAATTAAGGAATTAATGTTTATATATTATAGGCCATATTCTATATTTTGTCAATAATTCCAGTCCTTTTTTCTGTTCTAAAATTCCATGTAAGATACCATTTTGACTTTAGTTTTCATTTATTCCTAGGCTCCTCATGGTAGTGAGAGTTTTTCAGACTTCCTCTTCTTTTTTTTTGACCTTGCCAGTTTTAAAGAAGATTGGTCAAGTATTTTGCAGAGTGTCCCCCTAGCAGAATTTGTCTAATTATTTATTTATTTAGTAATTAGATTTGGTTGATGTGTTTTTGGGAGGAAGACCACAGTGGAAAGTACATTCTCATCATAGTATAGGGTACATGCTATTGATATGATTTATCACTGTGGATGTAAATCTTGGTCAACTAGCTGAAGTACTGTTATTCAGTAGACTTCTATATTTTATTTTCTCTTTTCATACTGTACTTTTTGGAAAAATTGTACTCTTTAGAATTCTTTTGCATAAGTGATTTTTCTCTTCTTCCCTTATTATTTTTTCAGTCATTTATTTGTATTGATATGAATACTTGAATATATACTTTATACTTTGGTATGTAACCCAATACTACTTTACTTATTTTACTTGTTTTATTGCTCAACTGGTTTCATCTTTGGCCATTGAGCTCTTTTATTTGGCTACTGTATTCTTTTGACATACTCCCATTACAGTAGCTTTATTTTTTCCTATAGTGTTTTGTTTGTTTGATTAACTTTCTAGCACTACAGTGTTACAATGTTTCAGTATGGTTCCTTTAACTGAAGAATAGTATTAGAAATCAACATCTGGGCTCTGAGTGTGCTCTTTGCTACTGGTTCATTCTTGACAATCTTATATGGATATATACATATATGCATGTCTACTAACTTGTATATATACAAATATGTATAAGTAATTCTATATAAAGCTATCTGTATTTATATTAAGCAAAATGTCATTTTTCAGATATAGATCATTTTAGCCTTCATGATCTGTAAATTATTTGTCATTTGCACATCTTCTTTAGTTGACGTCTTTTCGGATATTTGGCCCATTTTGAATGGATTGTTTGCTTTCTAATTTTTTAATTAAAGTTCTTTGTTTGGACACACATCCTTTATCAGATCTTGTACATAATTTATTAGAATAATATCTATGTTTTTCATTTTCTTGTAATATTATAAATGGTTTTGTGATTTCAAATTTCAAGTTCTAATTGTCCATTACTGATATATAGGATAATTTGGTTTTGTAAAATAACCAATGTCCATGGTACACAGTTCTACTAGTATTAAGTATTTTCTGTCCATTGTTTGGGGTATTCTATACAGGCAATTGCGTGATTTAGAAACAGGCACAGTATTATTTTTCCCTTTGATATATGCATACTCCTTATTTCCTTTTCTTGTCTTATTGCACTATCTAGAATTTCCAATATGAGCTTGAATACGAATGGTAAGAGAAAATATTCTTGCCTTGTTCATGACCTTAGGGGAATATCTCTGGTTCCTCAGCATTAACTATGTTAGCTATAGAATGTCTGTAGGTGTGCTGTATCAAGTTTAGGAAGTTTTCCTATGTTCCTAGTTTGTTGAGCATTTTTTTGAAAAAATTATTCAATTTCATTAAATGCTTTCTATGAATCAATGTGACCATAAATGTTTCTTCTTTATCTAGTTTATGAGTTAGATTGTATTGATTTTTTTTTTTTGGCCATGTGAAATCAGGTTTGCATATTTGTAATAAATCTCCCTTAGTCGTGGTGAATAATTAATGTTGTACATTGTTAGACAGAATTATCTCACATTTTGTTTAAGTGTTTTTTTGTTCTTGTGTTTGTGTTTGCTTATTGCTTTGGCATCCATGGCTATAAGAGAAGAAATATTGGTTGTATTTATTTTTGTAATGTTTCTATCTGGTTTTGGTAGTAGGGTAATGCTAGCCTAATAGAGTGATTTAGGAATTGTTTCTTCGCTTCTATTTTCTGGGAGATATTGTGCAGAATTGCTATAATTTTTTTTAATATGCTGTTTGAACAAAATAAGGATTTGTTTTCATCCTAACTATATTTATCCCTATAGCAATGTTCACCAGCTGGACTCCTTGCCAAAATGAGCCAGATTATATTAAGAAAAAAATTAAGCTATTTTATCCTTTATCATTTACATTTTTAAACACATTTATTGACTCCATACAAAATTAAATATCTACATACTGTTAAATTTAATTAACATACTAACTACATTTTCCTTTTTCATTAAAATATTCTCAATGCCTAGCTCAATAAATAGTACGCACTCAGTAAACAGTCATTGCCTGATCATGCCTCCACACACACACAAATGCGTTTGGCAAAAATGTTTCAACAACTAAAAAATCAAGTTGCTGACTTAGTATAAAGAAGAATAATCTTATATCTTTTTAATGCTTAATGAAAACAGTAGGAAATCACTACTTGTAGAGAGATAAGGTATGGTGAAATATCTTATACCAATTTGCCTCCTACAAATTAGCTAGCTAAAACAATAGTGGAACTGAATTTTCACCATATCTATGACATATAAATAGCTATACACTTTAAAATAATGTCCTATAATATGAACTGCGTTGTTGAAAATGAGAGGTGGACATTGGCATATTAACACTATAAAAAGGGCACTAGTTTTTAAATTGTTAAAATTCTCATTGTCATACAGCTAGATAATCAGTATATGTCAATGTCACATTTAACACACTAATGAGAGAACCAGCAGAATGGCAGGGCTTATTAAAATTTAATATGAGAAACTGAGACTTACATAGTGCTGAAATAAGATTGTTAGTTTCAAGAACTGTGAAAAGTGTGAGAATTTTATACTACTTTCAGGCTTGACACAGTTTCATGGATACTTGTAGAACACACGAGATTCCTGGGTCAGAGACAGAGGACAGTTAATCAGAGCAATATAAATAATCAGAGTACAGCATTTTTGTTTTTGTTTTTACTTTCGTTCAGTTCCATGATCTCTAATACCTACAGGTTATTGGAATATGTCAAAAAAATTGTTGTACTAGACAGATTGAACAAACAAGGTAGACTTTATTTAAGACTATTGCGTTAGCAGTAGGAAAAGTCATTTTCAAGCAAATTGCCGTCTAGAAGTCAAAGGGTTTCTTCTGTGCATTCCTCTTTGTGAAGCCGAAAGAACCACTTCACACAATCCGTAGGCAAGAAATTAGGAAAAGTAGCAAGATTATAACGATAAAGGAAACAGACTGACCCCAACTTCACTGAAAAAAGGAAAGAATAGTTTTAAAGCACTATAGTGAGTTAGTAGAAAAGTAATGGAGACATTATCAGAGAGGTGTTTAATGTGATTAAGCCATCTGTGTTTGTTAATTTGTGCTTATCTGAGTTTGGCTCCTACCCTTCTACAGAGACAAGGCTACTATATTTCCTAATGATTATATTTAAAACGGATGGCTGTCACTTTCTTATAAGATGTTCCTTGCCAGGCACAGTGGCTCACGCTTGTAATCCCAGCACGTTGGGAAGCTGAGGCAGGCGGATCACTTGAGGTCAGGAGTTCAAGACCAGCCTCACCAACATTGTGAAACTCCTGTCTCTACTAAAAATACAAAAATTAGCGTGGTGTGGTGATGTGTGCCTGTAATCCCAGCCACTCGGGAGGCTGAGGCAGGAGAATCTCTTGAACACGGGAGGCGGAGGTTGCAGTGAGCCGAGATCATGCAACTGCACTCCAGCTTGGAAGGCAGAGCAAGACTCCATTTGAAAAAAAAAAAAAAAAGACATTCCTAGGCAAAACTAGCAAGAGGCAGGGGCGGGGGGGAACAGGAGGGGTGGGGGTGGGAGGGGGAAAGGGACGGACGGGCATTGGGGGGATGGTGAGGGGTGCCGAGACCAGCTCCGTGGGGGAGACCCTAACCCAGCAGTGCTAGAGGAATTAAAGACACACACACAGAAATATAGAGGTGTGAAGTTGGAAATCAGGGGTCTCACAGCCTTCAGAGCTGAAAGCCCCAACAGAGATTTACCCACGTATTTATTAACAGCAAGCCAGTCATTAGCATTGTTTCTATAGATATTAAATTAACTAAAATATCCCTTATGGGAAACGAAGGGATGGGCCAAATTAAAGGAATAGGTTGGGCTACTTAACTGCAGCAGCAGCACGTCCTTAAGGCACAGATCGTTCATGCTATTGTTTGTGGCTTAAGAATGCCTTTAAGCAGTTTTCCGCCCTGGGTGGGCCAGGTGTTCCTTGCCCTCATTCCGGTAAACCCACAACCTTCCAGCGTTGGCGTTATGGCCATCATGAACATGTCACAGTGCTGCAGAGATTTTGTTTATGGCCATTTTTGGGGCCAGTTTATGGCCAGATTTTTGGGGGCTTGTTCCCAACAGAGTGGGGGATGGGGAGGTTGGGAGGGGTGAAGATTTACATCTCAAAGGAGACAAAAAATAATTTATAACTACACATTTTCTAATATAAATTTTCTAAAAATAAGTGAGGCCAGGGGTGTAGAGTCAGGAAGAAAGCTGTGGAAAATTTAATCAAGCTAAGGAGAACCTGAAGGTAGTCTTGGTTCCATGACACCTTTATAAAGAGGAATGCATGTTTCTGAATTTGGTTATATCAAATTCTTTGATAAAAGTCAGTAGTCATGACTCATCTTTACTCCTGAGGAAGACACTTTATTGTCTAATTCTGTTTACTATACAAATCTCTGGAAAAGATAGTCTGGTACAAAGGGTACCTTCCTCTCAAAATGTGCAGAAGTGTAGAAGACCCATGGATTATTGTCTCCCAATCCTAATTTAGATATAAATTGTGGAAGGAAAATAAATCTCAGGATCCCCAAATTACTAAGCCAAAGGAAAAAGTCAATCTGGAAACTGTCAGGCAAACCTACACCCCATTTTCTTCCTAAATAAAATAGCTACAAAGGAAAAGAAGAAGAGCTGAATACCTCCCTCACAATTTGTCCTCTAGGAAAGTCCTTGTGGGCCCTAAGATATTTACTCTAAAATGGTTCGCTGAATTTCACCCTGACAATGTAAATTGATGGCATATCTTCACAGGTGCAGGACAAAGGAAAGACAGAGCTCTAAGTCATCCTTCTGCTCACCTGAGACAAATTGTTATCTGATTGCTTCTTCTGATGCAAAAATGCAGACACTTCTACCCCTCTCTAACTTGTAAATTGCATATTCAGTGAAAGGCTGATCAAAGACTCAAAATAGTGCAACTGTTTGTCTCTTACCTACCTACACCTTTTAAAAATTTATTCCTCTTTCCCCAATATCCACCATTTTCCCTATAAATATTGAAGCCCTCAAAATCATCTTTAGAAAACGTACAGACCTGCGTCTACCTTCTCGAAAGGTGCACGGTTTTTTGATTTTTGTTTGTTTGTTTTATTGTTTTTGTTTGTTTGTTTAGAGACGGAGTCTCGCTCTGTCACCAGACTGGAGTGCAGTGGTGTGATCTCGGCTCACTGCAACCTCAGCATCCTGAGTTCAAGTGATTCTTGTGCCTCAGCCTCCTGAGTAGCTGGGATTACAGGCACACACCACCACACCTAGGTAATTTTTGTGTTTTTAGTAGAGACAGGGTTTCACCATATTGTCCAGGATGGTCTCAATCTCCTGACCTCGTGATCCACCCGCCTTGGTCTCTCAAAGGGCTGGGATTACAGGCATGAGCCACCACGCCCAGAAGAAAGGTGCATGTTTTTAACCTTAGCAAAATAAACTTTCTAAATTGACTGAGACCTGTCTCAGATACTTTTTGGTTCACAAAACCTTGTTAATGTGTTATGGATAACAAAAATCTAACATCTTGGTTATCTTCTATGTTGGAAAGAAAAAATGAGCAGACCTCATAAGCTGTCTTAAATTAACTTTTATCTTTAGATAGTTTAAAACACAGGCCTCATAATAACTAAATACTCAAAATTGATGTATTTCTTTAGAGTCAGATGACATTTTGAGGGGCTTATTAGAAAATGAGGCAGCATGAGAAAAATGTCGCATATTCACATTTCTGACTTTTTACCCCAAGAATTGATATCTATCCTGAATGGTCAAACCTGTGGTTTAAAATAATCTCTGAACACTATTTCTAGTCACAAATAGAGTAGGTTTATTGTGTTTGTGCTAAGATCATTTGAAAGATTTCTAGCTTACCTTTTCCTACCCATTTTTACAGATAATGGAAATTTGACATAGATTCAAATGATAGCCTACAACTTGTAAATCAAAGCAACAACAATAATAATAATAACTGAGGCAAGTGTCAATTAATTTTGAGGTTTATTTTGCCAAGGTTGAGATTGTGCCTGGGGGAGGGGAGTGGGATGGGGTGGAGGAACAAACAGAAATCACATCTGTGATCCATACTTTTCCCAAAGAGAGTTTTGAGCACTTCAATATTCAAAAGAGAAACAGTAAGCAGGAGGGGAAGGAAGAAAGAAAAAAATTGGGGGAAGGTAGGCAATGAGGCAAGTGGTTACATTCTTGTAAGGCTTTGATTAGTGCTCAGTGAATTCATATTTTACATGTGAAAGGAAAGGGTAGAGGAATAATCAATTATGCATTTGCTTCATGCTCAGTAAATCTGCATTTTACATAAGATAAAGAAAACATGGAGGAAGGAGTGAAATATGATTTCTAGTTTTGTCTTTGTCCTGTTCCTAAGAAGATAAGCTGTTAATTTATATTGTCAAGATGAGATTCAACAGTACTCTGTTTTAGGGTTAGTTCACAGAAGAATCTGTATTCTAAAAAATTTGGCGGCCCACAAGGAATTTTCTGATGAGCAATTTGTGAGGAAAGTGACCTGGAGAGATATGTGACTTTCTATCATTGTAGCTGTCTGTTTGGAAAAAAGAAAGAAGGCAGTTTTTTGTTTTGCTTTGTTTTGTTTTTTCATAACTCAGTTCTCACGCTTTTCTTTTGGTATAGTAAGTTCGAGGGTCCCAAGACTTTGTTTTTCTTCCACAATGTGAAATCAAAATTACCATCAATATTTGTACAATTAATACTAATTCAGTAGTAGGTAGTCTGTGAATTTATGACAGTATATGTGTATATTATATTCTATTTGACTAATTTATTTACATAGCTTCCAAAGTTGTATTAGCTAACATTTTGTCTTATTCTGTTTTCTACTGCTACAACAGAATACCTGAGATGGGGTAATATGCAAATAATAGAAATTTATTTTACTCATTTCTGGAGACTGGGAAGTCTAGGAGCATGGTATGGACATCTAAGAAAGGTCATCTCATAGTAGGAGGGCATAAGGCATAAGTGAGCTCACAAGACGAGAGAAATCAGGCCAAGCTCATCTTTCTTGTCAGGAGCTCACTGTTAGTGTAACTAACCCACTCCACAAGAACAGCATGAAACCATTTTTAAAGCTTCCACTTCCCAGTACCATTACATTGATAATTACATTTCAACATGAGTTTTGGAGGGAACATTCAAACCACAGCACATTTTTGCTGCATTGTCAATAAATTTAAAAGCACAGGGTATGAGGTTAGATGGTTAACTTATGTCTTGGGCCTTTACAAAGCTGGAATTAAAGTCATTTACCTGGTCTAAGGCTAGGATTACACAAGCACTAGAAAAGCATAACATTAATTACATCAGAAGATTTTGTAAGCATCTTTTTCACAAAAGAAGTATAATAATTGTAATTGAATAGTGAACTGTATCAGAGAAGTATATTTAAATTAGCATTACTGGAATATATATATGTGTATATGTAAATTATGGTTATTCAGTTGCATGACGGTGGAAATGAGGGTTTTTCTTTCCTTTTGAGACAGGGTTTCACTCCCATCACCCAGGCTGGAGAGCAATGGTGTGATCCCAGCTCACTGCAACCTCCACCTCTAGGGCTCAAGAGATCTGACCACTTCAGACTTATTTTCATGACAATATACTTATTTACATATGTTTAATCTGACTTAAATCTTTATATATGTTATTGGTCATTGCTTGGAAACGTTGGCAGATGAAATAAGTAAAATTATTTCTATATTCTGAGTCATTTTTTCATATTCACTGAATGTTTTCTTATAATCTATGTTAATATTTCTCATATTTCACAAGTCTTGAGAAATACGATTAAACACAGTATCATCTGAAGAGGGTTTTACTCTAGTTTTTACACTGCATCTGTTAAATTCAGATGAAAGACAAGAAATATTTTTGTTAAATGCTCATCAGAAAATAAAGTATTTAAAGTAATATAAGATTATTTCTTGAGTCCTTGCTTTTTATGTGACAAGGAAAAGAACATGGTCATACCGAAAAGGGTGGTGGCCATGTGAAGCCCACTTGCTACACATACCCTGTCTGCTGTATGCCAGAGGATGTGGCCATTCAGTCGCTCAACACCTAGAAATGACAAATACTCCAAGTGATGGACATCTCAAATATTCTGACTTGATCATTACACATTCTATGCAAATAAAAATATCATATTTTACATAAATATGCAAAATTGTATGTATCAACAAAAAAAAGGTAGCATGGAAAAATGTTTGTTATTTGAAATACAGTAGAGACCACAGCCTTCAATTCCCCAAGGTCAGTGTCTTTGTTGCCTGTGTGCTTCCCAAGCTATGACACTATATTATTGTATAAGTTATGCCATTTATAGCAAGGTTGTTTTGTGAAAGGCCTGTATGTGCAAACCAATCCCCAAATGCAGAAGGATTTGAGAAATCAAAGAATGAAGTAGATAAATCAAGTTAGTCAGCAAAAGGCAATTTATTGGGGAAGTTAGGGACAGAAGCGTTGTCTTCAGCAGCTGCAAGACAGGTAGATCTCTGCACTGTTACCCCCTATACCCAGGGCTTATATATCACAGGGAAAGGGTATCATGCTTCAGAAGGAACATATAGCACAATTGAAGTTTACCCTTCAGGGAAAGGCAAGAATGAAATATGCTTTTTTGGCTATAATTTGCCTAAGGGCAGGATTGATGTTAAGTACATGTTTATAACATAAATGTTGTTTTGATCTAAGGGTAAGAGTTACAGTAAGTGCTTTTCCACAAGGGACAGTAAAAAAAGTATAAATCTTAGAGACATTCCTGCAACTGGAGTTAATCAGAAGTCAACATGAATTACCATCCAAGATGGAGTTGCTTTAGCCTCAACAGTAGTCAGTAACCATTCTTGTGAAGCCAGGAAAGAACCAACATGTCTCGCCTTAAGTTAGACCTGTGGGTGCTACCTCATAACCTCTACCAAAGCCCATATAAGAAGCTGAGTCTTTAAAGACTGAAGAAAATCTAAGCTCCAAAAAAAAAAAAAGAGGAAATTATATATTACACAAACAAACAAACCATCTTAAATAATTACAAATAATTTTATATAATCAATTTAATATATAATCAATTCAAAATCCATTAGATCTTTTGCTACAAGACTGCTTTTACAAAGTCATCTCTTCGGGGAAAATAGTCCTTAAGTTCTTGAGTCAGTTGCCTACTCCAGTAATATGGTTGTTGTTCATTGTGGTGATATTAGCGTAAACCAGTTACCTATTCCTTACAATATCAATAACCAAGGGCATTTGCTTCACTTCTTTTATATTTATTAATCACATATTAAAATGCATTATGTAAAGGAACAATAATAATAATAATAACTGAGGCAAGTCTCAGTTAATTTTGAGGTTTATTTTGCCAAGGTTGAAATTGTGCCGGTGGGAGGAGAGTGGGATGGGGTGGAAGAACAAACAGAAATCACATCTGTGATCCATACTTTTCCCAAAGAGAGTTTTGAGCAGTTCAATATTTAAAAGAAAAAGAGTAAGCAGGAGGAGAA
Organism: Homo sapiens; assembly: GCF_000001405.40. NCBI lineage: Eukaryota > Metazoa > Chordata > Mammalia > Primates > Hominidae > Homo > Homo sapiens. Next base: position 56,398,477 of record NC_000013.11, read on the forward strand.
GGAAGAAAGAAAAAAAATGGAGGAAGGTAGTTGCTACCTTAGTATTTATATTTTCTTTCTTATCTATGATTAAAGATCAATCTATTTAAAATAACTTGTTTCTGTAGAATGCATGAATGACAGATTTGGATGATTAGATAATTTCCGAGAATTTCCTCCAACTCTGTTCACAGTTACATATTATTGCAATTATAAACACAGCATTGTAATTGGCTAATTAAACTTCTTCTTTGTGAAAGGGGTAAAAGCTTTTCTTCTTTACAGATAACAGACAACTACCAGCAATTTCAATTCACATAAAAATAAACGTATGTGCAAAACCTATAAGAAAAACAAAAACACTTTTAAAGAGAAAGAACCCTGAAAACGTATAGTTGCCCAATTTGTCTTATATAAATTGTTACCATTTTTCACATTCATCAGAAATAATTTATTTCTCATTCACTGGATTTTGCTATGTGCAAACCAAAGAATTCCTTATATTAACAGTAAACATGGTCATAAAACTAGCAATCTTATTATTCTACTTCAGCTGGGTTGTTTTGCCTAAAAATCCTACTCTTGGAGATATCTGGCAATATTTGGAGACATATTTGGTTGCCACAGCTAGAACAACTTGAGTGTAGGGTTAGAGTATTACTGACATTTTGTGAGTAGAGGCCAGGGATATGATGAAATATTTATATTGCACAGGATAGTCCCTAAAATAAAGAATTATACAGCCCAGAATATCAATAGTGCCAAGGAAAGGTTTTGAAATCCTGCCCTACTTCATGTTTCCAAAGCTACCACAGACTATTGGACAGAAAAGCTGTTTTTGTTTTTGTTTTTCACACCCAGAGACCTCATATTAGATGCTTGGCACCTAATTGAAAGATGGATGTGGTGCTGCAGATTTTCACTCTTAAAGACTGTATTCAGATCTTATCACTTCCCATCTGAAACATACATAAGAAACATATTTCTCAGTTGTTGATTTTTCAAATGCAAACAGACCTTAACCAGATCAAATAAATAGGTGAATAATGATCAGATTTTGATATTGGAGATACTGAAAATGAACTTATAAATTTCTGGGTCTCAACAAAAACTAATCTATAGGTTATAGCAGTTTTGGTACAGGAAAATTAAGATAAGAAAAAAAAATCTTAATTTTTTTTCTGTTTTAGTGGATTGCAACTCAGCAAGCCCATCTAGAACATTACTACTTACAGTCAGTTTAACAAGCTAAAGAAATGTATCGTTCTTCAGCATCTACAAAAGATAGAACAGTAAGGATCCCAAAAGATAAAATCTTTTATACTAACTCATTATAAGGTTTAGCCCCATTCATTATTTTATGGGGTATTGATACATATTAAAAAAAATAGAGGAGAGAGAGAGAGAGAAATATAATGAAAAGGTAAGAAATACTCAAGGTTCAAAAAAAACCAAAAAATTTTAAAAAACAAAAAGACTATATGTATCGCAGAAGCACAGTTTAAGCATATAGGTTTAATGAGAGATAATGATAAGCATTCATTTAGGTGAGTTTGTTCTGGAATGTGATGGTGATGGCAAGAAATTGACACATTTTTATACAAGTTTTTCAGTATTTTTTCTTAAAATATTGTGCTACTTAATTATTTTTGCATATTGATAAGTTATATGTTACATAAATTCATGTAAATAAGACATATACATTGTTAAACAAAATTCATAACTTTCTGATTATTTTCCGGATCATCTTAGCATTATTTGTACTACAAATGGCCTATGAGTATAAAAATTAATACTTGCAATACTTTGTTATATTTCTGTAATGCTTTGTTATATTTCCCTTGTAAAGAAAGATCAAATTAAAACTGTCCCTATCTATATTTAAGAGTAAGAAACTAGGGGAAGCAGCAGAGCAAGATGGATAAATAAAGCCTTTACCACTCGTCCTCTGCACAGGAACACCAAATTAAACAACTGATCACCCAAAAAAGTACCCTTATAAGAACCAAAAATCAGATGAGTAATCACAGAGTCTTAAATTCACATCACTGAAAGAGGCACTAAAGATAGCAGGAAAGACAGTCTTAAATTTCTAATGCCACTCCTCCCCCATCCTCTAGAAACAGTTGTGAGGCCTGAAAAAAGAATTTTTCCACTTGTAGGAAGGAGATCACAATGATTGTGGGACTCTGCATTAATACTCAGTCCTGCCCTGTCACAGTGGAAAGCAACACTGAGCAGAACTCAGTCAACACCCACGGAGGGAGCTTTTAGATCAGCCCTAGCCAGAGGGGGTTCACTCATCCCATCAGTAGGAATCTGAGTTGTGGCAAGCATCACTACAGTGGGCTGAAGGGCTCTGGGTTCCTAAGTGAATTTGAAGGGCAGTAGAGGCTACAGGAATGCAGGTCCTGGGCAGGTTCTGGTGCTGTGCTGGGCTCAGGGCCAGTGGACTTGGAGAACATGAGATGTAGTGAGACACCAGCTGGGACAGCTAGGAGAGTGCATGTGCCAACCCTCCGCAACTCCAGGCAGCACTGCTTGCAGCACTGAGAGAGCTGACTCCTTCAGCGTTAGGAGAGGTGAGAGAAGAATAAAGAGGACCTTGTCTTGACATTTGGATACCAGCTCAGCCACAGTAGGATAGGGCACTGGCAGAGTCCTGAGAGTACCATTTCCTGCCGTTGCTCCTAGATGACATTTCTGGACACACCCTGTGCCAGATGGGAATCTGTTGCCTTGAAGGGAAGAAGCCAGTCCTGGCAGAATTCATTATCTGCCGACTAAACAGCCCTTGCACCCTGAATAATCAGCAGTGGTAGCCAGGCGTTACTTGCAGTGGGCCTTGGGTGAGACTCAGAGATATGCTGGCTTTAGGTGTGACCCAGCACGTTCCCAGCTATAATGAGAAGACTCTTTCTGCTTGAGAAAAAGTTAGGGAAGAGTAAAGGTTTTTTTTTTTTTTTTTTTTCTTGCAGTTTAGGTACCAGCTCAGCCAAGTGGAGTAGAGCACCAAGTGGACTCTTGGAGTCCCTAATTCCAGACTGTGGCTCTTGGATGGCTGGATGGCATCTCTGGACCTTCCTTGGTCCAGAGAAAAGCCCACTGCCTTGAACAGAGACTATTAGGCCTGGCAGAATTCACCACAACTGTCTGAAGAGGCTTTGTCCTTGAGTGAACATTGGCGGCAGGCAGACAGTACTCATGGAACTAGAGCAGTGGTAAGCATAGGGAAGAGACTCTTCTGTTTGTGGAAAGAGGAGAGAAGACTGAGAAAAAACTTTTTCTTGAGGGGTGTGTGCCATCTCAGCCACAGTAGATTAGCGCACAAGGGAGATTCCTAAGGTTTCCAACTCTAGGCCCTGGCTCCCAGATGGTATCTATAGATCCTGCCAGGGCCTGGGGGGAATGTGCCATGCTGAAGAGAAGCACACAAGCCTTGCTGGCTTTGCCACTGGCTGATTGTAGAGTGCTAGAGCTTTAAGGAAACATGGGTGATAGCTAGGTGGTGGTTATCAGGAGCCTTGGTTAAGAGATAATACTATGCTGGCTTCAGGCCTGAGCCAGTGAATTCCCAGTACTGGTGGCCACCAGGGTGCTTGTGTCATCCAAACTGGGAAAAAAAGAAGTCAAATTTTCCCAGTTTGAAGGTGATATAATCTTATATTTGCAAAAACTTAGAGTATTAAAAAAATGGAGAAAGATGGTGGAATAGAAGTCTCCAATATCATCCCTCACACAGGAACACCAATTTAACAGCTGTCTACACACACACACACACACACACAAACACACAAGAACAGAAATCGGGTAAGCACTGTAGTACCTGGTTTTAACTTCATACACCTGAAAGAGGCAATGAAGAGGTAGGAAATACTGTCTTGAATCACTTATGTCACTACTCCTCCACCTCTCCAGCAGCATCTTGTTGGGGAGAGCATTTCTCTGCCCCGGGGAGGAGGAGAGGGAGAGCCAGTAATTGTCTGGCATTGAACTGAATGTTCCCCTTGTTACAGCAGAAAGAAAAAACCAGACCAAATTCAGTTGATGCCAGCCCATGAGGGGAGCATTTAAACTAGCCCTAACCAGAGGTGAATCATTGATCTCAGTGGTTGGAACTTGAGTTTCCATAGGCCTTGCCATTTTGGGCTAAAGTGCTCTGGGGCTCTAAATAAACTTAAAAAGGCAGTGTAGGCCACAGCATAATAGGGCACCAGTAAGAGTCATGAGGCCCCCTTTCTAAGCCGTAGCTCCTAGATAACATTTCTAGGCACACCCTGGACAGAAGGGAACACACTGCCTTGAAGGCAAGGACTCAGTCCCGACAGGATTTATTACCCACTAACTAAATAGCCCTTGAGCCCTGAATTACCAACAGCAATACCTAGGTGCTATGTCAAGGGCCTTAGTGAGACTCTAAGACTTGCTGGCTTCAGGTGAGACTCAGCACATTACCAGGTATGGTGGCTACAGGGCAACATTCCCACTGATTGAGAAAAGTGGAGGAAAAAGTAAAGGGGGCTTTGTCTTGCACCTTAGGGGTCAGCTCAGCCACAGGGGTGTAGAGCAGAAAACAGGTTCTTGAAGTCTTTGATTCCAGGACTTGGCTCTTGGATGGCATTTCTGGATTTGCCCTGGGCCAGAACGGAGCCCACTCCACTGAAAAGTGAGTCACAGGCCAGGGAGCATTCACCACATGCTGACTGAGGAGCCCTTGGGCTGTAAGGAAACATCAGCAGTGGTCTTACAGTACTCCCCATGAGCCTGAGATGGTTGTGGCCATGGGGTGAGGTTCCTCTACCTCTGGAAAGAGAGGGAAGAGTAGGAAGAACTGTGTCTTCTGGTTTGAGTGCCAGTTCAGCCACAGTACAATAGAACACCAGGTAGACTTCTGAGGTTTTTGACTCTAGTCCTTGGCTCCAGGATGGCACTCCTGGATCCACCTGGGGCTTGGTGGAAATTACCACCCTGAAGGGAAGGACATAGGTCTGGCTGGCTTTGCCACCTGCTGATTGTAGAGCCCTAAGGCTTTGAGCAAACATAGGTAGTAGCCAGGGAGTGGTTATAGCAGGTTTTGAGTGAGACTTAGTGCTGTGCTGGCTTCATGTCTAACCCAGAACAGTCTTAGGGGTGGTGGCTTCAGTGGTGCTTGTGTCACCCCACTCCCACCTCCAGGTGGCTTAAAACAGAGAAAGGGAAAATCTGTTTGGAACAAAGTAAAGGAAGATAACAAGAGTCTCTACCTGGTAATCCAGAGAATTATTTCAGGTATGTTCCAAGACTATGAAGGCAGTGTGCTGTGAGTCTGAAGGAACCACAGTATTCCTGGGCTTGGGGTCCTCTAATAAACAGATGCAGCTCAGATCACAACACCTAGGTCCTTTTGAATATCTGGAAACCCTTCCCCTAAAGAATGGGTAAAATCAAGCCCAGACTACACAGACTATAATAAATACCCAATTATTCAGTGCCCAGATACCAAAGAACATCTACAAGTATCAAGATGATTGAGGAAACCATGACCTCACCAGATAAACTAAATAAGTCACCAGGGACCAATTTTGGAGAAACAGAGATATATGAGCTTTCAGAAAGAGAATTCAAAATAGCTGTTTTTAAAAAACTCAAATAGGCCAGGCACGGTGGTTCACGCCTCTAATCCCAGCACTTTGGGAGGCCGAGGCGGGGGGATCATGAGGTCAGGAGATCAAGACCATCCTGGCCAACATGGTGAAACTCCGTCTCTACTAAAAATACAAAAATTAGCTGGGCGTTATGGCGCATGCCTGTAATCCCAGCTACTCGGGAGGCTGAGGCAGGAGAATTGCTTGAACCAGGGAGTCAGAGGTTGCAGTGAGCCGAGATCGTGCCACAGCACTCCAGCCTGGCAACAGAGTGAGATTCCATAAAAAAAAAAAAAAATCCTCAGATAAATATAAGACAGAGAAGAAATTCAGAATTCTATCAGTTATATTTAACAATGAGATTAAAATAATTAAAAAGAGTCAAGCAGAAATTCTGGAGTTGAAAAATGCAATTGCCATTGTGAGGACTATATCAGTCTTTTAATAGCAGAATTGATCAAGTAGAAAAAAGAATTAGTGAGCTTGAAGACAGGTTATTTAAAAATACACTGTCAGAGGAGACAAAATAATAATAATAAAAAAGAAGCACATGTACAGGATCTAGAAAATAGCCTCAAAAGAGTAAATCTCAGAATTATTGGACTTAAAGAGGAGGTAGAGAAAGAGATGGCATAGAAAGTCTACTCAAAAAAATAATAACACAGGACTTCCAAAGCCTAAAGAAAGGTATCAATATCCAAGTACAAGAACATTATAGGACACCAAGAAGATTTAACCCAAAGAAGACCACATTAAGGCATTTAAAAATCAAATTCCCTGAGGTGAAGGATAAAAAAAGGAAAGAAACAACATGCAATGGATCTTCAATATGTTTGGCAGCAAACTTTATAGTGGAAACCTTACAGCCAGGAGAGAGTGGCATGACATATTTAAAGTGCTGAATGAAGAAAAACTTTTATCCCAGAATTACATATATGTAATTCTCCTTCAAACATGAAGGAGAAATAAAAACTTCTACAAAAAAGAAAAAAAAAAAAGCTAAGAATTTCAGCAACACCAGATCTGTCCTATAAGAAATGTTACAGGGAGTACTACAACCAGAAAGAAAAGGACTTTAATGAGCAACAAGAAATCATCCGAAGGTACAAAATTAACTGGTAACCATAAGTACAGAGAAATACACAGAATATTATAACATTGTAATTGTGGTACGTAAACTGCTCTTATCTGAAGTAGAAAGACTAAACAATGAACCAATTCAAAATAATATCTACAGCAACTTTACAAGATATAGACAGTATAAGAAGATATAAATAGTAAAAAACAAAACTAAAAAGCATAAGGATGAGATAAAGGCATAGAGTCTTTATTAGTTTTCTTTCTTTTTGTTTGTTTGTTTATGCAAACAGTGTTAAGATACAATCAGCTTAAAATAATGGGTTAGAATATAGTATTTGCAAACTTAATGGGAATCTCTAACCAAAAAAACAGACTGACACACTCACACTCAAAAGGAAGAAACTACATCATATCAACAGAGAAAATCACCTTCACTAAAGGAAGGCAGAAGAGAAAGATAGAAGGGAGACAAGATCACAGAACCACAAGAAAACAAATAAGAAATTGGCAGGAATAAGTTTCTACTTATCAGTAACAACACTGAATGTAAAGAGACCAAATTCTCCAATCAATAGACATAGAGTAGCTGCATTGATGAAAAAGCAAACCCATTGATCTGTTGCCTACTAGAAACACACTTTACCCAAAAGGACACAAGTAGACTGAAAATCAAGAAATAGAGATTCCATGCCAACGAAAGCCAAAAGAGAGCAGTACTCACTATTGGAATATCAGAAAAAAATAGATTTCAAGACAAAAACTATAAGAAGAGACAACAAAGGCCACTATATAATGATAAAGAGGTCAATTCAGCAAGAGGATATACAATTTTAAATATATATGCACCCATCACTGGAGCATCCAAATATATAAAGTAAATAATAATAAAGCTAAAGAGAAATACTGTAATACAATTAAAGCTGTAAACTTCAACACTCCAAGTTCACTATTAGACAGATCTTCCAGACAAAAATTCAACAAGGAAACATCAGACTCAGTTTGCACTATAGACCAAATGGCTCTAAGAGATATTTACAGAACATTTTCTTTAATGGCTCAAGAATATACATTCTTTCTGTTAGAACATGAATCATTCTCAAAAGTAGATCATATATTAGGTCACAAATCAAGTCTCAAAACATTCAAAATAATTTAAATAATATCAAGCATCTTCTCTGACCACAATGGAATAAAACTGGAACTCAATGACAAGAGGAATTTTGGAAACCAAACAAACACATGGCCATTATGCAATATGCTCCCGAAAGACCAATGGATCAATGAAGAAATTAAGAAGGAAGTTGAAAAATTTCTTAAAACAAATGGTAATGGAAACAAAACATACCCAAACCTATGGGATATGTCAAAAGCAGTAATAACAAGGGATTTTACAGCTCTAAGTGCCTATATCAAAAAAGAAGAAAAACTTTAAATAAACAATTTAACAATGCACCACAAAGAACTAGAAAATCAAGAGAAAACCGAGCCCAATATTAGTAGAAGAAAAAAGCAATAAAGATCAGAGCAGAAATAAATAAAATTGAAATGAAGAAAATCCAAAACATCAATGAAACAAAAAGTCAATTTTTTGAAAAGTTAAACAAAATAGACAAACCTTTAGACAGACTAAATAAGAAAAAAAAGAAAGGAGATTCAAATGAATAAAATAATTGTTGAAAAAGGAGACATTACAACTGATACCACAGATATTCAAAGGATCATCAGTGGCTACCATGAGCAATTATATGCCAATAAATTGGAAAATCTAAAAGAAATGGGCAAATTCCTAGACACATAAAACCTACTAAGATTGAACCATGAAGAAATCCAAAACCTGAACAGACCAATAATAAGTAATGAGATTAAAGCCATAATAAAATATCTCTCAGTAAAGAAAAGCTAGCAACTGATGACTTCATTGCTGAATTCTACCAAACATTAAAAAAGAATGAATACCAATCTTACTCAAAATCATTCTAAAAAATACAGGAGAGAATATCTCCAAACTCATTCTATGAGGCCAGTTACCAAATTAGACAAAGACACAACAACAACAAAAAAGAAAACTACAAGTCAATATCCCTGACAAATATTGATGTAAAAATCTTCAACAAAATATTAGTAAACCAAATTCAACAATAACATTAAAAATATCATTCATCATGAGCAAGTGAGATTTATCCCTGGGATGCAAGGATGATTTAACTTGGCAAATTAATTAATGCAATACCTCATAGCAACAGAATGAAGGACAAGAACCATATAATCATTTCAATTGATGCTACAATAGCATTTGATAAAATTCAACATCTCTTCATGGTAAAAACGCTTAAAAAACTGAGTAGAAGGAACATAACTTAACATAAGAAAAGCCATACATTACAGGCTCATAGCTGGTATCGTACTGGATGGAGAAAAACTAAAAAACCTTTCCTCTAAGATCTACAACACAACAAAAATGCCCTCTTTCACCACTGTTGTTTCACATGTTACTTGAAGTCTTAGCTAGAGTAATCAGAGAAAAAAAAAGATAAAGGTCAGCTAAATTAGAAAAGAAGTCAAATTATTCTTGTTTGCAGATTATATAATCTCATATTTCAAAAAACCTAAAGTCCACCAAAAAATATTAGAACTAATATATTCAATAAAGTTGCAGGATGGAAACTTGACATTCAAAAATCAGTAACATTTCTATGTGCCAACAGTGAACAATCTGAAAATAAAATTTAAATAAGTAATCCCATTTCCGATAGCCACAAATAAAATTAAATACCTAGAAATAACTTAGCAAAATAAGTGAAAAAATCTCTATAATGAAAACTATAAAACACTGATGAATGAAATTCATGTCACAAAAAAATTGACAAATATTCTATGCTTCTGAATTGGAAGAAGCATTTTTAAAATGTCCATACTACACAGAGCAATCTACAAATTAAATTCAATCCCTATCAAAATACCAATGACATTCTTCACAGAAGTAGAAAAACAATCCAAAAATGTATTTGTAAGCACAAAAGAATACACAAAGCTATCCTAAGCAAAGACAACAAAACTGAAGGAATCATATTACTTCACTTCAAGTTATAACATGGAGCTATAGTAACCAAAATGTTATGGAAGTGGCATAAAAACAGGCACTTAGACCAATGAAACAGAATACAGAACCTGGAAACCAATCCACACATCTACAGTGAACTCATTTTTAGCAAAGTTGCCAAGAACATAAAAGACAGTCTCTTCAATAAATAGTGTGGAGAAAACTGAATATCCCTACACAGAAGAATGAAACTAGATGCCTATCTCTCACCAAATACATTCAAAACAAATATATTAAATACTTAAATCTAAGATCTCTCATATTATAAAACAACTAAAAGGAAACATTGGAAAAACTCTGCAGGACATTGAGTAATACCTCATTAGCAGAGGCAAACAAAGCAAAAACGGACAAATGGGATCACATCAAGTTAAAAAGCTTCTACACAGCAAATAAAATAATCAACAAAAAATGAAGAGACAACCCAGAGAATGGAAGAAAATATTTCTGTCAGGGAATTCATAACCAGAATATATAAGGAACTCAAATTACTCTGTAGGAAATAGTCTAATTATCCAATTTAAAAATAGGAAAAAGAATAGACATTTCTCAAAAAAAGACACAGTTCACAAAGAGAAACATGAAAAGGTGCTCAAGATTATTGATCATCAGAGAAATGTAAATCAAAACTATAATGATATATCATCTCACCCCAGTTAACATGACTTATATGCAAAAGACAGGCAATAATAATAAATGCTGGCAGTATGTGGAGAAAAGAGAACCCTTGTACACTGTTTGTGGGAATGTAAATTAGTGCAACCACTATAAAGAACAGTTTGGAAATTCATCAGAAAACCAAAAACTGAGCTACCATATGATTCAGCAATCCCACTGCTGAGTATATACCCAAAAGAAAGAAATTCAGTATATTGAAGAGATATCTGCACCTCCTATGTTTGTGGTGGCACTGTTTCCAATAGCTAAGATTTAGAAGCAACCTAAGTGTCTGTCAATATATGAATGGATAAAGAAAATGTACTTATACATGGTAGAGTACTATTCAACTATTAAAAAATGAGATTCAGTAATTGCAACATGGATGGAACTGAGGGTGATTATTTTAAGTGAAATAAGCCAGGCACAGTAAGACAAACATCACATTTTCTCATTTATTTGTGAGATCAAAATATCAAAACAATTGAAACCATGGAAATAGAGAGTAGAAGGATGGTTACCAGAGTCTGGGAAGGGTTGTGGGCCTTGGGGGCAAGGTAGGGATGGTTAACAAATACAAAAAAATATTGTTAGAAAGAATGAATAAGGCTTAGTATTTGATAGCACAACAGGGTAACTACAATCAATAATAATTTAATTGTATATTTTAAAATAAATAAAAGAGTATTATTGGATCATTTGTAACATAAAGGACACATACTTAAGGAAAATCCCATTTTCCATGATGTGATTAGTACATACTACATGCCCTTATAAAAACATCTCATGTACTCCATAAATATATAAACCTACTCTGTACCTACAAAAGTCTTACATAAAAAATTATATAAAACTGTTAGAACTGATAAATTCAGTAAAGTTGCAGGATACAAAATGAACATACAATAATAAACCAATAGCATTTCTATGTGCCAAAAGTGTACAGTCTGAAAAAGATATTAGGAAAAAATTCCATTTGCAATAGCTACAAATAAAATTAAATAGATAGGAATTAACCAAAGAAGTGAAAGATCTCTGTAACAAATCTTTAAAACACTGATGAAAGATATTGAAGAGGACACCAAAAAATGGAAAGGTATTCCATGTTCATAGATTAGAGAATCAATATTGTTGAAATGTCCATGCTTCCTAAGGAAATGTACAGATTCAATGTAATGAGTATTTTGATACGTAAATTAGTAAAACTGCTGGGGAGAACAGTTTGGAGTTTTCTCAAACAACTAAAAATAGTGCTTCCATATGAACAGATTCAATGCAGTCTTCATCAAAATACCAATGGCATTCTTCACAGAAATAGAAAAAGCAATCCTAAGGTTTATATAGATTCTCTATCATATATACCAATAGTGTTCTTCTCAGAAATAGAAAAAAAATTCTAAAGTTAATATGGAACTACAAAAGAGCCAGAATATCCAAAGCTATCCTAAGCAAAAAGAATAAAACTGGAAAAATAATCACATTGCCTGACTTCAAATTATACTACAAAGCTATAGTAACCAAAACAGCCTGGTACTGGTATAAAGGCAGACACATGGACGAATGAAATAGAATAAAAAATCCAGAAACAAACCACACATCCATAGTGAACTCATTTTTGACAATGATGCCAAGAACATACACTGGCAAATGAAATTTCTCCTCAATATGTGGTACTTGAAAAACTAGTTATCCATATGCAGAAGAGAGAAACTAGATGCCTATCTTTCACCATATAAAAATATCAAATCAAAATGGATTAAAGACTTAAATCTAAGATCTCATGCTATGAAACTTCTAAAAGAAAACATTGGGAAAACTCTCCAAGACATTGGACTGGGCAAAGATTTATTGAATAATACCCCACAAGCATGGGCAACCAAAGCAAAAATGGACAAATAAGATCATATCAAGTTTAAAAGCTTCTCCACAGCAAACAGTCAACAAAGTGAAGGGACAACCCGCAGAATGGAAGAAAATATTTGCAAACCAACCATCTGACAAGGTATTAATAACCAGAATATATAAGGAGCTCAAACAACTTCATAGGAAAAAAAAGCCTAATAATCCAATTAAAAATGAGCAAATGATATGAATAGATATTTCTCAAAATAATGCTTACAAATGGCAAACAAGTATATTGAAAAGGTGCTCAAGATTATTGGTCATCAGGGAAATGCAAATCAGAACTACAATGAGATATAATGTCACCCGTGTTAGAATGTCTTTTATGCCAAAGCCAAGCAATACGGAATCCTAGTCAATATGTGGAGAAAAGGGAACCCTGGTGCACTGTTAGCAGGAATGTAAATTAGTAAAACTGCTTTGGAAAACAGTTTAGTGGTTTCTCAACCAATTAAAAATAGAGCTCCCATGCTCCCATAGGACCATCAATCCTACTGCTAGGGATACACCCAAAAGAAAGGAAATCTGTGTATCAAAGAGATGTCTGCACTCACATGTTTAATACAGCACCATTCTAATACAATCATCAAGATTTGGCAGCAATCTAAGATTCTATTAATAGACGAATGGGTAAAGAAAATGTAGTACCTATGTACAATGGAGTACTACTCAGCCATTGAAAAATATTAGATCTTATCATTTGCAATAACATGGATGTATCTGGATGTCATTATATTAAGTGAAATAAGTCAGGCACAGAAAGACAAACTTCATATGCTCTCATTTATTTGTAGGAGCTAAAAATTAAAACAATTGAATTCATTGTGGTAGAGAGCAGAATGATGGTTACCAGAGGCTGGGAAAGGTAGTGGTGAGGGAATGGGGATGGGTACAAAAATATATTTAGATAGAATAAGATCTAGCACTGGGCCGGGTGCGGTGGCTCACGCCTGTAATCCCAGCACTTTGGGAGGCCAAGGCGGGCAGATCATGAGGTCAGGAGATCGAGACCATCCTGGCTAACATGGTGAAACCCCGTCTCTACTAAAAAATACTAAAAATTAGACAGGTGTGGTGGTGGGTGCCTGTAGTTCCAGCTACTCGGGAGGCTGAGGCAGGAGAATGGTGTGAACCTGGGAGGCGGTGCTTGCAGTCAGCCAAGATCGAGCCACTGGACTCCAGCCTGGGTGACAGAGCAAGATTCCATCTCAAAAAAAAAAAAAAAAAAAAAAAGATCTAGCACTGGACAGCACAACAGGTGACTACAGTCAACAATAATTTATTGTACATCTAAAAATAACTAAAAAGGTATAATCGGATTGTTGGTAACACAATGGAAGTATAAATGCTTGATATGATGGATGCTCCATTTACCCTGATGTGATTATTATGCATTGTATGCCTGTATCAAAATGTCACACGTACCCCCTAAATATATACACCTATTACATAAGCACAAAAATTAAAACTTTAAAAATAGATAGTAGCCTAACTGTATGTTAAATTTGGTGCATACAGGAATATGTAAACCTATTCTTGAAATATTGACTTGTGAAATACTTTAACTGGTAAAATTTGTAGTTCATATTAAAGTATCCCTTATGCTGAAGTGATACATATAAGAGTAAATTAGAATATTTTGTGATCTGCACAGATTATCTCCTGTTGATAGAAAATACAGTTCAAATAAATTTATTTTACATAATCAAAGATATACATACTTATTACCATTAAAAATCTTTTAGTTAAGCGGAACTCCTTCTACTCAGAATAGCACAATATCTCATTTTCTATTCTGTTGAGCAGATCTTGGATTTAGAAATTAAATTTTAAAGTGTGCCTAATGCATCAGAGTCCCAATTCTGCCTGTTTCTCAGACACACTTATCATCAGGGTGCTTCAGATTTTTTATGTCTAAATATAGCTTTAAATACATTATTATCTGCAGAAACACTTATTTTTATTTAGTAGAAATTATTGAAAAATAAAGATAAATAATAATGCTTTTCTGACTACTGATCTTAAAATTATTTTTGTGGGCACTATTGTAAGGAATTCTTTCATGATATACAGTTAATGTGATGATTTTAAACAGAGAAAAGTATTTCACATCATTCTTCCCATCTTTTCACAAACAAGAGACAGCCAAACTTAAGGGAAGTGTCTTTGATGTTGTTGTTCACATGCTTTCCTCCAGGTTCTTAGGAATGTCACTTAACTTTTAGTGTTCAGTGTCATACCATCCCTGGAACTTGCTGAGCTTGGCAGCCTTGGCAAGAATCCTTGACAGCTTGTCAAGCCCAAGGCAAATGCATGTGATCTTCCCTCCCAGTAATTAATAATTAATTAATGTTCACTAATCTTTAATGAATGGTGGTTTTGAATAATCTAGTCTGGAAAAAAAAAGAAAAACAAAGAATTTTTATTGCAAAAGGAACTTTTGCTCAGGACTTTATCAAGTGAAATTAATCCTGGGGCTAATTGTGAAAGTCAATGAAATAAAGCACATAACCATGCACAAAACCAGTGACACTATAGTCACAGGACCTCTAAAGAGTTTCTCTTCAGATCAGCTGTAAACTCTTCCTGAGGTCTAAATCACAAAGCACACTTACATTCCAAAACAAGATTTTGATTCCTAGAATGGCAAGTTTTCTCTTAAGAATCTAAGTGGCTTTCTGAAACACTGACTTGCACTTGCTATTATCTACTCTGTCAGAGATAATTTTTCTGGGCAGTAGAAGTCTGGTGAAAAAAGAAAAGAAGAAGAAAAAAAGGCTGATGAAATCACATTTAAAAATATGAATCATTAGATATTATTTGTGTTCAGCTTTGTTCTACAGGTATTCACAATGTCTCCAGTTGTAATGACGATGTGCTGAGTACTTACTTGATGGGGAAAAACTGTAATCACTTTTTCTTGACATTTGAAGAAATGGTGAAAAGAAGAAAAATGTGTCCCTTAGAACTATTGAAACTAATGACATTCCCCAGTGCTGGGGAAATAATGCTCCTGCTTATGTAGAAATCATTTCAGAATTTCTCAATGCAGGAAGAAGATAATGCTTTTACAATCACTGCAAATAACAGAAGAGGTAACTAAGCTTATCATACATATATGAATATGCATCAAGGCTTGTAGATACAAATATACAGTTATTCCTATCTTCTCTAGCTGACATCATACACAATGTTATATTGGAAGACATAATTCCCTCAGTAATATTGTACTGAACAGAAGGATTAAATCCTTCAGGCTCCTCCTACTGTCTACCTTGCAAATCTTAGCCTATTCAGTTTTGCATTGTAATGCTGACTTTTCCACCTTTGCCAAATGTTTTTTTGGTTGATCTCCACCTTCAAAACCCCTACTCTCTGCAAATCTTTCAAATTCTTATATCTTAAAAATTTACATCAAAATGAAATTATTATTCATAGGTGAATTTAAGCATAAAAATTTCCTCTTTTCATTTCATTTATCCTCTTTTCATTTTCATTCATTTCCTCTTTTCAAATAATAAATATAAAATAATGTAAAAATATGTCATTTTACCCTATCTAATATATTGCCTTTAATTTTCCTAAAGAAGGTCTTTTTATTGTAATGTGTATGTGTGTTGCTTCTTTGGGCAAATCTTGTGTGGTATAGAGACAAATAATAGATTAGAGTTGAACGAGATTGGTGGTGGTGGTTTTTATGCTGTGATCTCTGTAGATACTTTCTATATTAATGAATGGAAACCATTTAATCTTTCTAAATGTCATATCAACTTATGAGATAACAATAACTCAATAAAATATAAATAATGAAATAGTATAATGTATATTAAAGCACTTGTAGTTTGAGAGGCAAAACAGAAATTTTCATTGTACACTTCTCATACATCATTGCTTTATGTTGTTTTAAAACTCACCGTTAAATTTCCATGGAGTTAGATAAATCATATTAAACATACATTAACTCTAAAATTTAATTTTAATAAATCACGGATATGAACAAGGAAGCCAGGTGCTGATTAAAAATTTGCCAATTTTTGTCAAAGGTGGTAGAAGCATATTAATAGCATTTCAAGTCCTGTTTATATTTTTTATTATTATTAAAGCTAAACAACATTTGTAAATGTTTATTAGCTGTAAATACTTAGGGAAACTGGTGTTTGGTTAAATTAATATTACATATCTATATTACAGACTAGTACGTGAATATTCTAAACTTATTGTAAGATTATAAGCATACATTGCTTGGGGAAGATGTTACCAAATACTTTTATGACTAAATGTAGACTAAGAAACAACGTTTTCAATATAAATATGTTGTTGTAATTTGCATATATATATAAAATACACTAAAAATTGTTATATGAGCATGATGACAATAATAGTAATTTCATGATTTCATTTTGCATTTGTACTTATGATTTTTTCACAATGCATAGTTAAATATTTATAATGACAAAAACATTAGAAATCAATGGCACATGGAAACATTTAGATCAAAATATCTATAGAAATTATTTCTTTTTATTAGGAGCTCTGATATTCTAATGTAATCATTATTAACAACTTTTCTATTGTTTTTAAACTAGAAAAATTAGTAAAAACATTTAAAATATAGTTTTTGAGTCTAAAAGATGTAAATAACTGGGAGATTATGTGAATTCACTTGTAAAAAATTTGAAAGCTTTGGAGTGAGAACTGAAAACACAAGCATAGTTCTGACCAATTTGTATTTGCATATACACTGAACAAAATATATTATACATTAATCAATAAGCCATACAAATAGCAATCAAGGCACTAAAGAAATAACACACCTTTGTAAATAAAGGCATTTAAGAAGACAATTCTACTTGTATTGCCTTTTTTTGTGTGCACATTATTTCTTATTTGAAATTACAAGCTTTTCAGAAAGACATATTGGTCTAATACTTCCATCTTCCATCATGCCTGTCTCATTGCTTTGTAACCATAAGATAGTCAATTACACTATTATTAGTTATCCTTTTATAATTTCATTTTTAAAAATTCTTACATACTTAATCAGACACTTTTACATAAATATAATTAAAATAGAAGATTTTTCAAGTTTGCCTCTTAGGTCACAATCTAAGAAAGAAATAATAAACAGACCCAGGGATCCTTTATTCTAAGATCCTGAATTACTATTTTTTTCTAACCATGAAAAAATAATCACGCGTTCTCATCTCTCATAGTAAAATAAAATATTTGTCTTTTGTTTGTAACAAAAATAAAACACATAATTTTCTGTGCCAAACAACTCCTTACATGTTTAATTATTTTTATACATATTGTAATATTTGATCCTTATATAATCATTGTCAGCTAGACAGGACAGGTGCTACTGGCTCTATTTTTTAATAGGAAAACTAAAAGATTATATGATTGCGGTATAAGTGCTTATCTCTTCACTTATAAGAAATTTATAGTTATTACAGACTTACACTCTTCCTTCAACATGCAGTAGCTTGTGGATATTACTTGTGCCACTGTTAACAGATATTTACATTTTATTACTCTGTCAAAATTAATTATAGATCATTTTATACGATAAATTTAATACTATTACAACATTGAACCTTATATGACTATTTGAATTGAGAGGCTTATTGTCAATGCTAGAAATGAAATACATGAATCATTGTGTAAGATAAATTAAATCCTAAAACCACATCAAATTTTATAATGTAAATTGAGCTGAGGGATTAAAATGGAGCTGTAAAAATTATAATCAAAATAATATTTTACCTATTCATTTATTTCTATATGCATTCTTATAAATCATAATTACAAGTATACTTTTTAGGAACTTGGTCCATTGAACAAAGTAATAGGTAATATTGATATGCAGAGAATAATAATGAATATTATTAACTACTTCCACAACAGATAGATCACTGTTTAGAAGTTGGGGAATAAGATTAAGAAACACAAGGAAAATAATAATTTAAAAAATTCAGAGTTTTGTATCCTCTATTTACAGCATTGTTAAACCAAATAAGTGTCTTTCCTTTGTTAAATTGGAAAATAAAATCAAGAGAGCACAAAGCTTTAAAACAAATATTGCAAAATAAAGACAGAAAAGTAAAAGAAAGATGTCATACCATGACTAAATTTCTTGAGGAACTTTAAATATAATATTCCTCATATTTTTTATTATATATACTAGAATTTATCTTAAATTGAGCTGGCCTAATAAGTCTGACCTTAAAATTATATCCCTAAGGCATCCATATACAATTCTGTTAATTTTTTTCTTTTTATGTGATCACGTTGGTTTTGTGTAAAACATTAAAATATGACATAAAGTATCTATTTCTACTTTTATTGGAGATATTATAATTTAAATATTGATGAAGGTGTGCTGCGCTGTGTTGCACCTGGGGGCCTCACAGGGACAGAAGCTCTGGGAGCCTGGAGGTAGGACAGGTAAGGAGTTCTCCCAGCAGCCCCAACTCTGGGGACATCCTCACCTCCCCCATATGTAACCATGTGTCTGGCACTGCTCCTATTTCACCTTTTGTCTTCTGCTAACAACACTATGATCCTGGCAGTCTCCTTCTGCAGGTAGACAAACGTTTGCACAGGGCATTATACTGAATCCATATCCAAAGGGCACTGTTTCCAAGGGCATGTCCTAAGAGTCAGCATAACAGTCATTGCACTGAAAATAGTTTTCACCCTCACCTGAACTAAAGGCTCAGGATCATGTGTGATCTTATTCCTTGCAATTTAAAATAAAGACAAAGACAGTGGCCAGAGAGAAAGCAGATTGGTTTCTTCCTGGAAAAGGCCTCCATCTGAACTGCACCCACCGAGACTGCAGCTCAAAGGTAATGCATCAGCAGGTCAATGAGCGACTGACTGATCTCCAGTCTGCAAAGTCGCAAAATGAAGTCCTGCAACAGGTTCAGGAGGTCCTGTAGCAAAAAGCTTCAAAGTGTTGGTCTCTGATGCAAAGTCAACTTGACCTGAAAAAAGCGATAAATTCAATATGGCTGCTCTTGAATGAAAATAGATCCCTGATCTGAAAATGTATTCCTTTTTTCCTAGTTCATCTTTTAAATAAAAATGAGTGGACCAATATGTCCTTATACAATAAGGAATCAATGTGTCCTGATAGGAAAACTAAATTTTAAAATTATTTTTGCATTGTAACTCATGTAGTTACAATAATTATAATATTTTGACTCAATTTTTTAAATTTAAAAATTTTAAAATATTTATAAACTCACAAGATGTTGCAAAACAATACAGAGAAGTGTCATGTAGTCTTTAGATAACTTCTACCAAAGGTAACATCCTACCTAATTGTTAAGCACGGTATCAAAACTAGACAATTCATTTTGCCACCAGACAATTAACCTGAGGTTAGACACTGCTTGGAGTTCAGGAGTTTCTTTTTTTTAATTATTAAATGTTTATTTTAAGTTCAGGGGTACATATGCAGGTTTGTTATTATATGTATACTGTGTCATAGGGATTTGTTGTACAGATTGTTTCATTACCTAGGTGTTAAGCCTAGTATACATTAACTATTTCTTCTGATCCTCCCCCTCCTCCCAGCCTCCTCCACTCTACAGTAGGCCCCGGTGTGTGTCTTCCTTGATGTATCCATATGTTCTCATCATCAAGCTCCCACTTATAAGTGAGAAAATGCAGTATTTGGTTTTCTTATCCTGAGTTGGTTTTCTGAGGATAATAGCTTCCAACTCTATCCATGTCCCTGCAAATGACATGATCTCATTCTTTTTTATGGCTGCATAGTATTCAATGGTGTATATCTACCACATATTCTTTATCCAGTCTATCATTGATGGGCATTTAGGTTGATTCCACATGTTTTCTATTTGATTTCACAAGTTTTTATATGTACTCATGTGTGTGTCTATGTAAGGCCTATGAAACTCAAATATTCAAGCATTTAAATTTCATAGAGCTATATATTTTAAATAAAATGAACAAAATAATCTACTAATAATCGTGATTTTTTTTTTTTTTTTTTGAGACAGAGTCTCGCTCTGTCGCCCAGGCTGGAGCGCAGTGGCATAATCTGGCTCACTGCAACCTCCACCTCACAGTTTCAACCAATTCTCCTGTGTCAGCCTCCCGAGTAGCTGGGATTACAGGTGCACGCCACCACACCCAGCTAATTTTTGTATTTTTAGTAGAGATGGGGTTTCACCATGTTAGCCAGGATGCTCTAGGTCTCTTGATCTCATGATCCACCCACCTGGGCCTTCCAAAGTGCTGTGATTACAAGTGTGAGCCACTGTGCCCCAGCCAATAATGATTTTTTTTTTTTTCTGAGACAAAGTATTGCTCTGTCACCTAGGCTAGAGTGCAGTGGTGTCATCTCAGCTCACTGCAACTTCTGCCTCCCAGGTTCAAGCGATTCTCCTTTCTCAGCTTGGCGAGTAGCTGGGACTACAGGCATGTGCTACCACGCCCAGCTAATTTTTGTATTTTTAGTAGAGATGGGGTTTCACTGTGTTGGCCAAAATGTTCTCCAACTCCTGATCTTGTGATACACCTGCCTCGGCCTCCCAAAGTGCTGGGATTACAGATGGGAGCCACCGTGCCTGGCCCGTGATATTTTTTAATCAGGTTGTTTTCATGTATTGAGTTGCTGTAATGGTACAATGGTGGTCACCAGGGACTGTGCTGATTGAGGGTACAGGAGTGTTTGGGGAAATATTCATCAAAAGATAACAAAATTTCAGTTAGATAAGAAGAATAAATTCAAGAGATCCATTGTGTAACATGATGAATATAGTTAATAATATATTACAGTCTCAAAAAATATTAACAGTGAATGTAAAGTACTCTTACCACAAAATGAAAACTATATGAGATAATGCATATGTTAATTCACTAAATTTAGTCATTCCACATCGTATATATACTTCAAAACACCATATAGTATACAACAAATATATAAAATGTTATCTGCCAATTTTAAAAATAAAAAATATATCCTCCCAAATTAGTTTATAAAAATAGTGTAAAGAAAATGAAATGGGATTTAAAACTGCTGACATAAAGAATAATAATTATGCTAAATTTTTTGGCTTATTTGGTGTGAGATAGGAATTACATTTAATGCTAAATAGGCTACAGTTACCTATGTTGAGATAACTACCCTGTATTACACTAGGAAATAAAGCACTAATTTTTGTTGGATCAACATTATGGTTGCTGATTATAATTGAAGCAACCCAGTAACAATGTAGAAGAGAATTATGTAAAATACGTAATTTGTGATGTTAAAAATCCAGCATAAATTTTGTCACCCTTCACCAAATCTATTTGCCAATCAGAGACTGCATATCAAATCCTCATTTGACAATATTTTGCTACAGGAAAATATATTAAGTTTTCTATTCCAAGTATAGTAGTATGAGTGAGAATTTCTGGAAAGAAAGAATTT
This sequence comes from Homo sapiens, assembly GCF_000001405.40. Lineage (NCBI taxonomy): Eukaryota > Metazoa > Chordata > Mammalia > Primates > Hominidae > Homo > Homo sapiens. Next base: position 56,420,267 of record NC_000013.11, read on the forward strand.
GAAGAGAAAAAATGAATGGAGAATGAGCATGAAGTACCAGACATTGATTACTCTAACAAAAGAACCAAATTAACCAAAGTTGTATCTTTGTAAATCAAAGATTTGTATGTTATTCTAACCATGGCATATGATTGTTTTGTTTTTGGAGAGGGTAACAGTAAAAATAAATGTCTTAGTGTCTATGATTTATTTACATTCTTAAAACTATCCCTGGAGTCAAGTCTATTCCAAAAACCACGTAAGAATTTTTGGTGTTTCTATAAGCAATGTATGTATTTGCTCCCCTCCAGGCCTGTGTTGATGTCTCTTCAGCGTCTTTCTGATAATCTAAAGCAAATTCAACTTTAGACTTTTCAGAGAGCTCATTACTCCCTGACATCTTGGATCCTTGTAAGATTCCAGTTTCTTTTTTCTTTTTCTCGTTCTCTTGCCCAGGCTAGCGTGTAGTGTCACAATCACAGCTCACTGCAGCCTCAACTCCCCAAGCTCAAGCGATCCCCCCCGCCTGAGCTTCCCAAGTAGCTGGAATTAGAGGTGCATGCCATCACAACTGGCTAAATTTGTTAAGATTTCAGTTTCTTTATAAGAGTTTTTCTGCAGCTTTTATAGTGTGGAAAAGTATAAAATTATTGTCTCATATTTTATTGTCTTGAATATCTTCCAGAAGTTACTTTATTATCTTCTGTTATAAGAGATGCTGTCAAAAATGATAATGATTTCATTTTATCTCATTTTTAATTGAGTTGACGTTATTGCCTGGAGGCCAAAGATAATTATTTTTTTCTTTAAAATCTAATGATTTTACCATCATATTTCTGTTGGCCTTCTGGGTCATTTTCCCTCATAATAGTTTGCTTTTTCATTATGTATTTTCCAGTAATTTTTTTTCAGAATAATTTTATTGAATCATAGTTTGTAGTACTTGTTCTCTTCCATTGCATTAATTTTTTTCCATGAATATTCCTATGTAAACATGTTATTTTTCTATTTTGTCTCTCTTTCAATATATTCTCTTTTTGAATAATCCCTTTTTCCTTTTGTTTTTAATTGACATAATAATTGTACATCACATATGGGGTACAGTGTGATAGTTTAATGTGTATACAATGTGTTAATAGTCAAAGCAAGGTAATTGGCATATCAATCATCTCAAACATTTTTGGTGTTGTGAACATTTAAAATCCTTTATTCTAGTTTTTTGAAATATACAATACATTATAGTTAACCATATTCACCCTATAGTGCTGCAGAACACCAGAACTCAGTCCTCCTATCTAGCTGTAACTTTGTATCACTTGATCTTAGCCAAAAGGCCAAGAAGTGACAACTTTGCATCATTTAACCAATCTCTTCTTTTCCCCCTCCCGCTACCCTTCCCAAGCTCTACATGATTCTACTCTTCCCTTCCATGAGCTCAAAATATTTTTTTAGCTTCCACATATGGATGAGAATATGTGGTTTTGGAGCAGGGGTAGCAATGAGAGAGGAGCCCCAATTTTAAGGAAAATATGTAAACTGGAAAATATTTGTGTATAATCGTAAGATAATAAAAAAGAACAGACAGGAAGAAGTTGAAGACATGGGAGAAACACATAATAGTTATCCAAGTCAAATTCGTGATGATGAAAGAAGATGGTTATGAGAGCTCAGAAATCGGGCCTGCGGGTCTTAAACAGGAGAAGCCAGCATGTCGGAGTTTGAAGAAAAGGCAGTATGAATGTGTATATGTGTACATAGATTTGCAGAAAGGGTCAATATTTTGAAATAGTTTATACTTAATGGCTAGTCAATAAGATCATCTAAATGGTATGTTAGTGAAGAGGGATGGACGGATAACTTAATGAGAATGATGAAGATTCTGAGTAACATACATGTAAACAGGGAGAAAAATCATAGGAAAAAAATTGGAATGGTTTTCAAGTGTCACTAAGAACTCTTTTGCAGTCCAGGACAATTAATTTATCCCAGAACTAACCTGCATTGTTAACAGATTAGCTCAAGCAGCACCTAAAAGCTTAGGTGTAGTATGAAATAAAATATACTACAGATCTGAAACATTTATAGATAAAATATATGATCATGATAGGAGTACAATAAGTAACTTCACCTTAAGTTTATTCTTAATTTATTTGCATAGATGCCATTGTTCATAATTTTTTAAAGTATGCTCATATTACCTATCTGGTAATATGGTAAACTATGCTCATATACCTATACTCTGGGTTTATTTTATTAGCAAATTATTCTATTGGAAAATGACTTAAATAGACACTTATTAATACTATATTTTATTTCCTGAGGAAGAAAGGAAATTAATTGTCTAAGTCATTATTCATATGCCTTTATATAGCCTCATAGACTAATTATCAAATGAATCTATCAGAATGACTTCATTGCATCTTCAATTTTGAACTGTAAAATATTCTTTTACAGTTTAGGCATAAATACAGGTTATGCTATATAGTTAGACCACCATTATGTTTATCTATAGATCTATAAATATCGTACTTTGTGAAACTACCACAATGAGACTTTCTTAATAATAAGTGTAGAAATACTTTACAATGGTAATTTCTCATTTAATCTATAATTAACCAATAAATATGACAGAAGACCATTTTACTTGAGTGCCAATAATTAGTGATTTTATATTTATATGATTTAGTAAATGAGACAGATCATCTACTGCTAGTGATAATTTCATTCTACAAATTCTGCAAACTCAGAAGTTTATAGCTCCTTTAGAGACACTAAACCCTACAGTTTATCACCTTAAGCAATAATCTGGACACTATAATAAAATAATCTATTGGGAGAAGTAATCTCACTTTCAAAAGAAATCTGACATTAGGTTAATTAGTTGAGGAAGAAGGTAAGCTTACTTGATTTCCCTTTTCACCTATGCCTCTCAGCTTCATAACTCACCTTAAGATTGATGAGTCTACATATTACAGCTATATATGTCTATGTATATGAATATATAAATATATATATATATATATATTCATTTCAGCCCATTTTCTAGGCAGAGAGTCTGATAAATATATAAATGGTTTTGACTTCTGGCTGGGCGTGGTGGCTTACGCCTGTAATCCCAACACTTTGGGAGGCCAAGGCAGGCAGATCACAAGGGCAGGAGTTTGAAACCAGCCTGGCCAGCATGGTGAAACCCCATCTCTACTAAAAATACAAAAATGAGCCAGGCATGGTGGCGCGCACCTGTAATCCCAGCTACTCGGGAGGCTGAGGTAGGGAGACAGGAGAACTGCTTGACCCTGTGGGGCAGAGGTTGTAGTGAGCAGAGATTGAGCCACTGCACTCCAGCCTGGACAACAGAGCAGGACTCCATCTGAAAAAAAAATGGTTTTGACTTCTAAAATAAATATGCTCTCCATGTAGCAGAGATTATTTTACATGTTCAAAATCTTGCCAAACTAAACATGTTATATGAAGGCAGGAGATCATGTTTCCCAAATGTTTGGCTAGAAATAGGAAAATGGTTCAAATATACCCTATGTTATGTCTTTCTTTACGTTACATGTGCCTTTTCCTTGTGATGTAGTTACATATACACCTATGACATAGCTCAGTTTTTAGAATTATTCTATTTGCATTTATATTTTGCAACATCTGTTTGACCTTGCCATCTCTAAGCCACAATCTCTTCACTTGCAGGAAGTACATATGAGTAGATTCACTATACAGGGTTGTGGCAAGTTTTAAATCCACTGTCTTATACAGAGTTACCTCCCAAAAGATGTTAATAATAACTATAATTGTTACACATGCCAATCAATAAATGTAACATTTTCTCTTTTTAAAACAGGGTTTTTCTCTTGGTGTAAGTCATGAGGTATCATGATATATTGCTATTTTTCTATTTTATAAATAGATTAACATACACACTTTCTGCATATACTTCTATAGTCTCAAAAATGTAAACTATGAAATGGTTAAAAATACTTCTCATAGTCTGAGTAACTGGCCTGTATAATTGGTCAGTACAAACATTGTTAAAATGAGGGATTTCATGCAGAAATTAGACCTTTTGGAAATGCAGGAGGAGCTGGGAAGTGAAACCCTGGAAAGGGGAATCCGAGGATATGAGTAACAGCCACTGAATCTGCTGGAAGCATTAACAGTGGTGGACAAGTTGGAACTTGTAGGAAAGTCTGAGAAACGCTGCATGTCTGAAAGTTGGAACAGAATCATGAAAGAGGAACTTGTGAAGAGGTATATAATTGCCACCTTTAAGAAATCTGCTTCCGCTGTGAAAATCAGTGCTTCTGGGGGAACTGTCACTTTTATAGCTCAAGACAGCAGGCTTTGAGCTGTAACTGGTCAGCACTGAGAGCAGTCTAATGCAAACAGAAGGAAACATGTTATAGCTGTCCATATTTGTCATCAGGTATATGTACCACAACCTACCAAGAGTACTGTAATGATTTCTGCTTCCACTCTGCCTTCCAAGTCTTGCTAGATTTCTTTCTTGGCCAAGTCTAACATAGGACAATATGAGCGGGGGGTCGGAGGGAGACTCTGAAAAACATATTTCCCAGCCTTATGCTGACAACATGCCTCCATGTTTTATCAAAAAGGGAAAGTCATGTGCCCTTATAATCTGAGCATGGCAATCAGAAAAAATATGAAAATTACTGTGTCCTAAAGTAATATTAAGTACACATGCTTTCCAAAACGTCTGCATAAAATACCTCAAAGACTGTTTTTAGGTAAAGCATTAGGTAAAACTGCAGTGCTGTAAAAATATATATGCTACTTCTGTGCAACAAACAACTTCAACAATCAGTCAACCTAGGATATTGGCAGAGGCAAAGCTGCCATATCCATAAAATTGATGAAAATTATTTTTTTGTTTACACTGAATTAAATTCATCATGGTTAAAAACTACAAACATAAACATATTTTCTCATTTTCTTAAAATTTTAACTAGAAATGAGCTTTTAAGCAGGATATTATAGATCACTAGTTTGAGGTAGTGATGATCTAAAGACAGAATAGTACCAGCAATAATTGTATAAATACAATCAACACATGAAAAGAGACACTGCTTCTGTCAGAAGATTTATTTGTTCAAAATGTAAAGAAAAACTAGGACTACCTACAGAGCTGTGTGTTGGTTTCTTACATATATAGATATATTCATATAAAATAGAATATTACATACAGAGAAATTTCCTTCTAAAATATTGATTAATTCATTCTCAATTTTTTTTCCCCATTGATCATACATTTATTCTTCTGGTCTGAGTCACCTTCTTCTTTTTTCAGGATTATTAAAATATATTTTTCACCTTTCTTTCTGTACTTTTACCTTTGCCTTCCTACTACAGGCCTATTTTCAGCACATCCGTCATAGTAATCTTAGAAGCTTAAATCAAATCATGTTATTTCTCTGCTCAAAATTCTACCATGTGCCACATCTTACTCCTAGTTTTTATAATAAAAGACGAATATATAAAATGACAAACTTTGTCTTATGCCATCAAACAAATGCTCTCAGATGTATTTTTCTACTCATCTCCCATGTAGTGAGCATAAAAGTGGTCTTCTTGAATTGTTTTAAACATTGCAGGTATGCTCCTGCCTCAGAGCCTTTGCACTTGGGCAGTTTTTTCTACTAAAAATTTATCCCAGATGTTCACAAGCTGTTCACTCAACTATTCAGGGCTTTATTCAAACATCACTTTCTTCTCACTGTGATCTATTCTAGACCCCCTAAGAAAAATGACCATTAAACACTCCATATGTCCACAGGTATCTGTTACACTCCCCTGGTTTTTCTTTCTCTTTAGCATGCTTCAACACGTAACATGCTATGTCATTTACTTTTTTGTGTGCTTATTTTGTGAAGTCTCAAATTAGATCATAAAAATCTCTGAATTCTTGGACTTTCTCTTCTTTTGGCTATTATATTACTAACAGTAAGAATAGCATCTGGGCCACAGCAATTGTTCACTGAAGATTTGTTGAATAAAGAAATGAGTATCAACAAAAGGTTGAAAATTTTGGCAAAGTTTCATATCATCATCTTAATAAATGTTTAAAATATTTTCACAATAAATATTTCAAATGAAAATAAATAATTACATAAATTTCAAATATTTGTACAATAAATGACAGTTTCTACACCATCATATTAATAGTGAAATTCAGGTACTCTCAGGAAAAAAAAGTTTTGCCCACATGGACTCTTTCAACACAAATCTGAAGTCAGGTCAAAATAATCACATTTATTACTTCTGAACACTTACAGACATAGATACTTCTGTCATTTAAAAATTCACATACAAATATTGTGTTTGTTTTAATAAATATGTTCAAATATTGTTTCTGTTAACCTCTTTATACCAAGACAAATGTGGATAAGCCTTCAGTCAAAATTAAAATGAAAAAAATTGAGCAGGAATGACTCTCTGCCAGAAACAGGTATTATCAGGATTAAACTCAGTGGAAATTTTCTATTTGAAGCTTCAAGTTTTAATGTATAAAATGTATAAAAATGGTAATAACTTTGGCTAATTTAAAAAACAGACAGTAGAGAAAACCATTCAAATTACCTTAATTCTAAACAAAAATATCAAAAAATAAAATGTACATAAATAGTTTTATTCTCTGGTAAAATATATTACTACAACGTTACATGGAAAACTTACTGGATACTTTATGTCTATTTTATAGACAAATATTCTATAAGCCAAAAAAGTGCTCTACTTTAGTCACAAAATATAGCTTAAAATGAAATCTAAAATGGTTATTAGAGGAATGCATCTACTTCTTTTACAAAAACTTAATTGCATTTTAAATTATGATATCAGCAATGAAATTTATTATGTGTTTAAAATGCATGGATACCTTCAAAGATGAATGTGTATTTATTTGGGAAGAAACTAAGTCATCATCTCAAATACTGATATTTAACATAATAATTTAAGATTGCTCTTATGTTAGTTTTCTAGATTTTTCAAAAGTATTTTATTGAGAAGAGAAAGTTACACAAATTATTTATTAATTAACGTTTATCATATGTTTTTAACATAAGTTATATGAAGTATAAGCATTGTTTATTTTATAAATAGACATAATGGTAAAAAAGGCATGTGAAACCAAAATTACATTCAAAGTTTCTATTACTTAATGCATACTACATCCATGTAGGAGTGGTTGCAGATATAAAATTATCTGCTTGTATAAATGAAACTGGTTCAAAATAAAGCTCTTATACAATTATAACAAATATGCCACTGTGATGGTAGTTTGTGATAGTGGGGGTGGCTGTGTACATGAGGGAGTACAGATATATGGGAACTTTGTATTTTTTGCTCAGTTTTGCTGAGAACCTGTAACCATGCTAAAAAGTAAAGTCTATTCAAGAGGGAAAATCAATTATTAATACTAGCAGAATAATGATTGAATAATAAAGGACCTAATTTCATGATAAAAGCTGAAATCTTGTATTTATATAAGATTATTTTGTTTTTCATGTTGAATACTTGTTCTAACTTAAAATAACTGAACTCCATTAATGTTGATAAATTAACAAAAATGTTTCTATTTGGTATGGCCTTTATACATGGCCTTCATTAATTTTATGAGCTTATTCTGTGTGTTCTTGAGCTTGACTTATATAATATATTATCTAGATGAGTGATTTCACATCTTTCTAATGCTTCAACTACTTGGAGAGTAATTTGGCATTTAACATGCTACATTATGACATGTTATCAGCCATGTATTAGAGAAAAATTAATGATTTAAAAGAATAGCTACATAGAAAAATAAAGTACATAAGTAGTTGTGTTTTCAGGAGTGACAGCAATGGCACAAAAAAATTGCCAAGTAGGGAAAGTTTAGATTTAAAAAATTTTAAATAAGTTTAATAGCCATCTTGCCAACAATTTTCTTTCAATAATAACATTATAAAGAAAGTAAATCTGATTCAAGAAATGGACCCAGATTAAAAACCGGGTAAATCTGATAATATTTGTTGACAATATGTGCATAGTGGGGATAATGGATTTTTTAAAAAGATGACAAGAGTAGTCATACGTTCAATGGGTTTGAATTGAAAAAAAAGATTTGAAGTTTTTATCTATAGTTTTGTTTCATTTTGGTTTCTTATCTAGCCCTATTGTAAGCAGGTATCTCTAAAATGAAGTCAGAATTTGGCATTTTCTAATTTTAGACTTAAAAGAAGAAAATGCATTGTACTTAGGCTACAGCTATGAAAATTGTCTTTTTACTTAAAAAATTAATCACAATACAGTTTATTTGATTGGTTAACTCACTGTCATTGCTAATTGTTTGCCAAATATTTTATTATAAAGAATCTTCAACTTATCAGATGCATTATGAATGATTTATTGTGCTTTGCCAATGGAATTATGATTTTTAATATGCTGTTGTATATGTTTATTTTAAAATATTAAATAGGTTCATTATGTTTAGAAATGAAAATTTATACTAAATGGACTTTGCACTATGTAATGTAAAAAAGTAGAAAGAAAAGCATTTTAATATGGTTGCAAAAGGTATATTCAAAATTATAAGTTCCAGAATTTCTCTCCCTGGGACCACTAAAGGCTCACAACAATTTACTTTACTTTCCTCTGCTGAATTGTGAACTTCTTCAAGGGCATACTTCATTTATCATTCTATTCCCAGTGCCTACTCAGTACCTGATAGAGTAACTGTTTAATTAAACACTTACTAAATAAAACTGAATGATCTTAGTTTCTTGGAGATATAATTTTTATTTCAGTAATAAATGTTTATAACTGAAGGTGGATCAGAAGTGTTTAGAATTTCTAAACACAAATATTTCACAATTCTAAACAGCAAGACACAGAAAGGGTTGGAAGTGAGCAATGATAAATTTTAAAAATTATAATGGTTAACTCTGTATTTATATAGAAAATTATATTAATAAATTTTAGAATGCTTTAAAACTATAGAAATGGAAAAGATTTGGGTTGCTCCTTAATATCCTTTGAATATCTGAATTTTTAAATATGCCACACCATTTTCCATAGGTGGAGTCTGAAAATAATTACAAAAAAAATCACATGTCTTTCTAGATATTCTTTCTTGCCTTTTCATTGATTCACAAGCAATTAAACTTTTGGACTAATCTGATTTGTGTTATCATGAGATGAGCCAATGTTATATTATTTCAATATAATATACAAAATACATGCACAGAAAGAAATAGGCAAACAGTAATTAGAAACTACCATTAATTGAATGCACCTAAAAATATGTGTCATGTATGTCAGTGAATAGCAGACTAGGTAGCTTCAAGGGCCAAATTCTTCACACACATACTGAAAAATTCAGTAACATCTGTCAGAATCAACTTTGTCAGAACTCTGAAAAATAGTCAAAACTTTACAGCAACTGAGAGAATTCTGTATCAGAAAAAGGCAACTAAAAATACTAGGAAACTTTGCAAAATTTTTACTTGCTCTTACACTACCAGGATCCCTGGCTCAGCATTAATCTTGAAGATGGCTACTCATGTTTCCATTTTGAGGCCCTTATATTATTGGTTCTGGAGAGAACAGAGAAGACCTTCTTATACAAAAATTGTACTTGTCTATTCTAACCTGTCTAGGAACTCACTGAAAAAATTATGCAAGGTGCTACCATTTGCTTCATTTACCCTAGAACCTCTCAGAGTGGAATGGCAGCTTTAAAAAACACATTACTCAAAAACATTGTAAGACCAAAGAATAACCTATTTTTGCCTAGAATAAAAGCTTACAGTTGAGACAAATAATAGATACAGCAAATATCTAGAAGCCAAAGCTGAGAAGAGTGTTTAATTGGAAAATTAGGGTACTAAATATTCTCATTCATACAGGAGAATTTAGAAATCCACATGCATGCGTTGGGTAGAAAACATGCTTAGAAAAGACTTGAGAAAACCCTGTGTATTCACTTCTGGCCTATATTTAGGCTTAGCAAAAGCAGGAAGTGAAGGCTAAGGCAGAGTTGTAAATCATCAGCTAAGTTTTGAAGCAGTGCCTCAACACGAGGACAATGTGCAAAGACTTAAAGAAATTTTTCTATTTTTCTTTTCTCTTCTTTCTTCATTTGCTTTCTTTGTTTCTTTCTACTTCTTTTTCCTTTCTTTTTTCGTCTTCTTTTTTGTTTGTTTGTTTAGATTTTGGTTGGATTCCAAACATTCAAAACATTCTCTGTCAAAACACTAGCTGACCACAACTTAAAGAATAATGATGTTGAAGGCTACACATAACAAAAAATACAGACTTAACAGTCACTAAACAAACAAAAACTAAAATCATAGCAAGAAATAAAAACAAGATGAGTAGGGTGAAGGCAATCTCATTTTTAGAGTTGCCACATTATAATATTCAAATTGTTCAGTTTTCAACTAAAAATAAAAAATCCAACAAACAAGAAACTAGAGCCCATTCAAATAAAAAATTAACAGAAACTGTTCTTGAGGAAGCATAGACATTAGATTTACTTGACAAAGATCTTAAATCAACTGTACTAAATATGCCAAGAGCTAACAAAAATCAGAAAGAACTAAAGGAAGTCAGAAGAATGGTGTCTTGGTAAGTAGAGAAAAATCAGTAAAGAGATGAAAATTATAAAAAGGAACCAAATGGAAATGCTACAGTTGTAAAATACAAAGACTAAAATAAAAATTTTACTAGAGGGATTCAACATCAGATTTGAGTATACAGAAGAAAAAATCAGCAAACTTGACAATAGAATCATTGAAATTTTCTAGCCAGAGAAGGAGGAAAAGAGCTATAATAATATATAAATAAGAAAAAATAACAAGTGTGGGCAAAAAGATGAAGAAATTGAGACCCTCATACATTGCTGGTGGGAATAAAAATGGTACAGCAATAAAAATTGAGAAACAATTTTATGGTTAGTCTAAGATTTAAACATAAATTTCCATAGGATCAATATTCCATTCCAAGTATACACCTCAAATAATTGAAGGCAGATATTCAAACCAAAATGTGTTCACAAATATTCATAGCAACACTATTCATAACACCTAAAAGTTGGAAAAAACCCAAGTGTCATTAATAGATCAATAGATAAGCAAAATATGGTATAACCATACAATGGAATTTTATTCAACCATATAAAGGAATGAAGTACTGATACATGTTATGACAGAAGAGCCACAAAAACATTATGCAAAGTAAAAAAAGGCAGACTAAAAATGTCACATATTGTATAATTCCATTTATATGAAATATCCAGAATAGGTAAGTTCATAGAGACATAAGCTAACTAGTGATGCCAGGTACTGAGAGAAGGTAGGTATAGGAAATGATTACTTAATGAGTGAGGGGTTTTATTTTGAAATGATAATAATATTTTGGAACTTGTTATAGATATAGGGGGTGGTTGCACAATTTTGTTAATACTACTGAATTTTAAATTTCAAAAGCTAATTTTATGTTGTATAAATTTTACCTCAATTTTTAAAATGCATTTGTTATTCTCTTAGAATTGAATAATTCTTGTTGAATAATTTACATCATAAGAAAATATTCAAATGAGGATTTCACCAGGAGACTTGAAAAAAAATTGTAGTTTCTGTTTCTCGCCCTCCCACTGACACATTTGACCTAATAATGACCAAAGTTTTCAAAGTTTTTTAATGGGAATGTTTGCTGTATTATTTAGTGAAGCTGTATACTTCTAAAGGCTTACAAGTAAAAACAATTCTCACAGGTCCATACCTGTCACACTACCATTAAGGTCTTTCCTGGATCCCTGGTACTCACTTGACATCAAAAATCCATCTACATTGCAATAGAACAGGAGTTGGTTAATCCTAGCTCTTTGGGACTTGGTTAATAAATGTCTTTTTAGATGACCTCTCTAGGATTTTTTGTACTGAAAGTGCACATTAGCTATGGCCTACACTCTGGCTAACACCTTTACTCATACTAATTAGCTGCTCTCTGTGGGTTCAAGATGCCCAGTAATAACTTCAAGATTGATCCTAGTGAATAATTTATCAAAAGAAATAACTTAGGATGACTTCTAGAGAAGGAGTTCAGAATTTTATTTGTGAAATTCATCATCATTTGTATTTTTAACACATTGAAATAATGATCATTTAAACATGACAAAAGTTCTAAAGTAGCACTTGCTATTCAATAGAACACATTCAAGAATGAAAAACATCTCATTATTTTGAAGTTTGGGACACAAATCAGAAATAAAAAATAAAGCATAATGTATATAATGCTTCATATTTTAAGTAAGACTGAAAAACTAACATAGCAGGTCTTTATATGGAAAACAAATAAACAGAAAATTGGGAAGTTACAGGTACCTAAGTATATGTAGAGATATTAGTTGGCAAAGAATATAAAATGAAAGAAGACAATGAAATGGCTTATAAATAGTTTTCAGTAGCATAAACTAAATACTCTGAATGAGGGACATGGCTACTCTAACATAGAATGGTCATCAATAGGGCATTTGCCGCATAACCTGTATCAGATGAGGAGGAAAATCAAGGTGATATGGCTAAAAACAAATTAAATACAACATAATTCAATTGTAAGAAGAGTCGCTGTTTTGTGATTGGAAAGTTTTCAGGTAGAATGATAATAGGAAGATGAGATTTGCCATAAGCTTCTACCTAGAATTGATATGTCCAAATATATCCATATAGTTGACCATTTTAATTGAAACTGAGATCAGAATGCAAAAGCAGGAAGCTTGGAGCTGAGTAGATGTGATTGTGTTTCTAGAATTGATTGTGGGGCTGGTCAAATTATTTAAAAGTTTTGCTTTTTAAGGCCGGGCTCATGCCTGTAATGCCAGCACTTTGGGAGGCCGAGGCAGGCAGATCACGAGGTCAGGAGTTCGAGACAGACCAGCCTAGCCAATATGGTGAAACCCTGTCTCTACTAAAAATACAAAACTTAGCCGGGCATGGTGGTGTGCATCTGTAGTCCCAACTACTCGGGAGGCTGAGGCAGAAGAATCACTTGAACCCAGGAGACAGGGGTTGCAGTGAGCCGAGATCACACCACTGCACTCCAGCCTGGGTGACAGAGCGAGACTCCATCTCAAAAAAAAAAAATGGTATTTTAATGTTATAAGAATGTTTAAATCTATAGGGAATTAATATAACAGTGCATAATGAAGTATACATATTTATTTCAGTATATTTCAAAGCATTTTTCACTACTTGTTTTAACATTAAGTATTTATTTATTGACTTGTTTGTTTTCTGTTATCCTCATGAAAGCAAGGACTTTGCATGTCTCATTCACTGCTTAGAAATGTGCATGGCCTTTAAGAACTCATTAAGTATTAGTCAAATTAATGAATACATGAATAAACATTGTCACATAATAAAGCGTTTAGGGAAGATAATCATAAATGGAGGACATTTTTTGTGTGTTTTCTCCTTCATAATGCAATTAAATATATCTTGAGACCTCACCTAGTCTTGTCTGATTCATTAAGCTGAAGGCTATGCCTATTGCCCATAAGAGCTTAATTTCTCCACTATTAGACATTTGGAGAACTTTTGGCTAGCAGGCTAAACAAAATAGAAGGTCCATCGAAGAGTAAGTCATAACTGTCAAAATTCAGAAAAATTTGTGTCCTTAATTGAAAGGGTTAGTTTAAAATTTAAAATAAAGGTACATAGTTAAAACAAGAAGAAGGATGTAAGAACTATAGAATCTCACCAAAATCAGGAAGGACTAACTATCTTGGGTTGGTACTACTTTTGCATCTATCCTGTAGTCATCAATCTAGCATAGAGATATCAATTAATGAATATTTCTTTTTCTGAAAGTATACTCTTGGTCCAAAACCATATTAAGCAGTAATAAAATATTAACAGTTGTTTAAGCTGTTGAGATTTTTTTTCCCCAAAGCTTCACGATTCTTTCTTCAATCTATTCTGGAAGACTTAAGAGTGTTTCAGATACACTGGAGACAACAGTTTTTAATAGGAGAGATGTTAGAAATGATTATATTACATTCCTTGAAAGACAAATAATAAGCCTTAGTAACAGTAAGTCATAATACTTGCATGTAACTAGAGGCAGGTTCAAAGGAACAGACCCTTTGCTCTCCAATAACATTAAAATAGTAAGCAAGTAAGGAAGCAGTATTGTTCTTTGGTCATAATATGTGTAAGTTATGTCCTTGGGAAAACAGATGTATTATTTTCTATTACTCACTTATTGACCACAGTATTTCAATTTTATCTTTTTATTCTTAAAAAAATCCACTTTTAGTAGGAAATTCATATTGGGAAATATTAACGTAGTATGTCTGAGAAGAGGATAGTGGGAACTAGAATAGGCAAGAGAAAGAGAAACACAGAATTGAAAAGGTTGAAAACAAAATCTGAGGAAATAAGTGTCTTCCATGGGGCCATAGAATGCACCAGATAAATATGATTTATTTGAAAGTGGAATGACAGATCTATAAGTGACTCATTGCTGCTTGATATCTTATTGTTCTTTTTCTCAATAGTTATTCTAGATATTTGCCTATTTCTTTAAATTATTTCTTCTTTATCTTTTGTAGATGAACTAGACTTCTCATTTACAAAGTAGAATCCATTAAGTAAGAATTCTGTTATATTTCTCTCTCTCCATACCTCAACTTACAAATAAATTTTGATATACAGCCAATAAGAAATAGAAGTTGCATCTAAGTGGAAGTGATGAGGTAAAAATCAGAAAAATTAATTCAAATATATGCCTTTAATTGAAGTGTTAGATTGAAATTAAAAATAAAGATACATAGTTAAAGCAAGGAGAAGGATGTCGAGAGTTTTAGAATCTTACCAAAATCAGGGAAGACTCTCTGTCACAGTAGTTATGTATAGAACAAATGCAGAGTTGGTCAGTGAAGTGGATATCATTTCTTATATAACATCATCTGGACAAATTACTATAAATGATATTAAATATTTCTTATATCCAATCTCTTTGTCTTTACTGGTTCTAGTTACTCAGACTACAAACACTTTAAAAATTCTTGATATTATAAAAATATTTATAACAGATTGTGTTTTAGTTTTAGTTTCACTGTTCTCTGC
Source organism: Homo sapiens (assembly GCF_000001405.40). Classification (NCBI taxonomy): domain Eukaryota; kingdom Metazoa; phylum Chordata; class Mammalia; order Primates; family Hominidae; genus Homo; species Homo sapiens. The sequence goes on from NC_000013.11 coordinate 56,435,371, forward strand.
TTCCCTTTGGTTGATTTCATCCTAATTTTTAAATCTTATATGTTTTTGTTAATGCAGTTATCACATCCAAAAGTAAAAAAACATATTATATTAGCTTGAAAGTGTGAGTTTAATGAATTCTAGTAATAATAATTACGATTAATATTTTAGCATATATTTTCAGTTTCTATGCACACTCAAACATGAAATACATGTGTGCTGAAATGCATTTTAGTATTTAATATATAGTGGGCATGTTTTCTATACCAGGAAACTGGATGTAACTCATTTTTTTGTCATTATTATTTTGTTTATATTAGATATTTCAAACAATTTAAAATGAGCCATGTTACTAAATGCATAAGCTATTACTAATACAAAGCCCATAGTTATCTTATTTGATCATATTATCCATCCATCAGAGATAGTCACTTTCCTAAGTATGTATCATTAATAAAAATCTTCATTGCTTTTATTCTCCTCCTTCTGACGTTTGCCATAAGAATTCAATTGTCTTTGATTCTAAAAATTAATTTACATATAATAATTCATCATAAAAACATCAAGAAGAATAAAAGATACCATAATGTGATTTATTACATTATTTTTGAAATGAAATAATGTTGTTTCAGGGTCAACTGTGATAAGTTAATGATACATAATGGGCTATGTAGGGAAACTTCTAATACATACAAAAAAGGATATTCATAAGACAGTAGAAGAGATAGCACAGACTCCTAAAAAAACATTTTATCATCTCAGTAGAAATCAAGAATGAGGAGGAGACTTGTAAAAATCAGATAACAAAATAACAGACTGAATACCAACCTCAACAACAATCACATTAAATTTGAATAGACTAAACACCAATTAAAAGGAAAAGGTAGCCTGGATTTTCTTAAGAAATGCTCAACTGTTTCTTGTTAGTAATAGAAGCACTGTAAATATAAACACAGACTACTTGAAAGTACATATATCATGGCCAAATTTTGCGTTAAAAAATCAAGAATTGTTTTGTTAATGATCAACCAAGTAAACTTCAAGGCAAATAATATTGCCAGAGAATTAAAATTAAGATTTTAATGAAGATAATTTTCTTCATTAATGCAATTGTCTATAGACACTTCAGTTCTTCCCATATCTTGGCTATTTTGAATAATGCTGCAATAAATATGGGAGTGCAGATAGATATGAAGTGGTGATTTCATTTTGGGTGTGATATACACTCAGAAGAAGGGTTACTGGGTATTATGGTATTTTTATTTTCTGTTTCTTTAGAAACCTCTATACCATTTTCCAGAAAAGTTGTATCAACCTACATTCCCACCAACAGAGAACAAAAGTTCTTTTTTGTCTCTACAGCTTCACCAACATTTATCTTTTATCTTTAAAATAATTGCAGTAAATTCAAGAGATCTATTGCAAAACATAATGACTATAGTTAATATATTGTATTTTGAAAAATGTTAAAAGAGTAGATATTTTTTGACTTTCTGATAATAGCCATCCTAATGGGTATAAAGTGTTATCTCATAGTGGTGTTGATTTGCATTTCCCTGATGATTACTAATGTTAAACACCTTTCACATACCTACTGGCCATGTTTATGTCTTCTCTGGTATAATAATGTCTATTCAGCTCTTTAATATACTACAAAATATTATTAAACCCTAAAAAATAAGAATGATTCTATCATTTGCCAAAACATGAATGAGCCTAAAGGACATTATGCTAAGTGAATTAAACCAGACACAGAAAGAAAAATATTGCATGATCTCACTTACATGAAAAATCTTTTTTTAAAAAAGTCAAAAACAACAGAGATAGAGAACAAAATAATGATTACCAAGGGCATGAGTCGGGGAGAAAATGGAGAGATGTAGTTTGGAGGACACAATGTACAAGACGATTGGAATGAATAAGTCTACAGATCTAATGTATAACATTAGGATATTGGTGATAAAGTTGTACTATATTTTAATTTCATGCTAAACAAAATTCTTTAGCAGCTCTTTCCAAAAATCAAAATGAATAGATAACCATGTGAGTTAATGAATATGTTTATTTGCTTCATTCTGGTAACCTTTTAACTATTCATATATATAGCATAACATCATTTTGTATACCTTAAACATTGTATACCTTAAACATATACAACCAAAAATTAAAAGCTTCAACATATGAAGTATACACTTTTTTAAACGTGTCCATGGACATTGGTGAAGGTAATTCATATGCTGGTACATACTTTCAATAATTTATTTCACAGGATTAAATATATTTTTGCCACAACAGAAATAATCAATAGGATTAATACACTTACAAAATAATAAACAGTCTCCAGAGAAAATCAATGTCAAATAATCATTTACAAGGAGGCACAGAAAATATTTTGAACTGAATGATAATGAAATAAAATCATATGAAAATGTGTGGTTTACTGCTAAAGTAGTCTGTAGTGTGAAATTTATAGCTTAAAATTCTTATGTTAGAAGTAAAGAGAGGTTTAAGATGACCTAGTATTAAACATTAGGAAACTCAAAGAAAGTAAAAGAAAATTTAAAAATAATGGTAGAATAGGAAATCAGTGAAATACAAAGCAGACACCCAATATACAATATTAGTAAAACAGCATTTGTTTCCTTTAAAAGATTTTAAAAATGACAATCAATTAGCAAGTATAATCAAGAAGAAAAGAAAATACACAAACTATAAGTTTAAATAATGAAAGAGGGGTACCATCACAGATCTTACAAACAATAAAAGCACATATTATGAGCAACACTATATCAATAAATTTGCTACTTTACATGAAATTATCAGATTTCTTGAAAAATAGAGCTTACTAAATTTACACTATAAAAAATAAATTATGAATAGCCTGAAACAAATATGTCCATAAGGTACGACATAAAGTTAAAGAAGATTATTCTCAAGTCATGAGATTTAATGTGTGTTCTGTTGGGTTTTGGATTTGGTACTGTTTATCCTGTGGCAAATTGCTCTCCAGCTGTGAGACTGTGAAATCAAACAAGTTATATGCTGCCAAAAATACAGTGGTAGGACACACATAGAATAGACATTTCCATTCTAAAAGACAGAAATAGAAAAGAAGCAAGGAATAACAGGTCCCTTTCCAATTCTGGGGTAAGGGTTGGCTCCCCAGGCTCCCAGAAACTCTATCCCCATGGCTTTGCTGGGAGCAAACCATGCAGAAGTTCTAAGTCTTGGAGTCCTATGCCCGAGTCTCTCCCAGGCTGAAATTGCTTTCCTATTGCTCTACTGGTCTGGGGTCCTAGTGGCAGCCCCATCACCAACCTAGTGGGGCTTTCTGTGGTGGCTTGGCCCCTGTGACAGTCCTCTGCCTGGGTTCTAAGGCTCTCTGAAGCACCTTTTGAAATCCAGGTGGAGGCAGCCATGCCTGTCCAGCTCTTGCACTCTGTGCACCTGCAGAGTTAGCACTGTGTGGATGCCACCAAGGTTTACCTCTTGTTTCCTCCAGAGTGGCAGCCTAAGGTACATAGGGGACTGTTTGAGCCACAGCTGGGGCAGCCAAGGAGTGCTGTTCCAGAATACATGGAGCAGAAACTTAAGGCAGCTGGGACAGCCAGCCTAGAGGTCCCACTGGCACCCAGGTCCTGTCCATTGACATCATTCTACAATCAAGACCTTAGCACTCTGGACCTGTGATGGGAATTGCAGCCTCAAAGATCTCCAAAATGCCTTAATGATCACTCTTCTATTGTCTTCATGAATATTATTTGGCTTCTTTCTATTCATATAATTCTCCTTTTCAAATATTCCTTTGGCCATAACCTTGGTATACTCTCCCTAACATGCCTTTTGAGGCCGAGACTTTCCCAAATTTTTAACCTCTACTTCCCCTGCACCCATCCTCCTGTTTTTAAGATACATTTTATTGTGTATATTTGTATTTTACAACATGATGTTATGGGGTACATATAGATATTAAAGTGATTACTATAATAAAAAAATTAGCATATTTATTATGTCATGTAGTTACATTTTTTTGTGACAACAGTAGCTAAAATCTATTTATTTTACAAAAATCCCTAACAAAATACATTTTATTAACTAAAGTCCTCATGTTGTATGTGAAATGTTTAGTCTTGTTCATCCTACATATCTGCTCATTTGTATATGTTGACCTGTATCTCCTCATTTTCTGCCCCACTGCCCTTGGTAACTATTGTTTTATTCTCTATGTCTATATATTTGTTTTTTTTAGATTCCACATATCAGTATAATTGTGCAATACATATTTTTTTGAAAATTTTTAAAAACTGCTTTTTTCAGCTAGGTCTCAAGATATTTTTAAATGTAACTTTTCATATTTTCTTTGAATAATTGGTTGTCCAATAGCATTTTGTTAAATTTCCACAAATTTGGGAATTTTTCAAGATTTGTCAGGTCATTGATTTATAGATTTATACTGCTGTGACTAGAAATAATTCAGGATAAAATTTCAATCTTTTTGAATGTGTTAAGACTTGTTTTGTGGCCTAATTTATGGTCTATCCTAGAGAATGTTTCATGTGCACTATAAAAATGTATATTTTGCTGATATTGGATGAAGTGTTCCATATGTATTTTTAGGTCAATTTTGTCTAAGGTATACTTTAATTAATTTCCTTATTAATTTTCTGTCTGGTTGATTTATCCATTTTTGAAAGTGGAATATTGAAATCCCTTGCTATTGTTGTATTGCTATCTATTCCTTCATGTTCATTAATAATTGCTTTATATATTTTAGTGCTCTGATTTTGGATGAATATGTATTTATAATTGTTATGTTCTCTAGATGGATTAACTCTTTACTATTAAAAAATGATTTTGTTTCTTGTGACAATTTTTGCCTCAAAATATATTTTACTGATTTAAGTATAGCCACTCTGGTTCTCTTTTGGTTAATATATGGGTGGAATATTTTCAACCATCCGTCCCCCTTGAACCAATGTGTGTACTTAAAGTTAAAATTGGTCTTTCATAGGTAGCATATAGTTGAAAATTTTTTTTCCTTATTCATTCAGACACTTTATAATGTTTGATGGGAGAGTTGAGCCATTTATATTCAAGGTTACTGTTGATAGGTAAGGATTTACTCTTGCCATTTTGTTAATTGTTTTCTGTGGGTTTTGTAGGTCCTTTCTTTCATTCTTCCTCTTTTATTGTCTTCCTTTGTGATTGGTGATTTTATGTAGTGCTATGCTTTGATTCCTTTCTTTTTCTTGTTATAGCATATTCGTTATAGTTTATTTTTGCCTTGTGGTTACCATGGGGCTTCCATCAAACTTCTTGTAGTTATAGTAGATGATTTTAAGCTGGTAATAGTTTCACTCTAGTTTCATACAAATACTGTAAACTTTTATTCATTTCTCACCATTTATATTTTTGTTGTCACAATTTATATTGTTTTATTTTGTGTATTCCTTACAAACTTATTGTAGCTTTAGTTATTTTTGACTATTTTGACTTTTAACTTTCATAGAGATTGTCAAGATTTATACACTTTTATGGTAATGACAGAATATTCTGAATATTCTTAGAATATTCTAAATTTGGCACTACTATATTTACATTTACCAGTGAGTTTTCTTCATTTATATGGTTTCATGATAGTAATTACTCTCCTTTTCTTTCTAGTCAAAAAAAAAAAAAAAAAAAAAAAAACTCCCTTAACCATTTCTTATAAGGCTAGTGTAATGGTGATGAATTCCCTAGCTGTTGCTTATCTGGGAAATACTTTATTTCTTCTTCACTTCTGAAGGATACGTAGCTCACAGGCAGCCGCAGTAGCATTGTGTTTCAGGGGACAAGTCCTCAGAGTAGCTGTTGAGCTAGGGTTCTTGGCTCAGTGCTTTGCTGAACTATTATGGCAGCTTTGACATGGGCATAGATTCACTCTCTAAGACATTGGTAGAAGTAGCTCTCCCACAAAGATGAAGACTGTGATTCTCAGATAGTCCCCTATTAGTTCAGGCCCAAGGGGCAGTTATGTACCTATAACTCTCATCCTGGGGGTTTCCCACACCTCACCCTCCAAAGAACTAGAGCCCAGGTCCAGCAGAGTGGTCATGGCTGCTCGGGCACCCTAAATACCTTGGTGTCCTATATTCTGGGGAATCTGGGTCCCAGTACAGTAGGGCAAGGTGCTTTGAGCATCAGATAAAATCCTGGGAGTCAGGGCATAGCACTGGATGACTCTGAGGGGAATAAAAAAAGTGTTTCATAGGGTCAGGTCGTGGGGAGCAGTACATAGCTGTAATTCAAGTTCCAGAGCCAACAGGCATAGTGGCAAATCAGTCACCAGGAGAGGAGATAGATACTATGTAGTGGTGACTCTGAACCCTTTGGTGGTGGGACACAGCAGTGGCCCAGGCTCTGTGAGGCTGGGTGCTTTTAGATGCAAAAAACACAGAAGCAACTGAGCACAGATGTAGCTTAGACTTCACAGAGTGGAGAGCAGTGCAATAAGGACTCCACTTCCAAGGGAGGTATGGTGCCCCAGCATCACATACTCCGGACGGCCAATCCACCAGCACCAGAGATGTTGCACACTGTGGTTGTTTGGCCAAGAGGGTGAGGTGACACAGATTAGGCAGGTCTTGGCTTCTTTGGGTGACAGTATGCCATGTCAGCTCTGGCACCTGGGAACACAGTTGCTCTGCTAGGCTGGGGCCTAGTTTCCCCAGGGGACAGGGCATCATGTTGTCTACTGTTGGCCATGACTACTCTGCTACACCAGGGCTGGCTCTAGGTCCTTAGAGGCTGAGGTGCTGGATGCTGCTGCTTCTTCACTGGCCTTGGGATCTAAGTCCCTGGAGGCAGGTCACTGGTTCTTTGCTGTTCCCAAGGTCCAGCTCCCTAGAGTCAGAGTGCTGAACTTACCTGCTGCACTGAGTGGGCATCCAGTTCCCTAAGGGGCTGGGTGTCATGTTGGCTCAAGCAGCAGGAAACGTGGCATTTCCTCTGGGTACCTGTTTCAGTGGCTCTGATGCAACACAGCAGCAGCTTGGGCCATGGGTGGTAGGGCATAGCATGGGCATCTTCTCTGGAGTAGAGCAGTTGTGTGAACTGCAGGCAGCTTCCTAAGCTGCATTCATCTCTCCAACACCACAGTATTCTCCAGTAGCCAAGACTGCAAGTGTGCAATTGTGCAACTGTGATAGGGGCCACTGAGGCCCTCTTGAGTACTTTTTATTCTCACAGTAAGCTGTCCTTTCCTGTTCCACGTTGTTCTCTTCTGGAGGGATGCAACGGTCAAGGGAGATGTTTTCTTCCCTTCTGTATGTGGCCATCCTAAGTTTCTGTGTTCTATAGCATTTCCACAACTCCCTTACAGTACTCCAATGCTTTACTTTAGTCACTATGATCAAAATGTAGTTTATTCATTGTTTTGGACCTTTCATGGTGGGGAGTGTGGGGAGTGTTAGTCGGATCTAGGTGGACATCTTGCTGACATCCTCTCTGCTTCCTTGTTAATTATAAATTCCATCTTAAACTAATTTCTCACATTCTACTATTGGCAACCAAGAGAAGAGAGAAGCCATGATGCACCTTTGACACTTTGCTTAGCTATTTCTTCTGCTAAATGTGATAGCTGTGGCTCCTAAGTTCCTCTTTTAATAAACACTAGAACACATGCACTATCAGCGATGTTCTTTACCATTTTCTAAAAAGGATGACTTCCAGTTTCCAGGACCTTGTTTCACATTTCAATCTGAGGCCTCATCCAAATGGACCTCATTGTGTATATTTCTACTTGCATTCTGATCATGACTACTTAAATAATCTCTAAGAACATTTGGCTTTCCTTACAACTGTCTTCTTCTGAGCCCTCTCCGGAATTGCTTTTAATGCTGTGTTATACACTATAGCTACTTTTAGGACATTGGCATCTTTTTAGCCTCTATCCATTACCCATGTAATGTGAAAGGTGCTTTCACATGCTTAGGTAACTGTTCTAGTAGGGCCCCACTTTGTGGTACCAATTTCTGTCTAAGTCACATTTCACATTACCCATGTAATGTGAAAGGTGCTTTCACATGCTTAGGTAACTGTTCTAATAGGGCCCCACTTTGTGGTACCAATTTCTGTCTAAGTCCATTTGTATAGCTATAACAAAATACTTAAAAATAGGTAATTTATAGACAAGAAAAAAATTAGTTTTCACAGTTCTGGAGGTTGTGAAGTCCAAGATCAAGGTTCCAGCAGATTTGGTGTTTGGCACAAGCCCATTCTTCATAGATGGTGACATATTTGTGTCCTCACATGATGTAAGGGGCAAAAGGGCAAAAATGAGGCAAGGTAGGTCCTTAAAGCCCTTTTAGTTTTATAATTAGTTAATTTATTTGTTTTTGAGACAGAGACTCTCTCCATCACCCAGACTGGAGTGCAGTGACACGACCTCTGCTCACTGCAACTTCCACCCCCTCCCTCACCAGGTCCAAGTGATCCTTCCATCTCAGCCTCCTGAGTAGCTGAGAGCATAGGCATGCACACCACTCCTGGCTAATTATTTTTGTATTTTTATAGAGATGGGGGTCTCACCATGTTGCCCAGGCTGGTTGCAAACTCCTGAGCTCAAGCGATCCATTCGCCTCGGCCTCCTAAACGGTTGGGTTTACAAACGTGAGCCACCATGCCCGGCCCTTAAAGCCCTTTTATAAGAGCAGTAATTCATTTATGAGGGCAAAGCCTTCATGACCTAACAATGTGCTAAACGTCCTACTTTTTAATACTATCACGTTGGTGATTATCAACCTATAAATTTTGGAGAGAAACATATATTCAAACTATATCATAAAAGTTTATAGCATCCATATTTTATTGTTGATATCTGGTCTGAGACATGGATAATATTTGGTGTTAGCCAAACAGAGTTTTATGGAAGGGTGTTTTCATCAAAGAAGATACTATGAACCTTAGAGGTAAATAAATAAATAACATATTCAAGAACATAGAGGTGGTTCTATATGTCTGGAACACAGAGGTTCAGTAGGAGATATTATTAATCTGGTGGTGTTAGCCAAGTGGCAAAATGAACAGTTACAGTTTTCCACAAACAATAGCAACAACAATAGCTATATCACAAGAGCATTAGTGAGACAATGAGGGCCCTTAAACTTATGGCTGGATGATAAGAGACGTATGTTAAAAAAGCCTCTCTGGCTGCAAAACAGGGAAAAGATTGAAAAGAAGTAAGGCTAGAAGTGACAGGATGGTAATGAAAGCCATTACAGTGGAGATGGAGAGAGGCCAACAGATTATAAATATATTAATGAGTTTGAATTTACAGGACATGAAGATTTGTTTTAAATTCAGCAAACGCCTATTGAGAGCTTAAAATCTGTCAAAAATTGTGCCAAGTGTCCAGGGAAATGTAATGAGGGAGAGGGAGATATGGTCTTGTGTCTTATAGAGCTCCCAGTCCATTGAGAAGGACAAATACATAATAGTAAAGAAACAGCTATATGAGCAGTTTTATATTGCGCATCATGGAGGACAACACAACTTGCATTTGTGGTTTGTTTAATTGTATATGTTAGGAAGGATAATTCCAATGTGCCAATCAAGTTACTGATTGAGTCCTAGGGTTGATAGTGTCCCATTAACAGAGACAGGAACCTGATTGCAAGAATCAGCACTGTTAGTAATTTTTTTTTCTTGAAAAATCAGAGTAATTTCCTAGAGGGTTAAAGCAGAAATACATTTCACTCCCCATTCTTTGCCATTAGTACCTAAAACATTTGCTACTACTTCAGGATGAATTGATCATATGAACTTACCACATGGAAAATAGCTGTATGCAATTGACTTTTAGAAAAATCATAAGTTAACTTTTTGGACCACCAGCATTCTTCTTTAACAGAATTCACAAACAGGGTTATGCTATTCTAATTATAGATTTTGAAAAGTTTCTATCAATACAAACAAGGTTATGGTATTCTAATCATACATTTTGAAAGGTTTCTATCAATACAAACAAGGTTATGGTAAATAGCACCATATAAAAAAACTAACTTATTTGTATATATAGTTCAAATTCTTTAAAGAATACTGTGAACAATTAAATTGGTCACAGGCTCATATTTTGTGGGTACTTTACTGAGAATTGCTAATATCTGAGTTAGATGTTTTATTACACGTCTAGGATAAATTCGTTCTCTATGCTCTAAGAAATAGAAATCAAGGATGTTAGAATTCCATGTTTGTTTTTTTTTAAAAAAAAGATCCATAATGTCTTTTTGCAGAAATTTTAAATCTTCAGAGTATTTTGCTTTGTCTAATTAAACATGTATCTTTGCTTCAATAATTTATACAGAGAATATAAAGTCTCGCTCTGTCGCCTAGGCTGGAGTGCAGTGGCACAATCTCGGCTCACTGCAAGCTCCGCCTCCCGGGTTCATGCCATTCTCCTGCCTCAGCCTCGCGAGTAGCTGGGACTACAGGCGCCCGCCATCACGCCCGGCTAATTTTTGTATTTTTAGTAGAGACGGGGTTTCACCGTGTCAGCCAGGATGGTCTTGATCTCCTGACCTCGTGATCCGCCTGCCTCAGCCACCCAAAGTGCTGGGATTACAGGCGTGAGCCTGATTATTCTTTTATTTATTTTTTTATATTTTAAGTTCCAGGGTACATATGCAGGGTGTGAAGGTTTGTTACATAGGTAAACATGTGCCATGGTGATATGCTGCACTTATCAACCCATCCCCTAGGTATTAAGCCCAGCATGAATTAGCTATTTTTTTCTGATGCTTCCTCCTCTCCTACCTTCTGACAGGTCCCAGTGTGTGTTGTTCCCCTCTCTGTGTCTATGTGTTCACATCGTTCAGCTCCCCCTTGTAAGTAAGGATATGCAATATTTGGTTTTCTGCTCCTGTGGTAGTTTGCAGAGGATAATGGCTTCCAGCTCCATTGATGTCCCTGCAAAGGACATGATCTTATTCCTTTTTATGGCTGTGTATTATTCCATGATGTATATGTACCACATTATCTTTATCCAGTCTATCATTGATGAGCACTGGAGTTGATTCCATGTCTTTGTTATTGTGAATAGTGTTGCAATGAACATATGTATGTATGTATCTTTAAAATAGAATGATTTATATTCCTTAGGGTATATACCCAGTAATAGGATTGCTGGGTCAAATGGTATTTCTGGTTGCAGGTCTTTGAGGGATCGCCACACTGTCTTCCACAATGGTTGAACTAATTTACATTCCTACCAACAATGTAAAAGTGTTCCTATTTCTCTGCAGCGTCGCCAGCATCTGTTATTTCTTGACTTCTTAATAATCACCATTCTGACTGGTGTGAGATGGTAGCTCATTGTGGTTTTGATTTGCAGTTTTCTAATGATCAGTGATGTTGAGCTTTTTTTTTGATATGTTTGTTGGCCACATGTATGTCTTTTTTGAGAAGTGTCTGTTCCTGTCCTTTGCCCACTTTTCAATGGGTTGTTTATTTTCTTCTTGTACATTTGTTTAAGTTTCTTGTAGATTCTAGATATTAGATCTTCATCTAGACTAATATGAAAAGAGAGAAGGATCAAATAGATGCAATAAAAAATTATACTGGAGCCCTTCCTTACACCTTATACAAAAATTAACTCAAGATGGATTAAAGACTTAAATGTAAGACCTAAACCATAAAAACCCTAGAAGAAAACCTAGGCAATACCATTCAGGACATAGGCATGGGCAAGGACTTCATGTCTAAAACACCAAAAGCAATGGCAACAAAAGCCAAAATTGACAAATGGGATCTAATTAAACTAAAGAGCTTCTGCACAGCAAAAGAAACTATCATCAGAGTGAACAGGCACCCTACAGAATGGGAGAAAATTTTTGCAATCTATCAATCTGACAAAGGGCTAATATCCAGAATCTACAAGGCAGAGTTGAATAATTGGCAGACTTGAATAATGAGAACACATGGACACAGGGAAGGGAACATCACACATCAGGTCCTGTCAGGGGATTGGGGATAAGTGGAGGGATAGCATTAGGAGATAGCATTTGTTATACCTGCATAACAAACCTGCACTTTCTGCACATGTATCCCAGAACTTAAAGTATAATAATAAAAAAAAACAAAGGGAATATCACCACTGACCCCACAGAAATAGAAACAACTGTCAGAGAATACTATGAACACCTCTATGCAAATAAACCAGAAAATCTAGTCGAAATGGTTAAATTCCTGAACACATACACCCTCCCAAGACTGAGCCAGGAAAAAGGTAAATGTCTGAATAGACCAATAACAAATTCTGAAATTGAGGCAGTAATAAATAGCCTGCCAACCAAAAAAAAGCCCAGGACCAGATGAATTTACAGTGAATTCTACCAGATGTACAAAGAAAAGCTAGTACTATTTCTTCTGAGACTATTCCAAACAAATGAAAGGATGAACTTCTCCCAGATTCGTTTTATGAAGCTAGGATCATCCTGATACCAAAACCTGGCCAAGAGACAACGAAAAAAAGATATCTTCAGGCCAATATCCTTGATGAACATAGATGCAAAAATTCCCAATAAAATACTGGCAAACTGAATCCAGCAGCACATCAGAAAGCTTATCCACCACAATCAAGTCAGCTTCATCTCTGGGATACAAGACTGGTTCAACATATGCAAATAAATAAACATTCACCGCATAAACAGAACTAAAGACAAAAACCACATGATTATCTTAATAGATGCAGAAAAGGCCTTCAATAAAACTCAACATCCCTTCATGTTAAAAACTCTCAATAAACTAGGTGTTGAAGAAACATACCTCAAAGTAAGGAGTCATTTATGACAAACCCACAGCCAATATCATAATGAATGGACAAAAGCTGGAAGCATTCTCCTTGAACACCGGCACAAGACAAGGATGCCCTCTCTCACAACTCCTATTCAAATAGCACTGATTATTCTTTTAAATAGCAATATAGAGATTAGTTGCAGTCTAGGTTTTGTTGGTTATTCAGTCTCTCAATTGCTATCTCCCAATGCCTCTCAAAAACACTGCTGAGAGAACTAGTATTTGTAGAGGATTATCTGAAACATTGTATCCAAACATTTTCCCTGATCCTCTAAAATCTAATGTTAGATTAATCTAAGTCAAGTAAAGCAAATAATTGGTCTGATTCCTATTGACTTCTCATTTAACTACTTTGGCTGAACAGTACTTCAAATCAATGTCTTATGCTTACATATGCCTAACATTATATAAATTTATGTTATAGAAGTTGCCATTGTGTTATTTGCAAAGATGCAAGTAAAGATATATTTAATACATAACACATGTCTTATTCTGTCACTACTCATAAAAATGCCTTTCACTTGTTTTTGCATTATAAATAATGTATTCTTCACCAATTGCTATGTTTTTATATAATTAACTTTCTAAAATTTGAAAATGCCATGTTTATGTATGGAATCACATGCTTAAAATCTTTATATTTGCTTAACTTTTGTTAATTGAGACATAATTCATAAATCATTATTTTCACCATTTAAAAAAGTACAATTCTGTGGTTTTTAACCTACTGAAAATCATGAATATATATTTGCAGGAAACTTTTGGAGGGTTAAAGACATTTAAGTACCATAGTAATTTGATGTATGCACCTATCTCATTTTTGAAGACATATTTTTCCATGATCTCAGTTTCTTAATTATTTTTAAATTATATTGGTTTGATTTATCTTATTAATTTAAAAATCATCTTATATGATATTACATGACAGCAAACTTAAGAAAATATTTTCACATTTGCAATGAAAAAAGTTTGTTTTGTAACAATTTAAACTATTCTATAGTGATATCTGATCCTGTTTTGATATTACATTCATTTTTATATGCCTAGACAGTATGTCCTTATTCATTTATTTGATCATTATTTCAATAAATATTGCTTGAGTAACAAACCACGAATTATGTTGTATGATGGAATGCAAAGTTGGAAAGTGTACAATTCTCAGATCTTGACACTTTTATATTAGTTAAAGCAACACACATGCATATAACACTTGAAGTAAATGTGGATGATACAGCGATAGAAACCTGGAAGATTACTACTAGAACAGAGCAATAAAATAAATATTTAGTTGTATTCTCTATAATCTTTCAGAAGTTAGATACATGTCACTTTTTGTTCATTATTTTATCTAAAATGAATATGTACATAAGCCACATTAACCCACTAGAAATTTATTTTATTGCATTAGATACATTTTATATATTTTAATTATTTATTTACTAAAATAATCTATACTTTTATATATTGGTAATCTTAATAGAAAAAATACACATTTTGGCATTTGTTTTTAATATTTTTACTTTAGATTTACAAAATTATAGCAAAGATAATACAGAGAGTTTCTGTGTACCCCACATCTGGTTGCACTTATTTTAACATCTTACATTGTTATATTACACTCGTCACAATTAATTTAAATATTGATAAATTCCTATTAACAAAAGAACATACATTATTTAGAATCTTTATTTTTCCCTAACATCTTTTTCTGTTCCAATATTCACTGAGGATTCCACTTTACATGTATTATTGATGTTTTCATAGAGTCCTTTTGACTGTGACAGTTTCTCTGACATTCCTTGTTTTTGATGACTTTGACAGTTTTGAGAAGTATTCTTTTAGGTATTTTGTGTAATGATTCCAAAATGGGATTTATCTTTTCTTTTTTTATTTGATCAGACTAGGGTAAGAGATTTTCGGGAGATTTTTGGAATCACAGAAGTAAATTGCAATACTTATTAAACCATAAACAGCGTATTCAATATGACTTACAACTCTTGATGTAAACCCTAACCACCTGGCTTAGGTAGTGCTTATCAGGTTTCAGCACCATAAATTAACTTCTTTTTCTTTTGTTCCTCATTCTCCATTCTGTATTCTTTGGAGGGAAGTCACCACGTACAGACTACACTTACAGAGCGAGGAGATATGCTCCAACTTTTAATAATGTGGTATCTACATTTTAATGATGAAGCATCTAAAGTATCCCAAATTCTTCTGCATAGGAAATTGGCCTCTTTTCCCATTATTTATTTAGCATTTACTTTTATCAGTATAACCTCCTGGATATATATATTATACTTTGGGTTACAATCCAATATTATTTTATTTTTTGGGTCTAACTGAGATTTGGCATTGGGACGCTTTCAGTTGGTTTCTTTATCCCTTTGATATACCTCCATCAATGTAAGGGCTCTTGTGTTGATTTTTGGATTCTTTACTACTTTCTGGTTCTTCAAAAGGCTTCACAGTTACTTTGTGTATTTCCTGCTGCAGTTACAGAATCATTTATTCTGAGAAATGCTGTGGTTTTCTTAATTGAAAAATGGTATGGAAAGTCAAATCTGGGTGCTGTGCCTGCCCAAGGCTAGAAAACGGTTGCATTAAGGTCCCTCAGTTGGCACAATGAGGAAAAATATGTGTGTTTACTAACCTGTGCATGTAGATATATCTATTTATAGTTCTATATGTTAATATCTGTAACAATACAGAACTAAACATACATTTATATAGATCTCTCTTGCCCTAATATTTCTTCACCCCACCCCCCAGGTGGAATGGAGTGGCCCGTTCTTGGCTCACTGCAACCTCTGCTTCCCAGGTACAAGCGATTCTCCTGCCTCAGCCTCCCGAGTAGCTGGGATCACAGGTGCACGCCACCATCACTGGCTAATTTTTGTACTTTTAGTAGAGACAGGGTTTCGCCATGTTGGCAAGGCTAGTCTCGAACTCCTGACCAGAGGTGATCTGCCTGCCTTGACCTCCCAAAGTGCTGGGATGACAGGCGTGAGCCACTGTGTCCGGCCTATTCTAATCTTTTACAACATAGATCAATGTAGCTTCTTCTCCTTATGTGTAACATTTCATTCCAACATTGAAAAACCTGGTTCTGAACATGTTTCATTCACTTAGTCTTTCAATTTCGTTATATGTATATAGTAATTTCAGAATTATTAACCTATACCCCTTGGGAAAGTAAAACTGTATCAGTGAGAATACAGTGCTTATATATGATTCCTTTTGCCGTTAGTCTTACAGACGCCTCTCAATTTCAAATTTATTTATGTTAGAGATTTATTCTGCCAACCCCTTCCGTGAAGTTGCTTCGTACATTTTTAATACATTTAGATTATTTTGTCACACTCTCCATTGCATGCTGAGACCCCTCTGGTTTATTAAATGATATTTTTATTAATTTTCATGCTTTAAATTTGCTGTATGTACTGTAGAGGTTAAATCTTGTAATGACTTGTGTTCACCATTATAGCATTTTATATAATAGCTTCACCACCCTGTGAATACCCCTGTGTTTCATCTATTCATTTTGCCTCTCTGCAACAAACCTTTGGCAACTACTGATCTTTTCACCATCTCTACGGTTTATCATTTTCCAGAATGTCATCATATAATCCTTTGAAATTCTATAGCATGTAGTTCTTTTAGATTGCCATCTTTCCCATGGTGATATAAACTTAAGATTTATCCATGTCTTTTTATCACTTGATAACTAGTTTTTTTATGACTGAATAATATTCCATTGTAGGCAGGCCCAAGTTTGTTTATTCATTCATAAATTGAAAGTCATATTAGTTGCTTCCAGTTGGGTCAATTATAAATAAAACTACTGTAAACATTCTTGTGCAGTTTTTGTGTGAATATGTTTTTAAATCTAACTAGGATCATGATTATTGGATCATATGCGAAGACTAGGTTTAGTTTCCAAAAACCTGCCCAATTGTTTTACAAAGTGGCTGTGCCATTATTTTATTTTTTATTGCAATAGCTTTAGAAGTACAAGTATATTTTTTATGTGAATGCATTGTATAGTGGTGACAGCTGGGATTTTAGTATACCCATCACCCAAGTGGTATATGTTGTAGCCAATAGATAGTTTTTAATCCATCACCCCCACTACCCTCCCCTATTCTGAGTCTCCAATGTCTACTCTGTATACCTTTGCATACCCATAGATTAGCTCACACTTATAAGTGAAAACATGCAGTATTTGGTTTTTCATTTCTAAGTTGCATCACTTAGGATAGTGAGCCCCATCAAATTTGCTGCAAAAAACATTATTCCTTTTTTTTCTTGGCTGCATAGTATTCCATGATACCATGCACAAACACTGAGAGTTCTTGTTTCTCTGGATCCTTATCAACAGTTGATATTTTCAGGTTTTTGGATTTTGATTACACTAATAGTGTACAGTAGTACCTCATAGTTGTTTTAATTTGTATTACACTAATGGAAAATTATATTGAGCATCTTTTAATATGCTTGTTTCCAATCTGCATATCATTTTGGTCATGTATCACTTCAGACCTTTTGCCCAATTTTTAATTAGGTTGTGTGTTTAATGTTGTTGAGTTTTAAGTGTGCTCTGTGTAATTTGAATAGAAGTCCTCTATCACATGTGTATTTTGCCAATTTTTTCTTCTATTTTTTCTTGCCTTTTTGATCTCCTAATAGTATGTTTTACAAGATAGAGTTTTTCATTTTAATGAAGTGAAATAATAATTGGGTTCTTCTATGAACAATATTATTACTGTTCCTTCTTAAAAGGTATTGCCAAGCTCAAAGTCATGCATATTTTCTCTTGTGCTTTCTTCTTAATTTTTTTAGTTGTGCATTTTCATTTTGGTCTAAATCTATTTAGAGTTAATTTTTATCTAAGGTCTAGGGTCTGTACTTATATTCACTTTTTGGTATATAAGTTTTTAATTTTTCCAGCCACTATTTTTTTTGTTCATTGAAATGTCTTCACTCCTTTGTCAAAAAATCAGTTTATTATATTTTTCTTGCTTATTTCTAGACTCCATATTTTAGTTCTTTGATCAATGTGTCAGTTCTTTTACCAATACCAGTCTTTTTGATTGCTATAGCCTTACAGGGAGTCTTTAAACAAATAGTGAGAGTCCGCCAACATTGTGTTTCTTCTTCATTAGTGTTTTGGCTACTCTATTGTAATGTTGAATAAGAATGGTGAGAGAAAACATTGTTGCTTTTTCTAGATTTTTTAAAAATGATTTTAAGTTCTGGAGTACTCGTGCAGAATGTGCAGGCTTGTAGCATAGGTAAATGTGTGCCATGGTGGTTTGCTGCATCTATCATCCCATCCCCTAGGTATTAAGCCTGGATGCATTAGCTATTTTTCCTGATACTCTACCCACCCTCCTGCTCTCCTCCAACAGGCCCCAATGTGCATTGTTCCCCTCCCTGTATCCATGTGTCCTCATTCTCCAGCTCCCACTTATAAGTGAGAACATGCTGTGTTTGGTTTTCTGTTCCTGTGTTAGTTTGCTGAGAAAAATGGCTTCCAGCTTCATCCATGTCCCTGCAAAACACATGGTCTCATTTCTTTTTTGGCTGCATCATATTCCATGGTGTGTATGTACCATATTTTTTAATCCAGTCTATCATTGATGGGCATTTAGGTTGATTTCATGTCTTTGCTATTGTGAATAGTGCTTTAGTGAACATACATGCGTATGTACATTTATAATAGATTGAGTTCTATTTTTTAGGGTATATACTCAGTAATGGAATTGCTGGGTCAAATGGTATTTCTGGCTCTAAATCTTTGAGGAATTGCCACACTGTCTTCAACAATGGTTGAATTAATTTACATTCCCACTGACAATGTAAAAGCATTCCTATTTCTCCACAACCTTGACAGTGTCTGTTGTTTCTTGAGTTCTTAATAATCACCATTCTGACTAATGTTAGATTGTATCTCATTGTGGTTTTGATTTGCATTTCTCTAATTATCAATTATTTTGAGCTTTTTTTGTATGTTTGTGCCACACGTATGTCTTCTTTTGAGAAGTGTCTGTTCATGTCCTTTGCCCACTTTTTAATGCAGTTGTTTTTTTTTTTCTTGTAAATGTACTTAAGTTCCTTATAGATTTTGGATACTAGACCTTTATCAGATGGGTAGATTGAAAAATTTTCTCCCATTCTGTAGGTTGTCTGTTCTCTCTGATGATGGTTTCTTTTGCTGTGCAGAAGCTCTTTAGTCTAATTAGATCCCATTTGTCAATTTTTGCTTCTGTTGCAAATGCTTTTGGTGATTTCGTCATAAAATGTTTGCCCATCCCTATGTCCTGAATGGTATTTGTTAGATTTTCTTCTAGGGTTTTTATAGTTTTGTGTTTTATGTTCGAGTTTGTAATTCATCTTGAGTTCATTTTTGTATAAGGTGTAAAGAAATGGTCCAGTTTAAATTTTCTGTATATGGCTAGCCACTTCTCCCAGCACCATTTATTAAATAGGGAATCATTTCTCCATTGCTTGTTTTTTCTTGTTTATTGAAGATCAGATGGTTAGAGATGTGTGGTTTTATTTCTGAGTTACCTATTCTGTTCCATTGGTCTATGTTCCTGTTTTTGTATCAGTTCCATGCTGTTTTGCTTACTGCAACCTTGTAGTATAGTTTAAAGTTCGGTAGCCTGATGCCTCCAGCCTTGTTCTTTTTGCTTAGGATTGTCCTGGTAATATGAGCTCTTTTTTGGTTCTATATGAATTTCAAAATAGTTTTTTTTTTCTATTCTGTAAAGAAAGTCAATGGTAGTTTAATGGGAATAGCACTGAATCTATACATTGCTTTGGACAGTATGGCCATTTTCAGGATATTAATTCTTCCTATCCATGAGCATGGAATATTTCTCTGTTTGTTTGTGTCCTCTCTGATTTCCTTGAGCAGTGGTTTGTAGTCTTCTTGAAGAGGTCCGTCCCTTCCCTTGTTAGCTGTATTCCTAGATATTTTTTCTCTTTGTGGCAATTGTGAATAGGAGTTCATTATTGATTTGTGTCTCTGCTTGTCTGTTGGTGTATAGGAATGTTTGTGATTTTTGCACATTGATTTTGTATCTTGAGACTTTGCTGAAGTTGCTTATCAGTGTCAGAAGCTTTTGGGCTGAGTTGATGGTGTTTTCTAGATACAGGATCATCTCATCTGCAAACAAAGACGGTTTGACTTTCTCTCTTCCTATTTGAATACACTTTGTTTCTTTCTCTTGCCTGATTGCCCTGGCCAGAACTTCCAACACTATGTTGAATAAGAGTGGTGAGAGAGGGAGTGCTTATCTTGTGCTAGTTTTCAAGAGTAATGCTTCCAGCTTTTGCCATCCATTATGATATTGGCTGTGGATTTGTCATAAATGGTTCTAAGTATTTTGAGGAATGTTCCTTCAATATCCATTTTATTGAGAGTTGTTAACATGAAGGGATGTTGAATTTTATTGAAGGCCTTTTCAGTGTCTATTGAGATAATCATGTGGTTTTTGTCTTTATTTCTGTTTATATGGTGAATTATGTTTATTTATTTGCAAATTTTGAATCAGTCTTCCATCCTGGGGATGAAGCCAACTTGATCGTGGTGGATAAGTTTTCTGATGTTCTGCTGGATTCAGTTTGATAGTATTTTACTGAGGATTTTTGCATCTATGTTCATCAGGAATATTGGTCTGAAGTTTTCGTTTTTTTATTGTATCTAGTGGGAAAGTATAATCCTACCAGAAGGTATGTTTTTAGATATTCTTTATCAGATTGAAGACATCCCTTTTTTATGTCTAATTTGCTAAGTTTTTATCAGAAATGGGCATTGTATTTTGTCAAATGCTTTTCTCTGCATTAATTTACAAGATCATGTAATTTTTCTTTTTTAGTTTTTTGATTTGATGAATTGCAATGATTAATTTTTAAAAGTTGAACTAGTCCTCTATTCTGGGAGTAAATCCAACTTTTTTATGTTGTATAATTATTTTATACATTGTCAGATTTGATTTGCTTGTATTTGGCTTAGGGTTTTTGTGTTCCCATCCCCAGACACATTTGGTGTGTAGTTTTACTTTGACTTTATTTGGTTTTAGTATTGCTAATTAGAAAAAAAAGGTCAATAATTCTTTCGTAGCCTACTTGTGGAACACTTTAGAATTGTTCTATAGAATCAGAAAGAGAGTACTTTGTAGTGAAAATGAACGCCTTTCCAGGGTAGGCTTTGCTACTTGCTATTTGATTTTGCATATTTACCTAACATGTCTAATGGTCATTTTTTAATGGCAATAATAAAATATACCTTGGTGTGTTCTAATTAGGAATATATTTGTATATGTAAAACATCTATATAATGATATAGTGTTGTATATACAGTAAATATTTAATAAACAATCACTACTTTTTTGCCCTTCATATGACATAGAAGAAACCGGAGGCATGCTAATTACCATACTATAACTTGAACATTTTAAAATCTTAATACAATGCTAAACTGGGCACTTAAGTGTAGTGGAAGATTCTGAGCTCAGTTGAAACTGTCCATAATTACAGAGCCCTAAGACTGCTAATATTATAGGAAACATTAGAATATATTATATTTTATACATACTTACATAAACATATGTTTTAAGTTTCTGATATGTTTCTTAGTTGCAATGACATTTAAGTTCTTGATTTTTCAAGGCAAATATTAAGACATTTAATAATTATAGATTGTTGCCAAAACTTTCCAATAGTTTGAGAAACCAGAAAATCTTTGAGGAGATGTACCATAACCCGTTATTTTGCCAATGATAATTTCTATAAGGAGATACTCTTTTCGAAAGCAATAATTTTGATATATATGGTGAATTGAAAATAAATCAATAAATATCCCTAGTGATAATTTAAATCTATTTAAGCTATAAGAAATTCAAATATATCAATTTTAAATGTAAAATATTTTTTAAGTTAGAGAAATGTTACATATTATAGTAAATTATAATTAGTTTTCTAAATGTTATAGTTCTCCTGAGGAATATAGAAGTATTACTACTCAGAAACATTGTGTGAAATTTGGATCCATAATCATTTGTTATGTGTAAACAGCTTCTAGTGTTATCTTAAAAATCCCTTGCTCTGGGGAAATGCTAAATGGAAAATAGACTGAAAGATATTTTCCAAGATAAATAGTTGTAGAAAAAATTGTTATGACAGAAGACTTATGCAGTGAATTTGATTTAGTGTTCTGTAGGGAGCTACAGAGAGATTCTTCTTATAAGGTAGCTGAGAACTCTGTGTTGACAGCAGAGCTAGCTATTTATTTACAAAGGCACTAAGAATTTGGGAAGAAAATGAAAGTTTATTTAATTATACCAATAACACTTAAATAATTTGTAATGCTAGATTTAAAACACAAATTTGACAAAAAAGGTAGTGAATTTTTAAATTTTAATTATAAGTTTAATATTACTTGGGGATATAGAGTTAAATTTTTATCTTTTGAATCATTACAACTACACACACACATACACACACGTGCATAGGCACACTTTATTTATTTATTTATTTACTTATTTATTTATTTATTTATATCAAACCTTACTCTCTGAGGATACCTTTCTCAACTTTATGCGATGCAAAATCATATATTTAGATAATTTCTTATATCTAAAACTTACAGCCAGTTTTTTCCTACGGGGTAACTAAAGAGTTCAGTCTCAGCACACATTCAGTTTCTGATTTCTCAGCTGAGTCTCCCAGAAAGGATATCAATTAGTTACAAACGTCATGGTTATTTTTCAGTGTGGCCATCTGTCCACTTAGAACTTGAATGCGATGAAAAACTTATTTCACACGTGCTGGCAAACAGCTGCCAGATGGCAACAAATTGTGATCACCGTGACCCAAACTAAATTTAAACAATAGGAGTAATAATAAAAATTGGTATATGGACACTTACAAATTTTACTTCAGAAGGAAGTGTGGGGATTATAGGCTTCTGACCAAAGTCAGTGGTAGAGCTCTATTCTGAGTTATATAGTTAAACATGTGCTAACAAGCTATAATCATCTTTGTGTTCCCCATTTTCCTAATTTTAATAACTGTAAGAATTTAATCTTCTAGAGCTTCAAATTCTTGATTTGTAATATACAACATTTAATAACTTATTGATTTCATATTTTAATATAATTGCCATCTTTTTTCCTCAACTCTAGAGCACTAAGACTGTAAACACAATAGAAATAAACATTTTTTATTTTTTAAACATCTATAAAACAATATACTCTAAACTTTGGAAAAAGTAGCATATATTATTATTCATATTATGCAATAAAGAAAATGGGGTTTGGGAGAAGTTAATGATTTGTTCTGCAATATTCATTTACTAATATAAGTGCTAGAGCAGGAACATTAACTCAGCTATCACTGTAATGCCAATATACTTTTCAGTAAACCACCTTAAATCTTAACTTTTTTAAAAAAACAGTAATTATAATAATAAGCTGATTTGTTACACTTCATTAGAAATTAACTATTTCTTAACTCAATGATGATAATGATAATGGTGACAATAATAATTTGTGCTTACTATGTTATTACTATGTTGAAGGCTACATTTATCACAATTTAATGTAATGTTTAAAACATACCATGATACAGAGCATTTGTTATTAACATCGACAAATTTTAATAGATGATAAACAGAAAATTAAGTGAAACGTTATCTTCTACTATCAAAGGACTTATACATCTTTGTGTTGAGGACTCTGTTTTATTTAACCTGGGAATAGATCTTATTGCTTCATTGGTGAGGTCAACTCTATTGTAATGTTGGTCTTCTAGTCATTCATATCAGCCCTTTTTAAAGCTATTCATCAAGGAAATCAATCACTTCAGCAAGCTCATGACTTAAAGTTCAAAAATAAGAGAATACAAGCTTAATGTTTCCTACTTTATGGATTTTATTCAATTGAGCCATAAATGCAAATATAACAGCAGGAAAATGTCCATTTGCAAGTATATAATTTATTTACTGTGAATAGGACTCCTCTCTGTGTAATATAAAAATGTCTTCTATACTAACATTTTCTAGAGACTGCAGGTTCATCAAAGCTCTTTTAACAACAACTAAACCCAAGCTTCTCCTTATTACTTGGAACAACTCAAAAGAAACTCCCCTTCCAATGTTAACCAAAAGTAATACTTCACCATTGTAATTGTTCATTTGAATTTACCATAATTTGTGCAAAGAGAAGTGGTGGCATCATATTTCTGTCTCAGTCTCACACTGTTTCAGTTTGTGTTATGACAACTCTAATCTTGGCTTATCTCACTCTTCTAGTGACAAGAATATAAATATCCCAGCAGTCATCATCAAGTTCTCAAATTAGTTTTTCCCTGAATGTGTCCCCTGAATTATATCTTGCTCTATTTTCACTATATAGTATGATGAAATTTTGCTTTTTCAATAGAGTATGTTTGTCTTCTAATCAATACCAGCACATATCTTATTCACCCCTACGTGTTCAATCAGTTGGCAGACTTTCTTGCCAATAGTATGGGCCGAGTTTAGATCAAAAGTATGTTATTGATTGCTTACAATACTCCAGATGCAGAGGGGAAAAAACATAAGTATATTTTTAAAACTCAGAAAATGTGGCTATTAAATAAGAAATATTGACACATGTTGATACGGTCTCCACTAAGATTGAGGCATAAGTGAGTAAGCAATAATTCAAAAAAGGAGCGTGTAGGCAACATTTTCAAGGACAAGTAAAACCTGAAATTAGTCACGAAAAATAAGTAATAATCATAAAAATGAACAAAAAATATTTGATGGGGTTCTAGAAAAAAGAAATGCATAATGAAAGGCATAGAGATATAAGATAACATGTTGTATGCCAGAATTGGCAAGATTTGTGCTTTGGGAATAGGTAAGTGTGAACCAGTAGTAAAAGGAGATCTTAAGAAAGATAGTTTTATGGGTACCTTGATTGCTTATTAAAACTTTGGGGATTATGTAAACAATGGGAAGCCAGTGAATAATCTTTAGCAGAGGACATGTAAAGTCAAAGTTATACTTTAAACTTTCTGATTGCTAGTGCAAATGATTTATTCGAGGAGGGAAAAACTGAGTGAGGTAAGTCATTGAAATCTTGGAGGGAGAGTGTGAAATAAATTTTTAAAACATTCAAAAGATCTATTTTAAATATAAATATGTTTGCCTTTGCTTTTTTTAAAAATGGTATCCTTTTACAGTCTGTAATTAATGATTTTTAATGCTACATCCCTTCAATATTCTTTACTTCTTTTGTGTCGTCTTGAATTTGACTTTTTATGCCTTAATTTTATCTGCCCTTAGGCCTGTTGTCCTTAAAATTTAAGATCTTTTGTTGGTTTTTGAAATCATCTGTCTCAAAATGGCTGGGGACTAGGTTAGTTTCCTCTTCCCCCTTTTGAAATAACCCAAACACTGAGAAATAGAAAAAAAATTGCAAACTACAACTGTGTATAAATAACAGGCAATTGCAATTCTGAAGGACAATCATATGAAGATGGACTTTCTAAAGTTATATTAGCTAAGAAGTACGGAACAGCAACAGTAGAAGACATCTATGATCACTGATCTCACATAAAGCAGGGAGACCAAATTACAAAATGGTGGTAAATTCTGAAAAGAAACAAACAGATAAACAGACAAAAAAAAATCTATCTATCTATCTACCTACCTATTTAGCTAATCTATCTATCTAGGAGAGAGAGGGACAGGGGAGAAAGAAAGAAAAAGAGGGAGAGAGAGAGATTTTTACAGAAATAAAAGATAACTTGATTGGGGCAGAAAACGTATGAAGTTGAGCATCTTTTTCTGTGCTTAGTTGCAATCCAAGTATCTATTTTGGAGAAGTGTCTTTTGAAATTCTTTTACATGTTTTTCACAGATTTGTAGCTAAGCATTTCATTTTATGTTATTTCAAAAAATAATTTAAAAATAACTTATGGTTATTATTTGCTAGAGTTTGTAAATATGTGTCTCTCTCTCTATATATATATTAGTTACCTGATTCCAATAATCTCTCTAAACTCATTGATTATACATTCACACACTTTATGACTTTTTTTTTACCTAAACGATGGTACTTTGTGCTAGAAAAAAAAAAAAAAAAAAAAGGAGGCTTTTTTCTTTTTTAAACTGGATGTATTTAATTCCTGTTTTTACTGGTTGCCTGTAAATTGTAAATTTCTTTTTCTTGCCTTAGTGCACTGCTTGCTAGAACTTCCAGTACAATGTTGAATAGAGGGGATAAATACAGATATCTTTTGTCTTTTTTCTGATCTTAGAGGGAGATTTTTCAGTCTTTCACCACTAAGGATTTCACACTTGTGCACACTTAAAAGGACTATATATTCAGCTCTTGATAGTGAAGTGTTCTAATTTAAATGTCTTTTAGATCAAATTGGTTAATTAGTGTTGTTCAATTCTTCTATGGACTTAATAATTTCTTGTTTTTTTTAATTTTTAAGAGAGGACAAATATACAGTCTGCTCTATTGTAGATTAGATTTGTCTGTTTCTCTTGAAAGTCTATCAGTTCTTGCCTTGTATTATTTTATATCTCTGTTATTAGATGCCTAAATATTTAGAATTACTATGCACTTTTAATGTTTTAACACTTTTATCATTGAGAGAGAGCTTTTTATTCCTTGTAATTTTCTTTGTCATGAAATTTAATCCAATATTTGTATAGTTGGTATTTATTTTGTTTAGTGTTAGTAGGGCATGCATATTAATTATTTATTCCTTTACTTTGATTCTATGCATGTGTTTTAATTTCAGGTTTATTTTTTACATGTAGTACATTACGGGGCTTTGATTTTTTTTTTCAATCTGATAATATTTGCTCTTTAATTGAGGTGTTTAGACCATTTATATTTAATGTGACTATTGACATGGTTATATTTAATACTAACTTTGTGCTATTTATTTTTAGTTTGTTCCATCTCTTTGTTTTCTTTTTTCTCTTTTTCTATATCTTTATTGATTAATTATTTCCTATGTTTTTTTAATCTTCTTTTGGCATATTTGCTAAAAGTCTTTATTTTTCTAGAGTTGTTGTTGCTTTGAGGTTATGCTACACTTCTTTAATATTTCACAGTCTCTGTTCAAGGAATACTGTGGCATACCACATTGCATACAGTATAAATACCTTAAGATAGCATACCTTTATTTCTCTCCATCTACCCTTTCTGCGAATATAAGCCTATATATAAATTTAAAACCTACTGAATATTAGTATTTTTCTTTAAATTTTCAAATAAAATAAAAGTTTAAATAAAATTCTATTTTAAATAGATTTAAATAGTAAGAAAAAAAGATTACATCTTAATCCCTGTAGTTACAGTTTCGAGTACTCCTTATTTCCACCAGTAGCATTTTCTTTCTGCCTGAAAAACTTTAACGGTCTTTGAAAGGTGGATCTGCTGGTTGTTGGGCTGCCAGGTTGTCAGTGTGATCAGTTAGGACAACGAGCCAAACTGAAAATAACAATTAAGCCTTATATGCTTACTGCAACAGTCTAAATAAGAGGCATAAGAGGGCTGGCTCCCAAGTGTTTGTTTCATCCCTAAGAAATGGCACCAGACAAGAGTCCTATGCATGCAATCCAAGTGGAAGGAATTATTTTGTTATTGGAGAGCCCCAAAAAAACGTTTCCTAGCTCTACTTGGACCTGTAGGTCCAGAGGGAGTCAGGGGAAGGAAGTGCTTGGAGTGGAAAAGTAGAGTCAAGGCAGAGAAAAATTCATCATCCAAGGCTTTTCCCATAAGGAGGTCTTGGCAGAGCTGCCTAAAAAGTGCCTTAGCAGAGGTCCCTGATAAGGAATCTTCTGAGTGGAGATGAGCTATGTGTGCGCGGCTGCCTCAGGTGACCTGAGTACATAACAGCAACTTCCTTTAGAAACGGCGATGCATTGACCATGTCTCATGGTCTTGTCTCACCATGTCTTGTGAGTAAAGGAGAGCTTTCTCACAATAAGCCTACCAGACAAAACCTTATAATTGCCCATACCAAACTGGAAAGATCACACATAGGATTTTGTTTACTTGAGATAAAATCAGCCTTCACATGTTTGAAGAATTCTTGATTTCATCTTTTTTTAAAAGGTATTTCATTAGACATAGAATTTTAGGTTTATTCTTTTCTCAGTACTATTAAGTAAATGTTCCACTATTTTCTCACTTGCATAGTTTTCCATGAGAAAAATGCTGTTATCTTTATGTTTGTTCCTCTGTATGTAATATATACATGCTCCCAGCTGCTTTTAAAATTTTATCTTCATCAATGATTTTAATATATTTGATTATGATTTACTTTGGTGCGTTTTTATTCATATTTTTTGTGCTTGAGTTTCATTGACTTCCTTAGTTCTTAGGGTTTAAGATTTTCCATGAATTTGGAAAAAGTTCAGCATTATTTCTTTAATATTTTTGTTTTTACTTCTCTCTTCTTTCCTTTGGGGATACCAATTCAATGTATATCAGATCACTTGAAGATGCACCACAGGTTATTAAGAATCTGTTCTTTTTCTTTGTTTTAATTTGCATACTTCCTATTATAGTGTCTTTTCATTAACCTTTTCCTCTACAGTGCCTAATCAACTGTTAATATTCCATATAGGTTTTTATCTTACATATAGTTTTAATTTCTAGAATACAATATGGTTATTTTTATAGCTTCCAGGTCATTACTTAATTTTTATAATATGGAATACAATTATAATAATTGCAACCCAGTTCTGGGTTTCATTGAATTGATTATTTTTCTCCTTAATTATGGTTTATATTTTTCTACTTCTTTATATACTAACAATTATTTTATTTATTTATTTTTTTGAGATGGAGTCTCGCTGTGTCGCCCGGGCTGGAGTGCAGTGGCGCGATCTCGGCTCACCGCAAGCTCCACCTACCGGGTTCAAACCATTCTCCTGCCTCAGCCTCCCAGATAGCTGGGACTACAGGTGCCCGCCACCATGCCTGGCTAATTTTTTGTATTTTTTTTTTTTTTTAGTAGAGACGGGGTTTCACCGTGTTAGCCAGGATGGTCTCGAACTCCCTTGTGATCCGCCCGCCTCGGCCTCCCAAAGTGCTGATATTGCAGGCGTGAGCCACCACACCCGGCACAATTTTTTTTATTAAATGAAAGATATTATGAACTTTACCTTATTGGATATTGATGAGCTGCCCCATTCTCCCCCCCACTCCTGCTGCATACACAATGAAGAATTGATGGCTCAAATTGTCAGTAGTGTTGAGGTTTAGCAACCCTGTCCTAGGCTAAACACTTTTTAGGTACTGTCATCCAAATCATAAAAGGGGTCTGAAGAAATGTCACTGCTTCCAAGGAAATTAACTATGTCCCAGAACAAAGTATGGGTACTGCCGTGTTTCACTTTTTTCATTAAAGATGTAGCAAAATCTTCAACAAGGAAAAAAGTTGAACTTATTTTTTAATTGTTGTTTTTTAGAAAATTATGACAACTTAAAGTATGTTTTAAAATATAAACTATATAATTTATATGATTACTTTTATAAAATAAGAAATTAAAATAAGTTACTTACAATATCAGTAATATATTAGGTAATGTCTCTGAAAAGCTTTTCTGTTACTGAGAAGTTCACTGAATATCTCATATTGAACTTAAACCTGAGTTATTTTTCTTTACAGAAAGACATTTCCAAATTTGCTGACATCTTTAGTAGTAATAACTCACTGTCAGTAGATGCTTTACAGCAGATTTCTTTGTAAATAACAAACGATTTGTACTTTTAAGCTAACTGAGACAATAAAAAGAGTTGAGCTGCTTTTCAAAAATAAACATTGTTGTAGGGATAGAGAATTTTTAAAATTATTGTTTTTTAAAACTTCTTATCTTCAGAAATAAACTTTTTTTTATATTGCATCAATGTGTCTGTGTGATTATCTTCTCTAGCTCTGATGACAATTAAAACCAACTATCGAAATAAATTTAACTTAAAATTAGATTTTTATTTACTGTATAACAAGGAGTTAAATTCCAATTTTCAGAAATAATAATGCATCATGTTGCTATAATAAAAATGTAATAATTTTTACAGTAAATAAATATAAAATAATGATTTTATAATATTTTCTTCATGCTTATCTTTAAGTACCACTTTATGAGTGCATTTTATTTTATCTTATTTTATTTTTTGAGACAGAGTCTCACTCAGCTGCCGAGGCTGGAGTGTAGTGGTGCCATCTTGGTTCACTGAAACCTCCACCTGCCAGGTTCAAGCAATTCTCCTGCCTCAGCCTCCCAAGTAGCTGGGATTACAGGAGTGTATCACCATGCCCACCTAATTTTTGTATTTTTAGTAGAGATGGGGTTTCACCATGTTGGCCAGGCTGGTCTCAAACTCCTGACGTCAGGTGATCCACCCGCCTTGGCCTCCCAAAATTCTGGAATTACAGACGTGAGCCGCTGTGCCCGTGTTATGAGTGCATTTTAGAATACACATGGATTATTATTACAGATGTACATGTGAGTTTATATATATATATATACACACACATATATATGTATGTATATATACACATATATATGTGTATATATACACACATATATATGTGTGTATATATATATATATACACATATATATGTGTATATATATACACACATATATATGTATATGTATTCATGCATAAAATTATATGAATGGCAACTCATTTCTTTACCTGTAAGGTTGTGAGAAAAAATAATGTAGATACTGCTTTATGAAAGTTACCTCTGTTGGTTTCCTAAAAGAGGTAGAATTTCTCCTTTGAGAACTAACACTTTTTGGTTCTTACAGTTATCATAAATATAATTGGTTTTTTTTAATTGCCTCCAATTTTCAGGAGTACTATTTCATTTTTATAAAAAAATTAAATTTCCATTTAAAAAGAATTAAGGCATATTTATTTTATACTGCTAGTCTTTCTGTATAACTATTTTGGTGTTCATGTAAGTTTATGTAGTTTTGATAGAAATATTTAATTTGGAGAGGACTATGTCTAGTAATAAGCCTGTAAAATATGCAATAACTGTATTATCTGAAAAACAAGATCATTAATTTTTAAAATTAGTCTTTAGTATGAATTATTATCATTACAAAATTATACATTTAGGTATTATTAAATAGTGTTGATTTTCAATATACCCATTCATATCCACTATTTTATTTTTCTGTATAAAACAATTGACTCACATTTTGAAGAGTTTTTTTCTAATATGTATTAGGAAATGAAGCCAAAACAGCAGATTTTAAACTTTTCTAATATTTCAAGGGAACATGAGTATATACTTGAATCATTCTAATGTATGCAGTTTTTCTGTTTCTTTAATTTTGCTTTATGGATTATTTCTATTACCATAAAGTTGGCACAGTTCTATAATTGCATTATCAGAGCCCTCATATGTGGAAGAGAAGCCTATTATGTTTTCAATAACAAAATATATTAGAATGAACTTACCTGCTCTTTATGGGCCTTATAAATTAGAAGCATAAAAACAAAAGCAACTGTTTCAAGAAAGGTTCTAAGGCATATATCATTATGGGATCTGCAAATTCTACTGTACTCAGTGACCTACTACCAAGAAATTCACACCTAACTAGAAACAAGTCATGCTTTCTCCAATCAAATTTAAACAACACTTAGCTTATTATTATATAAAATCAAACACACATAAATCAAAACATGTGCCTGAAATATAAACTCATTTTTTAAGATGTTATAAAAACAATGTTTTGCTATATTTTACTGTCTATTGACCATTTTTAGATATTCTTGCATAAAATGTTAATGGCAGATACAATTTTAATCGTATCTTTTTAAGTTTGTTTAATTTTATCTGTTTAATATTTCTCTTTCTCACAGTTAAGAAAACTTTCTTAAAGAGATTAAGCCATTTCTTAGGGAAACAATACCACACAATGAGATGGAGGGAAAAAAGCCTCTTACTCAATTTTCATATCTTAATTAATCTGTCTTTTAAACCCTTTATCATATACTTTTGCAAACAAAACAATGTATTGTAAATCTAGGACATCGTTGGAATCACACAAATCACATCGAAGTGTTGGTCATCCAAACCAAATAATTGGAAATAATTTCTCAGCATTTCCCCTAATTCTCTCTTGTTTTAACTTTAATACTGTGATGCTAGCCATCAAATAATTTAGTTTGCTATTATATTCTATTAAAATTAAGTCACATAGGGCTAAATAAATTACAGATTGACACTGGATTGTAGGGAAAAGGACAGTTTCAACTAACCCATCTTGGAGCATGTTTGGTAACAGATGAGGAGTTGGAGATACAGCACAATCAAACAAACAAACAAAAAAGTTTGGATCCTGAAAAAAGAGGATGTGGGAGGAAGTCCAAATTAACATAATTTCTTCCACCAGATATCATGATTGAGACTAAGAATGAACATGAGGACAAACCATGTGGATGACAGGAAACTAGTTAGTAGATTGTCTCAAAATCTAATAATTGTTCCTAACCTCCACAGTTAGGCTAATGTCTCCTTTCTTTGTGTGTCTCTAAGTATACATTGCATATGTATACCTATTGTGTAACTTCTCTGCATTAGGTTGCATTTAAATAAAAGCATAAATGCATGATTTGAATAACTGCTTTCCCAAATGTAAGATTTTTTTTTTTAGGGGCAAGGAAAATCTTTAGGTACATTGATGCATACAATTATCTAATGTTAATCAGGAGAACAGAGAAAAATGTGAAATGATACATGTTTATTCTTCAACCAATAGGCTCTCTTTGTTTTCTTCCTGTCTCCTTGGCTTCTCCTGAAGCAGTTTTTGCTAAATAATCCTCATCTTTTTATATCTTTATGTTGTGATGCCATAAGACCCAGTCATCTTCTCTCTGAAGACTCACTTCCCAGGCCTACTGACTCAACGCAATAACTTTAAATCCTATCTAGACAAAGATGAGTCTTCTCATATGTACATCTGTTGAGCAAGTGACGTTTATTATCTTTCACCAGGCATAGAAGTCCCAGTCCCTTTACCACTGCATCTTGGTATTGGAGTTGCCAGGAAAAACACTGTGCAGTCAAGCACTGGATGGAACAACATTCTACCCACAAAGAGAAGACCTGGACAAAATCATCTCCAATGGTGGGCAAAAATCTCCTATCGCCAGCAAGTCCCTTTTGGCAACCATTTTAGGCCAATTGGCTTGCAGGAACTCGTTTTGTGTTGCAGTAGAAGGATCCATCCCCTCCTCATAGAAGACAGATATAGCAGAGGGAGTGTCCAGGTGCCATACACCACACGTTTAAGCACAACAATCGAGTATATACTGAGTCTGAAACAAATAAAAATGTCTCCACACAAGGTAATAAGTCCAGTATAGGCTATGAGGACACTTTATCTCTTGGTAAGAAAGTGTTACATGCCAAAGGACAATTCTCTTATGGCCCATTGGGGGTCAAAACACTGCATTCATAAGACTATCTTTCTCAACAGCAGCTCTATTCCTGACTTCTCAAGATCGCAAGACTTATACGGCCTTAACATAGTCAAAACTTAATTATCACCCACCCTCCAAATGAGGCTCTGTGTGTCAACATATAATAGGAAAATCTGGAAAATCTGTGAGTTAATGTTAAGACTGTGATGACATGGTATTTTAACGCACTTTTCTATTATTAATCTCCCTTTTCTAAAATTTTGTATTTAGTTATTTGTAAAGTAAGAAATGGCCCATGGTACAGAGTTAACTTATTTTAGCAGTTTTATATACTCTTTTGTCTTTGTGGACTTAATGTTATAGACAGCACAAATATCAATTTTGTTTCATTTTTCCCCCACAGCCTACATAAGGGTCA
The DNA here is from genome assembly GCF_000001405.40 of Homo sapiens. Classification (NCBI taxonomy): domain Eukaryota; kingdom Metazoa; phylum Chordata; class Mammalia; order Primates; family Hominidae; genus Homo; species Homo sapiens. The sequence goes on from NC_000013.11 coordinate 56,469,077, forward strand.
GGACCATTGTTTTTTTTAGTTCCCCTTATAGCATAGTTTACCATTTCAGTGCAACTGTACTTTTGAAATGGAAGGCATATTAAGCTTTACCTTATAATTCTGAAAGCAGACATTTCACAGATTTATACCATGAGCTTCTCTTCCAAAATAGCATTCTGTAGTCCTGTCTAAGGGGATAAGTTTGTCACTTTGTAGACATTAATTTCCCCTTGACAGTTATTCTATGGACATTACAGGTGGTTAGAGTTGAAAGAAGAGGAACACATAAATATAATAATTGTTCTCAATTGGGGACTTTTTTTTTTCTCCCAGGTAACATTTAGAAATGCTGAGAAATCCTTTTGATTGTGAAACATGAGAGGGTGCTACTGGCATGTAATGGGTTAGTGAATATGGATGCTGCTAAACGTCTCATAAGGCACAATGTAGCATCACACAACATGAAGTTATCTGGTCCCAAACATCCATGGTGCCAAGGTTGAGAAACCCTTGACCAAAAATATTGATAACATTTCTTACAATTAATTTACTTTACATAATTGATTGATCTGATGATGTATTATAATACAAGGATAAATTTGAAAGAAAAGCAGATAAAGGCAGAATACGTAATATTAATATGTTACTACTAATAATGAGTAATCTTGGATTTTATTTTTTGTTTTTAACAGAAATATATGTGTTCCTTTTTATAGAGAACGAGTTATATATACATATCTCGTAACAAATTGGAAATAACAGGCCAAGAAATAAAGGGGAGAGAGAGAGAATGTGTGTGTTACTGGTTTACTAAGAGGCTTCTTAAATATTATCTCAGTGACTTGGCACTCTCTGGGTTAAGAACTTTATTCCAATTATTATGATCACACAGCTTTGGAAATGCTGAGAAGCTGCTTATTCTTCATGAATACATGTGGTTTCCTTTTTTCTATCCAGGTCGCAGTATGGTGTCCTTCATACACCATATAGTACATTAAGAAAATCTGGAAACACATAACTCTTCATAGCCAGAGTTGCCATTTGTCTCCACGTTCTTCATAGAATAAAAAATTAACTACATATTCAAACACTAGAATATGTAATAACAAAAAATTAAATAAAAAGACATATATGGCAAACAAGAAAATTGGAAAAAAAGGTCTGGATTCATACAAATCAGTTATTTTATCACAGATCTTCCAATTTTTGCTTGATAAAATGAGAGATTTTTTTAAAAAAATTTAATCTATAAAATGGTACGTTATATGTTTAATACATTTTAATTGATTATTTACTTGATTGCTTCCTATGCTGGATGCTGTTCAAAGGCAATAAAAGTCTCATCACTGTGCAGCTTCCATCTAGTAGGAGAAGACAGACAGTCGATAAACACATAAAAACTAAGTATGAGATTAGACAGTTATTAAGTGCTGCAAAGTCCATGAAAACATATGACAGAGAGATGGAGAGTGGAAATTACCATAGGCAAATAGACTGTAAAGCCAAAATATATAAAACTTGCATTATTACATGGTTCAGTTTAATATATAGCATTGGATGGTCAGATAAGGCTTTCTGATGTAGTGAAAACTAAGCAGATAAAAAAACTGAGAGACAAAGCAATACAAGTTTCTTTAGGAGAGTATTTCTGATAGAAGGAGTAAGTGTCAAATCCTGGAGTCCAGAGCAAGCATGTTGTTTTGAGAAGAAGCAAAGTGTGGGTTGAAGTGAGGAAGAGGAGATGTGAAAAATGATGTCAAAGGGAATTACAAGGAGGCTTTAGATGTCTGTAAGAATTTGGGGCCGGGTGCAGTGGCTCACGCTGCAAATCCCAGCACTTTGGGAGGCAGAGACAGGTGGATCACCTGAGGTCAGGAGTTTGAGACCAGCCTGGCCAACATGGTGAAACCCCATTTCTACAAAAGTACAAAAAAAAAAAAAAAAAAAAAAAAGCTGGGCATGATGGCGGGTGCCTGTAATCGCAGCTACTCAGGAGGCTGAGGTGGAAGAATCACTTGAACCGGGAGGCAGAGGTTGCAGTGAGCTGAGATAGTGTCACTGCACTCCAGCTTGGGCGAGAGAGTGAGACTCTGTCTCAAAAAAAAAAAAAAAAGAAAAAGAAAAAAGAATTTGGATTATGATTTTAATAATATTGTAAAGCCTTTGAAAACTTTTAAGACATGAGATAACTAGTTAAATATTCTAAAATAATAGCTATAATTTTTATGTACAGAATAGACTGGATAATGTAGAAAATGTAAGATATATAGAGAATTTAGACTCTAGGATGTGCCTAGAATGAAGATAATGTAGAGTGGAAACACAAAGTCAAGTTGTTGGGGTAATTTAGTGGTCCAGGTAAGAGATAGATGATAATAGCTTGGACCAAGGTGATATTGTAAGGGGAGATAAAAACTGGAGGCCAACAGGATGCATATTGTGGGTGGAGCAGACAGGATTTATCTTTGAATGGAACGTAAAGAATGAGAGAAAGTGATGAGTTAAAGATTACTACAAGTAATCTTTACAGTTAAAAGTTCCGAGTAACAGAATTAATGAAGGCAATATTTACTGTGTTTGGAAGTAATTATAGAGATTAATAATAGAAAAGTGCATTAAGGTATCAGTCATCACAGTCTTAATATTAACTCACAGATTTTCCAGATTTTTCTATTATATGTGGTAATTTACTTGTTTAGCAAATACTAAAATAGCTATATATCTTCAAGTTTTTCCCAACATTATGATTTTCATAGCTGTTTCATCTCTGATGCATTAGATGTGAATAATATAACAAATACATAATCAACAATACTTTCTACACCAAGTGCATTTGAAGTTCATATACTATTTCTGTAACCAAAAAACAAATGGAGTTTATTGACTGGCAGGTTTCCTTTAGAATGACAAAAGATTGAAAAGAGCTTAGTCACTGCATATGCTAAATATCTGGGTATTAGATTTTTAGGCACAAAGAATACCTCATTGATATATAAAATGTAGAAATGAAAAAAAAAAGTCCTTTGGGAGATAGGTAGCTGTGGATAGTATCTACAGAGGTGAAAATCTACTAAACTGATCACTTGCAATAGTGGTTTTCAGAAACTGATTTCAATACAACAAATAAAAATGGAGCTACTCTGGGCCAGGCACAGTGGCTCACACCTGTAATCCCAGCATGAGGTGGGCAGACTATGAGGTCAGGAGATCGAGACCATCCTTGCTAACACGGTCAAACCCCGTCTCTACTAAAAAATACCAAAAAAAAATTAGCTGGGCGTGGTGGCGGGCGCCTGCAGTCCCAGCTACTCGGGAGGCTAAGGCAGTAGAATGGCGTGAACCCGGGAGGCGGAGCTTGCAGTGAGCTGAGATCGCACCACTGCACTCCAGCCTGGGTGACAGAGCAAGGCTCCGTCTCAAAAAAAAAAAAAAAAAAAAGGAAAAAAAAATAGAGCTACTCTGGAGAAAGCATGACTAGGTGAGCTCGCCAAGCTCTCTGTTTTGTTATAGTCTGTTACATCCTATGACACTTAAGAAACTTTTAAGATATATCTCAACTATCACATTATGGAGCTTGAATGTATCCTTTGCCCACTTTTTAATAGGGTTGTTTTTTGCATGTTGATTTTTTAAATTGCTTAGATTTTAGATGTTTGTCCTTTGTTGGATGCATAGTTAGCAAATATTTTCTCCCTTTCTGTTGGTTGTCTGCTTACTCCATTAATGGTTTCCTTTGCTCTACAGAAGCTCTTTAGTTTATTAGGTACCATTTGTCACTTTTTGTTTTTGTTGCTATTGTTTTTGGCATCTTCATCATGAATTTTTTTGCCAGGTATTATGTTCAGAATTATATTTTCTGGATTATCTTCCAGGATTTTTATAGTTTTAGGTTTTACATTTAAATCCTTATTCTGTATTGAGTTGATCTATGTATATAACATAAGAAAAGGGTCCAGTTTCAATCTGCATATGGCTAGCCAATTATCTCAGCACCATTTTTTGCATAGGCAGTCTTTTTTCCATTGCTCATTGTTTTTCAACTATCAGATGATTGTAGGTGTGCTGCACTATTTCTGGGCTCTATATCCTGTTTTATCAGTCTATGTGCCTGTTTTTGTAACAGTACCATGCTGTTTTGGTTACTGTTGCCTTGTAGTATATTTTGAAGTCAGGTAACGTGATGCTTCCAGATTGATTCTTTTTGCTAAGAATTTTCTGGGCTATTTGGGTTCTTTTTTGATTCTATATAAATTTTGAAATAGTATTTTTCTAATTCTGTGAAGAATGTAATTAGTAGTTTGATAGCAATGGCATTGCATCTATTAATTGCTTTGGGCACTATGACCATTTAACAATATTGATCTTTCCTGTCCATGAGCATGGAATGTTTTTCCATTTGGTTGTGTCATTTCTTATTTCTTTGATCAATGTTTTGTAATTTTTATGGTTGAGATCTTTCACCTCCCTGGGTAGCTGTATTCCTAGACATTTTATTCTTTTTGTTACTGTTGTGAATGGGATTGTGTTCTTGATTTGACTCTCATGTTGGATATTGTTGGTGTATAAGAATGCTATTAATTTTTGTACATTGATTTTGTTTCCTGAAACTTTGCTGAAATTGTTTATCATTTCAAGGAGCTTTGGGACAGAGACTATGAAGTTTTCTAGATACAGAATCACATCATCTACAAACAGATATGGTTTGATTTCCTCTCTTCCTATTTGGATAACTTCTATTTTTTTTTTCTTTGCCTGCTCTGGCCAGGACTTCTAGTACTATGTTTAACAGGAGTTGTGAGAGAGAGCATCCTTGTCTTGTTCAGATTTTTAAGGGGGAGGTTTCCAGCTTTTGATCATTCAGCATGATATTGGTCATGAGTTTGTAATAGATGGCTCTTAATATTTTGAAGTCAGTTCCTTCAGTGCCTAGTTTGTTGAGGGTTTTTAGCATGTAGGGATATTGAATTTTATGGAAAATCTTTTCTGCATCTATTGAGATAATCATGTGTTTTGTCTTTAGTTCTATTTATGCGACGAATCACATTTATTGATTTGCAAGGTTTGAAAAAACCTTGTATCCCAGGGATGAAGCCTACTTGATCGTGGTGGGTGGTGGGTTAGTTTTTTGATGTGCTGCTAGATTTCACTTGCTAGTGTTTTGTTGAGAATTTTTGCATCTATGCTCATCAAGGATATTGGCCTAAAGTTTTCTTTTTTGTTGTATCTCTACCAGGTTTTGTTATCAGGATGATGCTGACTTCATAGAATGAGTTAGGGAGGAGTCCCTCCTCCTTAATATTTTGGTATAGTTTCAGTAGGAATAGTACCAGCTCTTCTTTTTACATCTGGTAGAATTCGGCTATGGTAGAATTAGAATTAGAATGTGTCTGGTCCTGGGTTTTCTCTGGTTGGTAGGCTTTTTATTACTGATTCAATTTTAGAACTCATTATTATCCTATTCAGGAATTCAGTTTCTTCCTGGTTCAGTCTTGAGAGGTTGTATATGTCCAGGAATGTATGCATTTCTTCTAGATTTTCCAGCTTGTGTGCATATAGGTATTCATACTGTTCTCTGAGGGTTTTTTTTTTTTTTTTTTTTTAGTTTCTGTGTGGTCAGTGGTAATGTCCTTTTGTTATTTCTGGTTGTGTTTATTTGGGTCATCTCTACTTTTTCTCTTTACTAGTCTAGCTGGCATTCTATCTGTCAAAAAGCATATGAAAAAATTCTCGACATCACTAATCACTAGAGAAATGCAAATCAAAATCACAATGAGATACCATCTCACACCAGTCAGAATGGCTATTATCAAAAAGTCAAAAATGACAAATGCTGGCAAGATCATGGAGAAAAGGGAACACATAACACTTACAATGTTGGTGAAAAGGCAAATTAGATCAGCTATTGTGGAAAGCAGTTTGGCAATTTCTCAAAGAACTCAAAACAGAATTACCATTTGACCCAACAATTTGATTATAGGGCATATATCCAAATGAATATAAATCATTCTACCATAAAGACACATGCATTCATATGTTCATCACAGCACTATTCACAGTAGCAAAATCAGAACCAAACCTAAATGCCCATCAGTGGTAGACTGGATAAAGAAAATGTGGTAAATTTACACTATGGAATACTTTGCAGCGGTAAAAAGAACACAGTCATGTATTTTGCAGCAACGTGGATGCAGCTGGAGGCCATTATCCTAAGCAAACTAACACAGGTACAGAAAATCAAATACCACATGTTGTCACTTATAAGCGGGAGCAAAACACTGGGTATATATAAACAAAGGAGGGGAACAAGAAACATGAGGCCTACTTGACGGTAGAAGAAAGGAGGAGGGTGAGGTTGAAAAAATACCTATCAATTACTATGCTTATTACATAAGTGAGGAAATATTCTGTAAACTAAACCCCCATGAGAAACAATTCATCTATAATAACACACACACCAAAAGCTAGCAAGACAGTATTATGTTAATTTAAAAAACAAAAATTCTTTTCATTAAATTAGGAGAAAGATAAATTCACCACAATTCTTTGACATTGTTTATAGAGCACAAGACAGTGCATTTAAAGAAAAAAAAATGTATATAGCATGTGAAAGAAGAAAAACAAAATGATTATAGCTATAATGTGGTATATTATGGTAATAGGGAATTACTATGGTGAAATTATTGGAAATGAGTGGCATCTAGTCAGAATATAAATTTTATTAAGTAGCTAACCAGTACTCCTCCCATGGTGTGGGTGAATTTTTTTTTTTTTTTTTTTTTTGAGATGGAGTCTCGCTCTGTCACCCAGGCTGGAATGCAGTAGCCCAATCTCGGCTCACTGCAAGCTCTGCCTCCCGGGTTCACGCCATTCTCCTGCCTCAGCCTCCCAAGTAGCTGGGACTACAGGCGCCCGCCACCACGCCCAGCTAATTTTTTGTATTTTTAGTAGAGATGAGGTTTCACCGTGTTAGCCAGGATGGTCTCGAACTCCTGACATTGTGATCTGCCCGCCTCGGCCTCCCAAAGTGCCGGGATTACAGGTGTGAGCCACTGAGCCCGGCTGGGTAAATTTATGAAAAAAACTTTTCCCACTATTAAAAAAAAAAAAAAGATGTTGTTCAAATGTGCAGCCTGATTTTCACAGTCAGGTAACTTGTAGATATCTTCAGACCTTACTTCTCATGCTGTGAGACCCGTTGAGTCTCTGCAGGTGAAACTGCATAAAGGAAGCATTTGCTGAACACATTCCTTCATGATCCTGATGATGTTCCCTGAAGACATTGTGTGCTGGAATCCGATAATAAATAATTCTTACAAAGAAAACAAAAGGCATAATGAAGGCAAAAGAGAAATAACATTAGCAGCAAATCAAATTCTGTATTTCAAAGGAGGAAACAACATAATATTAAAGAAACTTTTAAAATAACATTAACACATCTGTGCATATTTAAAAGACATAAGAAAAATTGTGTTTACATTTAAACACTATCTTATGTTCAATTATAAAAGACAGTATCTTAATACATATTAGGATGAACAGTGATTTTGTAGTGGATGTTGTTTTCTGAATTTATCAAAGCTACTAAGACATCTTTGCAAGGGCAATAACAATGAAAAGGCAAATAATAAAAGGACTGCAGCATACATAACTAGTAACTATGCTAAATAATCAGAATATCAAGCAAAAGGAAAAAGAAGCAAGAAATCTGTAAAGCCTGTTCAAAGAGGATCATGGTAGGTGGAAAAAAATATTCATTTTCAAAATAACTTTCATGGTGTGATATATTAGGAGATAAGAAAATACAATAACCTTTATATGTCTATCCTTCCTTGAAAACGTCACAAATATGATGAGGGATGATAGTTAAAAACAAATATAATTTTACATACATACATTTTCTTAGTTTCATCCCTTTATTTTTTATTTATTCATATTTGAATACATACAGTTTCATATTCAGTACAACCAATTATGCACTCTCTTACACGAGACAGGCTGAAATCTTGTAGGATACATTTTCATAGTTTTATGAAATGTTTTATGAAAATGTCTTTGATCAAATTATTTTATTTTAATATAATATTTTAATTTATTTTAAAATTAAATTATTTTAATACTATTTCTTTAGAAACTTCATTAACTGCAGCTCTGGACAAAATTTAATACTTTCTTTTTGACTTTTTTTGAATATTATTACATATATAACAAATATATAATTTCAGTGCTGGAACCAAATATTTTAAAGAGGAAGATGCTATTGTTTAGGAAAACTAAACATTTGATAAAATTTGGGGGATGGTAAAAGTTGAGATCCTAATGTCAAAAACAAATAACCTGCTCTTTCAGAAACACTATTTTTTTCCCTCTTAGAAAGAAAGGGGAAACAAGTAAAGAAAAATAAAAAGAAAAAAACATTTTACCTCCCTTCTGCTTGGGATGTAGGACAAATAGAAACATCTTTACATATTCTCATGCCTCAAATACTTTTTTCTAACTATGGTGATTAATAACTTTATTACAAGGCTCTGTTGTTTCTCTATAAGTTAACATACTGACCTTAGGACTAAGGACCCAAGACTAAGTACATACACACACACACATACACACATACATATATACATGTGTATATATACTTATATAGTTTTTCATGACTATGTCATATAAAAATAAAATTGCATATAACTATGTAAAATTATGTTTTCATAGTATCTTCCATTTCCATTTTCTTGAGTGTTTTTTAAATCATAAATGACTTGTTGGATATTTTCAAAGTATTTATTGGCCTTTATGGAAATAATCATGACTTTTCCCTTAGATTTATGATGTATGGAATTGATGGATTTCTTAACATGGAAATAATTTTTATCTACAGAATAAATTTTATCCATTTCAGAAGAATGGGTTTACTAAATTTGTGTGAAATTATATTTTCTGACTTTCTTTAATAATTATCTGGATTTTACTTTCTTCTTTATATTTGTGATATTGAAATGTTTTACAAGATTCCTAGTTTAATGGCACTTTTTCTGTCCTAGTGAAGTTCAAGCACTTCCTGATTTAAATGTTTTGTTTTGGTGGTAGGATTGAGGTTGTCTCTTTTGTCTTAACAGAACTCTAAATTTTTCCTCTTTACTTCTTTTCTCCTTTAACTTTGTCAAAAAAACAATTTTCTTTTTTTTATTGTTTTGTTTTGTTTTATGCTTTTCTTCTCCTCCAGAAGCTATACGTTTGAAAGACTTAGATACCCTTATGAGTACCCCCTTTTCATCTACCTAGCAGTTTTTCTGGATTTACCTTTACTTGCTACAGATCGTGAGAAGGAGGTGCACCTGAGCAGCACTGAAGGTGGGGATAGGTGATGGGTTTGTTGCCTTTTCCCTTTGTACACAGTTATTTTGTAGTTTTGACTTTGTTGATCATCAAGTATTACTGAAGGTATGTTTTTGCACAGAGATTTAGTTGTTGTCAAGTTATTGCCTATCATTGTTTTAGGCTACCTGATAGTCTCATAGCATCATCATGTAACAGGACACATATACCTGTCTATATAACACAAGCTCCAACAAGTAGTGATTTTAAATTATTTTGTTCACCGATCTATCCCTGACACCTAGACTTTCTACATTAAGTATGTTTATTTAAAGGAGATGAGAAATATGTGTTTTCGTCTATTCAATACAGTTTTTCATTTGGAGACCCATCCCTTCCATTAGAAATGTCCAAACCCAGCCCCTTCCTGCAGGAGGGATGGGGACATTGTCTGCATTACATGGCCACAAAAGAAAAAGGTAGGAAAAAAATACCCTTACATGGAAAATGATTTAGAGATAATAAAAAAGAAAGTTTTTCTCTTGCTTTTGGATCAGAAGTTGGAACAAAATAGTCTTGGGACTGGTCAAGAGTGACTCTCCTACCTTTCACACCCCTGCCCACCATGAGAGGGGCCTGTATGCACTGGAGAGGAAAACAGGAAAGCTAAAGCAAACATAGGTGTCATAAGAAAGGAAGAGAAAAAAAATAAGGCCATAGAGAGAAAAAACTAGATATTATTGAACTAGCAGTTCCTGACACATGCTCAAATAGTGTTCAAACTGACCTTATAATGTTCAAATTAGCTATCACAAATGTTTCTATTACTTAACATGATCATTTAAATTGTCCTTATGAAACAAATTTCAGTGTAAAATTACTGCCAAAGTTTCAAGAGTTCCAATTTTAATACTTCAGTTCACTACTTGTTATTTTGACAAGATTAGGCACAAACTTCATGAAATCATATTTCTAATGACTTTTTTATTTACCAAAATTCTAATTTGTTCTTTTTTTTTTTTTTTGAGACAGAATTTCACTCTTGTTGCCCAGGCTGGAGTGCAGTGGCGTGATCTCGGCTCACTGGAACCTCCGCCTCCCCAGTTCAAGCGATTTTCCCGCCTCAGCCTCCTGAGTAGCTGGGGTTACAGGTGCACACAACCATGCCTGGCTAATTTTTTGTATTTTTAGTACAGACAGGGTTTTGCCATATTGGGCAGGCTGGTCTGGAACTCCTGACCTCAGGTGATCCACCCACATCGGCCTCCCAAAATGCTGGAATTATAGGTGGGAGCCACAACCGCTGGCCTCCAATTTGTTCTTATAAATGTATATCTAATCTTGTTTTTTCAAATTTTAGTTTTCTTCTTTTGAATTTTTTTGCTTTTAAAATAAAAATTGCGGCTTCATATTTTCATTGTGAATATCCCATCACTTATTTACATACTTACATATAAAATAAATTGTAATCTTAGTCTCATTACTGATTCATTCCTACCTTTCTTCATATTAGTTTTGTTGTTTTGTCTTGGTTTTACTATGCTTTATATTTTTACTTGCAAGCTTACTTTGACAGAGGGTTTCTGTCTCTGTTTCATCTCTGGCTCTATCTGTATTTCTTTTTTTTTTTTGGTTCTTTTTCATTTTCAACATATATTTTAGGTTCAGGAGGCACATGTGCAGGTTTCTTACATGGTTAAATTGAAAGTTGCTGGGGTTTGGTGTACAAATGATTTTTTTCAGCAGGCAGTGAGCATAGTACCTAATAGGTAGTTTTTTGACCCTCATTCTCCTCCTATCCTCCACCCTCTAGTAAGCCCTGTTGTCTATTTTTCCCCTCTTTGTGTCTATGCCTCTAGTTTGTGTCTGTGTTTTCTAGTTTGTGTGCATAGAGGTGTTCATAATTGTCTGTGAGAAATTTTATATTTTGGTGAGGTTGGTGGTAACGTCATTTTTGTCGTTTATGATTCATGATTGTGCTTATTTGAATCTTCTCTCTTTTTTTTTTTTTTTTTTTTTTTTTTTTTGAGACAGAGTCTCACTCTGTCACCCAGACTAGGGTGCAGATCTCGGCTCACTGCAACCCCCACCTCCCAGGTTCAAGCGATTCTCGTGCCTCAGCCTTCTGAGCATCTGGGATTACAGGCATGTGCTACCACACTTGGATAACTTTTGCATTTTTTGTAGAGATGGGGTTTCACCATGTTAGTCAGCCTAGTCTCAAACTGCCGATCCCAGATGATCCACCCCCACTTGGCCTCCCAAAGTGCTGGAATTACAGGCATAAGCCAATATGCCTGGTCTCTCTCTTTTTTAATTCGTCTAGCTTGCAGTCATTAATCTTATTTGTTCATTCAAAGAACCAATCTTTGTTTTCATTGCTTTTTTGTATAGATTTTTTCATTTCTGTTTTATTCAGCTCAGCTCTGATTTTGGTTATTTCTTTCTTTTTTTTTTTTTTTCTTCTAGCTTCAGGGTTAGTTTTCTCTTGTTTTTCTAGTTCCTCTGAGTTTGATATTTGATTGTTTATTTGAGCTCTAACTTCTTGATGTGGCGTTTTGCACTATAAACTTTGTTCTTAATACTGCATTAGTCCTGTCTCAGAGATTCGGTATGTTGTATCTTCGTTTTCATTAGTTTCAAAGAATTTTTTGATTTCTGACTTAATTTCATTCTTTTTCCAAGTGTCATTTAGGAGAAGGTTAATTCCATATTATTGTGTTGTTTTGAGAAATCTTATTTATATTGATCTCAACTCTTATTTCACTGTGGTTGAAGAATGTGGTTGTTACGATTTTTTTAAATTTGTTGAGAATTGCTTAATGGTTGAGTGTACAGTTGACCTTAGAATACGTGCCAAGCACAAATGAAAAAAATATACTGTTGCTGTTCAGTAGGGCATTTTGTGGATGCTTATTAGAGTCTTTTGGCCATATGTTGAGTTTGGTACCTTTAATACCTTGGAGTTTAATATCTTTATTAGTTTCTTGCCTTGATAATCCACCTAACACTGTTAGTGGGGTGTTGAAGTCTACCACTGTTATTGTGTGGTTAATTAAGTCTCCTCGTAGGTCTCTAAGAACTTGTTTTATGAATCTGGGTGCGCCAATCTTGGGTTCATATATATATAGGATAGTTAAGTATTCTTATTAAATTAACTCTATTATTATGCAATGCCCTTCTTTATCACCTCTGATTGTTGTTGGTTTAAATTATGTTTGTTGGAAATAAAAATAAACCCTTTTTTGTTGTCTATCAAGCGATAGATCCTTCTCCATTCCTTTACATTGAGACTATGTGTGTCATAGAGTGTTGGATTGGTCTCTTGAAGACAGCATAGAGTTGGATTTTGCTTCTTTATCCAACTCACCATTCTGTATCTTTTAAGTGGGACTTTTGTTCATTTACATTCAAGGCTAATATTGATATATACAGATTTGTTCCCATCATCATTTTGTTAACTAGTTGTTATGTAGACTTGATTGTATAGTTCCTTTATCATGTCAGTGGGCTATGTATTTAAGTGCGTCTCTGTGGTGGCAGGTCTTTCATTTCCATGTTTAGCACTCCTTTAGGGACTTCTTGTAAGGCAGGTATGGTGGTAATGATTCCCCTTAGCATTTGCTTGTCTAAGAAATGTTTTATTATCCTTCACTTATTAAGCTTAGTTTGGCTGGATATAAAATTCTTGTTTGGTATTATTTTTCTTTAAGAACACTGAATATAGTCCCCATAATTGTTTCTGGCTTGTAAGGTTTCTGCTGAAGAGTGTGTTGTTAGCCTGCTGGAGTTCCCTTTGTTGATGACCTGTATTTTCTCTCTAGCTGCCTTTAAGATTTTTTCCTTTCCATTGACTTTGTTGAACCTGATAACTATGTGTCTTGGGGATATGTATAGAATAAGACAGTGTTTCTCTGAATTTCTTAAATTTGTGTGTCAATCTCTCTAGGGAGGTTGGGGAAATTTTCATGAAAAATGTCCTCACATATGTTTTTCAAGTTGCTTGCTCACCCTCCATCTCTTTCAGGAATGACAATGAGTGGTAGGTTTGGTCTTTTCGTCCCATATTTCACAGGAGTTTTGTTCATTTTTAAAATTCTTTTTTAAAATTTCTGTCTGCCTCCAGTGGTTTGAAGGAGCAGTGTTTGAGTCCTGAGATTCTTTTCTCAGCTTGGTCTCTTCTGTTATTAATGCTTCCAGTTGCATTCTGAAATTCTTGCAGTAAATTTTTATTTCCTGAAGTTCAGTTCGGTTCTTTTTAAAGTGGCTATGCCATCTTTTAACTCTTGACCATTTTACTATTTTCCTTGGACTGAATTTTAACCTCATCCTGTATCTTGATGAATTTTATTGCCATCTAGATTCTGAATTCTATGTCTGTCATTTCAGCCATTTCTTTCTAGTTAAGAACCATTGCTCAGGTGCTAGTGTGGTTGTTTTGAGGTAAGAAGACTTCTGGCTTTTAGAGTTGTCAGAGTTCTTGAGCTGGTTCTTTCTCACCTGTGTGGGCTAAAGTTTCCTTAATTTTTGTAGTTGCTCCTTTTTGGATGGGGCTTTTTCCTTTTATATTCTTTGATGCACTTGAGGGTCGGCTTCAGTATAAGTTGGGTTTGTTCAACTGGCTTTATTTCTGGATGTTTTCAGTGGGGGAAGGCTCATGTCAGCACTCCCGTACCATGTGCTCTAATCATAAGAGGGCTGGGACCAGGCCCACAACTTTGTTCTCTACCCCTCATAGTCAAGCACCTGCTGTATTGGATGGGTCAACATGTTCCCATCCACTGGCGACAACACTCTGATAGATGTTGCTGGCAAATTGCTCTGGCAGGGCAGTAAGCAGGCCCCCATACATGTGTGTGCCAGTGAGACAACAACATGCCTCCATGCATGTGTGTGCTTGTGGGGTGCCGGGGGAGGCTGCAGGCAAGTACATACTGGTGGCTGAAGGCTGTGGGCAAGTGCACACTGGTGAAGGTCTGTCTGCAAAAGTGCTCCAATGGGTAGGCAGGGTCTGCTGGAGAAAAAGCTGTGGTTGTGGCCACTGGCAAGCACTTCAGCTGGGCAGCTGAGGCTGTGCTGCAATCAGGTATGAACAAGCAGAAACCCTGGGAGAGGTTGGCAGACAGGGAAGCACTTAGATCAAACTGGCCTCATCCCATGAGGAAAAGTGCTCTGCTGTGTCCAGGTCCAGCAACTAAAAGAGTCCAAAGCTGCCTTGAAGTGTATGGTGAGCCTTGGAGAATGGTCCCCTATCACCATGTTCCACTGCAGTCATTCCAGAGCCAAACCCTTTGGGCTACACAGAGGCTGAAATTTTATCTCTGCCAACTCTTTGGGCTGTTCTGCCTGAAAGCTCAGATGTCTGGTCTGTTTGTGGGAGTCTCCTGCAGCTAGGATCCCAAAGGCCCAAGGTGAGGATTGGCCACTCCATGCCTATTGCTTTCATTCCTTCCCTAGAAGCCCCTTGGGGCCAGGAATAAGTCCTGGTGCTTAGTAATCCTGTGCAGAGTTTCCAGCTTCTTCCATATTCAGCCCAGAGTCTATGTCCTTCCTCTGTTTACTCTCAACGCCTTCTTTCCAAAGATGTTCTTCAGAGTGTACTAGCCTTTGATCACTTTTGGTGGGAGAAGCTCTTCCTGGCTGCATCTATTTGGTCATCTTGGACTTCGTGAGTACCTGTATGTCCATTTCTGTCCCCATCTCTTCCTCTCTCCAATTCTTTATACATTTGTGTCTTTGGACATACCCTCCCCTGTCTAGAAAACTGCCATTGCTCCCTATCCATTCCCAGATCCCTTAGACAGACCTTATAATCATGTTTATAAGTTACTTCATTGCAGGCATAGTGGTGATATTGTACATTCAGCCCATGGAGATTATATAGCTTGGCTTGGATACTGGAGTTCTGATTGTCTTTATTTCCCCTCTCTTTTGGCCCATAGCTTTTGATAAAGCCTTAATCCAAATCAGTATCTTGTTAACCTTTTCTTTTTAGCAGTCTTTCATCGCAAGAAGAAATTTACTACCACCTTTCCTTTCCTTTTCTGATCTTAATTGAACACTGTCATCCCCTTTATCCTTAGAGGAGTTACATTGTCTGGTACCACTGCCTATTTATCAACTAGAGATCAGTCCCTCTCAATATTTTGTAGTTTTATTTATTTTTCTATTTTCATATATATATCATTTTGTATTAAGCTCAACTATGTATTTCTGGTTGCTTCTTTTTATATTTTTCTGTCATTGCTATGTGTTTGGAGCAGTGAATGTTTCTTGGTGTTAATTCTTTAGACAGGTTAATGAAAGCTAAACTTATTTTACCTAACAAGTTGTCAAAAATTAACAGTAATGGCAATGCATAGTGTTGGTGTGGGTATAATAACACAAATATTATAACATAGTCTAGATAGTATTTCAAAACAGAAAAGAGTCTAGCAACCTTGTTAAAGCAAATACTTTCCTAGTTTGGTTTTCCTTACGAAGTCTGTTACACTTGTTTAATTCAACCCAATAGGATTTTCAGAACTCACAGGTGAAGGCAGGTGAATAAATACACCTGGAGAGAAAGAAAGAACCATATGACAGCTGTTGAAGACAGATTTTGGCCATCTGTTGCAAAATGACTTCAACTTTGGAAGGAACCTGGATATTTAAGACTATGAATTATGCAAGAATATCATAGCAATAATTTATTAACATATAAGGGGTTAAATGAGCATAGATGAAACAAAGTTTATTTTTATTGAATACAATTACTTTTAAACAAATGATTAATATTACCATAACCAAGTGGGATACTTCCTTGTGCCAGAGTAATATATTCCAAACAGTCAAGCAATTCATGTTGAATTATGACAAAAACATTTGAAGGAGAAAATTAAAATTGAGTATTTAAGGCAAATGTAAGTTAAAGAAAAAGACATCTCTCTGGGAGAAAATGGAGCTTCAGATATACCCTGACTATTGCTGAATGCAAAAGCAATTGTGAGGCTACTAGAAAATCAAAAGAAAGCACGTCCCTATTGTACAGAAGAACATATTTCTGCAAAATCTCATTCAATTTTAAGTGAGAATTTTAGTTTTTAGTATGTTTTTAAACTAAAGTAGACAATTGCTTCTGAAGTTGATGTTAGGGTGTTTCCCATGTCAAAAATTGTTTCTGTTTTCCATTCTTGTTTATTAAAGAGTGTTTCAATATTTGGTGACTTGAATAAGTTGATATACAATGGATGTTCAGTGAATTCTTCCAGACTGTTGATGTGACACTTAAGTGTAACGAGTTATGATTGATTCACATACCTACTTCCTGATAAAGCAATTTAGTAGCATAATGAAACTCAAGAGATCAGGCCAAGAGAAAGAGCTCCTTGCTGTATTGCCTAATTTCTGTGAGTCTCCCACATTTGTTTCTGTCTATGTGAGTAGAGGTACAGACTGACTTTGTTGTAAACTGTGTTTTAATGTATGTTTGTATAGTGAACAGCGTTTGAAGATTAACATAGTGTTTCTCATCAGAGCAAAAAAACAGGTTTATCTACTGTTTAGGAAAATGACAGATAATCTCTCTCTCCAAGTCAAAGGCATACTTGCTACTTGCTGCCTGTTATAAAAGAGATGGTTTCATGTGCTCAGTTTCCCTCTCCTATAATGTACCCCACGGTTGGTGTGGACACAACTTTTTCCTATTCATGTTGCCAAAATATCTTGGCAAAAGGCCATTACTGGTTACCGATACTGCTATCAGGTATAAATGGCTTTGCGGCAAGGGTCTTGTGTATTTTGTTAGCATCCATTAAACTGGCAGGCTAATTTTATAGTGCTTGGGAGCTAAAGCTAATTTTAATTTCAAAATTTGGTAGCATTGGAAGATGTGGTAAAAAGAAAATAAATAATGATAATATTGCTGAATTTCTGTGATCAGGCTAACTTATAACAGAATAAAATTACTCAAAGGGGAATATTTGCTCAATTACCAATAAAACCCACCCTTATAATTAGGTAGAGAATAAAAACACATTCTCCTATTCAAGGGGTAATTTTCAGCTGATGGCTGGAAAGTTTTACACATATGTCAGCTGTCGGTAAAAGAGATATTTCATAGCATATCATAGACTCTTGCATATGGTAGGGCTTTTTTTCTGACCAAGGTTTCCACAATTTGCTATTGAAAATATTTCTTAATTTAAAAGAACATATTCTTGAATGCAAAATATACTCCATCAATATGCACAGAAAAAGCAATAGAAAGAAAGCAAAAATGGAAAGATCAATATAGATCTACTTCTAGATCTGTATTTCTATCTATCTGTCATATCCTTTATAAAGTGATAAGGGATTTTGGCAACCATTAAGAAAAAGCAAGTAAAGTCATTCTTCTGATAATTTGTTATAGCTCTCTTTGCTCACTATTCTTGTTTCCAAATAATACAACATATAAATGGATTTTATAAAATCCAACCCTAGAGATAAATATCTATATGAGTAAATCCAATAACACTTACAGACATTTTAAATTGCTTTGTGGACCCTTCTTTAAAATAATCATCTTTGGTATGATTATTATTGTTTAGAATTTCAGTAGTTCTGATTTAATTGAATAAAAGATACATAGGAAAACTAAGCAAGTATAACAAATAAAAAATGGTTCTAAAAAGAATTATTCCTAAAGTAAAAAGTTCAATAATATTTCATAAATGATAAGGAAGAAAAGCCAAACTGCAAGTAAAGATTAAAAAGAACTCTATGTATTTTAAAGACTCCGGAGTTCTCCAATAGTTAGTTATATCAGACAATATCTGTCCGTGCAGTTGTTGCCTAGGCAGGGAACCAAGTTTTTGGTGCTCTCTGCTCTACCATAACCTCTGAAAACTCTCAACCCAGGCCACATTCTTTATTAAAAGATGACTGGCAAGAATTCTGAAGTTTATATGCATAAAGCATCATTTCTAGTAAAAGACAGAAAACAGTCTGTTATTCAGAATCCTGCTCCATAGAATTCAATGTTTGGCTTTAGTACCCATGCTTAACTCATGGACCTGGTAGTGAAACTTCCAAAAAAAGACACTAACATGACCAAAAAGAAATTTAAGATTGAGAGGAAGAGGAAACTAAGGAAGAAGAAAGAAACAAAACTTATTACCTATTATAATGACATTAGGAGTTGAAGGCAAGCTAAAAATGCCTCCTTATTCTGTAAGTTGTTATTGAAGACTTAAGGATAATATTGAATATATATAAATCCACTTACCCAAACTACATGAAATAAATTGTGCAATGATACAGACTGGTAGAAAGATTTACTTGGAATGTCTTAGAAAAAAAAAAGGATGTATAAACAATACGCATAACTTTCAATCCAGGAACCATTATCCATTTGTAAAGTATTATCCAATGAATACAAGATTCTGACCAAACAAATTAAAAATAGATTATGGAACTAAGAAAGGCAAAGATAAAGAGAGGAAGAAAAAGCCCTGAAAGATGAGCCAGATTAAAATGTGAATGGAGGAGAACAGCGGCATATGAGAGTGACAGAGGGCAGTGAGTAGCCTACCCTAGGCAGAGACAATAAAGAAACAAAATAAATCTGAACACAGTTTAGTTATTTTTCAAATTATTATTAGCATTATGTGCTGGCAACTATAAACAATGTCTCCTTTTATTGAGCCACTGAAGGGGAAAATACCTGTAATATTCTCCAGGTTTTCACTGTCTTTTATCTATACCAGTCAGTTGTCCAATCTGTTGTCAATCTGGGAGTGTATGGAGCCCAAAGATGAAGAACTGGGCAACTTTCTTAAACTGCTAAGGCCGAAATATTTTAATCAGTCAGGGATGTAATAGCTACCTCAGCATTTCCAGAGACATTTGAAACCCCTGAAATCTCACGTATTCTACTCTTACAAAAAGTCGAGGAATAAATGAAGAACTTAAGAATATCACTGAATCCATCTCATTTCCACAAACTATTGAATAAAAATAAATTCACCAGCTGTTGCAGCCATCCTTGTTTTTCAGGAAAGGTTTAGTGTTATCTGTTGGAAAGACAATAATCTAAAATGTGAACAAAGAAGAAATGTTAATCTTCTTTGTAATTCATTGATAATTTATGAGTGTGAGAGATGTCAGCAATTTACCAATTTTAATTATGTCACTGCACTCACTTATAGAAAGCATTTGTGACACTGAATTGCCCATTTCCTTGGAAAAAAATCCACTCAATTATACCATGCCTTCTCTCACAGGATAAATTTTAAATGTTTCTTAGTTTGCATATTTAGAAATTATATTTCATAATTGCTAAAGGCATAGATTTTAAATGTTCTTACCACAAAAATAATAAGTATGAGAGGCGATGGATATGCTTATTAGCTTAATTTTATCATTATACAATATAACATATACCAATAAATCACACTGTACCCCATCAAAGATATACAATTAGTATTTGTCAATATATAAGAAAATAAATTTGCAATGATGGTACTTTTTCTCCTGACATCTGCCCAGAGGCTCTCTCAGTTCCTAGAAGCACATGCATATTTAAAGATCTTTAATTCTTATTTCTCTATTTGCTTATCTTGTACTTGGCATACTGCTAATCATTAGAGTACAGGGCATTGTGAATGATATAATTTTTTTTAGTGAGCAGGTTAATTCCTGTCTGGAATAGGCATTTTTCCAAGCAAGGTTTTTATCCCAGGAAAAACTAAAAAGCTGTTTTAGCCTAAGACACAGTGCAGCTTCCTGACCTGGAATTTCTTTATTTTATGAGATCTGCCTACCAAATTATGTTTTCCTCTTTCCTTCTTATGCCTCCCCCAGAAAGTGACCTGACAGATTCCTGAACTAAAGCTTATATTCATATATTTTTTTCAATCCTGTACTCTCAGAGTCCTAGTAAGAACTTGTATGTACTGTAAGAAGTGGTACTATCCAAATGTATGCCTTTCGATACTTCTGAAATTTTCATGTTTTCAGGCCTGGACACAAAAATAAACCTTTCTTGTATATCTTCTACCACAGCAATGGAACAACTCTTTAGTTTTTCCTTTCTCCTTTTTTTTTTTCTGCTTTATTTTCAAGTTTCTAGCTGGGTAACAATTCTAAGGTTCACTGAATTTCAGGTGTTCTTGGTCTCTACTTCCCAATCATATTTTTATTTTTTCCTGATTTTGTCCCTCATGTTTTATCTTTTTGTTTGAGCTCAAATATTTATTTTTTTTGTTTCTACCAAAAGCATTAAATTTTCAAAGTAAGGGAAGAGATATTCTTTCTTTTCTTGCCATTGACTACCATTATTCCACCCTTCATCCACCCTAAAAGGGACATTAACTCTGCACTAATAGGTACTTTTTAAGGTGGTTTTGTATTGCTAATAAACAATTCTTATCATTCACCAGTGTCTCAGAATAAATTTTTGTTTATTCCCTAAATTTCCCTAGAGTAATTAACCTCAAACTCAGCAATGACCCAACTTCTTTTCTCTGTAACTACTGTGTCTGTGTCATCTGCTTATCACCATCAGCCCCTTGAATAATGGTTTTAGTTATCAGGTATCACAGATAAGTGAAAGCATCATTAAATACAATGTAATTAAGTCGCTAACTGGGCTTCATGTTCACAAGGTGGATTTTCTTTCTGCCTTCTGCACAGACTTTGGAAATTTTTGCTTTAAATCCTCTCAATTCTTGGCCAGGCACAGAGGCTCATGCCTGTAGTCCTAGCACTTTGGAAGGCCAAGGTGGGTGGATCACCTGAGGTCAGGAGTTCAAGACCAACCTGACCAACATGGTGAAACCTGGTCTCTACTAAAAATACAAAAATTTTCT
This sequence comes from Homo sapiens, assembly GCF_000001405.40. NCBI lineage: Eukaryota > Metazoa > Chordata > Mammalia > Primates > Hominidae > Homo > Homo sapiens. Next base: position 56,490,196 of record NC_000013.11, read on the forward strand.
GTGTGTGGTGACATGCACCTGTAATCCCAGCTACTCAAGAGGCTGAGGCAGGAAAATCACTTGAGCCCAGGAGGTGGAGAGTTGCAGTGAGCTGAGTTTGCACCAGAGCACTACAGCCTGGGCAACAGAGTGAGACACTGTCTCAAAAAAAAAAAAAAAAATTCCTCCCAATTCTCTCCCTCTCCTCAAAGCAAGATCAATTTTATAAAGACAGTCATTAGGAACCAAGAAATACATACGTTTTCCTTATGTTTCCTCTCCTTGATCACCTAGTTTTCTAGTTATCCTGGGAATGAGCTTGAGTCATCCAGATATCAGTGGTAAATATGTATCCTTAGTTATTCAATTATTTGCTTCCTCAGCCATTAGTGTTTTGGTGCCTTAATAAATAAACAGGATTCTAGTAGGCAGTGTTGTATCAACTAAACCATACTTTTGCTGGCATGTGTCTGTCAGCTAAAATTTTGGAAAGATAATCTTATTGTTGTTTGTTTTAACCATGTGGAAGAGTAAAATAAATTTGAATAATCAATACAAAAGTATTGAGCAATGTTGCAAATGAATTCTAAACTCTGAGCTACACTTATAGATGCTTCAAAAATACGAATGTGATTAAGGTTTTCTGAAATATTCTTTCTAACTGACCCATCTCCTGGAATTTTTTTGAATAATACTGTTATCATTGAAGCATAACTATCACCTTTTGAAAAGACTTTGATAAGTTAAAATTGAATAGAAAATGTTTAAAAAATCTTGACAGCAAAGACTTCTCAAACATTGGGGATTCCACTTTTTTAAACTTCACATCATTGCTTTTCTTTATTTCCATGCCTTACCTCCATCATCTGTTATTACTGGTTTTCCTCATGCTTGCTTCTGCTAGCTAACCACTATTATTTCAAACTCTGAAGTCACCTCCACTGGTAAACACAGACACACATACACACATAAACAAATAAACAAACAAACAAACAAATAATGTTGTCTACAAAAGCCACCCATAAGCCTGGATTAGGAATCCCTACTCTGTGTTTCCATTATGCATTGCACGTAGATAGATTTTAGCACTCATTAGAATTGATGATTTTGATTTCTTCAATTAGTGTTTTCTTCCCAAGATATGGTAAATCACTTGACTAGTCTTGTATTGGTCCATTCTCATGTTGCTATAAAGAGCTACCTGAAACTGGTTAATTAATAAGGAAAGAGGTTTAATTGGCTCCTGGTTCCACAGGATGCAAAGAAAGCATGGCTGAGGAAGCTTCAGAAAACATACAGTCATGGCTGAAGGCAAAGGGGAAGTAGGCATGTCCTACATGGCTAGAGATGAAGAAACAGAGAGAAGGGGGAAGTTCTACACAATTTCAACTAATCAGATCTCGTGGGAACTCACTCACTATAATGAAAACAGCATGGGAGAAATCTGCCCCCATAATTTAATCACCTCCCACCAGGCCACTCCTCCAAGATTGGGGACCACAGTTTAACATGAAATTTGGTTAAGAACACAAATCCAAGCTATATCATTCTGTTGCTGACTCCTCCCAAATCTCATGTCCTCACATTTGAAAATACAATCATGCATTCCAAACACTCCCCAAAGTACTAACTCATTCCAATATTAACTCAAAAGTCCAAATCCAAGGTCTCATAAGAGACAAGACAAGTCCCTTCTGCCTATGAGCCTGTAAAATAAAAAACAAGTTAGTTACTTCCCATCTGCAATGAGGGTACAGGCAATGGATAAATGCTCATGATCCAAAAGGGAGAAATTGGCCAAAACAAAGGGGTCATAGGCCCCATGCAACTCCAAAACCCAGCAGGGCAGTCATTAAATCTTAAAGCTCCAAAATAATCTCTTTTGACTCCATGTCTCATATCCAAGCCACACTATGCAAAGGGTGAGCTCCCAAGGTCTTGAGCAGCTCTGCCCCTGTGGCTCTTCAGGGTGCATCCTGGCTGCTTTCACAGACTGGCCTTAAGTGCCTGCAGCTTTTCCAGGTTCATGGTGCAAGCTGTAGGTGGATCTACCATTCTGGGGTCTGGAGAATTGTGGCCCTCCTCTCACAGCTCCAAAAGGCAGTGCCCCAGTGGGGACTCAGTGTGGGGGCTCCAACACCACATTATCCCTTTGCACTGCACTAATAGATGCTCTCCATGAGGGCTCTGGCACTGCAGCAGACTTATGCCTAGATATCTAGATGTTTTCATACATCCTCTGAAATCTAGACAGAGGCTCCCAAGCCTCAACTCTTGCCCTTGGTGCACTTACAGGCTTAATACCACGTGGAAGCAGCCAAGGCTTACAGCTTGCACCCTCTGGAGCAACAGCCTGAGACATATCTGAGGACCTTTTAGCCATGGCTGCAGTAACAGCAGCTGAGATGCTGGGAATAGTGTCCTGGGCTTGCCCAGGACAGCAGGACACTGGGACCCATGAAACCATTTTTCCCTCCTAGGCCTCCAGGCCTTTGATGATGGGAGAGACTACTGAGAAGATCTCTCAACTGCCTTCAAGGCATTTTCCCCATTGTCTTGGCTGTTAAACTTTGGATCCTAAGTACTTATGCAAATTTATGCAGCCAGCTTGAATTCCTCATCAGAAAATGGGATCTTCTTTTTTACCACATGGCCAGGTTGCAAATTTTTCAAACTTTTATGCTCTGCTTTCCCTTTACATATAAGTTTCAGTTTCAGATCATCTCTTTGTTCACACACATAAGCTTATGATGTTAGAAGCAGAGAGATTACATCTTGAATGCTTTGCTGCTTAGAACTTTCTTCTGCCAGATACCCTAAATCATCTCTCTCAATTCAAAGTTCCACAGATCTCTACAGCTGGGGCACAATGCCTCTAACGTCTTTGTTAATGTGTAACAAAAGTGACATTTGCTCCAGTCCCCAGTAAGTTCCTCATAACCATCTGAGAACACCTCACCTGGGCCTCACTGTCTATATCACTACCAGCATGTTGGTCAGAACCATTCAACAAGTCTCTAGGAAGATCCAAACTTTTCCTGATCTTCATGTCTTCTACTGAGCACTTCAAACTCTTCCAACCTCTGTCCATTACACAATTTCAAAGCTGCTTCCACATTTTCATGTATCTTTATAGCAATGCCCCACTTCCCAATACCAATATTCTGTATTAGTCTGTTTTTGCATTACTATAAAAACCTACCTGAGACTGAGTAATTTATGAAGAAAAGAGGTTTAACTGGCTCAGAGTTCTGCAGACTATATAGGAAGCATAGCTGGGGATGCCTCAGGATACTTACAATTATGGCAGAAGGTAAGGGGAAGCAAGCATGCCTACTTTGCTGGAGCATGAGGAAGAGAGAGAAGAGGGAAGTGTTTCTAAACAACCAGCTTTCACGAGAACTCACTCACTATGACAGGAACAGCAAGGAGGATATCTACCCCATGATTCAGTCACCTCTCATCAGGCCACTCCTCCAACACTGGGGATCACAATTTGACATGAGATTTGGATGAGGAAACATATCTAAACCATATAAAGTCTCTTTTCTGTCTCTGTGTTCCTAAAACCTAAGTATCTCCTAGGTTGTAAGAGTTTAAAGAATGTGGGTTGAATGAATGCCTAAATACATTTAGACTTTTTTAGATTCATTGAAGTATAATTCACAAAAAAGTACACATTTAAAGTATACAAGGTGATGACCTCACATAAGTATACATTGTGAAATGATTATCATAATAAAGTTAACACACTCATCGCCTCACATGTTTTCTTAAAAATGAGAATATCTAAGGTCTACTCTCCTAACATATTTAAAATGTAGTTATGCCTTGTTTAGTGATGAGGATAAATTCTGAGAAACGAATGCATCCTTAGGCAATTTTATGGTTAATGGACCATCACAGCATGTACTTACACAAACCTTGATGGAATAGCTTACTACACACCTACACTATATGGCAAAGCCTATTGCTCCTAGACTACAAACCTGTATAGCATGTGACTGTACTGAGTACTGTAGGCAATAGTAACAAAATGGTATTTGTGTTTCTAAACACCTAAACAGAAAAGGCTTAGTAAAAATATGGCATAAAATGTAAAAAAAATAAAGATTTAAAAAGTATATAGTGTATTTACCATGAATGGAGCGTGTAAGACTGGAAGTTACTCTGGGTGAGTCAGTGAGTGAATGTGAGGATCTAGAACATTACTGTACAATACTGTAAACCTTATGAAGACTGGAAACCTAGGCTACACTATATTGATTTTTTAAAGTTCTTTAGTTCTTTCTTCAATAATAAATTAACCTTAGCTTACTATAACTTTTTTTACTTTTGTTAACTTTTTGACTCTTTTGAAGTAACTCTTAGCTTAAAGCACACACACATTGTACACGTACAAAAAATATTTTCTTTCTTCACATACTAGTTCTATATTTTGCTATTTTTAAAACTTTTTTTCTTTTACTTTCTAAACATTTTGTTAAAAACTAAGATACACACACATTAGACTAGGCCTACACAGGGTCAGCTTCAGCACTGTCACTGTCTTCTACATCCACATCTTGTACCACTGGTAGGTCTATAGGGGCACTAACACATGTGGAGCTGTCATCTCTTATGATAACAATGCCTTCTTCTTGAATGTCTCCTGAAGGGCCTGCCTGAGGCTCTTCTTGAGAAGCTATCACTCTTTTATGGAATACGTCCATGGTGGTTTGCTTGGTTTATTTCTTTTCTTCATTATATGTCTGCTTGTAAGCAGATAATGTACCAGGAATACCCCTGCATATCAATAAAAACCTTGCAGAGTTGTGGTTTATGTTTTCAAACATTTTAAAGCGCTTATTGAGATCTGCAAAAGCTTCTGCTGAACCTTCACTGTGAATTTACTTGAGGGGTTTTTCTTTTCCTTCTCTTGCAGTTTTCTTTTCTCTAGCCTCTTCTTCAGCTCTATAATTCTCTTCCAGTTCCAACAACTCCACATTAGTCAATTTCTCACGAACCACCTCTAGGAGCTCCTCAATGTCATCTTTACTCACACTCAGGTAAAAGTTGTTCACCTTCTCAATCACAGCCTTGACTTTTGCAACCACCTTATCCTTGGAAAATCCTTTGAAGTCATAGGTGAACCTCTTCAACGTCTTCTTCCAACTGCCATTCAAACACTCTTTGTGACATCACCCCAGGCCCAAGAAAAGTTCTTAATGCAGTCATAGATGTTACAGTCCTTCCAGGATTGCATCAAGTTCTTCTCAGTGTCTTCCTCAGTTGAAGCAATAGCCTGGGAAAAGCTTATTCTCCACTAGTAGGACTTAAAACCGCTATAACTGTGATTCCATTGGTTGTATCAAAGAAGTAGAATTTTGAGAGAGAAACGACACTTTGATATTAGGATGATAATCACCAATACAAGGAGGATATGTAGAAACATAAATAAGCAAAAATTTCAAAGCTATATTATTCTGTAAACGACAGTTCTCCATTTTGCTGGCATAGCAATTTAGGAGGGCATCTTGAAAGAGGAGCTGAGCCATCCTTGACTGCTTATTGCTCCTGTAATACACTGGCAGTATGTGCTTATTGATATGCTTGAAGGGCATGGGGTTCTCACTGACAGCTCACAAAACGTTTCACTTTGTATTCTGCAACATTGCCTTCAAGCAAGACTCTTATCCTGTCCTTAAGAGACTGGAAACCTGGCACTGACTTGGCATCCTTATGGATGAAAGTCCTTTTAGGTATCTGTTTCCAGAATAGAAATGTTACATCCATATTGAAGATTTGCTCTGGCAAGTAATTTCCCTCCACTATCAGATTATCTAGAGTTTTCAAAAATTCTTCAGCTGCCTTCACATTAGCACTTACAGGATTACCACTCGCTTTCACATTATCCAAAGCATCGCAATTATTGAATCATTTATACCACCCAGAGCTAGCAGTAAACTCAATTTTATAGTAGAGTACGGCCTTTACTTTGCTCACTGCAAACAAACTTTTTGCTTTTGCGCTTTTGCCTGATTGTCATGATGCTGAGAGATATGTATTTATGTGTGTGGTTTTCAATCTAGGTCATTAGAAATTTCTCTGTATCTGAGATAAGCCTTTATTAAATTTTGTGTCTCCTTATCTTCAATAAAGCAGGTCCTTTAACATCTTTCATCACTTGATTCTTGTTCTTCAAAATTGTCGCCATGGTGGAATAGCACATGTCTGACTGGTGAGTAATAACCAACCATCACTGATTTTCCATTTTTATAGTCCTTAATCACTTTAATTTTACTTCCAGGTTAATCACTTGAGTTGGCTTCATCCTGGCAACATTAGCAGAGGATTTTGTATGATTAGGGGCCATGATGAACAAAACAACACTAGATTAAATTAAGCACAAGAAAAAATGATGCAGCCAAGAGACTTGGTAAATATGACATGTATGAGGCTGCTGTCAACATAACAGGGCATACTGTTTTACAGTAACCTTTTTTTTATAAGCAGATGTAATATATTCTAAAATAATAATAATTAAAAGCATAGTATAGTAAATACTTAAAGCAGTAACATAGCAATTTATTATCATTATGAAGTATTGTGCATGTAAATAATTGTATGTGCTATACATTTATACAACTGGCAATGCAGTAGGTTTGTTAACAGCAACATTACCACAAACATATGAGTTATGCCTTGCCTTATGATGTTATGATAGCTTCCACTTCCTTAGGCAACAGGAATTTTCCAAGTGCACTATAATCTTTTATTTTATTTTTTTATTTTTATTTTCTTTCCAACTTTTGTTTTTGGTTCAAGGGGTACATGTGCAGGTTTGTTACATGGGTAAGCTGGATGTCATGGGAGTTTGGTGTACAGTTAATTTTGTCACCCAGGTAATCAGCATAATACTCGACAGGTAGTTTTTCAATCTTCACTCTCCTCCCCGGCTCCACTCTCAAGTATGCTCAGTATTTTGTTTTCTTCTCTGTATTCAGATGTACTCAATGTTTAGCTCCTACTTGTAAGTGAGAATCTGCAGTATTTGTGTTTTTTTCCTACATTAACTTGCTTAGGATAATGGCCTTCAGCACCATCCATGTTGCTGACAAAAATATTACTTTGTTCTTTTTTATGGCTTTGTGGTTTATGGAGCCACCAACATATATGCAATTTGTTGTTGACTGAAATGTCCTTCTGTGGTGCATGGCTGTATGTAATACACTATTATTAACTATAATCACCCTGCTTTACATCAGACCCTCAGAACATATTCATCTTATAACTTACATTTTATATTTTTTGATAAACAACATCTCCCTATTCCTCCCAAACCCTGCCACTGGCAACCACCATTATACTCTTCATTTTGACTTTTTTAAAGATACCACATTTTGATGGTTAATGTTGACTGTCAACTTGATTGGATTGAAGGATGCAAAGTATTGTTCCTGGTGTGTCTGTGAGGATATTGCCAAAGGAGGGATTAACATGTGAATCAGTGGTCTGGGAGATGCAGACCCGCCCTCAGTCTGGGTGGGCACCATCTAATCAGCCCCCAACACAGCTAGGATGAAAACAGGCAGAAGAACATCGAAGGACTAGATTGGCTGAGTCTTCTTCTGTCTTTCTTCAGTGTTGGATGCTTCCTGCTGTCGAACATCAGACTCCCAAGTTCTGCAGCTTTTGGACTCTTGGTCTTACACCAGTGATTCACCAGGGGCTTTCAGGCCTTCAGCCACAGACTGAAGGCTGCACTCTTGGCTTTCCTACTTTTGAGGTTTTGGTACTCGCACTGGCTTCCTGATTCCTCAGTTTGCAGACAGCCTATTGTGGGACTTCACCTTGGGATCATATGAGTCAATAATCCTAATATATGCCCCTTCATATATTCATCTATCCAATTATTTCTGTCCCCTTTAAGAACCCTGACTAATACACACATATAAATGACACTGTATAGTATTTGTCCTTCTCTGACTGGCTTATTTCATTTAACATAATGCCCTCTATTTTCACACATATCATCACAAATGCCAGGATTTTCTTTTTTCTATGAATAAATATTATTTGTGTGTATGTGTGTATAAAATCTCACAACTTCTTTATCCTTTTCATCTGACAACAGACACTTAGGTTGCTTCCATATATTGGCTATGGTGAATAGTGCTGCAATGAACATGACCCTGCAAATCTCCTGGGGTGAGATGAGGAACCCCAGGGTGTATACCCCAGACAATGTAGCTGCTTTACATCTACACTCCCATCAGCAGTGCAAAGGGTCTTATGTACCTATATCTCTACTTACATTTGGCTTTATCCAACTTTCTGAATGTTCCCAACTCTTTAGGAGTAACGTGATTGCACTGTTGCCTTAAGTTGCATTGACTAACTCTGAATATCTTGAAACCTTTTATGATCCTCCCCTCTGTGACTTGCTTCCTTATACAATTTGTTCATTGTGCTATAGAATTGCTGTATGTTTCTTGATTATTTGCAGGCATCCCTTGCCTATTCTGGATAGTAATCACTTTTCATTTTCTGATATAACAAATAACTTCTAGTATTCTTTCAATTGTCTTTTAATTTTGGATCAAAAAATTAAATGTGAAAAGTAAATTTTTGGAATTAATAGGATAAAATTTAAGTAAATATCTTTATGACCTTGGGACTGAAGGGTAAGTAATGTGCTTCAAAATCAAAAAGCCAAACACAAGCATTTGATAATTTTCTTAAAATAAGAATTTCAGATCACAAATATCCATCATGGACAAAACTGAGAGACAATTTTTTAAATATTTTATTTTGTTTCTTTTAAAAAGCCAACCACCAAATTATTACTAAAATTAATTCATATCAATTCTCAAGCTCATCTTTATTCTGATTAATTTTGACCCAGAGTTGTGTCTACACACTTCACTGGATCTAGTCCTTTTTTATCCCATGCTTTGGTCATCCCTCATGTGTTCCATCAAAATAAAGCACTTTAATATCTGCCTCTGCCACAAGGAACCTTTCCTGTCTGCTCTTTGCCAATGTCTGATCTAATCATATTTGTTCTATTTGAATTGTAATTAAATTTAATTCTGGCACAGTGAAAAGCAGAGTGGTACATTGGAATAAAGGAAAAATTATTAAGGCATACACCATGGAGGAACAAAACAGAGAAAGTCATAGTTGCATAAACTAGAAAGATGTTTCAGCAACGGTTACTATAAACAGAAGCTGAAAATCCTGTATGCTACTAATAATGCACAAACATTTACTTGCAACTAAATACATCAGCCATAAGTACATGATTATCGGAGTTTATAGTGCAGAGCTCAGAAATTCCATGACATTCAGTCCTACTCCTGTTATTACCTCCTGAAAAGTATTCATTCTGTGTGTGGCTTACAAAGCAAAGTATTTAATCATCTCATAATCCTAACACCCTAAAATACAAATGTAAGAAGGAAATCATCTGTTTACCCTGTCACTTGAAAATAATAAAAATGAAAGACCAGTTATCTCAATTACTCATGTCCTAGGAAAAAACTGCTTTCCTTTTTTATTATGGGAAAAAGTAGACATAAGAATTAGTTTTAAGCATGTTTGAATATCAGCAAATAATTTTTCGGCTGGGTATGGTAGCTCATGCTTGTAATCCCAGCACTTTGGGAGGACATGGCAGGCAGATCACCTGAGGTCAGGAGTTCGAGACCAGCCTGACCAACGTGGAGAAACCCCATCTCTACTAAAAGGACAAAAAAATTTAGCTCAGCATGGTGGCAGGTGCCTGTAATCCCAGCTACTCAGGAGGCTGAAGCAGGAGAATTGCTTTAACCCAGGAGGCGGAGGTTGTGGTGAGCCGAGAGTGCGCCATTGCACTCCGCCTGGGCAACAAGAGTGAAACTCCATCTCAAAAAAAAAAGAAAACAACAATTTTTCTCAGCAACCATGCTTCTGCATGCGAACCAATTATTGGGAGTTCTCTATTTCCAAAGTGAGTCAATCAGGAATGGACTTGCCCCAATGAAGCAGCCCAGTGTCACCCATTGAACCTGGCTTCCACAGCAGCATCAACTCATGCTTTCTCTACTACTTGATACCTTCATTTCAACCTATCCAAAACCTCCTACATCAGATCAGTTATGTTCTATATTCAGAAATTATGATTATGGATGATTAGCATAATTATCTGTTGTTTAAATTGGCAATGGATTCCATTTTAGAGTTTTTTTTTTTTTTAAATATTCAAGCAATGAGTGCTAGTCCCATCCTTTTATGGCATTTAAAAGCATTGTAAGTAATTTACAGAATATTATAAAGTACGCCTGGAGCCAGAAACAAGAGAAAATGGCCTTCTTTCTTAGCAGGGTAATTTTTGGAAATACTTACTTATATATCAGGACATCTTCAAGCTAAGTTGTTGATAGAAATATCACCCAAAATATTGAAATAAGTGGATTATGTGTACAGTTTCCAAAATAATATGAATCTGTATACATTATAAAATGGTTATGTATTAACATTTGAATTTTAAAATATTAAATAGTAAATTTTGGTAAATTCGATTTATTAAATAAGTACTCAATCTCTCACAGAAAATATATTTTAATACATCAAAAATATCTCCAAACAATTATTTTTCACTCTCACTTTTATAAACTAAACAATTATGTTCAGGATATATTAGCCCATTTACCCAACATCATATGATCCATCATTGTCCTTTTATATCTCTCTATATGTACCTCATCTTTGGTCAGCCTTCCTAGAGTCCTAATTTCATACATTTCTTGGCCATGTTTTTTTCAAGGTACAATAACAAGTCCTGTGATTCTCACCTACAACGAAAGTATCACCTTAAAGCTTATCAAGCAATCTTTGATAAGCTTTGATAGTCTAAGCCTTTTCTGATTAAATTCTTTTGCATTGGCTATAACTTTTTAAATATCTTATCTGTACCCCTTTGGTATTTCTCTGAATTTTCCATATCTTGCTTTGAGTATTTCTTTATAATTTTCTGAATCCTAGTCCCCTATGGATTCACTGTACAGAGTCATTCCAGTTAGAACTCAGATCATGAGCCTCCTCCTCGGTTTGGTTTCTTAGCCCTGCATTAGTTTCAAGTCTAGCAATATCTAAGGGAGCGTCCCTTTGTTGTTTTCTTTAAAATAATGATATTTGAGGGTATTTTATTTTTATTTTTTTATAGCTCTTTAATGGCTTTTAAGATCTCATTTTCCCCTTCGTATCTTAGTAACATCTCTTCTAAGATATAACTCATGTTTGAAAGAAAGCATACAATCTTTTCCTCTAGCTTAGTCTTTTAAAAATTTTGCCTTTGTTCTATGATTGTACATGTTATCGACTTATTCTGTCCTCCTTAGATTCCCGGAAAACCTGGTTCCTGGAGACAGAATATTTTAAACAGACTTTTAAATTAAAAAAAAAAAAAAAGAGTAGAAAATATGTGCAACCTGTCTAAGCCTGGAACAAATAAAGTCAAAAATGTAACAGACTTATAAGCTCCGTAATTTCTATGGTATTTACCTGCATTTTAAAAGCAAATATTGTTAAAAAACAGTAGAGGGGGAAAACCAATTGTTCTGCCCTTTTATGTTCAAATGTACTGTATACAAAACATTTTATTTCCCCTATGGTTAAATTGTTGCCACTTGCAGAGAAAGTGATTGTTTTAAGATTCCCAGGAAGACCAGTGCAACCTGTGTATTTTGGTTACTCACACACGCTTTAGGCATGACAAACCCAGCTTTCTTTGTTTAAGTCTGGGTCACACAAACTTGGTGAAAGGCATTTCCATAAAGTGCAACCTCAAACTAGGATCAAAATATCCTTGACCTAAGTCGTAGGCCTCAGCTACATGGCAGCAGACTAACTGCTCCATTTAAACAGCTTCAGTCACAATAACATGCTACCAAACCTTCCTGCCTTGATAAAAGATTACTATCTTTCCCGAATTCCACTGTCAGTCTCTTAATATCCCCACCCTCAATAATGATGCTTCATTTTATCTAATAAAATATTCCTTTTATTTCTTGCTCCGAACAATTGCTATAGTTAGAGCATACAATTTTAGCAGGTGAAGACAAAAATGGCTATTACCAAAAAAAATTAGGATCAAGAATATGGCTTTAAGCTAAGGGGCTTGTTAATGTGGCTCCCAGAATGAAGTTTTTTACCTCTTGAGGCCAGAATGTGGTGTGCAAACTTGTGACTTCTTTATATGACCCTGTTCCTGTAAAATTTGAATAAGAAGACTGGAATGTAAACTTTTGTGGTCAACAATCCCTTAAGCAAGAAAGAGGAAAGAAGAAATGGGCTGAGGAGCATGCCTTCTCTCAGACTCTCATAATATATTAATTAATCTTTCTTCTTCTCTGTGTAGGAGTAAATGAAGGTGCTGAGAGAGTCTAGAATATTGACTCTAATAGTAGCCCTTCCCCCAGTGAAACAAAAACCATCACCAACAATCTCTTGTGTGAGGTTTGTGCATCTAGGTACACATCATTTCCTTCCAAAGATGACTGAGCTTGGTATTTCTCTTGTATCTACCTTGATTGTCAACATAGAATCTTATTCTATTACCATTAATGTTGTGTTAGTCCATTTGCATTGCTATAAAGGAATATCTAAGGCTGAGTAATTTATAAAGAAAATAGGTTTATTTGGTCCACAGTTCTGCAGGCTGTATAAGCACAATACCAAAACATCAGCTTGGCTTCCGTGGAGGTCTCCAGAAGTTTTTACTCATGGTGGAATGTGAAGGGGGAGCAGGCATATCACGTGGCAAGAGAGGGAGCAAGAGAGAAAGAAGGAGAGAGATTCCTTTCAGCAAACAGAGAGATTCTTTTTAATAACTAGATCTCACATGAAATTACCACTGCGAGGACACTATGCTATTCACGAGGGATACACCCTCATGATCCAAACACCTCCTGCCAACCTCCATCTCCCACACTGAATATTACATTTCATCATGAATTTTGGAGGGGACAAACATTCAAAACATACCAGATGTTATGTCAGCAAAAACATATTTTATTTAGAATTACTTTGAGACATTAAAATACCACCTGTGCTATGTTTTGTTTGTTTCAAAAAGCACTGACATGCTCAGCAGCAATTCTTTATTTACTCTAAGCTCCACATGTGTTGTATATGTCCCCTGTAGAGAATTTCCATAGATTGGTGATTGCAAGCTAAATCTGTGTTTGGGATTGTGCCATGCTGTTTTATTGTCATAAGTTAAAATTTTGAAGTCTAGAAAAGTGACAATAGCAATAAGATGAGGTAAATATACTTCAAATATTTATTCCATGATTTCTAAAACACACAAGGGAAGGCTAACATGGAGAATGGCTTTGTTTCAATTATTTCAAGGAATGGTCTTCTTGCCATGTATTATGTGGGAAACAGCTACTTTATTTTTCCAAGTTCATAATAATTACATAAGGGAAGTGAAAAAGATAAGAATATTAATGCAGAGAGAACTAGTGAAACGTGATAGCAGAGGTAAAGATATTTTAGATAAAACAGAATACATATAACAAGAAAAAGGAAAACAAAATAAGGTGAAATGTGAAAGAGGAATATATTTAAAAGAAAGAAGCCACTGTAAAAAAAACTTAGGGAGAAAAAGTCAAGAGTGAAATCCATTTTCAATAGTACTATTCTATTATTAAAAAAAGCAGTTTGATGTATCTATGACTACAGGTGGCAGAACTAATTGGAAAAAGTGGTATTTATAAGGGAGAAACGTTGGTGTCCCTTTAAAACTTTATCATAACTCAATAGAATATAGTATATGAAAACTTTTCAGATTATGAATATGGCAAAATGGAAATAAATAATAATCAGGCTGCTGCTTACAAAAAAATCAATCAAGACTAAGTACAATAAAGCAAACAATAAAATGACAGCAATATATTTTTAAATAAACAAAACAAAAGATAAAAGCTCCTTATCATTGTATCTAAAACTGTAGGCTTCATGATATCATATCCTGCAAATAACTGCCTGACCAAAGAACTTCTCTCTCAGTCATGATTCATCTGTAGTTAAATATTATACTTATATTGAGATACTTACCTAAATGTTTTCTCTCTAAAGAAATTTTTTTTCCTACATATTTTTTAAAAATCTTATTTGCATGGACATTTATTACATATTTATTCAATTAATCTTTTAAAAATATAAAAAGTAATTTCCTTACAAAATTCCATTTATATTGAAGTTTAGTAATTTTTTGACTGCCATTTCATTTAAGACCCTGTTTATTTTTTCATGTTGCCCTACCTTATCAGTCTTCTCATTTCAAAATCTATCTGCTTTTACTCTCTGAATGTGTTCATTCTTCTGGCCCCCAGACTCTTACACATTTAGTTTATTCTTCTAGATATATGATATATTCATGTCTAACTCTTACTCATCCTTTGGATCTGAGCTTAGAGATTATTTCTTCTTAGAGACTTTCATTCTCTTCTGTGATTCAACATCTTGTTCTGCATAACACTCATTTCCATTATTCTTCACCAATCTCTGTCTTTCCTGCTAATCCACATACACAATGAAGATAACTAACATCTCTGTCTTGTTTTCCATGTTTCATCATCTCTGTAACTAAGAGATTGGTGAATTATATGTTCTAAATACATTATATGTAAAATAAATGTTCTTTTAATGGTTATAATTACTAGCCTATTTTAACATTCTGCTTTTTAATAAATATAGGTAATATGTCTTGTTTTATTAAAATATTTAGTTTTTATTTATCCTGACCATTATTGTAGTGAAATGACATGCAGTGCCTTTAAGTATTCTCTTCTAATAAAATGATGAAATATGATATTTATCCACTTATATCCATTGGTTATTAAACATTTATTATGTCTTATGTGTCAGGCTTAAGGGAGCACTCTCCAGTAACTATTTTCAATGCTACTGAAAACAAAAGAGGATTGGATGATAATTAATTGAAGAACAGGCTATTATAATTATAATTAGCTATGTTAATATAGCTAAAGATTGAAAGACAAACCTCTTTTATGCTTCAATAATTGTTATAGTTCACCTTGAAAAGTAGATTTCTGTGTCTACATGTTCTACTTGCTGAAATATATTTGTAAGACAATGTTATTGAGGTGTTATTGACATACAAATGCTGTACATATTTAATGTATACCACTTGATAAGTTTGGAGATAAGTATATATCCTTGAAACCATCATCACAGACTATGACATAAATCTATGCAACATCTTCAAAAGTTTTCTCCAATCTTCTTATTTAATATTATTTTTAGTGATGAGAACAAAACATAAGGTCTACCCTCTTACCAAATTTTTAAGTATACAATACAATATTATCAACTGTAGGTGCTACGCTGTACAGTAAATTTCTAGGACTTAGGCATCTTATATAACCATACCTTTGAACCCTGACTAATACCTCCCTCAGCCTCTGGCAACTACCATTCCACTCTTTGCTTTCATGAGTTTGTCTACTTTACAGTCATAACATAAGTGATATCATGTAGCAGTTGTCCTTCTGTGTCAGTTAAAAATGTTTTTGTTTTAAATTACATTTAGTATATATTTAGCTTAACTAAATATTCATTAAAACAATTTTTTAAATGTTTAGATTTACATTGTTTTATACTGCACTAAATTTCTATTCTGTTAGTAACAATAAAACTATTGTTACATAACATTATGAATTAAACAAATGTTATTAATAAGACAAAAAAGTCAATAAGCAAGCACATTTTTGAGACTAGAAATATAACATGTTTCCGAAATTATGATTTACTATGGCATGCAACTAAAATTTTATTAGGTAACAATGTAAGAAAGTAAATAAAAAATGAATGTTCATTAGAAAATAATTATGAGGTCAGTCTTATAATAATAGGAACTTAATATATTGAATACCAAATTTTCCAAAAGCATTATTAAAGCACATGTATATTAAAGTTCAAAAATACTTTAGAAAATTCTTATGTATTTATGTGCAATCACTTTCTAATTCACTTAATCTTCCAAAATTGTCTTTCACATATGTCTTTCTCTTTTTAATATATTATTTTCAGCCTAGTATTTGTGAACTATATATGCCACATTTTAATTTCTTAAATATTTTACAATAAATTATCTTCAATTCCAATAAAAGATAATGCTGATGATATTTTTAAATTTAGTGTCATTAAATTAATTCCCGAATATTAAATAGTATCAAGGCAAAAGCACTAATAAAAATATTGAAAGTAAAAATGTTAATATGACAACTTATATTTAAATGTCTGCATTTATCTGTAGCAACTGTTTTGGTATATTTAATATTTCTTTTTTCTTATTTGCTTTCTCATTCTAAATTATATTTTAAAGTCACCTTAAACAGTTAATGGCTTCTCAGAATACTTTTAAATACACAGCAAAAAAAATCTTCTCTAGAAAATCTAGTTAATGTTATGTTACATTAAAATGTGTATGAATTCATTATTAAGTGTATTTAAATTGGATGTGGAGAAATATGAACAGTTCGTTAAGTGATACAAGTGAAAAAGTAAGATTCAGAATAAAATTAGTTGAAGAAAGGTAAGGTGATGCATACAGCAATGTTTTTATGAAGCTATGTTACTCTATACTTTATTAGGAATTGTAAGTAAACACTAAAACAACAAAAAGCCCTGCACATATCTTTACTTTTACAACTAAGAATGCCATTGTATTAGTCTGTTTACACACTGCTATAAAGACACTATTGGAGACTGAATAATTTATAAAGGAAAAAGGCTCAATTGACTCACAGTTTCGCATGGCTGGGAAGGCCTCAGGAAACTTACAATCATGGTGAAAGGGGAAGCAGGCACATCTTACATGGTGGGAAGTGAGAGACAGAGAGAGAGAGAGAGAGACAGAGAGAGAGAGAGAGAAAGAGAGAAAATAAAAAGCCAGGGGAAACTGCCATTTAGAAAACCATCAGCTCTCATGAGAATTCCCTCACTATCAGGAGAACATCATGAGGGAAACTGCCCCCATGATCCAGTCACCTCCTACCAGGTCTCTCCCTCAACATCTGTGGATTCCAATTCAAGATGCAATTTCACTGCGGACACAAAGCCTAACCATATCAGCCATTTTAATTGAAAGGGATCATAGCCGGCCGCAGTGGCTCACGCCTGTAATCCCAGCACTTTGGGAAGCCGAGGCAGGCAGATCACCTGAAGTCAGGAGTTCGAGACGAGCCTGACCAACATGGAGAAACCCCGTCTCTACTAAAAATACAAAATTAGCTGGGCGTGGTGGCACATGCCTGTAGTCCCAGCTACTCAGGAGGCTGAGGCAAGAGAATAACTTGAACCCTGGAGGCGGAGGTTGCGGTGAGCCGAGATCACGCCATTGCACTCCAGACTAGGCAAAAAGAGTGAAACTCCGTCTCAAAAAGAAAAGAAAAGGATCATTCAATATTTGTTGGTGTAAATAGATTATAGAGTTATACATTTTTTGTGTACTTTCTGAAGATTATGTTGATAAGTACAAATTTATGTGCACACAAACAGGATCTCGTAGAAAATTTCATGTTAGGGTTACAGGAATGTACCAAATATATGTAAAAGACCAACACATATAGGTAAAAACAAAACAGTGTTACTTGATCCATACATTTATCTCTGTTTCCAATTTATTTGGATATTACTCTTGTGAAGTTCCTTCTATTTAAACTATTTGGCCCTATTTTGGCATTGCCTATTTCCATCTTTTTCTGCCAGTCCATCAGTTTTACAACATGATCATAGGTTATGTTTCTGTCATGCTGATTCAATGGTACACAGTCCAGTTCTCTAGTGTTGATTTCCTTCAAGTAGTTAGTCTTAGACTGCATCTTATAAACTACTCTGAAGCCAAGGACCCGCATTCCAAGTGCCTCCAAATTTCTGAAGTGCAGCCCCCAAAAGTAAAAGTAAAATAGCAAACTGATATCACTTGGCCTTATTCAAGTCTCTATGCATTGCTAAAAAACAACAACAACAACAACAACAACAACAAGAAAAAACCATGAGTATCTAAAATAATAAAGCATCAAATATTACCTAGGGGATCTGATATGTGTCTCA
Organism: Homo sapiens; assembly: GCF_000001405.40. Lineage (NCBI taxonomy): Eukaryota > Metazoa > Chordata > Mammalia > Primates > Hominidae > Homo > Homo sapiens. The sequence goes on from NC_000013.11 coordinate 56,508,283, forward strand.
AAAAAACTAAAATAATAAAGTTAGAATACAGGATTCGGTAGCTTTCAGATGTTGATTCTATTCCTTATTTCAGCCCCTCACTGCCTGGGTGACTTTGTGCAAGGCATATGACATCCTAAGCTTCAATCCTTATTTTTGTAATGAATTTAATTGAGCATGGGAAGAGCTCAGCTTTGTGCCTGTCACATGCTTTTTCACGCATTTTTCAGACACATACAAATGGGTAGCTTTAAAACTATAGGAGTAAACTGAACATTTGCCTCTCAACATATAAGATTATATATATAAACTCATTTTTGAGATATTGCATAGAGATAGCACATAAAATAGAACAAAAATAGTATTTAAAAGAGAAACTGTGAAAACAAATGTCAAATTATATAAACTTTAGAGAGAAAGCAATACTGTAAATCAAGTCCTCTTATAGGTTTTTGAGTTAAAACTGGAAACCCAGTGTCCCTATGATCTTGTTGAAAGTCTAAAGGAATCATCAAAAACAAAAGCAAAACACAACAATCCAGAAAAGAAAACAACATCCTGCAGGTAGGCAGGAAAGAAGGGAACAAAACAAAAGATAGCTTCTAATCTAGTTGATCAAGAAAAATATTTTGTTTACCTTTATATAACAGACATGGTAATGTGCAACTCGGATCTGTGTAACATCTCAGATATCTTGGGAACGTTCCTTATAACTTCTATGAGCAGGCAGCATGCTCCCCTCATCTTGACTAAACTTTTTGCCTTGTAGATAGGCCTCTAGCCCCCATTTTCTTAATTTCCTTTAAAAGACTTGCAATTGTAAATTTGTTCTCTGCTCTTTTGTGTTGTAAATCTTCCCAAACTCTTGACAGTTTTACAACCCAGGAATATCTCTCTGTAGGAACCATCCCTTTGAAATGTAATTATCGAAAAAGATAGTGCTTTTTTTTTTCTTTATCTCTGTGAGAGGGGTGGAGCCTACTTTTGAATAGTGTCAGTTAGTCAATTAGCAAACATAGATGGTCTAATCACATTGAAAATCTTTTCTCCTGACGTTCTCCAGTGCTTTTCTAGCAGCTTACCACAGGGCTGGAAAAATCTCCACCGTTTTTTCCAGAATTCAGTTCAGTCCATGTGAAAGATTCTTTCCCCTACTGCAGTAGCCTGGATAAAATGTCTTATGCTTTTTAAACAAATGTCCAGTTAAATTTCTCTTTGACGGTCCTTTATTTTATGTTATTTTTACCTATAAATCACCTTTAAAATCCCTTTAATATCAGCTTGAATGGTTAGGATACAGTTTTCATACAGGATATATAGCAGGCCTAGATAAAAATGCCATAAAGCAAAGCTTTGTGGATTGCTTTACGTCTTGTTTTAATTTTAGATTTGTTTTCCTTTTTTTTTTCTTTTAATTTTCAAAGTGTATTTTTTGTTCCCTGATTTATTATCACCCAGAGAGGAAAATGAAATATCTGACATTAAAATATACTTTGGTAGAAAGTGTAGTGGAGGAAAGTGTTAGTATTCCATGATGTGTATGTATCACATTATCTGGATCCAGTTTGTCATTGCTGGACAGTTAGGCTGATTTCACGTCATTCATATTGTGAATAGTGCTGACGTGAACATATGTGTTCATGTGTCTTTATGATAGAATAATTTATATTCCTTTGGATACATATCCAGTAATGGGATTGCTTGGTTGAATGGCATTTCTGTCTTTAGGTCTTTGAGGAATCACCACATTGTCTTCCACAATGGTTGAACTAATTTACGCCCCCACCAACAGTATATGAGCATTCCTTTTTCTCCACAACCTTGCCAGCATCTGTTATTTTTTGACTTTCTAAGAGAAGCCATTCTGACTGGTGTGAGATGGTATCTCATTGTGGTTTTGATTTGCATTTCTCTAATAACCAGCAATGTTGAGCTTTTTTTAAGTATGATTTTTGGCCACATGCTTCTTTTGAAAAGTGTCTGTCTGTGTTCTTTGCCCACTTCTTAAATGAGGTTGTTTTTGTTTCTTTTATATTTCTTTAAACTTCTTATAGATGTTGGATATAAGACCTTTGTTGGATGCATAGTTTGCAAGAATTTTCTCCCATTCTGTAGGTTGCCTGTTTACTCTGTTGATACTTTCTTTCATCCATAAAAAGGAATGAGATCATGTCCTTTGCAAGAACATGGATGGTACTGGAGACCATTATTCTTAGCAAACTAACACAGGAACAGAAAACAAAATATGACATGTTCTCACTGATAAGTGGGAGCTAAATTTTGAAAATACATAGACAAAGAGAGGGGAACAACACCTATCGTAAGGTGGAGGGTGAGAGGAGGGAGAGGATCAGGAAAAATAACTAATGGGTACTAGGCTTAATACTTGGGTGATGAAATAATGTGTACAACGAATCCCCATGACACAAATTTACCTATGTAACAAACCTGCACACATATCCCTGAACTTAAAACCAAAAGTTCAATAAGTAAATAATGATTTAAGCAAGATGTGCTAGAAAATCTGGTTGTACTTATATTTTTCTTTTAAATCTAAAACAATCTTAATTAGGAATGTAGAGCTGAAATTCAGGAAAAAGGCATTAGACATTATCTTGCAGATTGAGAAAAGTGGTAACTTCTTGCTACTCCTTTTTAGTTTTACCATTCTCTTACTCTAACTTCTGGAAACCACCGATCTTGAGCACTGTATAGTTCTCCTACACTATAATTTTATCTTTTAAAAAATAGGATATAAATGACGTCATAGAATATGAAATCTCTTGAAACTGGTCTATTTTGTTCATCATAATCCTCTGATATACATCCAACTGGGTACACATATAAGTCATGTATTCATCATTTTTGTTGGTTAATACCTCATTGCATGGATGTAACACAGTTTCTTTATCCTTTCACCCACTGAGGGTCTTTTGACTTGTGTCCAGTTTTGGCAATTATAAATAGTGCTATTATAAACAATTATAATAGCTATGTGCACCCAAGTTTTTATTCCCATAGAAAAAATACCCAATAATGGGATTGGTGGATCATTTTGAAAGTTCATTCTTCAATTTATAAAAAACTAACAAACTATTTTCCATTTTTCTTTCTCAGTGGCCAATGCACGAGGGTTTCATTTGCTTCACATAATAAACTAGAGTTTAATTTTTTTATTCTGAAAATAGCATTTGCCCTGTAAAATATGTGAATTCTATTGTTTATATATAAATACACCCTTTAAGACTAATAATTTTATTTCATTAAAGCATATAGTATGATGAAGAGGAAGAGTTTTTATTGCTCTAAACATTAAGAAATGCTAAAGTTGGCTTATTTGTGATTAAAACATTGAATAAAATTCCAAGTTATATTAGAAAAGCATAATCATTTTTCAAAATGAAAAAAATAGTTGTTTTTGTAGTCAACACTGAGTATATAAATCTACCCCCTATGGTGTCAGATACAGATAACTTAATTCAGTTTATAAATAGTGGCCTAGAGAGTGAAAATAACTTACCTAGTATAAGAGTTCTTATTATTTGTATGAAAATACTTAAACCATGACTCTTAAGATTCAGGTAGATTCCTTTTTTTCAGTATACTACACAGCAATAACTTCCCATTTCTTTTTCAATTGTCATACACATCAGTTTGTCATTAGTGTTTTTGTCGGTTTACTTATTTTTTAATACTGACTTTGATTTCTTTCTTTTATCTTTGTAGGAGAATAATAAGAATCAGAATCAAATAAGTAGTGTTCAATTTGCTAGCTAATATTCAGGCCATTACAAGTATTTATAATGTTAAAATAACAGGAAGCATCTAAAATGAAGGAACAGATTGTATAAAGCAGAATAGGAGATCAGAGGCCACGGACAGAAATGAATAAAATATAAAAAATAAAATAAAGGAAAAATATATTTAAGTGTTGGAAAAACCAGCTCAAAATTTGTGACATAGATGTAATTTAAGTCTGGAAGCAGAAAAAAGAAAGTGTGGACAAAGCAATATTTGAAGATTTATGTACAACATTTTCCCATAACATAGGAATGATATAACATAAAGATTAAAGATGTGGAAGAAACTCTGTAGAAAGTACAAAAGTTCCTCTTCAAAGCTTGTCTTGGTTTAAAAATAATAGACACTAGAAATAATAGCTTCTTACTCTAAAGCCTCCTATCAACTATTAGTTCTTACACTTTAGCCCAGTTAGTTGCTTTGGCTTACTCAGGCATGTCTGGATAGGCCTAGGCAAGTCTTGGCTCATAGCTTATGCCCTTTCCTTATTTTGGAAATGTTATTGCTTCCTTAAACCTTTTGTAAGCAACTTCCTCTCCTTCTTTGTTCTTCCTTGCACTTACCTATTTAGGGAAGTTTTAGGTTATTAGCAAATCGGGTATCAGTTTAACATTGTGAGGTCCAGCTCCAGTCAATGGATGCAGGACACAGCAGTAAGGACAACCCAAATGCGTAAGGAATAAATACAGGTGCTTTTCCTTTGTTGAAGTGTGCTCTCGCCATTGTTCCATCTGTGATTGAGCACCTTTTTTGCAGAAAGTAAAGATTGCCTTACTTAGAGATCTTTTGTCTCTGTGCTGACTTTTCTTTGCGGCACCAATTATGTATTTCTAACAATTTTGGTATTTCTACCAAACTCCAAACACTAAACAAACTAAAACACACACACACACACACACACACGGACACACATAAGCTCATACTGCTAAAATGGGAGGAAATTACGGATGAAATTTTAACAGCTTCCACAAGGACGAAAGACATATTACTCTCACAGGATGAACACTAAATATAAAAACTTAATTCTCAGTAAAAATCACAAACAAAAAACAAAAAAAGAATTCCTTGAAATCTACTAAAAAAGATTAAAAAAGAAAATAAATATCAAACTATTAGTATCATACATTTATAAAAAGGACATAAGCACTGACTTTGTAGAAATTGTGACTTTATATTAACATATTTGACAATTAAGATTAAATGGAATAAACTTCTCAAAACATAACATTTACCAAATCTCATAAAAGAATAAACAAAAAGTTTCTAAAAAATATATATAGAACAGAAATTGTATTATTCATTAATACTCATTTCACAGGGAAACCCCAGGCTCACCTTTCATTGACTTCATCAAGGAATTATCATAAATATTTAATCTTCTATATAATCTTAACTCAACATTACACAGTTATTCAAAGATTAGAAAAAGAGAAATTTACTGTCAGACATTTTTGCAGCTAACATAAATTTGATCCTATGATATTACTATCCAATTTCCTGTCAGTGCATTGAAAAAGAAAAATTGGCAGGACTGATTTTGGATTATGGGGTCTAGTTTCTACTAGATGGGGTCTAGTTTACCACCTGTGACTAAGAGCAAGCTATTTTGCCTTTGAAAAATAGGTCTCTAAATACTTCTCTGATGACTAGTAGGATTTCATAATTTGTATACCTATATCTCTGTATTTGATACTTATCTGAGGACTAATACTTATATTAATACTTCTCCAGTGACTAATACTTATATTAATATTTGTATTAAATTAATACAGATTAGTATGAATATAATATATAAGCATATGACATTTTGTTAGTCATCTGATAAGTATTTGGAGATATATATATATGTTTATATATGTATATTTGTGTATGTATGTGTATATAGAGAGAGAAACAGAGAGAAGAAGAAATCTTCACACAGTACTTGGCATGTACTAAGTGCTATCTACACAACAGAATTATTAATAATAATGTGTTCAGTAAGTAAATTTATTGAATAACAATCATTATTACCATTATCATTTTGTCAAATACTTTTACATCTTGACTCAAGAAAAATGTTTCTTTTAATTGTCCTCAAAAAATCACTTCCATGTTCTTTACATGTTTTGTAACAGTCATAAGATGTGTGAATATGTTTTTTTGATAAATCTTTCAATATTTTATTTAAAGAGCCACTCTAAGTGTTCTGCATTCTATATGCTAATATAAAATATTTAATTATATCCTTTTATTGATTTTTAATAATCTATATTTCAAAATTTGGGAGGTATTCTACTCTTTAAATAATACATTATTTTAGCTTTCAAAATTTATGAAATTCTGCATATTATGTGTTCTTGGTTGTCATCTTTCTCCATCTCTCTGGGAGGCTCTGTGGCAGCTATTAATGATTGCCCTGTATGGAAAGAAAATGGCAAGTAGTGGGTTTTTCTGACCCTGGGATCCATCGATTTATGGAGCATGGCTCCTTGGATATTGTCACATAAGCTATGGAACTATCTGAGGAACTCTTCTGAGTATAAAACAGAGATATGTCATGGCCCAAGCAGCTCTACTTGTGCAAGCTCAGTGAGCATTTGCATTTCTTGGAGTCTTGGATGTGAATCTGGGCCAGAGCACTTCCTATTTTGGCTGCAAGGAACCCATCCAACAACTTTGGAAGTCTTGAACTTGTCTTGCCTGGCTTTTCCAGTGTCTCCTTCACCTCTACGGTAGAGCTTCCTAGTAAGTAAAATCTTCGAATCCTGAGTCCACAGTGATCAACTGCTTCTGTGCTGTCTCAGATAAGCATTGTAAGCAATATTGTCTTTCAGATGCACAGATCATAATGACAAAAGCCCTTTTTTGGCAGACAAAAGAGGGAATAAAAAGGAATATGATGAGTATTTGATTCCAGAAGGACTGCCTACTCATCACCCATACAGTGTGGCAAAAGGCTTGACCCTGAGGTACATCTCATGAAAGGAACTTGGAAGAAATACATCTACACCTGGCAGAGATGTCTAACTGGACAAAATGCAAGACAGAAAGTACATAAGAAAATGGCTTTTGTTAACAGTCCTGTTAAAAGTAGACCTCTAAAACTAAAGGCTGGGGCAACTCGAGAAAAATTCTCCTCTAGAAGCCTTCTTAAGCTTCTTGACTAAATGGGCAGATATTAGATTAACTCATGAAATCACTTACTTAAAAAAAATTGACTACTCAAACAACTATACAGGTAGGTAGAAGCCATGGCTGGTTGATTACAGAATGCAGAGGATATCCTATTAAAGAGTGAAGACCTTTTATAGAGAAATGGTTAGTAGAAGCCTGGTGAATCATGATTGTCATATAGTTTTAGGAAGAATCTACCTGAAACCATATTGCTAATTCCATAGATTGCTGAGTGGAAAGGATTATTTGGTTATTTGGTTTGATGATGAGTCCCCATGTGGCTTCAATCTTTTATAAGTAGAAAACTTCAGTGTGTCCCTATCCTGCTACAGTGCATGAAGGAGAGGGATTGGGAAGATCCACTCTAAAAATAGAAACTGATCCATCTGCTCACTCATTACCTCAAAAATGTATATAATTGTTTGGAAATTGCAGGAATGAGAGAGCACAAACAGATCTAGACTGGCTGTATGATGACTAATGGATTACAGCTAATTTAATATTACTGATGCAAATGATGCTAGATAATTATACAGCTCGTGGATGTAATAAACACAATAGAAACTGTATGCTTCCAGTTACACTTTATGATGTCATTTCACCAAGGCACACATTAAATTAATGTGAAGGCTTTAGTCTTTCCTTTGGGATTCAGATTTCACATAATTTGGCAGTAATGAGACTGTTGTTGCCCCAGTTTTTCTGTGTGAATGTTAACATTTCGTTTGTTTGTGCTTCCTCTCTGCCATCTTTTATACTTTTCCATTGTATGTGATGGGTTTGAAGCAGTAAAATAAACTTTTTCATGCTTTTAATATCCTTTATTTTGCCAAATCAACTGGACTCCAAAGACAGACATATTAATTTAGTAAGTATTATCCCAATTTATTAACATCTAGGTTACCAGAAATACCTCTAGCTCTAGCAAGGAATTTACGTTATCTCTAGCTGCAATCATTCATTTTTATGTCTTCCCTCCTACACTCAACTATAACAATTGAGATGAAAGACTTCTCATGGTGACTTACACATGATAGGCCCTTAGAAGAGTTGATAAATGAAAAGAGGGACATAAACACACCATAGGTTTTTTTTTTAATTGCCTAATATCTGTTTATTATAAATCTAACACAAACTCATTTCGGCCTTTTTTTCCTAGTCTTTACATTCCGGCAGCCAAGTTGTCTTCTAGATCTGTTTTAAAAATGAAATATGTAATTTTTGAAATGTGAGTTGCAATGGTCTTCTAATTCTGTGTCCCTAAGTTGTACAGGATGGGAGTGATCATGCTTATGTTGCTAGTATTTAATAAGACATGATATTTATGGAGTTTTCAATTCTATTTCCCTAGAGATGCTCTAGGAAATTTGCATTGCCAAAAATATGTATCAATCACAATAAAATGGAGATTCTCAAAGCCAGCAAATTTGGTTAAAAATTAACAAGTCAGAAAATTATTAAAGCATGGTTTGTAATTGTCCATGGAAATGGTGACTCTAATTTTTTCTTAATTTTAAAAATTCTTTGGGCATTTCCTTCTGCAGTACCATTATCATAATTAAGAAACTAAAGTTAAAGAAGAGTTTATTTTATTATCAATATTCCTCACAACCAATGCATGATTGTTACTGCAAGAAGTAATTTTCCTCTATTAATAGCTCAGTCACTGGATTAAGTTTTTCTTTTAGGATTCATAGGGGATTTATGAATGGCATATTTTAATATTAAATTAGTTGAAATGCTTCATTAAAAACAAACTAATCATGAAATTGAGAATGCTTTTCATACAAGGCCAATTATTAATGCTCAGTTTCATATTTTTTAATAGACTGTAGAATAAACTATGTGTACTTCACTAAGTGTATTGAATAAATTAAAATTGAAATATGTACATCCATATTGATACATGTATCTATACATACATACAATTTAACATTTTTATGTTTATAAGCTTTTTTTTCACTGACTGCTCTTAATATCAGCTCCCGTCTGACTTCTTATACCACCTCACTCTAAAGCCAGGCAGGCCATGCATCTTGTCAGTTTGCTTTTTGAACATAAAATTAGAAAAAAGAAAGTTATGTTGTTAAATGTTTATGACAGAGACCAAGATATCATGTTATATAAATTTGCACAATAATGGATGGTATATTGGCCTACTCCATGTACAAAGCTTGCGTGGATGCTAACACTTTTTTACCTTTGTAAGCCCCATTTTGAAATTACTTATTGGTTGACAAATAACATATAATCTTGTCATTTTTTTTTTTTTTTTTTTGCTCTTTGTGATACATTATTAAGACAGATGAAGAGGACTTAATATGAATGTAATCAATTCTGGCTGCACAAGAATCCAATTTTAGCTTTATGTTTTCTCTGTTGTATGTCATCTTATGTTAATGTTTTCTCTGTTTTATTTCATCATATGCTAATTATATAATTCAATTTTCAGAAAATTAATCATTTATTCTTAATTATATAGTCTTTGCAGTAAGTACTTATATAATTTTATACTCCAAATATCATATAATGTTTCCATCCATCTTTTAAGATATTTTACATATGCCATCTGTATTAGTCTGCTGTTACACTGCTAATAAAGACACAACCAAGACTGGATAATTTATAAAAGAGGTTTAATGGCATAGTTCCACATGGCTGGGGAGGCCTCACAATAATGGTGGAAGGTGAATGAGGAGCAAAGTCACGTCTTACATGGTGGCAGGCAAGAGAGCTTGTGCAGGGGAGTTTCTACTTCTGAAACCATCGGATTTTGTGAGACTTATTCACTACCATAAGAACAGTATGTGATAAACTGCCCTCATGATTCAACTATCTCCACCTGGCCCTATCCTTGACACATGGGGATTATTACAATTCAAGGTGAGATTTGGGTAGGGACACAGCCCAATCATATTACCATCTTTCCTTCTGCCTAAAGCATCATGTTCAATAATAGCAGGATTTAATTCACATTTATTTTTCCTATTCTGAATTTTATTAAATCCAGAAATTAAAGGTAGATCCATGTGAAAGGTACTAATAAGGGCTATGAGACATAATATCAAGGAAAGTCAAGAAAAGAAGGCAGGACTTGCATGTAAACGGAGAATAAAATATATTTACCAGAAAACAAGTTATTTTGTTGCAATAAAATAGAGTTGAAATTAGAACATGCATTTTCAGTTCATAGGTAATATAGAAAACTTTGCATTTTTTAACTGTGAGGGCTTTAATTAATCTTTCTAATATCTATTAAAACAATTACATTCCTCCATATTCCTTCTCAGAATATACAAAATAAAAGGTAAGAAAATATATAAATAATATATGCTAATTGAAAATGTGCCTACTTAGGAGTCTAAAAGTCTAGATTAAAAAAATCCATGTGGTCAATTCTTTTGAGCATCTTAGATAAATATTTGAGTCTCAGTTTATGATGTCTAAAAGATCATAACTACATCTACCCCAAAGTTTGTCATGAACATATATATATATGTATGTATATATGTATATATAGTTATGGCTTGATTTCCCTTATTTTAAGTGAAAAAAGCACCAAAAATGGAGTATTTTTTTTTTTTACTAACAAGAAATATAATTAGCACGCTGGATTGAAATAATTTGTGATAAATGAAAATATTTTATTTAAAAAAACTAGTATCTTGTCTGAAACTATATTTAATCAGGTTCTGACCTTTTACCAAACCTGATACTCAAGAAATTTGTGAACCATACTACTCTGCAAAGGTGCTGTTTACTGAAGAGATTTCCTCATCTTTCGGTAACTATAAACTCAGATCAAGTATCTAAAATGTCTTGCTGTGAAGTCAGAAAAAGAAGTTACCATGGGAAAAAAAAATCTAGAGATTAAAATATGTACTTTTTAAATGTTTATCTCTTTTTTTAATCGAATTGTCTTATTTTTCTAGGGTATTCGTGCTTTCTGTAAGCTTACTGGAGGATGATGTGGGAAAAAGTATCTCAATCTATTAAAGCCAAAATAAGTGAATTTTTGATAAGTCCTAGAAATCAGGCCATGAATTGTGAATGACTTCCTTCCCTTCTTCTTATTTCTAAGAGAAAGACTCTAATTAAGCTGAAGTGGACACTGAGAATAGATAAACTGCCTGTTGATAGGTGATGAGCCTAGAGTGATATCTAATACTAACATGATGAGTAAACAAATCAGGGGAATTATGAAATGTTTTCCAGTACCAATGAAAGAATTCCCATAAAGAATAAAAAAAGAAGCCTACAGGAGTGATGTGATATAAGGTATAGACACATCATTCAGAAATTTTAATTGTGAAATAGTTGGAATAAGAAGGCTTGCATGTATAAAATAATAGTGCATCATATAAAAAGATGAATGGCTAAAAGTGTGTACTTATATAAAAGTAAAGGACTTCACTTCTTTAGGAGAAGGGAAGGCAGAAAACCAAAAGAACTGTAATAGATATAAAACTCACAATGCTGGCAGTCAAGTATTCACTTGATATGGTGGATATTCAAATTAGCAATGTTTTAGAGTCCTCAAGAAAAACAAAATTCATAGATTAATTATATATTAGATATTGATATCTATAAAATAGTAGATTATATAATTAAATAATTATGTATTACAAATATAAATATTAATATAATCATATATGTGTGATAAATTATATATTGGATTGTGTGATTATGAAAGCTATAATATTTATATATTATATATTGGATATATGTGATATATAATTGGATTATGTGATTATGAAAGCTAAGAAATCCCAAGATCTGAAGAGCTACAGCTGGCCAACTGGAGACCAAAAAGGGTTAATGGTGTAGTTCCAATGTGAGTCCAAAAGCCTGAGAACAAGAATTCTTGATCTAAGTTCAAATAGTATTCGGAGTCTGAAGGCAAGAGAAGACTAATGTCCCACTTTGAAGACAATACCACAGAGAGGGAGAATTCTTCTTTACTCAGCTTTTTGTTCTATTTAGGACTTCAGTAGATTGGATGAGGCCCACCCACATTAAACATGGCAATCTGCTTTACTCAGTCTACCAATTCAAATATTAATTTCATACAAAACACCCTTTCTGACAATCAAACATTGTTTAAATATATAGGTACTTATATTATTAGTCCATTCTCACACTGTGATAGGGTTTGGCTGTGTCCCCAACCAAATTTCATCTTGAATTCCCACGTGTTGTGGGAGGCGCCTGATGGGAGGTAATTGAATCATGAGGGCAGGTCTTTTCTGTGCTGTTCTCATAATAGTAAATAAGTGAATAAGTCTCATGAAATCTGATGGTTTGAAAAAGAGGCGTTTCTCTGCACAAGGGCTATTCTCTTGTCTGCCACCATGTGAGACATGCCTTTCACCTTCCTCCATGATTGTGAGGCCTCCCCAGCTATGTGGAACAGTAAGTCCAATAAACCTTTCTTTTATAAATTGTGCAGTCTTGGGTATATCTTTATCAGCAGTCTGAAAATGGACTAATACAGTAAGTTGGTAGCAGTAGAGTGGGGCACAGCTGTAAAGATACCCGAAAATGTAGAAGCTACTTTGGAACCGGGTAACAGGCAGAGGTTGGAACAGCTTGGAGGGCTCAGAAGAAGACAAGAAAATGTGAGAAAGTTTGGAACTTCCTAGAGACTTGTCAAATGGCTTTGCCCAAAATGCTGACAGTGATATGGACAATAAAGTCCAGTCTGAGGTGGTCTCAGATAGAAATGAGGAACTTGTTGGGAAATGGAGCAAAGGTGACTCTTGTTATGTTTTAACAAAGAGACTGGCAGCATTTTGTTCTTGCCCTAGAAATTTGTGAAACTTTGAACTTGAGAGAGATGATTTAGGGTGTGTGATGGAAGAAATCTCTAAACAGCAAAGCATTCAGGATTTGACTTGGGTGCTGTTAAAGGCATTCCATATTATAAGGGAAGCAGAGCATAAAAGTTTGAAAAATTTGCAGCCTGATAATGCCATAAAAAAGGAAATCCTATTTTCTGAGGAGAAATTCAAGCTGACTGCAGAAATTTGTATAAGTAACGAGGAGCCAAATGTTAATCCCCAAAACAATGGGGGAAATATCTCCATGTGGCTGCATGTCAGAGGTCTTCAAGGCAGCCCCTCCCATCACAGGCCTCCCATCTCAGGCCTAGAGGCACAGGCAGGAATTTGTGCAGCCCAGTGACTTGGGTGCCCTGTTTCCCACCGATCCAGCCATGGCTGAAAGAGGTCAATGTAGAGCTCAGGCCATGGTTTCAGAGGGGGCAAGACCCAAGCCTTGGCAGCTTCCACATGATGTTGAGCATGTGAGTATACAGAAGTCAAAAATTGAGGTTTGGGAAACTCTGCCTAGATTTCAGAGATATATACACATGCCTGGATGCCCAGGCAGATGTTTGCTGCAGGGTCAGGGCCCTCATGGAGAACCTCTGTCAGGGCAATGCAGAAACAAAAAGTGGGGTGAGAGCTTCCACACAAAGTCCTTACTGGGACACCATCTAGTGGAGCTGTGAGAAGAGGCCAAACATCCACCAGACCCCAGAATGGTAGATCCACTGAGAGCTTGCATCATGTACCCGGAAAAACCACAGACACTCAATGCCAGCCTGTGAAGGCAGCCAGGAGGGAGGCTGTACTCTCCAAAGCCACTGGGGCAGAGTTGCTGAAGACCATGGGAACTCACCTCTTGCATTAGTGTGACTGGATGTGAGACATGGAGTCAAAGGAGATCATTTTGGAACTTTAAGATTTGACTGCCCCACTGGATTTTGGACTTGCAAGCGGTCTATAACCCCTTCATTTTGGCCAATTTCTCCCATTTGGAATGGCTGTATTTACCCAATGCCTTTACTCTCATTGTATCTAGGAAGTAAGTAACTTACTTTTGATTTTATAGGCTCAGAGGTGGAAGGGACTTGATTTGTCTTAGATGAGACTTTGTACTGCGGACTTGAGAGTTAATGTTGAAATGAGTTAAGACTTTGGGGGATGGTTGGGAAGGCATGATTGGTTTTGAAATGTGAGGACATGAGATTTAGGAGGGATCAGGGGTGGAATGATATTTTTTGGCTGTGTCCCCACCCAAATCTCCTCTTGAATTCCCATGAGTTATGGAAGGGACCCAGTGGGAGGTAATTGAAACATGGGGGCAGGTCTTTCCTATGCTGTTCTCATGATAGTAAGTCTCATGAGGTATGATGGTTTTAGAAATGGGAGTTTCCCTACACAAGTTCTCTTCTCTTGTTTGCCATCATTTGAGACGTGCCTTTCCAATTCCACTATGATTGTGAGGACTCCCCAGCCATGTGAAACTGTAAGTCCAATAGACTTTTTTTTTTTTTTTTTTTTGTAAATTGTCCGGTCTCAGGCATATCTTTATCAGCAGTGTGAAAACGGACTAATACACACTGCTATAAAGAACTACATGAGACTGGGTAATTTATGAAGAAAAAGGTTTAATTGACTCACAATTCCACAGGCTGTACAGGAAGCTGGCTGAAGAGGTCTTCAGGAATCTTACAATTGTGGTGGAAGGGCAAAGGGGAAGCAAGCACCTTCTTCACATGGTGCTTGGTGCAGTGGGAGAGAGAGAGCGAAGGGGGGGAGTGCTATACATTTTTAAACAACCAGACATCATGAGAACTCACTCACTATTATGAGAACAGCAAGAGGAAGTCTGCCACCATGATCCAGTCACCTCCCACCAGATCATCCCCCAACATTGCAGATTACAATTCAACATGAGATTTGGATGGGGACGCAGAGCCAAAACGTATTATTCTGCCCCTGGCCCCTCCCAAATTATATGACATTCTCACATTTCAAAACCAAGTATGCCTTCCCAACAGTTTCCAAAGTCTTAACACTTTCCAACATTATCTCAAAAGTCCAAGTCCAAAGTCTCATCTGAGACAAGGCAAATCCCTTCTGCCCATGAACCTGTAAAATCAAAAAAGTTAGTTACTTCTAAGATACAATGCAGGTACAGGCATTGGGTAAATAAACCTGTTGCTAAAGGCAGAAAGAAGCCAAAATAAAGGGGCTACAGGCTGTATGCAAGGCCAACACCCAGCAGGGCAGTCATTAAATCTTAAAGCTCCAAAATAATCTTCTTTGACTCTGTATTACATCCAAGCCACACTGATATTAAGGGGTGGGTTCCTAAGACCTTGGGTAGCTCCACCCCTGTGGCTCTGCAGGATACAGCCCCTGTGCCTGCTTTCACAGTGTGACATTGAATGCCTGTGGCTTTTCCAGGTGCATGGTGCAAGCTGTCAGTGGATCTACCATTCTAGTGTCTGGAGGATAGTGGCCCTCTTCAACAGCTCCACTAGGCATTGCCCCAGTGGGGACTCTGTGTAGGGGCTCTAACCCCACAGTTTCCCTTTGCATTGCCCTGGTAGAGGTTATCCATAAGGACTCTGCCCTGCAGCAGACTTCTGCCTGGACATTCAGGAGTTTCCATACATCCTCTGAAATCTACACGAAGGCTCTCAAACCTCAACTCTTGCCTTCTGCACACCTTCAGGTCCAACACCACATGGAAGCCACCAAGGGTTGGAGCTTGCACCTCCTGAAGCCATAGCGCAAGCTGTACCTTGACCCCTTTTAGCCATGTCTGGAGCTGAAGCAGCTGGGACATGAGTCACCATTTTCTGAGGCTGAGAAGAGAAGCAGGGCCCTGGGCCTGGCTGACAAAACCATTTTTCCCTCCTAGGCCTCTGGGTCTGTGATGGGAATGGGTGTCATGAAGGACTCTGAAATGGCTTGGAGTTATTTTCTCCATTGTGTTGGCTATTAACATTCAGCTTCTTTGTACTTATGTAAATTTCCTCAGCCTTGAATTCCTCCATAGAAAAATGGGTTTTACTTTTCTATCACATGGTCATGTTGCACATTTTCCAAACTTTTATTCTCTGTTTTCTTTTAAATAATTTCCCATTTCAGACAATGTCTTTGCAGACACACATGAGCAAGGGCACAATGCCACCAGTCTTTTTGCTAAAGCATAACAAGAGTGACCTTTACTCTTGTTCTCCATAAGTTCCTCATCACTATCTGAGAACACCTCAGCCTGGACTTCACTTGTTCAATTCACTATCAGTATTTTGGTCACAACCATTTAATAAGTCTCTCAGAAGTTCCAAACTTTCCCTCATCTTCCTGTTTTCTTCTGAGCCCTCCAATGCCTTCCAACCTCTGCCTGTTACCCAGTTCCAAAGCTGCTTCCATATTTTCAGGTCTCTTTATAGCAAAGCCATACCTCTCTGGTACCAACTTTCTCTATTATTCTATTCTCACATTACTATAAAGAACTTCCTGAGACTGAATAATTTATGAAGAAAACAGGTTTAATTGACTCAGTTCCACAGGTTGTATAGGAAGCACGGCTGGGAGGCCTCAGGAAACTTACAATCATGGCAGAAGGCGAAGGGGAAGCAAGCACATTCTATATGGCTGCAGCAGGAGAAAGAGAGTGAAGGGGGAAGTGTCATACACTTTTAAACAACCAGATCTCATAAGAAGTCACTCACTATCACAAGAACAGCAAGGCAGAAATCTGACTCCATGATCCAATCACCTCCCACTAGATCCCTCCCCAACACTGGGGATTATAATTGGATATGAGATTTGGGTGGGGATACACAGCCAAAGCATATCAGTACCTCATGGTCCAGTCAAATTTATAAATAAAATTAACCATAACAAGTGATATAATTCATTAGTCTGAGATAGTTATGAAGAGCATAATAGAAGACAAAGGATATTAAAAATGAGAAAAAATAAAGAAATAGATACAAATTTTTTCATACATACAAAAATATTTTTTAAGAGTGTACTGTGCCTCAGCTTATAGCTGGACACTGGAAAGTAAGAGAGAACATATTGATGTGGCCCTATTCCCATGGTGCTTAAATGTGAAAATAAAAATGTATATATGATATAAAACTTTACTGAGATTTACTAGAAACTGAAATTTTATTATGCAGGTTTTTAGGAACAAGTTAATGCATGAGGATGAGTTATAGAAATTCACCCCTTTAAAGATAAAATGTATAACATTACCTATATAAGCAGAAAAGAAGTTAATCCCACCCCAAAAGAATAGTCTTATGGCTACAAAAATGGTTACCCCTCCCCAAAACTATACCCTTATTAAATGTTATTTATTTCCACTGTGAAGAAAAAATAACAGATATCTAAATTAGCAAAAATATACTAGACTTTTAAACTTTCTGAAGAAAGAAATCTAAATGTCACTTTTGACATATGAAATATAAATACAAATATAAAGCTGATATTTCAAAATGTACAGAATAAACTTTTGTAAATATAGAAAATGTTAAATAAGTTATTAAATTATTTTATTATTAATTTGCCAAATTATTAATAATAATTGGATGGTTAGGAATATATATTTACATATTAGTATCCAATATTATGTTGTATGTTTTTCTATAAAACAGAGTTTTTACACAGTAAGGAGCAGCCATCTATCCTTTTACTGTTGATATAGCAGAGAATAAGGGTGACACAATCTGTAATTCCATGTAACTTTCGCTTCAGTGTTGGGGGAAAATAAATTATAAAGTAAACTCGTAAACAAAAACACATACCTCAAACTGGATAGACAAAGAAAGTCTCTAAGAAAATGGTATTTTGCTGAGACCTAAATTGCAAGGAGATTTGGTCATGGGAAAGTTGAAGGAAGAGTATTCCATGAAGAGAGAAGAAAGGAATTTCACATGAATGAAAAATGGTGTCAGGGAACCGACAATATGAGGGTAGCATTGAGGAAGCTAGAAAGTAGAGGATTGCAAGCAGAAGAAAGTATATTGATTTTTTCAAAATATTGTAATGTATTTTATTTAACCCACTGTATCAAAATATCATTTAAACAAGTAATTACAGAAAAAGAATTTATTATTTATGTATTTAGTTTTGATTAGCAAGTACAAATTATACACATTTATAGAGTACAAAATGATGTCTGGATAGATGCAAACCACTGTGGAATGACCAAATCAAGCCATTCAGCATATGCATTATCTCACATACGTATATTTACCTTATTATCATCTACTCTCTCCGCAATTTTCAAATATGCAATATATTGCTATTAACTCTAGTTTCTACGATTTACAGTAGATCTCCTGAACTGATTTCTCCTCTAACTAAAATGTTGTGTCCTTTGACCAACATTTCTCCAATTCTCCCGTTCCCTTAGCCTCCAGTAGCCACCATTTTATTCTCTGTTTCTCAGTTTAAATTCACTTTTCACACGGCACATATAAGTGAGACGTATTGTTTTTCTGTGCCTGATTTACTTTAATATTAAAATATCAATTCTTTTTAAGCGCAAAGGAAAGACTAAAAGATTTTAAGCAGGGTGGTAGACATAATTTATTTCTTTACTTTTGAGCCTGGAATTTAGAAGGTAATACTGGACTTAACAATGTCGGAAAAAAAGATTCTGATTTTGTTTTTGTTTTTCCACAGTAAAACATTTGGGAAATAATGGTGCCATAAATAAATAAATATATTAATAATAATTATGATGTTATATTTTTCAATGATAAATATATCACACCCTAATATTACATTAATATAATATGCAGGGGATAGATTAATGAATGGATAAATAGATGATAGACAGTAATATGTAATACATATTCATACTCTACAACAGGGCCTGGCAAACTTTTGCTGTAAAGGACTGTAGCAAATATTTTATATCTTCAGGCCATATAGTCTGTTCTGCAACTAACTAACATGTCTTTGTAACATGAAAACAGGCATTGACAATACATAAATGAATGGGTGTGTGTATAGTCCAATAAAAATTTATAATAACAGGTAATAAGCCATATTTGCTCATAGCTTTCCAGTTTCTACTCTAGAATATAGAATACATCATTTATAATCTGTGATATAATTTGATAAATAAGAATACATTATGAGAGTTTGTTATATGAATTTAATACAATACATATTTATAAAATGTAATGCTTTATATTTAATGTTTGTGTTACATCATATGCTATTTTATTATATAGCATGTGATATTATACAACATATTTGTATAATAGCATGATGAGTAACATATAAACTGTATATAATACCTACAATATCATAAAGATGATCTACAACATAGAATATATAGTATATAAAGTTCATCATAGTGTGCATGACAGATAATGATATTATTTTTATGAAGTCCCAATTTATTATTCTTGTGCCAGACCAAGAATACTTTTTGTTTGTTTTAGGCTTCAATAAAGCCTAAAACAAAAAGTAATTAAATAATTATGCCTAGGATTCAACAAAGTCATTACTTTATTGTTTGCTTATAGTGAAATACTGTTATGTTCTTCCTAAAATTATTAGGGGAACTTTATGTACTTGCTTATAAGCAAACAGGTTAATAAACTAAGTTAACAACAAACAATTTGTTGAAAATGGGATTATGTATCAGTTACATGTTTGTATATTTGTTTGGCAATGTAATGGTTTTTAATTCAGTAATAGTTGTTTCCAGTCTAGATAGGGGTTTGCACTTCCAGATCTACACAGATCTATCCATTTCCTGTGTGTTTCTTCTTAGAAGCTAAATTGTTAGTTATCATTACTTCTAACTTTGTT
The DNA here is from genome assembly GCF_000001405.40 of Homo sapiens. Lineage (NCBI taxonomy): Eukaryota > Metazoa > Chordata > Mammalia > Primates > Hominidae > Homo > Homo sapiens. The sequence goes on from NC_000013.11 coordinate 56,527,860, forward strand.
ATCAGGGTTATGTTACATTTGTGGTTCCTGATGGCATATGAAATTGAGACCTGCTGCCATAGAGCAAACACTTCACTTCTGAGGCCATTCTTTAAACAATTATGCACAATTTATGAACCCCCTCCTCAATTTTTAACCTGCTGCCCTCTGTTGTTTACAGTTTTTCATGTTGGAAAAACTTTTCTTTGAACATTTGTACCACAGTAGAGGGTAATAGGGATTGAGTTCACAATTCTGTCTCTGACCAGCTCAAAATATATTTCTTCTTTCATTTTAGGTAGAAATCTTCCTGTTGCTTTTCTTTTCTATGCTTATCATAAGAAATAAGTGTTTTTGGTTTTGTTTTCATTATTGCAGCCTCTGCACTCTGGATTTATGTACAGATACTTGGTGGAAGCAATTATGTCAAACCTCTCTTGGCACTATCTGCCTGTTGTGGTTAAACATATACCATGCAATGAGTAATCAAGACTGTATTCCAAATTCAACCTTTCTATCATTCTTTTAGTAGAAAACTTCTCCAGGCAAAAGCAAACATTCAGTGCTGTTGCCAGACTTTGATTTTCCTGTATTCTCAAGGATGTTTTAAAGAGAGAAAGAAGTTTTATATTTGGAACTGAAAAAAAATTGCCATAATGTTACTATCAGCAAAGATTATCTGTTTACCTGTCTGTCTCCTCCACTCTTCCCTGAACTCTTTGAGGTATGGTCTTTGAATCTCTGAAGCCTAAAACAGTTAATGACATACAATAGCCATTCAGTAAATATTTACTGAATAAGCCTTCCCTCTGAGGGTTGCACCTGCTCTGAATTGACTTTATGTCTGTCTTCACAATGCTTTGTTAATCTATGAAAGCAGTAAATATCTTAGATCTTTCGGATCAGTATCCCTAGGGTAATGCTTGATTTCACTTTATAAACATATGTGAAAGATAAAGGGTACATAAGGAAACAGAGAAGGGAAGGAATAATCAATGACTCCTTTCATACAGAGGAGCTTGCCTTTCACTTGTCAGAGTGTTGCAGTAAAAAAGTCAAAGTTACCAAAGTTTTTTTTTTTCTATAGAGCATTCTACATGTGTAATTGTATTTTAATGCAGTAATATATTCATGAACTGATGGTGAAATACTAACATATAAAAGATCCAAGAAAACTGAAAATGAAATTGTTTCAGAAAAAAATTGAACTAATATATTTCCTCTGTTACTGCCCAAGACTAAGGAAATACATTTGAAAGCTGTAAATAAATAAATGTATTTAATTCTTCTTGGAAAATTGAGAATAACTTAAGTATTTAACCAGAAGCTAGAACTGGAAAATTCACATTATTGTAAGGATGCTATATACACCTAGTGTATTACATCTGTTATGTAATTTAACCTGCTGCTTTCAAAAACATGGAACAATCATTCCACATTTTTAAAGAAATTTTTGTACAAAACTCTGGCAACAATTTTTACTTTGGGAATTTTCTTCTGAAAATTCACTGTTAGGCTTAAAGTTGAGAAAACAATTTCTTGGGGAAAATGTTAAATTAAATTAAATATCTTGATTCAAATATCACTACAGATCTTAGTTAAATGAAAAAAATGTTCTTTTTAAAATCATTTAATATTAATATATTTCAGAGAAAATAATCATATATTGCAGAATTCAGATATTTTATCTCTCAGTAGTGATAATTGTTGGCCTTAAAAAAATAAAAAGCACGTCTGAGCCATATATTTGTCAAATATATGGCTATACATACCATATATAAGTACCAATGTCATAAAATATTGTTATTCTACAAATTTCTATCTCTGGGTGTAAACACAAACACACATAATATTTAAATGTATAGTAATAACTAATAATAATAATACCGTGGTACTCAATGTTAAAATCCTGAGATCTTAATGAAACTTGCAACTGTTGCAAATTTATTATGAGACCAGTTAAACTATTTGGAATCTAGCTTCATTTGCTGTATAATTATTAACTATATGCAATCTGTTATATTTAGTTTGCAGATCTAATATCAAGATAAAAATGCTAACGTATTTAAAATTACTTTGAGAAATCTTAAATGACATTTGTTTATATGCATTTTTATAAAGCTCTTCAGATTAGTTATTTTACAAACCTCTTCATTTACTATTCTCTACACACATCATACAAGTTGGTAAGTACAATTTACTGTATTTTTCCAGAGATGTTCTTATTTCAGATTCAGATTCCACTACACCTGTTCATTACTCTATGACAAGAACAACAAACCTTCATCACCCGGAAAATATGTTGGTATACTGATGAAACTTTCACTCCCTATTTGCATCTTCATTTTGTCTGGTATGGTCTGTCCAGGACCCTACTTAGCAATTTAGTAATCTGAACATAAGCATATGTCTCTTTAAATGTTTGGCCAGAAACTGGTGTTTCATCCTCTTAGGCATTATGCCATTATGTTGCATTATATAATATAATGGCCTTATGCTCTGACAAGAAGAATTTCCAACTGCCTGTTAAAAATCTTAACAGATGTATCTTTCATATGTGCAGATCACAAGTAAAATATTTGATTCAAGACTGGGTAGTTAGGCTATTGAAAAATTGACTATTTCAATCTTTGTACAGGTACAAATATGTTTCTTCATCTTAGCAGGCACTGCTAAATGTTTCAGCAAAATAAAACACAAACGAATTTGGCGCAAAGTGGGAGGCTTTCTTTCTTAACGGAACCTATTTTATAGAGAGACTCTTTTCCTGGGCAAAGAGATATGACATTTGGGGGTAAGTTTCAGAATCCACACTATCAAAACAATTTATAAGTTGTAAATAGGCTATTTGTTAATATTATAGGTAAATATTTGGATAAAATAATTACCTTCAATTCAGTTTTTTTTAGCATATTTGGACTGCTATGTAGAACCATAGTATAAATGAGTTTTTAGGTGAACAAAAATCTTGTGTTGATACCTTAACTTTCACCTAGTGTGCAATTTTATAAAATGAAATTGAACACTTATTAGGAAGTGTTCGGGTTTTATAAATACACTTTTTAATGTGTAGAAACAGCTTGAATCACTCTGTAAGAAAAGTCTTTTGAACTAATTCTTTTCTTCTTGAGATGATCTCAAAGACTAACAACAAATTTCTGTTCTGAATTCATAGTGTGAGACCTATCTTGAGTTGTGGCTTGCTGTTTCTCAAGAAGAAAATGAAACTATGAGTGCTCAGTTCCCAAACATTCAATATTTAAGAAGTAGCATTGTACAAAAAGACATTAATCATTAAAAAGAAATTCCTTGGATTTTAAGTTTGAGAAATTATTTTCTTGTATTTGACATTATTACATTTTTTTCTTACAAGTCTTTCTAATAAAAAGTTATATTCTCAATGATACACTCTATGTTCTAGAGTTAAATGTTCTCTACTGTAATCTCTCCGGATTTCCTTGGCTTCTTTTGCTCTAACTCTGTTAATTTCAGTCAACTCCTAATGCATTTGGGTTTGACTATTACAATGTTTTTTATTTATATATTTTGTGAAATATAAGATGCCATCAATTAAAAAATACATTATTGATTTAGCTACCCTTAAGAACTCCAACACAGTTAAATACCTATCACACCATACTTCCTTAGAATTTTTATTTTTTATCAATTATAAAATTTTTAAAAATATTTATTTAGTATAGATTTTAAAATAATATATCATCATTTTAAAATGTTGAAGTGGATTCAAATGTACAGACAAGTTACAATAAAGCACAAAAATATTTTTGAACAATTTGAGTGAAAGTTGCCAACATGTTGCTCTATTACCCCAGAATGCTTCAGTTTTTGTTTCTTACAAATATTTCTCATACGTAATCACTATATAGCCAAAAAATTCATGAAATTCACATTGATGCATCATTTTATTCTAATACCAAGATCACATGCAAACTCTGCCAATTGTCCTGATATTGTCCTGTAGAGCATGAACTAGTTCTACATCATTTTTTATTCAGTTGTCATATATACTTAGTTTGGAACTGTTCAAGTCTTCCCTTAGCATTTTATGAATTGACAATGTTAAAAACTACAGAACAATATTTTTTCTAGGACTTTCAATAATGGTGGTGTGTCTGATGTTTCCACATAAAATTAGGTGCAGGTATTGCATCTCTGACAAGAATCTCACAGACTTGATGCAATGGTCTTCTCATTGCAGACTATCAGGTGGCACATGTTTTTTATTTGTCCCATTGCTAATAATGTTCATTTGGATCACATAGTTAAGATTTTGTCTGCCAAATATTTTGACTATGAAATTACATTTTTTGTTTGCTATTAATAATTATTGGGTATGTGTACTTTGAAATTATAAAAATACCATTCTATATCAATATATTCATTGATTTACTTGTCATAATGGACTGATAAAAATCATAGTTTACTCTTCTATTTAATACTTTATAATCTGTTGTTATGAATATTTAAACTAATGATCACATTTTCCTAGATTGGCTAGGGACAACTACTAGCTGGCCTCTGTGCCCTTTTGATATGGCCACATTTTATTTTCTTGTTTCATTTATTTACATACAGTTTTTATGATGAAAATCCATATATACAATAAAATTCACCCATTATAAGTATACTGGTCTATAAATTTTAGTAAGTACATGTAGTTGCACACTCATCATCAGAGTCTAGGCTTAGAACACTTCACTTACCCTAAAACATTAGTCCTTCACCTTGTGCAATCTATCACTACAATCTATCACTATATCAGAAGCCCAAGGCAATCTCTATTCTATTTTCTGTCTCCATAGTTGTGTCTTTTCTAGAAATTTTCTAAAAATGGGATCATCTAAAATGTAGCCTTTTGTGTTAGTCTTCTTTCAATTAACCGGAAAGTAACTCTCTTGATATTCATTTGTTTTGGGATATATCTATAGTCTGCTCCTTTTAATTTATGAAATGTATTCCAAAGCATGAATATGCCATATCAAGCTTATTAATTTGTAGTTGATAAACACTTATAATATTTTCAATATTACAAATAATTCTAGCCTGGATATTCATGTACAAGTGTTTACATGGGCATGTGTTATTTTACTTCACTTTTAGCAATAAATGGAAGAGAGAATTAGCATGGTAGTGAGAGGATCCATTCTGATAACTATTTTCTTAATAAATAAAAGATTTCTCTGTATTGGAAAAGGCAGGACAGAATAATCAGATTTAAATATTAATAGAAAAATTATAGGATAAAAATACTATCTTTAATATGTATGCAAGAAATCATTTTAGACAAAATAAAATTTTAGTCCCACCAGCTAGGTTAAGTTATTGAATCAATGAGTAAGTGATTTAATAAACAAATTAATATACATTGAAAATGTCCTTCAAAGGAATGCATAGACAATAACATAAAGAAAAGACAGATAAATATTAATTTTTTCAAGGCATTCACTAAAAATGTCTAGCTTTAGAAAAATAAATCAATAAAGAAAAATATTGTACATTTCTTAATATAATGTAATTTTTATAAACATGAAATATATAGCATGTGAACTCATGTTCTTCTAAATTTATATTTAAAATAAAAATATTGTAATAACTTATAACATCATGTTTTCTTTTATACTTAATGTATATTTCATTAAATATTACTCATGCATAAACATACATGTTTGAATGTAATTAGTTTGTTTCAATAATACTTGTTTGATATGATTATTCAGCAACTTTTATAAAATATTATATAAAGGCATAATTATTTCCAAAAATCTGAAATACTACAATTACATGTGATTAATTGAGCTATACAAAATAGAAAGTGAAAAGCATTTAAAATATTAGAAAAAAGTATTTTCCACAAACGAAGCTCTAATTCACAGAACTGTCATTATTGCCTCATTTTACTCACACAGAATATAGTACTCGCACAATGATTTTTAAAAATACATATTTTCTTTAACTATACAGACATGATTTAATAACTAAATGTTATTTAGCCTTAAAAATATGACTAGTCTTTGGGAGGCCAAGGCAGGTGGATCACCTGAGGTCAGTAGCTCGAGAGCAGCCTGGCCAAAATGGTGAAACCCTGTCTCTACTAAAAATACAAAAATTGACTGGGGGCGGTGTCGGGTGCCTGTAATCCCAGCTTCTCGGGAGGCTGAGGATGGAGAATTGCTTGAACCCAGTAGGCAGAAGTTGTAGTGAGCAGAGATGGCACCACTGCACTCCAGCCTGAGCAACAAGAGCTGAACTCCATTTCAAAAAAATAAAAATATATATATAGATATATCTATATTTATATACATCTCACTAGTTACATATCTTGTCAAATCAATGAGGATACCAATAAATTCTTCTATATCACAGTTTCTTTCACAGAAACATGAGACAGAGAGAAAAGGAAGGAAGGAAGGAAGGAAGGGAGGGAACTTTCTCAGAATGTACTAAGATAAATTTCCCAATAAAGCCATTAGGTCATAATGTTTAGGAAAGAAACTGCAAATAGGAAATCTAATTGAAGGGAAAAAAGAGAAACAAAACAGCTTATTTCTCATGCATCGTATGTTCTAATGCTTAAGACCATTTTGAAATTTCTCATAAGTTTTAGTACCTAAACTAAGAAACTGTAATCCATGCTTTATGTAGAATAAAATATAAACACTAATAAGAAAAAGTAAGACTAACTTATAGAGATGAATATTTCATACTAATAAATCTTATTTTCTCTTAAGGCATTAATATACCATTTATATCTAAAGTTGGAGATTAAATTTTTTTGTTGATTGTAAAGGTTAAGTTTTGAAAAAAATCATTATTCAATACATTTTATAAAAGAACATCTGGATACATTCCAAGTTCTCTTCATTACCTAGAATGGCAAGTACTAAATATTGGAAAAAGGCTAAATACGTGCACTATTTCTCACCAACACATAAATAAAGGAACCTCAGTTTTTCACTGTGCAAAATGTAGATGTCAACATTTAACTAAACAGTTATTATGAAAACCATAAATAAGAAGTAAACAACATAAATTATATATTCAGTTAATAACATTTTAATAGTTACAATTATATTATTATTACTATTCATGTTGTCAGTATTCCAGATAATTCTTATTTGTTGAATGACCCCTAAATTTCTTTAGAACAATGCAATATACAGATAAGCATCCACTTTACATAGATTATCAATAATAATCTATATATGGTTTGGGAGTCCGTGGAGAGGAGAGAAGCCTGACAAACATTTGGTGAAGTCGATTTATCAAGTATATTACTGATCTGGTTGGTAAATATCTAACTGAATAACTCATTTATTCAACATATCTAACAACTTAATTAGTAAACATACTACATAAATACTAGGTGTTCACTTCATAGTAATATACGGTATCAAGAATAACATTTCTCACAATGCAATTTGCAAATCAACTACCACAACATAATCAAGAAAGCTTTAAGCATAAGAATAAAGAATCTGCATTTTAAATACCCTGTGAGGTAACTATTACACTTTAGCTTGTGAAAACCTTTGCCTATTATTTCAAATATTGTAATAATATAATATCTTAATATCATATAGTAAAATAATTAAGCTGAAATTATGATGTTTTAGTTATTATTTCTTTAAAAGTTATATAGTACACATAAGATGAGAGAATAAGAGAGAGGCTCATGAAAACGATGGCAATAATTCTAATGTTCTATGTCATTTAATTCTTGCCTTATTTAAGAGTTTTAAAGAGAACTAGTTACACATAATTTTATGTTTTTTTAATTTCACTCCCCATTTTAAATATTTGATGAGTTTAAAACCCACATTATTTTTAACTGATTCCACCACAGACTTTTTTTCTTCCAAATAGGTGGGTAACTAATCATACAAAACTGTATTAATGCATGATTACTCTTTTTGAAGTATATCACAGTCACCAGAAAAAGCAGAAATTCTAACTTGCTAACTTGCCACTCAGATCCAAAAACAGATTATGAGCAATATCCCAGTTGTCCTTCCCGTAATCCATACCTTCAAGACCATAGTTTTCACGCCAGAAGGTCATGACTTCTGTCATCATAAATTCATTTTGCGTGTTTCCAACGTTTTGAATGGAATCATACAGTATGTACTTTTTTTACTTGGCTTATATTGTTCAATATGAAAGATTAATCTATGTTTTTGAAGTAGTAGTTGCTAATTTTCCTTCATTTATACATTTTCCATTTTAGGAATATGCTATGATTTACACATCATTCTTCTGTTGATGGAAATTTGAAATACTGATATGGTTGTACAATTGCAACATAACTATTATCATTTTTCCGTGCAACTTCTGATACATATGTGCATTTGTATCTCAGGCATGTATGTAGGAGTGAAGTTAATGGTCATAGTTTATGCATATGTTATGCATATGTTTATGAATAGTTCATCTTTAATATGGCAAACACTCTTGTAAACAGAATGTACAACTTTACAAATTTATGTTATATTTTATATTACATTCATAATTCTATTTATATTATATTTCACTGAAAATAATAGCTCCATTGTTTCATATCCTAGTCCACACTTGGTAGTGTTAAATGTATTTTTAGTTTTAGTCATAAATTTTAAATTCAGTAATAATTCATACATTCTATTATGAATGTAGTAGAATCTTTTAGTAACTTAACTGTTTATTATTTTGATGAAATTTTGATGAAAACAAAAGTTGAATATTTATATGCTTCCTGGGGGGGGCTTTTGAATAACCTCTTCTTGAAATGTCCAAGTAAGTCATTTGTGTGGTATTATTTCCTATTTTGTCTCTTTTAATTATTTATTTGTTTAAGTTATTTTTCTTAAAATGTTTGCTTAGTTATCATATGTATTCAGGACATCCTTTCTTACATTACATGTATATTTTCACTGTGTTAATGGTATGTTTTGTTTAACAAAAGTTTCTAATTTTAATTTACTCCAATTTATCATTTTTTTCTATACGAATATTGTATTTATGGTGCGTTTAAGAGTAGTCGACAACTGAAAGTTCAGTAAAATAGTTTCCTTTGTCATGTTCTATCTTTAATTCTTTTTGTCATCAATATTGAGGTCTAATCCTACATGGAAATAATTTTTGTTCTTATTGAAAAGTACAAAACACACTTTTTTTTCAATAGATATTCAAAGCTAAACATAATCCATCCCTGCTGCTCCTACCATCCATGACTTACACCAAGGATCCATATATATGGAATCTTTTAGAGTCTATTTTGCTTCATTAGTCCATTATTCAATTCCTTGGCAAATCTCAGTCCTAATTTTCATTGCTTCATTTTTTTTTTATCCTCTATGGCTTTTATTTTAGATCCAGGGGATACACACGCAGGTTTGTTTTATGGATATATTGTGTAATACTGAGGTTTGAGGTATGATTGAACACATCACTCAGGAAGTGAGCAGAGTAGCCAATGGGTATTTAATCCTCATTCTTCTTCCCACCCTCCACCCTCAAGTAGGCCCTGATGTCTGTTGTTTCCTTCTTTGTGTCCATGTGTACTCAATGTTTAGGTCTCCCTTATAAGTGAGAACACCTGGTGTTTGGTTTTCTGTTTCTGCATTACTTTGCTTAGGATAATGGCCTCAAGATGAATACATGTTGCTGTGAAGGACATGTTTTCCTTTCTATGGCTGCATAGTATTCCATGGTGTATATGAACAACACTTTTTAAATCCAATCCACTGCTGATGGGCATCTGTGTTGGTTCCATGTCATTGCTATCATGAATAGTGCTGCAATGAACAGAGCATGTGCCTTTTTGGTAGAATAATTTATTGTCCTTAGGATATATACTCAGGAATAAAATTCCTGGGTTGAATAGTAGTTTAACTCATGTCTTTGAGAAATCTCCAAAGTGCTTTCCAAGTGGCTGAACTAATTTACATTCTCACCAACAGTGTACAAGTGTTCCCTTTCCTCCACAACTCCTTCAACATCTGTTTTTTCTTGTTTTGTTTTGTTTATTCTGTTTTGTTTTGATTTTTTTATTTAAAAGCCATTCTGGCTGGTGTGAAATGGTATCTCATTGTTGTTTGGATTTCTTTTTTTTTTTTTTTTTTTGAGACGGTCTCGCTCTTGTCCCCCAGGCTGGAGTGCAATGGCATGATCTCAGCTCACTGCAACCTCCGCCTCCTGGATTCAAGTGATTTTCCTGCCTCAGCCTCCCAAGAAGCTGGATTACAGGAACCTGCCAACACGCCTGGCTAATTTTTGTATTTTTAGTAGAGACGGGGTTTCACCATGTTGGCCAGGCTGGCCTCGAACTCCTGACTTCAGGTGATCCGCCCATCTCGGCCTGTTGTTTTGATTTCTATTTCTCTAATGTTAGTGATGTGGAGCTTTTTCCCCATGTTTTATTGGCTGCTTGTATGTCTTCTTTGAGAAGTGTCTGTTCATGTCCTGTGCCCAGTTTTTAATGGAGTTATTTCTTTTTTCCTGTTGATTTGTTTAAATTCCTTATAGATCCTGGGTATTAGATCTTTGTCAGGGTCATGGTTTGCAAATATTTTCTCCCATTCTGTGAGTTGTCTGTTTAGTCTGTTGAGATATCTATCTATCTATCTATCTATCTATCTATCTATCTATCTATATAAAATTTTTTTTTCTGTGCAGAAAGTCTTTTATTTAGTTAGGTCCCACTTGTCAATTTTTGCTTTGGTTGCAATTGATTTTAAGGAATAAGCAATAAATTCGTTGCCAAGACCGATGTTGAGAAGGGTTTATACAAATATAGATATATGCAAGGTAATTCCTCATCTTTGCCCCTAAGATTATTTGTAATTTTATCACATAAATTTTATTTTATTTTACTTTTTTAAATTTAATTTTAATTGAGAAATAATAATTGTATGTATTTATCATGCATACCATGTTTTCAAATATGTACATATTGTATGGCTAATTGAAATATTCAACATATGCATTACTTCACATACTGATCTTTTTTTTGAGGTGAGAACACTTACAATCTACTCTATTAATGATTTTCAAGTGTGCCATATATTGTTATTAAATATAGTTACCATGTTGTTTAATAGATCTGTTGAACTTATTCTCCTGTCTAACTGACATTTCGTGTCTTTCAACCAACATTTCCCCTACTTCCACCCTCACCACCACACACCATTTTACTCTGCTTCCATAAACTCAAATTTTTTAGATTCCACATATGATATGCTTTGGATATTTGCCCCTCCAGATCTCTTGTTGAAATGTAATCCCCAGTGTTGGAAGTGGGTGGGACAGGGTGGGAGGTATTTGGGTCATTGGGATGGATCCCTCATTAATGGCTTGCTGCCCTTCCCGTGGTAATGTGTGCCTTCTTGCTATAAGTTCACATAATATCTGGTTGTTTTAAATATGTGGCACTTCCTCTTCTCTCCTTTGCTCCCACTTTCACCATGTGACATGCTGGTTCCATCACCTTCTGCCATGAGAAAAAGATCTCTGATATTCTCACCAGAAGCCAAACAGATGTCAGCACCATGCTGACATTTTATCTCCTTAGTTAGATATATACCTAAATATTTTATTTTTGTGTGTCTATTGTAAATGTAATTGTGATCTTGATTTGGCTCTCAGCTTGAACCTAATTGGTATATAAAAATGCCATTGATTAAGTTATGTAGTTTAATCAGTAGCCTTTCTATTCTCAATAGCAAAGACATGAAATCAACCTAAATGCCCATCAATAAGAGACTGGATAAAGAAAATGTGCTATATATACACCATGGAATATTATGCAGCCATAAAAAGAAATGAGATCATGTCCTTTGCAGGGACATGGATGGAGCTGGAAGCCATTATCCTCAGCAAACTAACATAGGAACAGAAAACCAAACATCACATGTTCTCACATAAAAGGGAGAGTTGAATAATGAGAACACATGGACACACAGCGGGGAACAACACACACTGGGGCCTGTTGGGGCAGGGTTGGGAGAGAAAGCATCAGGAAGAATAACTAATGGATGCTGGGCTTAATACCTAGGTGATGGTATGGTCTGTGTAGCAAACCACTATAGTACATGTTTACCTACGTAACAAATCTGCACATCCTGCAGAAGTACCCCTGAACTTAAAATAAAAGTTGAAGCAAAAAAAAAAAAAAAAAAGAAATGCTATTGATGTTTGTACATTAATTTTGTGTCCTGAAACTTTACAAAAGTCATTAATCTGATCCAGGAGATTTTTAACAAAGTCTTTAGGGTTTTCTAGGTATTGAATCATATAATCAGTGACAAAAGATAAGTTGACTTCTTTTCCTATTGGATGCACTTTGTTTCTTTCTCTTTCCTAATTGCTCTGAGTAGGATTTCCAGTGCTATGTTGAATAAGACTGGAGATAATAAGCACTTTTATCTTGTTCTAGTTCTCAGGGGGAATGCTTCCAGCTTTTGCCTATTCAGTATAATGTTGGTTATGGGTTTGTCATAGATGGCTCTCTAATATAAAATTATAAAAATTTATACAAGATTTATGAAAATCTTACCTTATACTCCAACTGATTAAAATGAGATATATTTGTTTGTAAGGTTTAATTAAGATTAGCTTTAACCTAGAAATTTTAAAATCAGATTGCCATCTTTCTCTCTCTCTGTCTCATACACACACACCAATACACACACACACACACACACACACACACACAAAACACTCTGAAGTGTTAAGTGGAAATATATTGAATTGTGTTACTATCATTCTTTGAGTATTACTTAACTCTCAGATAGGAGATATTCCAGAATCTTCTTGTATTCTCCATGCCCCAGCCCATAAATCCAACGAGACTTGGTGCCCTTTTGTAGAAAATGGTATTTGAAATCCAGAATATAAACACTAGATTTGCTCAGAGATATTGGAGGATTATTGTTTGTTTCAGCACTTATGAAACAGATGTCTAAAATGAGAATACATATACACACATGCACACGAACATGCTAAAATCTATCTTTATTTATCAACTTACCTATTTTATCATCTACCTATTATTTATCTATCTATCTACTAATCTATCTTAGATGAGATTAGACTTATCCTTCCAAACACTATTAAATGCCACATGGTTTACTTTACACTTCTTGTTTTATTAGTGATCTCTTCTGCAACACTGAGAAATCTAGCTCAGTATTGCAGAAGAGAGAACTAATAAAATATCATAGATACATACTTCTCAAATATGTACTTATATCTTTTTTCAGTTTTCTTGTATACTAACAGCCAACAGTTCAAGTGATCTCTGACTGGCAATGCCCCACTCATGACAACACCATCCAAACATGTTCTTCCTCTGTCCCAGCAGCACTCAGCTACAGATTTGATACACACAAAAGCTTCTACTGGTCACATGCCAGTCAGATCAAGAAATCCCCTCTAGCCTTAATGGTGCCCCACACTAAGGTTACTCCTGATTCTCCTCGTGACAGCAAAAAGATTAAAGAGGTTGAATATTCACTTGCTGAGAGATGATCACCAACCTTGCAATCCTATATAAGATAGACTTTTAGTTACTATTTTGTCCAGGAGTGTTGCACTGAAATTTTAGATAGATAGATTAGCATGTACTTTTTTTTCTTTGAAAAATTTGGTTTCAAGTTTATTCCACTTTTATTAAAGTTAGTCATAGAGTAGTCTTAAGTTATTCCCTGAAAAAAAAATGTGTGTGTGTGTGTGTGTGTGTGTGTGTGTGCATGTGTGTTCTGAATGTGATTTGCAGAGTAGTTGAAGGGACCAGCAAACAGGTGAGCTTGATAATACTATCAAAAATAGAGAGAGAGAGAAATACAACATTCACATCTATCTGAAATGGAATCAGTTTAACTCTTTACCATAGAGTGACTATGTTTTGTTGAATGAATTTAAAGAATCTTATTTTTGTGATTATTTATACTAACTGTTCCCAGATTTAGTTAAAAGGTATGGCAGTTTTAAATGCATTAAATAATTTCAATTAGTTTTTGTGTGTATACTTTGAATGCACAGCTAATATTTTTAAATGCTTTTGGAAGAAAAAATCTATAATATAGAAAATTAGTGAAAACTGAACAACTTGATGATTCATTGTGCTCTAACAAACTCCCTTTCAATGGGATCTAAGTAATAAATACAACACACAAAATTTTATTTACATACTTAACTATGGATATAGAAGAAATACTTAATAAGTACATTATATAGTCCACATAATATACATTTTAATATTAACAAATCTTACTATTTTAGATATTGTGGTTATTAGTTGCTAAGGTAAAAATAAGAAATATTACACAAATTCAAAAATGATTGTATTTTCAAAAATATACATAATCCTCTCAATATGACGTATTGTATCAGATGAATAAAAGTATCTTTTTTAGAATGCATATCTCTTAAATTTCAATGCTCATGAAAATTTTATTAATTTTGATACATATATGCTAAGATGAAATTACTGACGTGTATATTCACATAGTAAAATTTTGGCTGCCGGTTTCTCAAACTGAAAAAGAGAAAAAAGTGATTTTCCCTTTTCATAAGTCAAATACCTTTTAGGGTTTAGATTGAGATAGTCACTACACTTGTCAGAGTAACAAAAATATACTAATGTTTAGAAGCTTCTATTCCGGCTTTATTGTTTCTTAGATAGATTGTTTTTACCTAATATAATATATGAATAATACAAGTTCAGTTAAAAATGATAGCAATAGAAACTCATAACAAGAAGCACAAAATTTTTGATATTAATAATTTAATGGAGATATAATTTCCTCAGAAACATTAGTTTTAAAGAGGGAGACAATAAACAAAATTAATTTCTCATCTATAACAAATGTCTCTTATGTGCTACAAATCAGTATATTTGAAATTCAATCTAATAATATTTCTATTTTTTTCAATAAAGCATATAACCAAATAACAGAATTAGAATAGTGTTATGAAGTGGCAAATGTTTATGAGCGGATTAGAACTGCAATTCTTTTTCAGGCTGCCTTTTATTTATTTATTTTTTAAAAGACAAATGTTCCTGCTTTGAAAAAAAATGTAACTTTAATGATGTTTTGTAATAAAGTTTTTTTGAAAACATATGACACAGCCTAATTATTTTTGGGTGTACGGATATTTTAACAATTTATATATCAGTACTGGCATATTGCTTTTTAATTAAGTAGAGTGTTAATATGTTAGATATGAAATCTTTATTTTTATTTTAATGGGATGCTATTTATAACTGGATTTAGGCATCTGGAAATAATACAAGTATTTCCAAAAGGTTGTAAAAAATAAAATTGTTGCATAAATAATACAATAAAACATTCATTTGGAATCATTATTTTATAGCAAACACTAAAATGGTTCAATGTGAATGCACTAAACCCTTTATTTTCTAACCACATTTTTATCCAAGAGAAAACTAAACTTTAGAAAAATATTTAAATCTGTTTTTCTTGTCTTTCTTTTTATGTGTGTCTTTCTTTTGTTTTCGTGTTTTAAGATACAAGATTAAGCACAGTACAAAATGAAAAAGGAGACGTTACAACTGAAACCACAGAAAGACGAAACATCTTTGGAGGCTAGTATGAATATCTCTACGCTCACAAACTAGAAAACCTGCAAGAAATGGATAAATTTCTAGAAGTATAGAACCTCCCAGGATGAACCAGGAAGAAATAGAAATCCTGAACAGATCAATAATGAGTAGTGAAATTGAATCAGTTAATTAAAAACTTCCCAGCCAAAAACAATAAAAACAGCCCAGTACCAGATGGATTCACAATCAAATTCTACCAGTAGTACAAGGAACTAATACCAATTCTTTGAACTGTTCAAAAACATTGAGGAGGGAATCCTCCCTAACTCATTCCATGAAGCCATTTTCTCAAACATATAATGTGTATCTATTATATACTTTTGTGTTATGGCAATAAAAATTAAAATGGTTATGATAAGAACATTTAGTACACCTTTCTCAAACACTACCATATTTCATAATTGAATTTTCTGTTGCTCTCATCATCCGGAGATGAATCAAATGTAGATGGAACAAAAGCTGAATTGGTTTTAAGAGGTAAGGAACGCTCATGGTTAATTAGACCATTGGTAAAAGTGCTTTTTTGTCCAGTGCCTTGGCAATAAAAGAACCAAAACCAAAAAAAATCTTTGACAGGCACTAGGTCTTCTTTACTTCAGGTTATTAAAATATACCATTGTTTAGAAAATGCCTGAATTAAACCGTTCACCTGGTTGGTCTTTTCTTATACAGTTTTTCAAAAATTTTCAAGTAATTTTGTAGAAAAGTTTTGGGTTGTGAGTATAGAGATTTTACTGGGATGGGGGTATGAATATTTGCTCAACATTTATAGCAGAGTTTTTAATATAGCAGAAATAAATTAAATAACTCATTTTTTAATGAGAAAGAAATAACTGGTCAAAAATTTAAGCCAATTGTCAAGGGTGCAATGACGTTCTGTGTTTATATCATAATCTTAAATTTACAGATTTATCAATATTTTTAAAGCTTTCATTCCTACATAAGGAAGAAAACACTAATTTAATTGTTCATGTATTCATTTATTCTTGAAAGAATTCATTTAGCTAATAAAATATTTATTGGGAGCCAACACCAGGCACTACAAGTAATATGGTGATTAAGACTTCTGTTCTTCCCATTTGTGAAGTTTGCATCCTAATGGGTTACAAAGACAATAAATCAGAACCTTAAGCTGGGGGCATCAGAGAACATACCTGTAAACATTACAATCGATCTTTGAATAAAATTCCCTTGAAAAGCTGAAACAGCAATTACAAGGAAAAAATAATTAAGAGTTTAGAAGCATGAATGTGCATCCATAATCAGTGTGGCAAAGGCATATGTGGACACACCAGTGGATTTTAGTTAAACCTATCACTGTCAGCAGAAATGTAGTTTGGGGCAGTGAAACATATTACTAATACATAAAACACATTAGACTTTTTGTCAGAATTTAAAGTATTATAGGTGGAATAAGTCTAATATCACTTTGGTAGATAAAAGTGGAACTAGATATAGGACTAATTTAATAATCAAAGCAAAAATTAATTGAAGAATGAAAAACATAAGAAACTCGAATGAGTCCAATTTGCCTACTGTCACCAAAATAAACTCCTTCTTTACCTGAATGAAAAAAATATCTAAGCACATCTATTTCTCTTGTCTATTTTGCCTCTGGGACACCTCACAAACTACAATAATTACTACTTCTTGTGAACCCTGAGATTCAAAACAGTAGGATATTAATAAAAAAAACCAACTGTTACAAAAATTTCAGTTGATTTGTTTGATTTTCCCCTTTATATAATTCAAGGAGTCCAATTGTGCAAATCAACTATGAAAAAGAAGAAATGAGAGGCAGTCCATATATCCACTTTTTAACTTAGGAACTGATTTAAAATCTTACTACTCATCCTGCTCTGTTTCTCTTTTTTGTTTAGGTTTAAACATATAAATAACCCATCTGACCAGTTTGTTTTACTGCTATTGAGTTGCTTAAGTTCCTTATAGATTTTGGATATTAACCCCTTATCAGATATGCCATTTGCAAATATTTTTCCCAGTTGAGTTGTCTCTTCACTTTCTTAATTTTTTTCTTTTGCTGTACAGAAGTTTTTTAGTTTGATGCAATCCTATTGTCTATTTTTGATTTTGTTTCCTGTGCTTTTGGGGTTCTTTCCAAAAAATCATTGCCCATGCCAGTGTTGTGGAGCTTTTCCCCTTTGTTTGCTTTTTTAATACAACTTTTTATTTGTATGCATTTAGAAGTACAAACATAGTTGTCTTACATGGATATATTGGGTAGAGGTGAAGTTGAGGCTTTTATTGTCACTATCACCCAAATAGCCTACCTTGTATCCAATAGGTAATTTTTTATCCCTTGCCCCTGTCCCATCAACACACATCATTCTATTCTGTGTGTTCTTGTATAACCATTGTTTAACTCCCACTTATAAGTGAGAATGTGTGGTTTTTCACTTTCTGTTTCTGAGTCATTACACTAAAGATAATGGCCTCCAGTTGCATCCATGTTGCTGAAAAATGTATGGTTTCTTTTTTACACCAGAGTAATATTCCATGGTTAACATATACCACACTTTTAATCCACTCATCCATTTCAGGACATTTAGGTGGATTCCATAACTATGCTTTTGTGAATAGTGCTGCAATAAACATATAGGGCAGGTATCTTTATGATAAAATGATTTATTTTCCTTTAGTAAGATACCCAGTAGTGGGATTCCTGGATCAAAGTGTAATTCTATTTTAAGTTCTATGAAAATTCTGCATAATGTTTTCCATAGAGATCGTGCTAATTCACATTCCCACCAATAGTGTATAAGCATTCCCTTTTTCCTCTTCTAAGTGCTACTTTTCATTTTACATATTGGAAGCTATTCATAATAGGTTCAATTCTGTGATTTGTTTTTATTAATTCTGATTTTACTCTATACTGTTTTATAAGTTTTGGGTTTTAAAATAAAAATATATCATTCAAAATTCAGACTTTTGTAAGGCATATAAAAGTTCATTCATAATATCATTCTTATTGACTTTTCTAATATCATCTTCTGCTTCTTCAATTGTAATTTAAATTCAAGTTACAATATACTGTGAGTAGTGATATCATTTGGATGTGTGCCCTGTCCAAATCTCATGTTGAAATGTAATCTCCAGTGTTGGAGGTGGGCCTAATGGGAGATGTCTGGGTCATGGGGCAGATCCCTTATGGATGGCTTGATATCATGCTCATGGTAATGAGTGAGTTATCTCTTTAGTAGTTTACATGAGATCCATTTGTTTAAAAGAGCCTGGCACCACTTTCTCCTGTTCTTGCTCCCTCTCTTGCCACATGGCATGCTAACTTCCTTCACCTTCCGCCATGACTGTAAGCTTCCTGAGTCCTTCACTAGAAGCAGATGTGAGTACTAATATTTGTATATAGCCTGCAGAACCATGAGCTAAATAAACCTTTTCTTTATAAATTACCCAGCTTCAGGTATTCCTTTATAGCCATGCAAATGGCTAACACAGTGGTTTCTTCAATTTATTATATTGCATGAGGGTTCTTTACACATAAGCAGTTCTGTTTGTGTAAAATATATTTTCATCTTGCCTGCTGCTGGTTTTCAATTATTTATTCTTTCACATATCCATTGATTCCAGTAGTTTTTGAGCCTTACTATGTGTTGAACACTCTTCTAGGTATTAGAGATAGCAACAGTTTAAAAAAGCAAGATTTCCTCATTAAATTTACAATCTTCCTTTAAAGACTTTTTATCTAAGAATCTATTTCATGAGTCTTGCCTATTCCTCCAACCATGTTGCTCTCACAACACTGCCCAATGTTAACATTAATGTAGGTTTACATTGTGCTTACATTAGAGTCACCTTAATATACTGAAGGTGTCATGAGGACAGGAGACATGTTTGAACTATAGACGAGTGTATAGCATATTATCAGTAGTTAATACTTATTGGTTTAATAAATAATGTGTTTACTTATAACCTATGTTAACAAGCCCTTATATACTGATAATTAAGCAACACTTTTTTTTTTTTTTTTCATGAGATGGAGTCTTGCTCTGTTGCCCAGGCTGGACTGCAATGGTGCGATCTTGGCTCACTGCAACCTCCGCCTCCTAGGTTCAAGTAATTCTTCTGCCTCAGCCTCCTGAGTAGCTGGGATTACAGGTGTGTGCTAGCACGCCCAGCTAATTTTTTGTATTTTTAGTAGAGATAGGTTTCCCCATGTTGGGCAGGCTGCTCTCGAACTCCTGACCTCATGATCCACCCACCCCGGCCTCCCAAAGTGCCGGGATTACAGGTGTGAGCCACCGCACCCAATCACAATATTTTTAAATGCTATATAGCCTTAGTGATATTCTAATTCTTTAATTTTGTCAATCAGAAATATTGACAGCCAGATTGTATCTCTGATTTTCTTTCATGTTCATAGAGAGTGTGTGTGTGTGTTTTTAGATGAAGTCTCACTCTGTTTCCCAGGCTGGAGTGCAATGGTGTGATCTCGGCTCACTGCAACCTCCGCCTGCCGGGTTCAAGCAATTCTCATGCCTCAGCCTCCTGAGTAGCTGGGATTACAGGCTCCCGCCACCATGCCCGGCTAATTTTCTTTTGTATTTTTAGTAGAGACAGGGTTTCACCATGCTGGCCAGGCTGGTCTTGAATCCCTGACTTGAATCAAGTGATCCACCCCCCTCGGCCTCCCAAAGTGCCGGGATTACAGGTGTGAGCAACTGCGCGCGGCCGAGAGTGTTATGCAGTTTTCTAAAAGCAGCAAATATAACTTCCTGGTAAATAGGTTAGGTTTTATGGCAAGGAATATTTTTAAAATATGTGATTCTTTAGCATTACAAACATTTATTATTATTATTTTTTAAAGAAGAACTTTAACAGTTACCTCTCATCAATATTGTGGCATCTAGTATTTTTAGGGGAATACGTTAGAATGTCCTTAAGATCATGGTTAGTATTTTCTTATCTTTTATTTAATGTATATTTTCCTGAATATAGAGCTTATCTCCCTAATTAATTTAAATAGCTAGGTGGTCTTTTCGGTTTACCTCATGTGCAATAATATGCAATCCCTCTTGGTTGATAATGCACTACTGATTGATTTAAAAATGTTAGTTTTAAAAATGATGGTATATATCCAAATGAAACAAACTTAAAAAAAATCTTAGAAGCACTTGCACTGAAATTATAGGTATTCCAAATACATAAATTAAAAATAGAAAACAGACTATAATACGTAGGAAAGTATAATATAGTATATAATGCTATAGCATGATCTTGTTTATATACAAATAGATTTTACCATATAAATCTCTATTTCTTGAATATGCTTCTATATATAGTTTTAACTGTTTTGCTTAGCATTTTCAAAAATGTATACAATGAATATTAATAAATGTAAAATTGTCAAGAAATGTCAATTTTAAAAAACTTAAATTTTATTTTAATGTGTAATTGTAAAACTAATTATATGTTACCAAATAAAGATATCATGGGGATTGAATATTAGATAAGATAGATGGGTTTGCTTAATTTTGCATTTTTATTTTGCTGTCATTGGTAGCACTTCCATTATGTGTCCTGCATCAGCATTTTTCCTATATCCTCTCTTTTAATATTTTTTCTTTTTCAATTCCCCTTTTATGTCAGACATATTCCCAATACTCTTCATTCTTAATGTATTAAGCATGACTGGCATTTAAAAAATCAATTTAACTTTGTTTGTTTAACAAAAATCTATGTAGCTCTATTATGTGCCAGTGTCTACATGCTTTATGATAACAACTCAATCAGTCCTCATAACAAGGATATCAGGTAGTTACTTCTTTTTTTGTTCATTGTATAGGTGGGGTAATTGAGGGCTGGAGAGATTAACTTTCCCAATAACTCACAGTCAGTAGGGATAGAGCTCAGATTTGAAGCGAGGCTCCAAATTCTAGGTTCTTACCTTATATATGTTTCCTCAGTTTTAAGTAGGGTATTTGATTTGCATTTCCATCCCTAACTTGTTAAATTCGATTATCCCTTCCATGTATAATAGAGTATAAATTAAAAATATAATTTTAAACTTAAATTTAATACCATTTTTTTGGAATGAATTGATCTGTGCCTGTATGAGAATGCAAAGACAAGGAGGCCATAGATAGCATGATTAACTGTAAGTGAGATACAAACCAAAGCTGACTTACAAACTTATTAATATGACAATGTTAACATAATATTTGTTATAAAATGTAATCAAAGAAAATTTTAGGGAGTAACTGATTTCAGAAATTATATATTTCCTTCGTGATTGTTGCAAAAAATGTCTCGGGAGATAATCATCTAAGAACACCCACGCAAGGGTGGGACTAATGTTCATTAGATGAGTGGTTGACACTTTCATGATATTCACTCATAAGATCACTACCCTGTTAAAGCATGTGCTGTTTTATTTTTAATCATGCAACTCAATTATATTCATTGTTATTTCTCATAAAATGTGTTGAAGATACTTCAATAAAATAAAATGTTTAACAATGATGATACACACTGTTTTTCTGGCTTCTTGTGAAATGCAATTTTTTGTGACATTATAGCTTGAGTTAGTAAACACAAATTATTGTTTCCATCTCCTGGAAACAATGACGACTGGAACTATTATACTGTGCAGTATCCTAAGACCTGATTTATTTTATTTATTTATACCAAAATTCACACATCCATGAAGTAAAGCAGTTATTTCGTTATGCCTCTTTCCATCCAACTATATTGCTTATTAATTCTAGTATCAGTAGTGTGTATGTAGCCATTGTGAATGAGTATGTCTAAGGTAGGATAATTTTCTTTCAAAATAAAATGAATTTCAATATTCTTAAAACCATATTAGAAATTTATCAAAATATCCAGACTAATTAAATAATGTATCTACCATAGAAATTCTTATTTTCTATCTCACACACATGGGCCTACAGTTTTAAGTTAAAGACAGCTGACTTGCTTTTGTAAGAAGTAAAATTTATAATTCAGGAGTCAGTTGAGATTGCAAATGAATAGTGGTTTTTGCAAAAGATACAT
Organism: Homo sapiens; assembly: GCF_000001405.40. Taxonomy (NCBI): domain Eukaryota; kingdom Metazoa; phylum Chordata; class Mammalia; order Primates; family Hominidae; genus Homo; species Homo sapiens. The sequence continues at coordinate 56,550,493 of NC_000013.11, forward strand.
AATTAAGATGGGAAATAGCTTTGGTCCAAAATAAATACAGTCTCAGCTATATATTAATATTTATTCACTAGAAATGAAAAAAAAATCCATTATATTATGTTTTGTTTCCTTGTGTATATTTCAATTTAAAAAAGTAGAGAAAAAGGATAAAACGAGTATATTAGAATTGATCCACATTCATCACTGCTTTTAAAAATAAAAGAGATTCTCTATCAATAAAACATCTCACTGTTTTTATAATAATTTTTAGGAGAAATCAACATTATTGTAACATGAATAATAAAAAACATAAATGAGTAGCTAAAATTTCAATGCTACTCTTGTAAAAACACTGAAACACTGAACTGTAAGCATCCTTATTTAGTTGCAATAAATATTGAAGTGTTTGTGGTTTCTACACCTTACTTAGAGCTTGTCAAATATATTTGTAATTCTTCTAAATTATACATTTATTTGGGTAAGAAAACTATTACAGCACAGTACTTTGGGAACCATTTACAGGAAAGGAAATTTTTTTCTGTGTTTTCAATTTTTATGTATTTTAGACTAGATTGTATTTACAAGGATTTTCTTCTGTAAATTTTAAGGATGAAGATACCATCTTGTATTGATATCAATAATAAATTTATCATAAATATCGTACATTTTAAAATTTGTCTTATCGCTTAGGTAAAGTTCAGAGAGAAAACCATCCCATTATATAGACAAATGATTGATTGTTAAATTAAGAGATTTTAATTTAAAATATTCATTGAGTATAAACTGATTTTAGAGAACGAATAATGTATTATGTCCAGAATATGTTGTATGTTGTTCTATGTATTATATTTATAGATGACTAAATGCATGTGTAGAATGTAGAAATTGAATTCTGAAATCAATATAAGCAATTATAAATTAATGTAGCTCCTTCAGAAAGTGAAATTTCACAATGTAATTCTGTATTTTTTTGACTGAAGTAATAAAAAAATGTAAAACTACTTTCATAATGAAGTGATTTTTTTTGCCTTTCTTATTCTGTGTATTTCTAGTGAAAAATGTGAACATGTACCTCAATAAACACCAGAACAATCACAGAATATTATATATTTATTATTAAGATAATGTTTATAGAGTTTTAAATAATTAAACATGTTTGCTTTCAGGTCAGAAAAATTTATCTAAAATAAGAGAACAAATGTTATAATATGTGTTTTTTAGTAGTATAATTTCAAAAAAAGCTTTATACGTAAGTCAAAATTTTACTTTTAATTTTTTATGTCATAAATTGTGCTTTATTTTAGTCATAATCTTTATGTTATCATAAGTTTTATTGACTTAGTCAAAAAATCATTTAGATTTAAATGTAGTAACATTCCATTTAAATAAAAAAACTCCCTGACCTCCAGAATACCTTACAACATTTACAATTTGCATCTGCAGAGGTGGTTTGCATGCAGGCTTAAATGTATTTCTTGAGGTACTTTACTATACAATTATAGATCTTGAATCTACCAGTACAACTGCATCAATTTTTAAGAGAAGCCTAACAAAATAAACATCGAAGATAGATTTTTTTGGCTTTAAGTAGAATGAACTATTTTCCCAATCCCATGCAAACTTACACAAATAAAATACAAGTTACCATTTGGAAAAATATGTTTGGTATTTGTTGTTTTTCAATAAATTTACCTTGATTAAGTTTGATAAATGTGATCCTAAAATCAGCTCCCCTTTAGAATATCCTGTGTTTCTTTTGTTCTCAGCTAGAAGCTATGGTTTCTAAAAGTTAAAAACAATAAGAGCAAAGTTTCTTGACTGGACTCTTGGAATATGGCACAGATTTTGGTACCTGTTATAAATTTATATACCCCACTTAAAAACCAAGCAAAAACATAAAAATATAAAATTACAATATTTTTATGTTTACATGCACTGACAATAAGTAGAGACATAATGCTTGAATTTGAAATGCTAGGGCAATAATTGTGCTCTGGGTAAGAAATCTTTCCATTTCTCCTGGGTCATGTGGGCAAACACTGACCCTTTTCTGATTTTAATTCAATTGCCAAATGTCTCACTTTATACTGTGGTAAAATTCTCAGGCATTCATTTTATAGTACAGATAGACAATTTTTTTGCATAAAATTGCTATGTTTGGTTAAATGTGTAGCCAAGCGACCACATAATTTCCTTTTTAAAAAACATAGCTGTGCTTTAGCATTTGTAAGACTGTGATAACCATTAATATAGCCTTTAAATGTATATCCACAGAAGCAGTTATTTTTATCATATTCATGAAGCCTGAATATTCTGGTACATGCAAATATTCTTTAAAACCAGGAGCTACATACTCCACAAATAGATATATGGAGATCAGATAAGTTATTTTTCCCCTAGGTTTCATCTTATATTCTTGAAAAAATTTTGTGGTAATAGGTTAGATTAATAAAAATTAGGTACCAAACTAAAACCGGCTTCTTACAACTTTCCTGACAACTTTCCAATCAACAACAATTGATTTAAGGTAGAAGAAACGAAGAGAGACACATAAATTCAAAACATAACTCTTCTTTAAAAAATGGTGATTATGATAGTGCCTACATCATAGAGTTGTCCACATACATATAAAGCCCTTAGAATTATATTTGGCTTACATTAACACTTTGTAATCATCCAATATCACATTTTATGTCAAATGCTTAGAGGAAATTAAATAAATGATGGTAGGTATACCAGACAGTTATTTAAAACTTTGGTCAATTTAAACTGCAATTGTTGTTGAGTCTGGAACATTTCCCATCTGACTCTGGGTTGGCTTAAGTCCTATATCATGGCTAACATCATTGATTACTCATTAACTTGCTCAATAATTCTTTTGCCATTGATTTCTTAGTAACCCACATCAATCTATACAGGAACTGACCTTATCAAATCTGATCATTTTATATTTGAGCTAAGTCACAGCGCAAGTGACTTGATTATTTCTATATTATATAATCAAACAATGTCACCTGACATTTTTTTAGACTCAATAAAGTCTAGCAATTTGGCTTAGGCAGTACAGTCAAGATCTGTCATTATCTTTGTGTTGGCACATGAAGTGAACATCACTGAAAAAGCTCTTTGGAGATCATTCACCTAATAAATTCTGTTATGTTTGTGTATAAAGCTCTCCTCCTTCTCTAGCCTGGGACCCTACCAAAAAACCATCATGAAACTGGAAAAATGTTCATTAAGTTATTATATTATGAAGAGTATATGTTCATAGAGTTTTGTGTGAATTGAACTCCAAATTTTTTAAATCCTGAGATGAATATTTGAACTTAGCTCGTTTTTATTGCAGTTTAAAGACATACTACATGAGATAGGAAATTTTTGTGTAACTATAATTCACTTAAATAAAAACATAATAATATAAACCTCACCTGTAGATTGGGTAAGGATAACTGACAAAACAAAATTGCAAGTTCTGTTTTAACACTTCCTCTGTTCTTATCACCATCTCATCACACACCCTGACACATTTTCTTTGAATATATACATATATAAAAACATATATATAAATTTACATTTATATAAATTATTTTCACCTTAAAGGCATCATTTTTATTAAAAGTAAAATTTCTCTAGCATGCCATTAAATAGAATTGCTTATATATGTACGTGTGTGTATTTACATGTCTGTATGTATGTGTATATGTGTGTGTGTGTGTGTGTGTGTGTGTATTATATATATATAAACATATATTTTTTTTCTGGTCTCTGCACTGTAGGAATAGACAGTCTAGTGTAGTTGTTTTATATATATATTATAATATATAATATATAATTATATATAATATATACAACATAAATATATAATATATATTATATATAATTATATATTATATAATATATATATATATTTTATATATATATGTGTTTTCTGGATCCAGGGCTTCATATTAACCTCATACTTACTGATTATATAAACTTGGGTAACAATTTTTCTATAATTAATTTTCCTCACATGTAAGATGAAAAGAAGAAAAATAAGAAGGTGGAGGGGGAGAAGGAGGTGGAGAAGAAAAGGAAGAGAACTGGGTTAATTTAAAGAATAAATAAATTAAAAATCTTAGAATAATAATGATATGGAGAAGTAAGTAAATGTTTTATTTTATTTCACAGTGGGAATAAAAGTTTCAACAAGATTCAACAGGAACAATAAAATATCTTCACTCCTAGCTTCTCAATGTCACACTAGACTAATTTTTAGTGTTTGTTTAAATAATCAATCCAAGATCCTGATTTATGTTTTTAGTATGGCAGTTAACATAATGAGTCTTATCAAAGGATTTCCATGACACAACAAAACTTCTCAAAAGTACTTCCCAAATGTTATTTGAGCATAACATTTTACAAGGAAAAAAACAGGAAAAGACATTAAATAATTCGCTTATTTTTCAAAAAATATCTACATTATAGTTTGCCACTAAGTTGGAAAACATCTGGTTCCAACTAACTAAATTCAGTTCCATATTTCATTCCTAAAGATAAATTTATAAATAATGATTAATCAATTTTTGCTTCTTAATTTCTACACTACGTAAGTTTAAATGCATAGTGTTCATGTATTTATATCAGTGATTTTTAGATTTTGAGCATTATAAGTATGCTTTAACTGATAGATTAGTCATGACATAGCTATCTCTGCTCTATATTAAAATTTAGCCATTAACATTTAAAAATTACAGGAATGAATTTGTTCTGAAAATTAAATAACTAAGTTACTTCGTACTTACTAAGAAAATTGGCTTGGTTCATTGCATATTTAAAAACAGTCATTCCAGAAAGACATACTAACTTATTTTTAGGAAGTGGTAATCATCACTGTATATAGAGCTATTTGATTTAATATGACAATGTGAAATCATTTTAGTATTTTATGTGCAGAAGGTTGAAATAATCATACCTCTCAGTTCCCAGCACATGAGTATCATTAGTTGTTTTGAGCTGCGTCTCTTTAATCATATATGTGTGTGTGTGTGTGTGTGTGTGTGTGTGTCCGTGCATATCTTCCCTTTTAATTACATATACTACTCACATTCTATTCCCTTCATAGGTAACCATATTAATATTTTAACAAATTATTTATTTGAATGTCTTCTTTATTTTTATATGCATATATTTTAATTTTAATTAAATGATACCTATGTTAATGTAGCATCATAAGAAACAGAAGAGGATGAAGTCCAAAAAGTAATGATTGGTTTACTGAAATAAACTCTTCTTTAATGTGAAGTAAAATAACCACTAAATTGTATATACTGGAGTTAGCAACATATCAATAACCTTTGCAATTGCAGGCAAGTTGAAATTGTAAGGCTACATTATGGACACCTGGTAAAAAGATGAACAGAAAGCTACTTTAAACCACTACTTCTGGATACCCACAGGACAGAAAACTTTTATGATGCTTTCATTGGAGTTTTGTTGGTTGGTTGGTTAACTTTTTTAATGAAAAAAATAAAAGGAACAAATGGAAATATCTGTGGCAAAAAAATTCAGTTGAGCAGGAAAAATGTGCAAACAAAGAAGAGAGAAATGAAGATAAGAAGATAACTTAAAGTATGATCTTCCTGAGAAACCTGGTAGGAATCAGATTAAAAACACAGGTGGAGAATTCAACTATTATTACATGATCTAAGTAAGAAATGCCAGGGTTTTTTTGGGGGCGGGGGGGGTGGTTGTTGTTTGTTTTTTTGATTTTTTTTTTGAGACAGAGTCTGGCTCTCTTGCCGGGCTGGAGTACAGTGGCGTGATCTCGGCTCACTGAAACCTCCGCCTCCCGGGTTCAAGCGATTCTCCTGTCTCAGCGTCCAGAGTAGCTGGGACTACAGGCGCGTGCCACCATGCCAAGCTAATTTTTGTATTTTTAGTATAGACGGAGTTTCACCATGTCGGCCAGGATAATCTTTATCTCTTGACCTCGTGATCTGCCAGCCTCATCCTCCCAAAGTGCTGGGTTTACAGGAGAAATGATAGTTTTAAGAAACAAGTAGTTTTAAGCAAAGTAGATGGAAATTTGAGAGTTCATACCATATGACTACTGTTCCTTTTTGAACTTATAGAGAAAGGGGCTTATATGGATCAGGTGCAAAGAAAGAGGAAAGGGTTTACATGTCCTATGGTGAGAAAGAGAGATTGAGATGACTTAATAAATAAATATTTCCTGGGAGATTTGAGCTCACTTGTAGGCAATAAATTTATAGTGATTATAACATTGACAGTTTGTGTTGTTTATACTACTGTAATAATAATATCTTTATGTATATATATGTGGATGACAATATTTGCATCTATTGGTTGTAGGATTTGCCAATTAGGTGTAACTTAAGGGATCGTGGCATATCTTAATTAAGAGAAAATGATACAATGTATCATGGAATAAAGAATTTATGAAGGAAAAGGAATAAAAAAGAAGATAGATGAATAGGAAGAAATATCAAGGAAAATATGTAATTGGAGTATTTTAATAAGACTGTTAAAATGACTGCTTGAAAAATAATTTAGAATGGAAAATTATTTCTTGTAAGAGATAAGTTAAAACGTGTGACTGTAGACCAGTAAAGCCATGTAAAACATGGGATTTGGAGGAAGTAAACAAGCTGAGTAACTAGGGGATTGGATGTGTTGTCCATAAAAATCATGAAGTCATTTGGAATCTTGGCAGCATTTGAATTGGTTAGGAAAATCACATGCAAGAGAGAAAATGTTCAGGAATAAGGGAGATTTTCTCAGAGGGTAGTGGGTTACACACTAATTGTAAGAAGAGGGGTGTATTAGTGTTCTCTAGAGGGACAGAACTAATAGGATTATCTATCTATCCATCTATCTACTATCTATCTACTATCTATCTATCTATCTATCTATCTATCTATCTATCTATCTATAAAGGGAAGTTTATTGTACTAACTCACACAATCACAAGGTCCCACAATAGGCTGTCTGAAAGCTGAGGAGCAAGGAGAGCCAGTCCAAGTCCCAAAACTGAAGAACTTGGAGTCTGATGTTCGAGGGCATCCAGCATGGGAGAAAGATGTAGGCTGGGAAGCTAGGCCAGTCTAGTCTTTTCACATTTTTTCTGCGAACTTTATGTTCTAGCCTTGCTGGTAGTTGATTAGATGGTGCCTACCCAGATTAAGGGTGGGTCTGCCTTTCCCAGTCCACTGGCTCAAATGTTCATCTCCTTTGGCAACAGCCTCACAGACACATCCAGGATCAATACTTTGGATCCTTCATCCAATCACATTGACACTCAATATTAACCAACACAAGACGGACAAGATAGATAGGAAGAGACTTAAAGAAAAAGCAAGAGTGTAGAAGAATAATAAAGAAATGACTTTGGAAAGCAAGTGAAATTACATAATCCCATTTCCTTACACTGAGATAGACACCATTTATAAAAAGACATCTTCAATGAATTCAATATTATCAGTTGATATACCAATTTTAGTTAAGACCAGGCATGGTGGCTTACACCTGAAATCCCAGAACTTAGAGGTAGAGGCAGGAGCATAACTTGAGCGCAGGAGTTGGAGACCTGCCTGGACAACATAGCAAGACCCCATTCCCTACAAAAAGAAATAAAATAGACAATCACCTCCCAAAAAATTTTAGTTAAGTACAAAATATGATTAAAAAATATTCAAAGAAGCATTCTGGGATAATGGGTTTGAATAAATGAGATATTTGTTAAAGCAATTGTTGATCAACTCCCAGAAGTAAGAGGAAAGATTATTATACAGGAAGGGAGTGATAGTATGTGTCAGGGATAGGAACTACAGAGAGAAGATAGAGAACCCTCCAGGAGGAGGAGAGATGATCCAAGTGGCTTATATTTTATTGATAATCAAGAAAAACATGGGTCTAAGAGAAGACAGACTTAGATTTGAAGGACAGCTGAAGAAGGCTGATCAGAAATGCGAAGAGACTAAAGATGGAACTAGATTTATTTTATTTAGGTAGACTTTTTATATAATTTGAATAGACACATAAATGTAATGCTCATAGAAGGATGAAAATATGAAAATAGAGATAATTTGTTTTATAAAACTAGACTAAACTTGTCAACAGAAATTGATGAGTATATTTAAAATTCTAAAACAATTTGTCATAAATACATTAGATGTCCAAATCCAAAATAAAATACCAGCAAACATAATGAAACAACATATTAAAAGTATAACATGTTATTATGAACCAGATACTTCCCAGAACTCTGCAGATTGATTAACATTAGAAAATATGTTTACATATGTATACACATACACACACCCCATATCAGCAAATAAGAAAAACATCCTGATAATCCCAGTAGATATTAAAAAGGTCTTTGATTACATTCAGTATGCATTAATCATAAACTGTGAGTTATGGGAATTTAATGACAAAGAATATGAATCATAAACTGATTCAGCATGGGCTGGGCATGCTAGCTTATGTCTGTAATCCCAGCACTTTGCAAGACTGAGGCAGGCGAATCTTTTGAGGTCAGGAGTTCAAGACCAACATGGCCAACATGGTGAAACCCCATCTCTACTGAAAATATATACATTAGCTGGGCGTGGTGGCACACACCTGTAATCTCAGTTACTCTGAAAGCTGAGGCAGCAGAATCGCTTGAACCTGGAGGCTGAGTTTGCAAAATCATGCCACTGCACTCCAGCCTGGGCGACAGAGAGGCTCAGTCTCAAAAAAAAAAAAAAAAAAAAAAAAAAGGAAAAGAAAAAAGAGTCAGCATAATGCAGACTTCAAGGCCCTTGGGTTGGCTTTTACCTACATCCTAGTGTCATCTCAGATACCCTTTCCATTGCGTTTTTTATTCTGTCTGAGGACCACCACTTGTGTTGATCTTGTGTTCCTCCAACGTTGGCTTTCCTCTTGATCTAATCCAACACCTTCAGTTCCCCAATAAAAGAGCTATGGCCACCAGATTAGTAAAATCCTTTAGTTATTTGCTATTATATCACTAAATCCATCTTCTAAAACTATTACACTTCTATATAATTTCTCTATTTCCTTTAAAACTAGTTTAATAAACCACACAGAGATAGAAGTTGTTAGCTCTTGCTATGGCTTGAATGTTCTCTATAACTCATGCTGAGATCCATTTGTAGTTCAGAAACATGACTATTGTCTTTTCAAGCTTATATGAGATCTGGCTCCCTCAATCCTTGCTATGATATCAGTACATTACCTGTCTGATGTGAAAAAGAAAAGATAAAATGAAATAAAAGCTCAGACACCACAGAGAGTTTCCACCAGTAAGAAGGCTCTCACCAGATCCAGCCCCTCAATCTTAGAATTCTCAGTCTCCAAAACCGTAAGAAATAAATTCCTTTTTAAATAAATTACCCAGTTTCCAGGATTGTTTTAATAAGTAACAGAAAATGGATGAAAACTGATCTGTCTCCTGATGTAGATATTGGAGCCAAAACTTTATACTCATTACTCAAATAGAGGATTTTTTCACAGGGTAAATATTCAAGGGAGGCAGGGCTGAATTCTACATCAGAAGATAACATCTCAGAAGAATAGATGTTAATTTTTACTCTCCCCTAGAAACTATAATGTACACAGGCTGTGATGCAGGCTTGACCAATCGGACTTTGCTACCAAGGATTCTAAATCTAGAGAGAGTGCCAACAAAAAGAGTGTCAGCAAGGCTAGCCATGGACTCTATTGTCAAGCAGCTTTGTGACAGTGACAATGACAATGGCAGTTCCATTGCAGCAGTGTCCTGAGCTGACAGTTCCTGTGATGTGTTATTGGCTAAGGTTTGAAATACCAAGAATCTTAAGGTTCATCTCATTTTTAAGCTTGGATCATCAGCTTTACTAAAGATTCTCTGAGCTCTACAATTTACTTCCTTGAGTGCTATTGATGAAAAACTCTTTTATTGTAAAATATAGCACAGAGAAAGATTAAAACATATGATCAACTTAATAAATTGTTATGTGTTCAACTAGTAACTACCACTTTTATCAATAAATAGTCTTTCCAGACATTATTGAACCTCTCAATGTGCCTGATCTCAATCAAAACCTCACAGCCCTGCTGTAACCATTGTACATATTTAATGGTAATCATGCTCTGCTTTACTTCACAGTTTAATAACTCAAGAAGTATTCTGAAATACTAGGTTTGATTTTAACTTTTTGTGAGTATGGTTATATATCTTAAGTATTCTTTATTACAGGTCCAATCCATAAATTATTATTTTCCTGCAATCTTATATTTCACAATATAACTGGGCCATTTTACTTGTAAAGTATTTAAGATTCTATAATTTTCACATATTCCCAAGGAATATTTTAACATATTTCTCTGCCCTCTGTATTTTCTATCAATTGATTGTTTAATATAGGGGATTTACAGAGTCAATACATAAATATGTAGCTAATCCTTAAACAAATAAATATGTCTAGCTATATAAATATATCAATCTATATATAGATTGATATATATAAGTATATAAATAGATATAGGAAGTTTATATATAAAAACTTATCTATATATATGAATCTGTACTAGTTTTATATAGATAAAAATAAATCTTTTCTTCACCTTTTGGCAAGACTGTTCATTACATTCCTCAAGCAAGAGGCATACTGTGTCTGGTTGCCACTTTTGGTGATGTTATCTATTGATTGTGCTTATTGCCTAGATATATTAATTAATTAGTGATATTTTATTATATCATTTCTCCTTTTTTATTAGTAAAATTTTTTATATGAGTAAAAATTTTTTTTAATCTAATGTTTTCTATCTCAGAGAAGTTTGCACAGGACTAATAGGCTAAAAGATTTATTTTTTTGCTCTTCTTAATTTATTTTAAAAACGGAATTATTTCTTTATGACCCTCCAAATTTGGCTAATTTGTTGAAAAGTTTCAATTAATTTTTTATTAGTATTTGAACTCACAGTTATACAAAATATATTTGAAGTGTTTTAATCCATTGTTGTTTTTATTGAAGCAGAAATGCTCCTGTCTCTCCAGTGGGTGGCTCCTATGTCTTCTGAGTTCTTTTGACATGCCCCATTGCAGTCCCTGATAGTTGCTAAAATGTTTCAGACACTTCCTACACATTTTCCATCCCAGATCTGGAATGAGACATTTCTAGTTCTGGTTTGTGTATATGTGGCAGGGGCGGGAGTGTGAGGAAGGGTATTTCAAGACCAGAATTTGGGCAATATGAATATGCATTATTAACTGGGTCTGTTGTTATTTCTACATCTTTCCATTTGACAGAGTTAGAGTGAATAAGTGGATTGAAGTGTGGATGGATGGCTAGATTAGCAGAAAGGCAGATAAGGCCGGGCACAGTGGCTCACGCCTGTAATCCCAGCACTCTGGGAGGCCGAGGTGGGCAGATCACGAGGTCAGGAGATTGAGACCATCCTGACTAACACGGTAAAACCCTACTAAAAATACGAAAAAATTAGCCAGGTGTGGTGGCGGGCGCCTGTAGTCCCAGCTACTTGGGAGGCTGAGGCAGGAGAATGGCGTGAACCCGGGAGGCGTAGCTTGCAGTGAGCCAAGACCGCGCCACTGCACTCCAGCCTGGGCGACAGAAAAAAAAAAAAAAAAAAAAAAAAAAGGCAGATAACATGCCCTCCGTGAATTCATAGTGTTATGCCTGATTTAAATTGAAGACTGAGATGTATACGTTATCTCTGCTAAATTTTTGTCTTCTTTTTTTCCACATTAAATACATATGTTTTGAAGAATATCAAAAGTGGTAGAATTGAACTATTTATTACGTAATATTTTTATATTTATATAAAAATAAAAGGCAGTATTTATATTGATGTTTATACTGATTGTTGTGGTTGTCTGCAATTCATGGCCTAGTTAATGCATAAGAAAGAGCTCATGGAGAAAGCAATTTCTTAGCTCTCGAAGTATTGTAACAGTTTGTGGCTTCTATATTTGAGAGTAAATTTGGCTAGATATAATACATTTATCTTACTTTGTCTTTGCATTATAACAGTTTGTGGCTTTTATATTTGAGAGTAAATTTGGCTCAATATAATACTATTATCTTACTTTTCCTTTGCTTACTTTTCTTTATGGGAGTGTCACTAATGTGTTATTTCATTTAGTTCTGGAATTAAACATGCTGTTGAGTTTGATGATAACCTCATTTTGTTTTCCTTATAAATAACTTTATGTTTTTGTTGGACTGCCAAAGAGATTTTTCTATTTTTTTTTAAAATCCGGCTTTCTTAAGAAGCAAACTGTATTTACTTAGTTTTCTATTACTCCAATAAATCATTTCTTCTAATTTTATTTTTTGTTCTTATTTATATTTGTATATAATATTTACATGACTATAATCAATATAGTCACAATTTTATTTTCATCTTATTCATTTGACATAATTTTCACACATTTCATCTTGTGGCTAATATTTTCCATTATAATTTTAACATCTGCATAATAATCCATTAAGGTATTATTTGATATACCATAATACCACCTCCTTATTTTAAATATTTATATCTATTCCCTTTTCTTCATATTACAGGTTACGTCATTCAGTGTTTTTAAAATTAATAAATTGAAAAAAATTCAATGATTTGGCTTATCCTTCCTATAAAAACTGGTCAGAAATATAAAACATATTAGAGAAAATTTTTATTTGTATACTTATTTCTACTTATTTCAGCATGTTTACTGGAATTGAGACCTAGTTTTCTTCTAATCTACAGCTCTAACAGCATAATCCATAAAGCAGAATTCCATGACTAAGACATGCCATTTGCTGTTTTTCTTTGAGTTCTAATTCAAAGAGGTAAACTGTTTGGTCTGTTTTATTGACTTTCAAGTATATCGTGATAGTCCAAACATTGTTCTTCAGAGAAGCAAAGACCAATTCTAAAGTGGAATCTAGAGTGAAATCATATCTATCTATCTATCTATCTATCTATCTATCTATCTATCTATCTACACATATATGAACCTTTGACATTATCTTCCATTAGAAATTGCACCGATTGGTCATCAAAAGGAAGAAGAAACAGATTGTTGAAAACACATTAATGGTTCTTGAAACTGTTCTAATCAGCAAAGGCATCAGTACTGGGAAGAAGTCTGAGAAGGTAACTATTAGTTATCTATTTATGCATAATAAATTAACCTAGAATAACAGCTTAAAACATACATCTCACAATTTTTTAAGCCCAGGAATTCAAGGTGAATTAGTGGAGTGGTTCTGGCTCAGGGACTCTGATGAGGTTGTAATTAGGATGTCAACTAGGGCTGCTGATACCTGAAAGCTGCTCCCAGGACTGGAGGATGAGCTTCCACAACAGCTCACGCACGTGGCTGTTGGGTGGAGGCCTCGCTGTTGGGTGGAGGCCTCAGTTCTTCATCACATAGTACTCTCATGACACAGCAGCTGGCTTCCCTGAGTAAGTAATCCAGACTTAGACTCCTAAGTTGTACTCTCGTGCTTTTGATGTTTTTTTTTTTTTCCTACTCCTTAGAACCAAGTCACTGAGATTCCACCTCTTTAAAGGAGGAGAACCAAAGACATTGAGGCCATATTTTAATGCCATCATAGTAACTGCTAAACCATCAGAGAATAATGGGCAAAATACAGAGATTTTATAGCCACACAGGACATCTCAAATTCTGGCTGTGTTGATTATTACCAATTGAACATTGAGCAGATCAATTGGTGCAACATCCTTGGCATCTTTCTTATTGTTAAGCTAGAGATTATTTATTGTCTGCCTATCTCACTGGATTATTATGAGACTCACAGAAGAGCATAGAAAATGGTGGTTTTGAAAAACAAATATTTATTAATCTTGAATTAAACATGTATTTGTGTAAGTTTTTAACTCATTGAGGCTAAAATGTATCTATGGCTGAAAAATATAAAATCATTAAAGAAGTAAACAGATTTATATTGAATGACTATGTAATCAATGACAAAATCACTGTAGCATAGACTTTTTCTAGGTGATAAGGCAGGAATGTTCTGTATGTATTTCCTGCTTTTTCACATATACCAATATGTAATTTCCAAACAACACATTTGGAAATGTATTATAAAGTGTTATAAAAAGTCATAAAATGGGTTTCATAACTTCCATACTTGAAGATAGTTTCCACTCATATTAAAAAAAAAAACAAAAAACTACATACTTTTTAGGTTTCAAAGATAAATCTATTATTTCAGAATGGTTTTCTGATTTTCATCATTATAAATGGAAAACATAAATGTTATTACAAAAAATGCCTACAAATGTAATAAATAAAAATTCTTTGACCTCAACACATAAAAACATTTTTGTTTTTATATCTATTTTATATAAGAAATCTTAATCATTGGATTGGCATAAATAGTTCAGTTATTATACATCATGTGTAAGCCAGTGCACGAAACTTAAATTTATTCCCAGTTAAGAAATATATACCTAATATTGTTAAGATAAATGGCTTTTTATTGGAAAATTTGAGTATTTATAATTAAGCTTCCTGACATTAAGTTGAGTAGAATTAGGGAAGAGAGAGATTTCAAATAAAAAATAAATTAGGGACATTTCCTCTCAGGGGTGTAGAGAACAAGAAAGGGCATTTATCCTGTGTTTAATTCAATCACTATAACAAAAATAGCTTTATAATCCTCTCTGGTGGACTGTTTGTTAATTTTTTTCACCTATTTTTTATTGCATTGTTTATTTGCTTATTATTTAGTTTTGTGAATTATTCATATTTACATCACAGGTAGACAAACTATCATGCATAAGCCAAATCCAGCACACCACCTGTTTCTGTATCTAAAGTTTAATCAGAAACAGCTAAGCTCACTCATGTTTATATTGTCTAAAGCTGCCTTCATGCTGCAATAACAGAACGGAGGAGATTCCACAGAGACTGTCAGATCTGCAAACTAAAATATTTGCTATTTGGCTATTTAAGGTTTGTCGACCCTTGCTCTACATGCAAATCTTTTTTTTCAAATTATAATATGTAAATGGAATCTCTCAGTCTGTTGTTGATTTTTTTTCATTCTATTCATAGTATCTTTTCATGAGGAGAATTTGAAATTTTGATTAAATCCAATTTATCATTATTTTATTTTATAAATCATGCTTTTGGTATCTTATATAAGAAAGCTTTGTCTAACTTCAAAGCACAAATACTTAGTTTTGCCCTGAAATTTTATACATTTAGTTTGTACATATAGGTCTACAAGATCAAACTTCAAAATTTTTTGCAGATAAGTATCAAATTGCCCAGCAACATTTCTTTAAAAGTCTGTTATTTATCCCCTAAATTGCTATGAAATTTTTGTCAAAAATCAGTGGGTTTATATCTGTATTTTCTCTATTTTGATACATTGATCAACTTATCTTTATTTGTAGACATACTGTCCTGATAAATGTATTTTTTATAATAAACCTTCAAATAAGTTAGAATACGTCATCAAACGTTGTTTTTCTTGAAAAGTTGTTTTGGCTTTCCTAAATACTTTGAATTTCGATATGAAATGGAAAAAATAAGAGCATTGTTCAAATATCTTCCTAATTTATTTAATTTATTAATACTTTGAAATAGCTACTAGGGAGGCTGAGGCAGGAGAATCACTTGAACCCAGGAGGTGGAGGTTGCAGTGAGCCGAGATCACAGCACTGAACTCCAGCCTGGCAACAGAGTGAGACTCCTTAAAAAAAAAAAAAAAAAAAAAGTTGATGAAAGATTACAGAAGGTTTTCGTATACTCTTCACAAAGATTCTCCTACTGCTTACACTGTACCCTACATGGTCCATTTATAAATTTTTAAAAACAATAACATTGGTAAAATACTATTAACTATTAACTTCAACTGTTTTTTCACTAATAATAGTTTCACTTTTAGTAATTAATTTATTCATTAGTATTCAAATGGTAAATTATATTGGTTGATCTTAAGCTCCAGGCACAGTGATAGCTCCTAGGCAAACAAAGATGATTAAGACGTTCCTATCTTCAAGAATGTCACAGTCTATTAGATGACCAAAAATATAAATTAATAATGAAATAATTAAATGACATTTCAAGTTAGCAGCCCAAAAGACCCAAAGAATTAAAATTGCATTTGTCATTAGACAAAGAAAGACAAAAGCATTCCATTACCACACTGTATTAAAAACACTCTTCTTGAACAATGAAAGGCTCAGATTTTGCTGAGCATTTATTTTCTTACGTATTCTTCTGTTCTTTTCATTTTTCAAGCAATAGGAGTCTATTGCAATGTGGCAGAAATCTATTTAAGCCATATCATTTCTTTGAAAACCAGATTCATTTTAATGAAAATTCCAAAGGTATTGTTTATTCTCTTCAATGTTAATGTTGATTTATGTTCTTATTTTAAAAATTATTTGTAATTTTTAAGTAAGTTCTATTGAATAAATAAAAACATATAGAGATTATAGTGTTTACATGTAGAGAAGAAAGTATCTATACAAATTTCAAAGACGTCAAAAAGAAATTTTGTATTAGAGATAACTTGTTTCTAATAGAAATTAAAATACAGAAAAGTTTTCTTCCAGCTTATTGATTAAAACATTCAACTGTATTTGCTGAAATTAGTAGTATTCACTTTCTTATATTTGAATGTAGCAGTTAACTTCTATGCAATATTTAGCAACTATTATAGTGTGATCTAGCTTTTCTTGTTTGAGAAGTGTCAAAAGTAAATATGTTTGTTATCAATTTCTAAAGATAGCAAAATATTTTCAAAAAACTAACATTCTATGATTGGACTATAAAGCTTTTTTCCAGATATTTGCATTTATTTGGATGATGAAGAATTACAGAGGAAGAATTCATTTCTCAGATGATTTAGGGCAAGATTGATTGGGTCAATTGAGTGGGTGGAATGTTTCTAACATTTCTCTTCAGTGATCCACATCATTTATCCTGCCCCTTTCTGCACACGGTTTCCATCTGAATTAACCAAAAGAATATGAAATAATTTAGATTTTCAGAGGCGCCAATTAATGACTTTCTGTTCAGTACTCTTCAGTAAAGGGAGGTTTGTAGTACCTTGTTTATAAAGCTTTTTCTGGTTTTATGTCAACATCCTTTAGTATAAGGTAAGTATTCTCTCATTGAACCAGTATGATAATAATAGAATATTAAGAGGTTATGTAACCCAACAAGCCTTTTAATTTCATTAAAACCACAATAAAAAGCACATGAAGTATAGACCTTTCTCAAAATAGAATTAAGATATACCTTTAATAATTAATATGTTCAGGATTTAGATGTCAGACTCCAATACATTTAAAAAATTTTAGTCTCTCAATAATATGGTTAACAAATGTACAGAATAGATCGCTCAGACAAAATGGTCTCTAAAAGTATAAAAGCAACTGTAAAAATTGTGTTAGGTCGTATGAACTAATAAGCAAAATTACCCATATTCTATTCCCAGATCTTATTCTACTCTAATATAAATTTCTGTTGTGAAGTGAATTTATTAATTAACTTTTCTAATTATACTGTGTGGATATTTTAATTGTTTTGATTAATTTTAGATTTCCAAAATGAGGACTGAAAAAATTAGTGGTTTAACAAAGAAAGCCATTCATGTTTCAAACATGTAAAATAATTCCAAAGGTAGGCATTCCATAGCTGATATTTCCAAGAGTTCAACAGAAACCCTGCATCGGTTATTCTGTATTATCTCTCTACTATCTGTATGTTTCATTCTCAAGGTTATTTCAAGGAAAATTTTGGTTTCTGCAGGGCCCAACCATTTCATTCCCGAGAGCAAGCATGGAAGAAGGCAAAAAAGAGCATGTGTCCTCTTATTTAAAGAATTTTTCTGATATCACCCACTGATCTTCTATTCATAGCTCATTAGTCATAAATTAGCCACTTGGCCACAACTATTGACAAATAGGACTTAAAATGTCTCTAAATCATAGTAGCAAGTACTACACTAAAATGAGGCTGCATGTGTCTAAAGAAGGTAATAAAGCTAGTTAGAAGAAATTAGAAGTTTCTGCAGCATTGCTATTTAGAAAATTAATTTTAACATTGATCTTACATGTAGCCATCTTTCACAAAACTCTGATTAATTCAAATGGCTTGTCAGTTTACTCATTTGAGATTACCAAATAGGCCATAACATATTTCTTCAAATAATACACACTTAATTTGGCTAGAACTTTCACAAAAGTGACTGGAACTTTAAATAAAATATTAAATGGTAACTTTAATCTTGTTTTATTCTGAGTTTGAATGGTAATGTTTCATTTCAAATGGTTTACTACTCAGCATATGGCTTCAAGGTAATTAATTATGTCTCTTACTTTGTTAATATATTAAAATTCTCGTTTTTTGTTTCTATCCAGATTTGCATTAATATAGTTGCTGATGTTAAACTATTCTTGCATTGATAAGCAAAAATGCATTTAGTAATGATGTGTCCAGCTTATATTTACAAACTTTATTGTCTGATGTTTAATTGGATTTTTAAATAGTTTCACATTGTATTTATGTTTAAAGTTTATAGTCTCTGTGTGCGTGTGTGTGTGTATTTGTGCTTTATTGTATATTAGCTTACTACATTGACGGGTAAATTCATTCAAATTATTTCCTATGGTCACAAACAGCGTACACAAAAGGGAAATTATCTGCTCTTTAATGCTTTGCTAAAACTCACTGATGTGTAAATCTTATGAGATTTTAAAAAGGTTACATTACATAGGTGTCCATTGACACCTATGTAATGGTGTCAATAGAGAAGAGGAGAAAAGAGGCTGGGTGCGGTGGCTCACTCCTGTAATCCCAGCACTTTGGGAGGGCGAGGTGGGTGGATCACCTGAGGTCAGGAGTTCAAGACCAGCCTGACCAATATGGTGAAACCCTGTCTCTACTAAAAACACAAAAATTAGCCGGGCGTGGTGGCAGGTACCTGTACTCCCAGCTACTCAAGAGGCTGATACAGGAGAGTCACTTGAACGCAGGAGGTGGAGGTTGCAGTGAGCTGAGATTGCACCACTGCACTCCTGCCTGGTCAAAGAAGCAACACTCCATCTCAAAAAAAAAAAAAAAAAAATAGGAGAAAAGAAATTGTAAACAATAAGTTTAGGTAACATTTTTGACATATGTCAGATATTTGGGGTGGTAGTTGCATGGAGATTTTGAAAAATGTCTCATAAATACTTAGGAAATACTATCCAAGGAAAAGTTATCTGAAGATATCTTTCTGAGGAAACTCACCGGCCCTGCAAATATTGATATTTTAAACAATTTTTCCTTGTTAAATATTAATAGGCAGTCTAAGCTCACCAGCTATTTGGGTGTTTACCTAAGATGCCACAGAGATATAATAAATAAATAAATAAATAAATAAATAAATAAATAAATAAATAAATGTCTTGGGATAAATTTCATAGCACATAAAGAAAAGGTTTCAAAATTGTTATGGTTTGTTCTTACCAAAACTCATGTGGAAATCTGATTCCCAATGTGGCAGTATTAAGTTCTTGTTCTAGAGAGACTAAATTAGTTCCCATGGGAATAAATTCATTCCCTCAAGAGTGGTTTGCTACAAAGCCAGTATGCTCCTTGGATTTGTTTCTGCTCATGTCTGCTTCCCCTTTGACCTTCTCTGCCATATTAAGATGGAGCACAAAAGTCCTTTCTGGAAACCAGGGTAATGCCCTTGAACTTCTCAGCCTGCAGAACATGAGATAAATAATCTCATTTCTTTATAAATTACCCGGCCTCAGAGATTGAATTATAGCAACACAAAATGGAATAAGGCAGAAATATACATTATTTTAGATGTAATATAAAATACTACATTCATTAATTAACTGTATCATTCTTTTTTAGACTGTCTGAGTTCCTATGTATTAAACATGGTGTGATGGTGGCCAGTGGGGGATGTCAATGGAAGAGTTTAAAGCTAATTTTAAACAAATCCCCAAGCAGAAAATAAATATACAATCTGGAAAAAGATAATCCTCTTAGAGAATCAATCCAGTCGAGAAAATTGAACATCATACAATACAGTGCCTCCAGGATAATATTAAGAAGAAATTGAGGTGAAGAAATAATGAAAATATAAAGCAAATTTATTTTATGTGAGTGATAAACATGAGTTTCCTTATTAAATCACTTACAAAAACAATCACTAAAGAAATAACCAATGAAAGTGAGGTTATTGAGTAGTTAAAGCACACTAAGGATGAACATTGTTTTATTTGGTTAATGGCATTGAAAGTCAAAAATCTAGGTGAAGAATATAATAAAGATGACATTAAAATTTTTGAAGTGAAAAATACATGACGTTTTTAAGAACGAGTGACACTGAAAATTCAGTAGAATGACACTTCATAATTTGGGTACTATTATATTCACAGCCTGAAATTCTAAATAAAGGTAAATATCTATATTATGTAATTGATTAAAGTTATTTTAAGAATGTAAAATCTCAGAAAAGTTTATATCCCATGCACTAAATTAAAGGATGCTGTTAGATAATGTGGACATTGTTAAATAAGGGAAAGAACTAATATAGCAGAAGGCACTGGATTCAGAAAAAAAGGTTTCAATCTAGAAAAGAAACAAAATAAATAATGAGTGCAAAGGTGCAGAGAATTCCCAAAACACTTGTGCAGCAAATATTGGGAAATCTATCCAGTGCACAGGCAGAGATAGCTTCCAAGAGGAAAAATGCTGTCCAAAGAGCCAATAAAATTGAGATAAAAAGCGAAAGCTTTAATTTAAACATGAGAGAATTACCAAAAAGTGAATAGACATGTGTAGTAATCATCCTGATTAAGAAATAGGAAATTACAAGTAACCCACAATGGTTCCCTTGTAAATCACTCTTCTCAATATCACAACAATTCTATTCAAAGAAAACCATTGTTACAACATTTGAATGTTACATAAATGGCATCCAAAAGCATGTATGCTTTTGTGTCAGTTTTCTTTCATTCACCATTATATTTGCTATATCAATCTCTGTTTTTCATGAACCTATAGTTTATTGATTCTTATAGTTCTTTCATTTTCATTGCTGTGTGGTATTCTATTATATGAATATACTACAGTTTTATATCCATGTTTCTGAACATAAAAGTTTTTTCCAGTTTTTGGCTATTAAGAATTATGGTGCCAAGAATATACTAGTACACATCTTGTTGGACACATGCACACATTATAATTCGAGGCATACTTTTAAATAAAATTGATAGTAAAGGATGCAAGTGTTCAGTTTCAATAGATAATACAAATTTATACTACAAATAGTACTGTGTGTGTGTTTGTGTGTGTGTGTTAAATTTAGCCGTTCTGATGCTTGTAAAATATTATCTCATTGTGCTTTAAATTTATATTTTCTATTTCACATATTTGTTATTTAGTTGAATATTCTTCTTTTGAAATGCATCTTCCATGTTTTTATTTACTTTTATATTGTGGTATCTTTTTACAATTAATTTGTAGGATTTCTTTGTAAGATGTGTTTTTAGATTATTCTTGCCTAATCTCTGACTTAAATTTTTACTTTTCTAATCATATATTTTCATGAGCAGAAGTAATAAAACACTGTGAAACTAACTTTTTAACATATTTCATATACTTATTTCTACTTCTTGTATTATAAACTGGCTAGAACTCCAGTCTAATTTTGACACAGGAAGAGTGGGCATTGTTTTCTCGTTGTTTAAGTCACAGGAAATGTACTAACATTTCCCAGTTAAGATTAATGTTTGCTCTATTTTCAAATACATAAAATTTTCTTCTATCATGGCTTCCTGAGATAGATTCTCCCTTAATCTATGTGCTTTCATCTAGAATAATCTTTCTCTCTTAAAAATCTCCCTTTAATTTTTCCTTAACTAGGGCTCTTTTGGTAATGAAGTCTCTCTCCTTTACAAGCAGTTTTGCTTAAAAATGTGAATTATTGATGTTGTTATTCATACAGAATATATGCATTCCTACAGAAAATATACAGCATTTAACATTAAAAGACAGAATATTATCTTTATCAAAAAACTACATTATGCTCTCTTTCCATTGCTAACCTGCCAATAATAATCACCATTGTGGCTTTTTACACTTTAAAGCTTCAGAGATAAATTCACTGGCATAATGTCCCAGCCCGTTAGTTATTAAATTTTAGAACTTATACAATATTATTCTGTTGTTACCTTCCATTAGTTTTTTTGTTTGTTTGTTTTTCTATGGACACATTATCTAAAGTTTTATTGTTGCTTCCATCAGGACAGTACATCCCTTTTTTACTAGTTATTCTTATAATCCCTTAACATAAACTTTGGAAAATACTTGTCCATTATTCTTTCAAACATTTCTCTTTCCTATTTTACTCTTCTCCTAGGACTCACAGGTGTGTTCAAATATTTTCCCCACATTCCATGTGTATCCTACGATATTTCCTGTATTACCTAACATTTTATCTTTTGTTGTTGCAATGTGAGTGTAATTTTTTCTAGGCTGTTTTCTTGTTCTGTCTAATTTGCTATTAAACCTAGGCCTTGTGAGTTTAACAAAGATATTAGTTGCTATATGATATAGTTTGGATATTTTTTCCATTCAAATCTCATGTTGAAATTTAATCCCCAATGTTCCAGGTGGCACATAGAGGGAGGTGTTTCAGTCATGAGGGTGGATGCCATCCTCATGGTAGTGAGTGAATTCTCATTCTACGAGTTCCCATAAGAATTTATTATTAAAAATAGCCTGTCATTTTCCTCTCCTCTCTCTCTTTCTTCCCCTATCTCACCTGCTCCCATTCATTTCTGCCATGGATGGAAGTAATCTGAGGCCATCTCCAAAGGCAGATGCAGCCCCATGCTCCTTTAACAGCCTGCAGAACCATAAGCCAAATAAACCTCTTTTCTTATGAATTACCCAGCCTTGTGTTCCTTTATAGCAATGCAAATGGGCTAAGACATTATATACATTTTCTTTCTATAATTTACATAATATTTCAGAATTTCACATTTCCTGCTAAAATTTTTCATCTTCACATTTAATCTTTGAATATATCAACTTCATTTATTTTAAACTCCATGTCTGTCTGGTAAGCCCATTAAATTGATCTGTTCTATATCTGCTTATATTATCTGTTGTGATCTTGGTTTTTACTAAAGTATTCTGTTTTAGTTTATTCCATGTCTAGTCATTTTGTATGAACCATCAGCTATTGTGTATAACAAGGTGTAAAGATAATTTGGAACTCTAGATTAACGATTCTTCTACCAAGATGATTTACTCCTCTTCTAACCAGAAATTATAACAGCTAGTGATACCTTAATATGATGAATGCTTAGTGATGATTAAAAACTAAGCTTTGGTCTTCATGTTGGTTGATTTATTTCATTCTACTTTTGATGTACTTTACTGCTAGAGTAGAGAATTGCTCTGAGTTCTGAGGACCTCTCTGAAGGTCTTAGGTATTTAGTATGGTCTCTACTCTTTGGCAGGCTTGAATATGAATATTTATCCAAGATTGCAATTGACAAGACCTCTAGGCTGTTTTTATTTGCTTACCTGCCACTCTCTCTTGTTTCTTTTTAATCAGAAAATTTGTGAATAGGCGAAGACATGTTATAGTCACACTCAATTGTCTAAGCTTCCCTTCATTTCAGTAACTTAGACTCACACATATTTCTGTCATGATAGTTCTGTGATACCTTCAAACATATCACTTTTTATCATTTTTCCTAGCCAAGTCTGTTTTAAAGAAGTTGTCTAGGCATTGTTGGAAGGAGAATCCCTTATAACAATGTTACATATCTGTCTTAGTTGATTTGTGTTGCTATAATGAAATGCCTGGGTAAATTATTGTCAATCTAAAGAATAAAGAGAAAGACTTCCTAAAAAGAAGAGTGTTTATTATGAAACAGTCATTGCAATGGGAATACCAGTATCATAGTAAAATATGTGCATATTCAAGAAAGTATAAGAAGACAAAGATTTTTAAAGAAAAATTATGGAGAATTACATCATTGTTTTGAGATGATTATTCTTGGTTTCAAGAATCAGCAACAAGGGTCACACAAGTGTGAGTTTGCAATGGCCTTTGTACAAGGTTGTGTTTTTTGCAGTCTTTTGTGATAGTTTTGATATGAGGCATTTATGAATGGGGATTTTCCCTTCATGGTCATCCCAACTCTATTTGTCAGAGATTTTAACACAAGTGTCTCCATTTTTATTCTGACAACTTTCACATCATAAATCATTTATATTTATTTCATACAGTTCTGTAAGAACTGGGAGGTCCAAGATCAATGCACCAGCAAATTCAGGGTCTGTTAAGGGCTGTTGTTTGCTTCCAAGATTGTGCCTTGTTGCTGTGCTTTTACACAGTGGAAGGTGGAGGGGCAAAAGTGTCCTAGATCATTTCCTCCAGCCCTTTTATAAGGCATTAATCCCATTTATGAGGTCAGACTCTTCATGGCCTAGCCACCTCCTCAAGTTCTTACCTCTTAATACTGTTGCATTGGGGATTAAGCTTCAGCATGAATTTTGAAGGGGACACATTCAAACCATAGCAATGTCCTTTTAAGATCATCTAACATTTATACTTTACCTCAATCTTCTAGAATGTAACACGTTATTTTCATATTTTAAAAAGATATACTCCCAAACAATTAAGTTGGACTCAATTGTTCAGCATTAGATCCATCAAATGTTCAAATTTCTCAACATATTAAGTTCACCTCACTACCATGGATTCTCTGTCTTTTGCTGAAGAAAAGGTAAAAAAGGCAATTAAAAGAGGTTTTTGAGGTTGTGTAAGAGACTATTATTTCATTAAGGCATCACAGACTCCCATGATGAAAATATGTGTGAGTCTAAATTACTGAAATGAGGAGAAGCCTAGGCAATTTAGTGTAACTATAACTTTTTTTTTTCTCTCAAACACAAGTTTGCTGATTAGAAAGAAGCTGGAGAGTAGGACCAGGTAATTTGAAGTTTTTCACTTGTCTGGGTCCAAGGATAATTTAGAGGATGAAAATGTAAGACCAATAACAGGCTCTGAAATTGTGGCAATAATCAATAGCTTACCAACCAAAAAGAGTCCAGGATCAGATGGATTCACAGCCGAATTCTACCAGAGGTACAAGGAGGAACTGGTACCATTCCTTCTGAAACTAGTCCAATCAATAGAAAAAGAGGGAATCCTCCCTAACTCATTTTATGAGGCCAGTATCATCCTGATACCAAAGCCGGGCAGAGACACAACTAAAAAAGAGAATTTTAGACCTATATCCTTGATGAACATTGATGCAAAAATCCTCAATAAAATACTGGCAAACCAAATCCAGCAGCACATCAAAAAGCTTATCCACCATGATCAAGTGGGCTTCATCCTTGGGATGCAAGGCTGGTTCAATATATGCAAATCAATAAATGTAATCCAGCATATAAACAGAATCAAAGACAAAAACCACATGATTATCTCAATAGATGCAGAAAAGGCCTTTGACAAAATTCAACAACCTTCATGCTAAAAACTCTCAATAAATTAGGTATTGATGGGATGTATCTCAAAATAATAAGAGCTATCTATGACAAATGCACAGCCAATATCATACTGAATGGGCAAAAACTGGAAGCATTCCCTTTGAAAATTGGCACAAGACAGGGATGCCCTCTCTCACCACTCCTATTCAACATAGTGTTGGAAGTTCTGGCCAGGGCAATTAGGCAGGAGAAGGAAATAAAGGGTATTCAATTAGGAAAAGAGGAAGTCAAATTGTCCCTGTTTGCAGATGACATGATTGTATATCTAGAAAACCCCATTGTCTCAGACCAAAATCTCCTTAAGCTGATAAGCAACTTCAGCAAAGTCTCAGGATACGAAAACAATGTGCAAAAATCACAAGCATTCTTATACACCAACAACAGACAAACAGAGAGCCAAATCATGAGTGAATTCCCATTCACAATTGCTTCAAAGAGAATAAAATACCTAGGAATCCAACTTACAAGGGACGTGAAGGACCGCTTCAAGGAGAACTACAAACCACTGCTCAATGAAATAAAAGAGGATACAAAGAAATGGAAGAACATTCCACGCTCATGGGTAGGAAGAATCAATATCGTGAAAATGGCCATACTGCCCGAGGTAATTTATAGATTCAATGCCATCCCCATCAAGCTACCAATGACTTTCTTCCCAGAACTGGAAAAAACTACTTTAAAGTTCATATGGAACCAAAAAAGAGCCCGCATCGCCAAGTCAATCCTAAGCCAAAAGAACAAAGCTGGAGGCATCACGCTACCTGACTTCAAACTATACTGCAAGGCTACAGTAACCAAAACAGCATGGTACTGGTACCAAAACAGAGATATAGATCAATGGAACAGAACAGAGCCCTCAGAAATAACGCCGCTTATCTACAACTATCCCACCTTTGACAAACCTGAGAAAACAAGCAATGGGGAAAGGATTCCCTACTTAATAAATGGTGCTGGGAAAACTGGCTAGCCATATGTAGAAAGCTGAAACTGGATCCCTTCCTTACACCTTATACAAAAATTAATTCAAGATGGATTAAAGACTTAAACGTTATACCTAAAACCATAAAACCCTAGAAGAAAACCTAGACATTACCATTCAGGACATAGGCATGGGCAAGGGCTTCATGTCTAAAACACCAAAAGCAATGGCAACAAAAGCCAAAATTGACAAATGGAATCTAATTAAACTAAAGAGTTTCTGCACAGCAAAAGAAACTACCATCAGAGTGAACAGGCAACCTACAAAATGGGAGAAAATTTTCACAATCTACTCATCTAACAAAGGGCTAATATCCAGAATCTACAATGAACTCAAACAAATTTACAAAAAAAACCAAACAACCCCATCAAAAAGTGGGCGAAGGACATGAACAGACACTTCTCAAAAGAAGACATTTATGCAGCCAAAAAACACATGAAAAAATGCTCATCATCAGAGAAATGCAAATCAAAACCACAATGAGATACCATCTCATACCGGTTAGAATGGCAATCATTAAAAAGTCAGGAAACAACAGGTGCTGGAGAGGATGTGGAGAAATAGGAACACTTTTACACTATTGGTGGGACTGTAAACTAGTTCAACCATGGTGGAAGTCAGTGTGGCGATTCCTCAGGGATCTAGAACTAGAAATACCATTTGACCCAGCCATCCCATTACTGGGTATATACCCAAAGGACTATAAATCATGCTGCTATAAAGACACATGCACATGTATGTTTATTGCAGCACTATTCACAATAGCAAAGACTTGGAACCAACCCAAATGTCCAACAATGATAGACTGGATTAAGAAAATGTGGCATATATACACCATGGAATACTATGCAGCCATAAAAAATGATGAGTTCATGTCCTTTGTAGGGACATGGATGAAACTGGAAATCATCATTCTCAGTAAACTATCACAAGAACAAAAAACCAAACACTGCATATTCTCACTCATAGGTGGGAATTGAACAATGAGAAGACATGGACACAGGAAGGGGAACATCACACTCTGGGGCCTGTTGTGGGGTGGGGGGAGGGGGGAGGGATAGCATTAGGAGATATACCTAATGCTAAATGACAAGTTAGTGGGTGCAGCACACCAGCATGGCACATGTATACATATGTAACTAACCTGCACATTGTGCACAAGTACCCTAAAACTTAAAATATAATAATAATAAAATTAAAAAAAAGAAAATGTAAATATAATTTTTTTCTATTTTCTTTTATTTTCAAGCAACATTGTCAGTGATAGGATATAGAGGAATGCAACTTAATGATGATAGAATATTAACAAGGATAAAGAAAAGCATGGCCCAGAGGAAAAGCAACAGGCACTAAAGTGCTACAGACATATTACCAACTCTTAAGGGCAGTTGTGTGTGGGTGATCCCAAATGTTATGTAGTTAAAAAAAATCATCCAAATCCAATAAGTAATGCATAACTGATGATTGATTATGCAAGCATTTCCTTTAAGAAATTAATACTGGGCCAAGCGTGGTGACTCACGCCTATAATCCCAGCATTTTAGGAGACAGAGGTGGAAGGATCACTTGAGGTCAGGGGTTCAAGACCAGCCTGGCCAACATGGTGAAACCCCATCTCTACTAAAAATACAAAAAATTAACTTGGGGTTTTGGTGGGTGCCCATAAACCCAGCTACTTGGGAGATTGATGCAGGAGAATCACGTGAACCCAGAAGATGGAGGCTGCAGTGAGCTGAGATCGTGGCATTGCACTCTACCCTGGGCAACAGAGCGAGACTCCATCTCAAGAAAAAAAAAAGGAAATTAATACTGCCTATATAATAAAATATTACTGTATAACTAACAGCATAATGTAATAAAATTGCATCAATTAGTGTACAGGTTACATAGGTAACATTGATAAAATTTATTATACCAGCTATTGTTGAGGTCATTACAGTAAATATGTAGATGTATTATCACTTTTGTGCTGAGGCCAGACTATGATAAATATTTACACCATAGAAATTTAAAACTGAAAAGATATGTAGAGGTGATCCTTTAAATCATTCTTACTTACATGTTTACAATCTTGAAATTCGATTCTCTTTCAAATTCTGGGAATATAGATTAAGTGACTAAATAAACTATTTTTAACTAAATTTGAATATAATAAATTTCTAATGACTGGCTCCATGTAGACATTTGGAGAGTAAACTCACCTATTCACAGACACACACAAATAGTGCTATCTTAATTAATTTTATGCTATTTAAATAGACCTAAGCATTTACAAAATACATTTCGGTCATAATATTAGGTCAGTGCAAAAGTAAAAGCGGTCTTTGCCATTGCTTTTGCACCAATCTAAATATATCATTCATAGTCAGCAAATTTATAACAAATACATAAGTTACTTTGATTTAGGGAACATTTCTTGAAAATGTTTAAATGTAGCTGTCAAAGGATCTGTTTTCAGATACTGGTAGTGAAATTACATTGACTTGGAAAACGAAGGATGAGCAAAATCTACATTAATTAAGTAGAATAAATGCTCTGTTATTTGTCAAATTGTTTTAATAAATTGTCAAGTCTTATGTTAAACACAGCATTACGTTTGAGAATTTGGCCCAAGCAAATGTTAATAGTTGATGATACAATCATTGTCCATATGTTCTTTAGATATTTGTAGACCATATGAGAATAAATCTGGATTTATCAAAAGTTTAGTTTGTAAAACTCAATTCTTTTCATGAATATGAAGAAAATTTTTATTTCAAGAGTCAATAATTTTGTTGAATTAGTATTGTATGGAATTCTTATAATTTTATGTTGCCTTGGAATCCATTTTGAATGTGACTCTTAACTTTTTCATACCAGAAGAGGGGTCAGTAACCCTTGTCAGAGTTTCCACTTCTCCACTGCCTCAGTTTCTTAAGGAGATCCATCCATATATCTGCCTTATACAACTGCCTGCTGGTGGCCACCTCCCTAAAGGATAAGTATATTCTACTTCGTTCAACCTCATACCTAGTATGGACTATGCAGATTGTCCTGGTGAGCCCCTTACAATCACAGCATGTCTTCTTGGAGCTCCTGCTTGCTAGCTTTAAATCCACCAACTAGTGGATTTAAAAAACTTGTGTGTGGTTTTCAGACTCGACCACAGGCAACGAAAAATAATTATCTGGCAGGTCTCATGGGAAAAACTGCTCTCCCCTCACTATACTTGGTGCACAGCCCATACATTATAGCCCTTAAGGGGAGTTGCAATCAATAACTCAGGCCTCTCTGACTGGCCATGCACTTACACATGTCTGTATTCCTAGTGTGGTCCATTTCATTTGGAGGTTCTTTATCTGAATCCTTAGATAGCTTTGCTGAGATCACCTTATTGGAGAGAAGGAGGGGCAACCTTCTAGACACTCTACTCTGGCACAGTGCCCAGCATTTTCCCATTTCTAGCTTCCCCCGCTTGCCCTCTGTGTTCTTTTTCCATTTCCCACTCCTGGTTTCCATAAAAGTGCAGGAGATTTTGCTTGGGGCTCCCTGGCCCTATGACAACCCCCATTTCTGTGCTGAACTGCCTGATCTTTCACCAGTGTGGAATGGAAGATGGAGGGTAGGGGGAGTAGTGGAGGGAAGAGTAATGAGATGAAATCAGCACTTTTTCTAATTTAGTCTCTTGCTTAGTAATCCTAGTAAGTGATTAATCCTAGTAAGTGATTAAGGACTAGACTGTTACTTTAACTTTTGTTTTGTTGTTTTAACAATTTAGGAGAAAGAACTGAGCTGCTAGGAGCCAGAGTAGCCAACTAAAGCAATGAATTGGTATACAATATATGATGAGTTAGTAGTAAATAAAAATTAAAAAGCATGGTAAAATTTAAAATCATGGTAAAGTAACTGCCAATTATGGAGCTGGTCTTTTTCTGAGCTTAGTCAGGAAAGACTCTTCTAAGGACATAATATCAGAATTCATATATTATATACCAGTGTGTTTATTTGTGTACTTTCTGTCTCCCCACTTTGAGTGTGGAGAGGGATTTTGCCTTGTTCCATGTTTATCCTCAGCGTCCAAAGGAGTGTCAGGAATTTTATGTTTCCTCTATAAATGTTTACTCACTCTATTAATGAATACTATTTTCTATAGACAGTAAAGTTTCACTTCTATCAGAATTACTATGAAGGAGAATCTATGCAGTTCAATAAGATGGAATTGTTTAACGTGTATCTGTAGTATTATTTAAGAGCGATGTAGCAAAGTATATTCATTGTGATATATTGCTAAGTGTTAGGTATCCAACACTGCAAGTGAGATAGACCAAACTAATGGGAGAACAATTTCGTCAATGTTTCCTCCTCAGATTCTCCAAAATAGTTAATATATCCCTGTGACACTTAATAGTAACTTATTTGCACAACACATTATATTTATTCCAGACTAATTATTATGGTCTATCCTTTCCTACATTTTGTATTCTTATGATTCTCTTAAAGTGGTCTTTAGCTCTTTTTGACAGGATAAAAAAATCTAGGAAATATTTGACTTTTAAATATGTGAAGGTTGACAATGTGGCATATTTTAAATAATAGAAAATGTGCATAATTATAGATTATATTAAATTTAAAAACATTTTAATAGTGGTGCTATGTATCATGGGAATAACAGACAAAAATAATTACCCCCGCAATAAACAAATTCAATAAATTGACTTTCTGGGGTGTGTGGGTGTGTGTGTGTGGGGGTGTGTGTGTGTGTGTGTGTGTGTGTGTTCACTTAGGAAAATGTTAGTCCCTGAGAGGTCAGAGGGTTTGGAGTGAGTGCAGAAGAAACCGAAAGAAATCTTTCACCATTAGCAATTCTAAGGCCTTTGTAAAAGTCTTCCTATACTGGTAATTATCCCATATTCTCATAGAGGGTTGGACTCAAGGAAGTAATAGGGCCATTAAACTTCATTACTCTTGCCTTTTCTCAGTTGTTTCTAAATTCTAAGAGCCCACAGATTCTGGAGAAAAAGATTTCCTATTGGTTAAAGAAATAAAATTATAGAAACCATATTCTTCATTCACACACATTCTAGGTTCTTTGTTTATGTACTTTTTTTCTATCCATTTAATTTCCGTCTTCTGATACAACAACAGCAATGAGGTTTCATTTGTTATTTGGTTAAATCTCAAATCTTCTGCAACATCAGTTTAATGGCATTAATTTCAGCTTCAGTTAACAAGTTTCCTTTCCTGAAGGCTTGTCTCCAACCTGTTATATTTTCTTCATTTATTTAATCTAGTTGTCAACTCAGGATATTTGTTGATAAATTGTCAGAGTATTTTCTGACTCTATAAGACTAATACTTTATGATTGAATAGCTTCTCTAACATAGCACCTTCTTTAATCTTGTGCTTAAAAATTCCAATTGCCAGGATTTTTTAGGCATAAAATCCTGATGTTTGGGCTTCTTTCAGCTGCCAAAATAATTTAACAACTTTTATTAACATGTTCGCAGTCCTTAAATTTTGTGCAATATATTTCTTGAAACTTTAGTAATTGGATAAATGACTCCCTTTATTGAACTTGTTTGACTCTTCTGAAAGCTACTTTAAACTACAGCATGGCTACCTGTATTATTTTATTATTTGATTTATTGTTCTGAAGCATTCTCTGGCCACTTGCCTACAGAGACATGGGAGAAATAATATGGAAAGGGTGTAATGTAAGAATGTATAGATTTGGAAAGTGTAAAAATATGTTGTCCATATAGTACTCAAAATGCATTAATCAATTTTATTTTATCATACAGCTTCTGAGTGATTTTGATATGTCACCTTTGAAAGAAATGTATACTAGCACATTCAATTCATATTTCTAATTTATTACATATATTATATATGTAATTTATAAGATATATATGTATATATCTTCTACAGTATATTAGGAATAGCATATAAAAACTAAAAAGATATAATTTAAAAGGTACAACTTGATGAGTTTTAACAGTATTGCACATTCACTAAACCTAACACCATCATCAAGTTACAGATAATTATTTTTTCTTCTAAAAACGCTTTATGCCCATCACAATCCATTCTTTCTTCTATCCCTGACTCCAAGCAAACATTGATGTATCATGTGGCAATATGGTTTTGTTTGAATTTTATAGAACTAGAGTAACATAGAAGGTACTATTTTGTGTCTGACATCTTTCATTTAGAATAAAGCTTTTGAGATACATCCAGTTTGTTGCATGGATCAGTAGTTTGTTAGGTTTTATTGCCTCAAAGATTTCCATTTTATAGATATATCACAGTATGTTTCTCCATTTATATGTATTTGGGCATGTAAGTTATGTCCAGTTTTGACCATTTTGAATAAAGTTGCTATGTATATTTGTGCATAAGTTTTTTTGTAGACATAAGTTTTGTTTCCCTGGGATGCAAAAGATCATTGTTTATAAGATATATATATATTTTTTTCATTCATCTACTTTAAATATTTCTTTATATTCCATGTGTCTTTCATAGATTGAACAGAGTTGAATCTTGCTTTTTTATTCAATCTTCTAATCTCTGCCTTTGATTTAGAAAATGAGACCATTGACCTCCCCCCTACCCCAACCACCATCCTCTTTGCTCGTTTTTATTTTTTTCCTGTTTCTTTTTTTCTACCTTGTTTTGGAATATTTTAATATATTTAGAATTATATGTGAACATACAGATTGCCTTTTAGCTATACTAATTTTTATAATATTAATGGTTGCTCTTTTCCAACAGCACTTTAAAGGTATTAATCCATAGTATTTGGGCCACCTTTGTTTCTGAAAAAATGTCTACAGTCATTCAATTAATTTTACCCCTGTATGTGACGTGTTACTTTACTCTAGCTGATCTGGAAATTTTTACTTCATTATTTGGCTTTCAGCAATTTGGCTGTAATGTGCCTAGCCTTGGGTGTTTTATATATATGCTGTTTGGTGAATCATAGCTTCTTGAATCTGTAAACTTATTCATTTAATGGAATTAAAAACTTGTTTTACTTCTGCGGATTTTTTTTTTTTGTCACATACTCTCCTCACCTCTTTAGCTCCATTTTTCTGCCAGTTACATCTTTCGAAATTGCCCAACATGTTACTGAAGCACTATCCAATATTGTGTTTTCTGTCTTCTGTAGATTAAATTATTTCCATTCGTCTCTCCTCAGGGTCACAAACAATATTGCTACCATTCTTTTCTGCTATTCTGATTTTTAACTTTTAATTCTAAAATTGTTTTTTTAATTAAATTCTCACTGAGATGTTATTTTTTTTTTATTAAAATGTGCTACTCTTTTTCTTTTTCTTTTTTTTTTTTTTTTTTTTTTTTTTGAGACAGTCTTGCTCTGTTGCCCAGGCTGGAGCGCAGTGGCGCGATCTCAGCTCACTGCAAGCTCTGCCTCCTGGGTTCACGCCATTCTCCTGCCTCAGCCTTCCGACTAGCTGTGACTACAGGCGCGAGCCACCACGCCCGGCTAATTTTTTTGTATTTTTAGTAGAGGCAGGATTTCACCGTGTTAGACAGAATGGTCTCAATCTCCTGACCTCATGATCTGCCCCCCTCGGCCTCCCAAAGTTCTGGGATTACGGGCGTGAGCCACCGTGCCCGGCCTAAAATGTACTACTCTTTACTTTGAGAACATTTGTAATAGTGAATTTCAAATTATTGTCTATAATTTCAAACATTCATGTCATTTTGAGATAAACATCTGTTGATCATTTTGTTTGCTACAGATTGGATCACATTTCCTGGGTCTTGCTATGCTAAGGTTTGGATAATATCCTGGATAATTAAAATATTATTTGTTATTTCATTAGATTGTTCTGAAGATTATTTATTCGTTGAAGCAGGCAATTAACTTGATTATTCTCAAACTGCAAAGAGTCATAGTCATACTGTGCGGTAGCCCAGATCACAATTCAGTTATTTAAGTCCACTGTATTTTACTTTCCATTTGCATTGTTTGTATGTTTTAGGCATTAGCAAGAGGATGGGCCCTTTAAAAACGTTTTGGAGTGCCTTTCCTCTGGCTTTTTTGGGTGTTCACTCTCTGGAGGTCCTAATTTCCGCAGCCTCATTCTCCTGTTCCTCCAGTGAAGGTGTTGGACTTTCTATCAGAATTTTAGCTGCCCCTGACCAGCTGCCACCACAAGAGCAGCCACCCACAGTCAAAAGCTACAAAAACAAGGAACTCACTTTGTGTCGGTCACTTGTTCCAAGGTTTACCAACCCTCAAACATCTGCCTGCTCTTGTCCACTGTCCAGAACCCACAGAAAGTTCAGTTTCGTATACCGTACACAGTTATCAGTTATGTAGTTTGGGGAGAATCAGTTTGTTATGTGCTCATTCTTTCCTACCAAAAGTAGAACTTTGTATGTTTTCAATAAATAAGCAAACTCGAACAACAAGCAAATGTATCAGTCCATTTTCATGCTGCTGTTAAAGACATACCGGAGACTGGGCAATTTACAAAACAAAGAGATGTAATTGGACTCAGTTCCATTTGACTGGGGAGGCCTCATAATCATGGCGGAAGGCAGGGAGGAGCAAGTCACATCTTATGTGGATGGCAGCAGGCAAAGAGAGAGCTTGTGCAGGGAACTCTTGTTTATAAAACCATCGGATTTCTTGAGACTCATTCACTATCACTAGAACAGTGGAGGAAAGACCCGCCCCCATAATTAAATCACCTCCTGCTGGGTTCCTCCCAGAACACATGGGAATTGTGGGAGTTACAATTTAAGTGGAGATTTTGGTGGGGACACAGCCAAACCATATCAGCAAACTCGTAATTGAGTTTCCATGCATATATGTGTTTAATAATATTTACATTTAATCTCTGTATCTTTCAGAAATAAGTTGACAATTTTATTGGAATTCATACTGCTTCACTTTTAATTTAAGCCTCTATGAATACAAGGAAACAAAACATCAGATATGGAATAAAATTTAAGAACATTTATTAAATACCACAATCTACCTCATAGATAGCCTAAAATATAAAATAAATTGACAGATATATTTGCTAATATAAAAAGTCAAAAACCAAGGCTCTTCTCATCACATCTTGGGCTTATTTCATCTCCTGCCTCAAATACGCTCCATCCACATCCTCCAGGCCCTTCCTCTTTTCTGCAGATAGGCTTTCTCTGCTTTACCATCTTGTCTCATGTCAAGTTTAGAACTGTTGCCTTGTGGATTCATGCATTACTGGTGTACTAACCCAGACATACGTGGTTTTCAACACAAGATTTTACCACCATTTCACTGATGTAATTTCTCAGGTTCATGGCTATTTAATAGTGGGAGATTATTTTATATTTCTAACATGGTCTAGGTTTCCACTCCTACTGCTCCTACTATTTGTTGTGCAGAAGGTTAATAAGGTAGGAACTTAGGCTTATTTTTCCAGATTTTATGAATGGAGCTGGTGTTTTAACAATGATTACATAACAGTTGGGATATATATTACATTTGTTATGCATATAACATAGCTTTAGTTATTATATTAATACTTTTAAAAGGTATATAAATATTATTCCCATTGTGTAGAGGAGAAAATTGAAGCTTACAATTTAAAACAAATGCATCAAATTTTTATATCTAGTAAATGCTAGAGTTGGAGTTCATACATATTTTGGGCTGTACGAGTGAAGAGAAAAATAAAAGTATGATCAATAAATATACTCATTGGGTAAAATATTTTATGAGGTAATATGCATTATAAATCAATCTGAAATCTCCATTTTACCGATTCCACTAACTTACCTAGTGCAAGCCATAACCATGTCTTCCTTGAATAATAATCTCATCACTATTCTCACTAAATCCATTCCTAGTCTATAGCAACTATTTTTCAGACAGAGCCAGAATAATCTTCCAAATTTATGATGCCTATAGTGTATTTAAATACTAAGTGTTTTTTCTTTGTACTCAGATTAAATAATAAAAATCTTCCTGTGGCCTGAAGAACCCTGAATTATCTGACAAGTGTTGAACTCACCAGCCTCAACTATGTTTTTCATCCGTTGCTTAATCCACTCTCAGTCACACAGACATTACTTAACATTATTCAAACACACCAAGCTCCTCTCTGCTCAGGGACTATGTTTAACTTTTCATACCTTGAGAGTGATTTCTCTAACTCTACTCAGAAATCACATTAATGGTTCACTATGTATCACCCTGGATCTAACCTCATTCTCCATTTGTACAACCACATGACTCAGGGCCTGTTTCTGCTACAGTACTTACTGCACCCAAGCTGAATCAAATCCCTATCTTCTGTTTAATGACCATGTTTTTCATAGACTAACCTCCATCTGTGCTTTCTGATTACTCTGATCCCTCTGCATATGGTATCATGGCTATTATATCACAAGTGCTAACTCTTTTAGCATAATATTCTTCACACACTCAAAAATTGATTGACTACCTATTGTTTTTGAGGAATTATTTCACAAGATATTACAGTAAATATAAAGACAGACATTCCACCTCTTATACTGTATACATTTTGGTTCAGGAATTAGACAAGAAATAAGTGAAATATTGTTTGTTTCAAGTGGTAATATATACATGAGGAATAATAAAGTGTTGAAGATGTTAAAATTTAAAGTAGGGATATCACAAAGCTTATAAAAAGTTGGCACATTAAGAAAAATGTCAATAAGCTAATAGAACAAGCCATGCCAAAAAAAAAAAAAGAAAAGAAAAAAGAAGAAGCCACAGAGTTCTAAGGAAATATCATTCCAATGAGAAATTATAAGACCTTTTACAGCCCTGAAGCAGGAACTTGCTTGCCGTGTTGCAGTTACAACAAGGACGCAGTGTTAGTAGGGTGGAAAAGGCAGGAGGAGAATTATCAAACAGAGATAAATAAAGAGAGAGAAAAATAGAGAAAATGATTTACGGACACAAAATACATTGAAAAAACTTTCTACATTATCAGTGGAAGACCACTGGATTCATTTAAAAAGAGGACTTTCATGATCAGAATTATGTTTTAAGAGAATCATGTGTGCCACTAGGAATTAGTCTGTAGTAAGGAGACAAAAGTAAATAGAAAAATAATATTTAGGGCTGTTCCTATAATCCAAGTGAGAGACATGAGTTTCTTAGATCGTGGTAATATGAGTGGAGTATTGATATTGTCAAATGCTGCATGTATTTTGAAATTAAACCAAAATGATTTACTGATTCCTGAAGGGTGTGGAAGGTCAGAATTTGTATTGTTGAATATTGGATTAATATGTATTTTAATTTATGAACAGATCAGGTATCTGATACTATGCTGTGATGTATAAAATTATTTATGTAATAAAAATGCCCAGTGATTTGGAAAACCAAATACACATTTGAAGACAATTAGGAAGTCTTGCTCAAACTTATTCCAAGAGGCTGTTTAAATGATGAGAAAAGTAGTTGAAACAGAATATAGAGGGAATGTTTTCAAATTCTTATTTTGTTCCTGTATAAACTACAGTAAAATGAGGACTGGGGGTGGAAAGAACAAGCTAATATAGAATACAATTACCCTTAACTCAGGAGTTTACTCTACTGCTCTCTTTTCCTCTAACAGAAAGAAATATGACTGTGAAAACATATTCATAAGGTAGATGCAAGATCTTATTAATAGATCAGCACTCATTACAATGTAATAAATCATAAAATTTGAGTTTAAAATCAAGACAGACTTAACATGTGACTGACTCTCCATAAAATTTTGTTTTACATGAGTCAATAATTCAAGTTATAAAAACGTTTTTCCTCTCTGAATTAATTGTAGCATATTAAACCCAGCTCACTATAAAAATTTATTACAAATATTTTTCCCAATAACAAGTTTGGTAGTTTTTACAGCCTTCAAGTTTTACAAAATATTTATTTGGTGAGGGCAACTTGACTAATCACCCTCAGGACCATGTTTCAGTACGTCTTCTTAACTAGTAATCATCAAGTATTTTAAAACAAATATAATGCTATCCAACATATATGCACATAATTGTGTGAAGCAGGATAAATTGTGCGCTGCTTCATTAAATTATTATAAAAAGTAAAAGTGCATTTTTAAGTAATTGAACACATTTTACAATGAATGTGTGTTTTTCAATTATAATAATGTCAAATATGAAATATACACTGCTACAGCTACACTTTTCTTTATTCAATTGTAAAAGGGAGTGCATTTTACCTTAGTATTCTCTTTAGTGCGGTATATAAATGTTAATTAAAAATACCTTATTATTTAACATTAATTTTTATTTACTTTTTAGCCTTTTTTTTTTTTTTTTAATTTGAGATGAGTCTTGCTATGTCACCCAGGCTGGAGTGTGGTGGCGCAATCATGGCTCACTGCAACCTTCGCCTCCTGGGTTCAAGCAATTCTCCTGCCTCAGCCTCTTGAGTAGCTGGGATTACAGGTACCCGCCACCATGCTCGGCTAATTTTTTGTAATTTTTAGTAGAGATGAGGTTTCACTGTGTTAGCTAGGATGGTCTCAATCTCCTTACCTCGTGATCCACCCACCTCCACCTCCCTATTAACTTTGTTTTCTTTTAGAGACAGAGTATCACTCTGTCACCAGGCTGAAGGCCAGGAGTGAGACCATAGTTCACTGTAGGCTTGACCTTTCCAATTTAAAGGATCATCCTGCCCCAGACACCTGAATAGAAAATTATTGTATTGGCTGGGCGAGGTGGCTCATGCCTGTAATCCCAGCACTTTGGGAGGTTGAGGTGGGCAGATCACAAGGTCAGGAGGTCAAGACTAGCCTGGCCAATGTGGTGAAACCCCATCTCTACTAAAAATACAAAAATTAGCTGGACGTGGCGGCATGTACCTGTAGTCCCAGCTACTCAGGAGGCTGAGGAAGGAGAATCGCTTGAACCCAAGAGGCAGAGGTTGCAGTGAGCCAAGATTGCACCACTGCACTCCAGCCTAGTGACAGAGCGAGACTCTATCTCAAAGAAAGAAAGAAAGAAAAAAGAAAGAGAAGAGAGAGAGAGACAGAGAGGAAGGGAGGGAGAGAGGAAGGAAGGAAGGAAGGAAGGAAGGAAGGAAGGAAGGAAGGAAGGAAGAAAAGCAAGCAAGAAAAAGAAAGAGAGAAATAAAGAAAGGCATTGTACTAATAAAGGCTCACAAAGGCGATTTAGAGGACAAAAGAGTAACCCAATATATATTATTAAAAGACAAAGATTGAGAGGATAAAAATATAGGAAGTAAGCAAGATTTCCAAAAGGAAGTGAAAATTGAGCTAAGTTTTTAAATACAGTTAAGATTTTACAGGCAAAAATAATTAAAGAATATTTAGATAAAGTGGTATTTTAAAAATTGAAAAATTTAGGGTACACAAGAAAAGATCAATAGAACATATAGTTTACAGAATGTTTTATTTGCCAAACTGCGTGTTTTAACCTTAAAAATTAGACATTTTATAGATTAATTTGTGGAATGATATGTATATTTTGTTCTATAAAATTATGTATTTTACACATAAATATTTGACATATCTATATAGTAAAAATAAATATATTTTAAAATTTTTAACTGTTTTTGCTTGTATTAATTTACTTGCAATCCAAGATCTACTGATATGAGAATAGATACGGTATTATGGATAATGGGAAGATCTAAATAGAGATGATATGGCCAACACTTTCCCTGTTATTATTAGATTGAACCCAATGTAAGCTAGACACAGCACCACTAATACTTGGCAATTGTGTGTCTTCTAATTTTGTTTCAAAATATTTGTATACTCACTTCTACCTAAGCTAATAAGTACAAGCTATGATTTCTTGATTTTTTTCTCATCTCAAATAGAAAAATAAAATTATCTGAAATACCTTTTAATTTTTTTCAGTAGCAAGTGAATGATTATAACATAAGACTCTTGTTGAAAGGGATGATAGAAGAACGGGAGAGAACGTTTGAATGATATTCTGTAAATTGATCACTTCCATGGAGCAATGGGATCTGTAAACTGTGTTAGCAAATGATCTAACTCAAGAGGGAGTTGTGGGAACTCCAGATTTACAGCTGATTGGTCATAAATATGAAAGACCAGGTCTTGTGAATGGCGTCTGATGTGGGGGCAGTCTTGTGGGACTGAGCTTTTGACACGTGGGATCTGTGGCAAACTGCAGGTAGTGTAAAAATTGAATTGAATTTTTTTTTCAGGGGGAAGGTAAGCATGGGTGAGAACCCTACACATTTGGTGTCAGAAGTGTTCTGTGTTAGAATGTAGAGAAACCGTTTTCCCAGAATTCGTGTCAGAATCAGAATTTACTAGAATGGCCCTGGTTCAAAGAAACGTATGGTTTAGAAACAGAAAGATTAAAAGGACAGGAGATAAGGAACTTTTGATTCCTAGGTGGCCATTTGGTTACACATGGTATGAAGCGGCAGCTATGCTGCAATCAAGTACTACATGCAAAGGTTACTAATGGAATTTAAAGATGAATCCAACTCTTGGGAAGTTTCATTGGTTGTAAAAGGAAATGCAAGCTAATAAGAAAAAAGTAAAATATGCAATTCCTTTTCATTGTTTTCTGTAATGGCTCGGCTAAAATTAAAAGAGAGTGCTGGGTCAGACTTTGATGCTAGAACAAGCTCAGATTTCAGTGAATCTGAGCTTCAGCCACTAGTTTCAAAGTCAACTCCAA
Organism: Homo sapiens; assembly: GCF_000001405.40. NCBI lineage: Eukaryota > Metazoa > Chordata > Mammalia > Primates > Hominidae > Homo > Homo sapiens. Next base: position 56,591,694 of record NC_000013.11, read on the forward strand.
CGGGACACATTATGCTGGGACTACAGTAAGTACCTCTAAAACCTCTGGTCACCAAGAAGATAGAAAACATGGGAAGAGGGCAAAACAAAGAAACCATTGAAACCAGTGGGTCTGGTGTGAAGGAGTTGTTTCATTTTGTAGATTGGTATAATCAGCTTCCTGAAAAACCTTTACTAAAATGGATTATGAAAATAAGTAATTTATAGATAGTGTCTTTGATTTTGCATGCTGCAGAGCGAAAGATCATGTTTGGGTTGATACAGGATGTATAAATCACTATGGAACAACCACAGATCTTTATACAGAATCCAGACATGAAGTTAATTATTCCTAAAAGAGTAGCCTAGTGGATCGGAGTGAGAACATGAGGCATTTATTTTTCTGTGCCTAACCTATTTCAGTCAACATAATGTCCTCTAGGCTCATTGATGTTGCCATGAATGACAGGATTTCAGTTTTCCTTATAATTGAACAGTGTTCCACTGTGTATATACCAATTTTCAAAAATCCATTCATCCATTGATGGACACTCAGGTTGATTCCATATTTTGGCTATTATATGAATAGTGCTATAAGAAACAACATGGGAGTACAGGTATCACTTCAATGTATTGATTTCCTTTCCTTTGAATAAATGGTAGTGAGATTGCCGGATCATATGGCAGTTCTAGTCTTAACTTTTTAAAAAATCTCCTTACTGTTTTCCCATAAAATATTTGTCTAGACTAAGTCCTTAAGCACTTACGTGTCTTTTCTTCTAGTAGTTTTTATAGTTTCAGGTCTTAATCCCCTTTGAGTTGATTCCTATACATGGTTAGAGGGAAGAGTCTAGTTTAATTTTCTCAATATGGATATTCCGTTTGCCCATGACCATTTATTGAAGATACTTTTCCTTCTCCATTATACATTCTTGGTGCCTTTGCCAAATATCAGTTGACTGTAAATATGTGGATTTACTTCTAAGTTCTCTACTGTGTTTCTTTGGTTAGGATTCTGTTTCTACACCAATACCATGCTGTTTTGCTTACTATAGCTTTGGAGTATATTTTGAAGTCAGGTGGTGTGATGTTTCCAGATTTATTCATTTTGATCAGTATTGTTTTGGCTATTTTGGATCTCTTATGTTCCATAAAAATTTTAGGATTGTTTTCTTCATTTATATGAAGAGTGTCATCATTAATCTCATGGGTATTACATTGGATCTATAGATTGCTTTAGGTAGTATGATCATTTTAGCAATATTGATTATTCCAGCCCATAATCATTGGATGTATTTCTTTTGTGTGTGTGTGTGTGTGTGTGTGTGTGTGTATGTGCATGTGTGGCCTGTTTAAATTATTTCATCAGTGTTTTGTTCTTTTCATCATAGAGACATTTCCTTTCCTTGGATAAATACATTCCTATGTATGTATGTATTTATTTATTATAGCTTTAGTAAATGGGATTACTTTCTTCATTTTTTTTAGCAATTTCATTATTTTTGTACATAAATGCTACTAATTTATTATTATTGAGAAATTCATATGAACTTTATTTCTTTCTCTTGCATGATTGTTCGGGCTAGGACTTCCAGTACTATATTGCATAGGAGTGATGAAAGTGAACTTCCTTGTTTTGGTCCAGATCTTAGAGAAAAGACTTTCAGTTTTTCCCCATTCAGCATGACATAAAATGTGGGTTTGTGATAAATGGCCTTTACTGAGTTGAGGAATGTTTCTTCTACATCTAGCTTGTTGAGAGTTTTTATCATGAAGGGATGTTAAATTGTATCATATTTTTTCTGCATTTATTGAAATGAGCATATGATTTTTGTCATTTATTCTATTGAGGCATATCATACCACATTTATTGATTTGCATATATTGAACCATGCATGCATCCCTGGCATAAATCCCACTTCATCATAGTGTCTTGCCTTTTTTATGTGTTGTTAGATGCCATTTGCTAGTAGTTGTTTATAATTTTTTCATCTATGTTCATCAGAGATACTGGCCTGCAGTTTTCTTTTTTGTTGTGTCCTCACCTGGTTTTGTTACCAAGGTAATTTTGGGCTTGTAGAATAAGTTAGAAAGAATTTGTTCTTAAGATATTTGCAATTATTTGAGGAAATCTTGTGTTAGCTCTTGAAATGTTTGCTAGAATTCAGCAGGAAAGCCACCTAGTCCTGATATTTTCTTTCTTGGGAGTTTTTTTAAATTATTGATTCAATATCATTACCTGTTGGTCTGTTCAATTTTTTATTTCTTCTTGGTGCAATCTTAGTAGGTAGTATATGTTGAAGAATTGATCAATTTTCTCTAGATTTTTCAAAATTTTTTAGCATATAGTTCTTTATAATAGTCCCTAGTGATCATTTGTATTGCTGTGGTATCAATTGTAATGCCATCTTTTTGTTTCTTATTTTATTTATTTTGGATCTTCTGTTTTTGTCTTATTTAGTCAGCTAATGGTTTACTTTTTTTAAAAAAACTTCTTTTGTATAATAACAACTTTTAGTTTTTTTTGTTGTTCTTTATTTGGTTCTGCTCTGATGTTTATTATTTATTTTCTTTACTAATTTTGATCTTAATTTGTTCTTGTTCTTCTAGTTCCTTGAGATATATTATCAGTTTCTTTATTTAAAATTGTTATATTTTTTGATGTTGGCATTTATTGCTATAAACATTCTTCTTAGTACTGTTTTTGCTGTATACAATAGGTTTTAATATGTTGTATTTTGATGTCCATTTTTTTATTTTCTTATTAATTTCTTCATTGATGCTGTGATCATTCAGGAGGATATTGTTTTATCTCCATGTATATTTACAGTTTCCAAAGTTCCTTATTGTTTTCTAATTTTATTCCATTGTGTTCTGAGAAGGTACTTGATATGATTTTGATTTATTTTATCTATTGAAACTTGTTTTGTGGCCTAACATATAGTCTATACTAAAATGTTTCTTGTGCTGATGAGAAGAATGTGTATTTTGTAGCTGTTGGATGAAATGATCTGTAAATATCAGTTAGGTGTGAAGATATTCACAGTTTAAGTCCAAGTTTTTCTTTTTGACTTTCTATCTAGATGATCTTGCCACTGCTGAAAGTTGTGTGCTAAAATTCCCAATTTTGTTGTGCTGGGGTTGATCTCTCCCTTTAGATCCAATAGTACTTGCTTTATAGAACCCGATACCCTGGTGTTGAGTTCATATATTTGTACAGTTGTTGTATCCTCTTTCTGACTTGAAAACTTTAGCATTATATAATGACCTTATCTTTTTTATGTTTTATGACTAAAAGTCTATTTTGTCAAATATAATTATAGGTACTCTTCCACATTTTTGGTTTGTGTGGAATATCTTTTTCCATTTCTTCACTTTCTGCCCACATATCTTTAAAAAGTGAAGTAGATTTAATATGGGCATCGGATGGTTAGACCTTTTTATTAAAATCTATTTAGCCAATTTACATTTTTAATTGGGAAATTTAAACCATTTGCATTCAAGGTTTTATTCATTATGAGAACTTACCCCTGTCATTTTATTAATTTTTTATTCTGATTGCTTTGTATATTGATTGCTTCTTCCTTCATCTCTAATTATTTATCTTTGCAATTTGGTGGATTTCTGTAATAATAATATTTGATTCCTTTCTGTTCTCACTTGTATATCTGCCATACCAATGATGGCAGTATACATATCTATACTTTTTTTATATCTATACATATCTATACATATCTATACTTGTTTTAATGATGGTAGATATTGTGCTTTCACTTCCAGATGTAGGATTTTTCAAAGCAATTCTGGCAGGATTGGTCTAGTGGTGATTAATTCTCTTTACTTTTTCTTGTCTGGCAAATACTTTATCTGTTATTTTTTAAGGATAGCTATGCTGTATATACTTCTCTGGCCTAGCAATTTTTTTTTCTTTCAGCACTTTAAATGTATCATCTTCTAGTCTGTAATGTTTCTGCTGAAAAATGTGCTGTTAGTCTGATGGTGATTCCCTTATATGACTTAGTACTTTTCTCTTGCTGTTTTTATAATTCTTTCTTTGCCTTTGACATTTGAAAGTTGGACTATAATGCGCCTTGGGAGAAGTTTTTGGATTTAATCTATTTGGGATGCTTAGAGCTTCCTGTATTTGGATGTCTATTCCTTACCCAACACCTGGGCAGTTTTTATATGTTACTTTGTTGAAGAGATTTTTCCATATTTTCCCATCTGTTCTGCAACTCTCAAAATATGATTATCTATTTGCTTGATATTGTCATATATATCATATAGGCTTTCTTCATTTTTTTAAATTAGTTTGTTTTTTGTTTATTTTTTTCTGACTGTTTTATTTCAAAAGACTTGTCTTCAAGTTCAGAAATGTTTTCATCTCTTGACCTAGTCTATTAGTGAAGTTCTTGATTATGTATTTTTTATTTTTTTCATTGAATTATTTAGTTCCAGGATTCCTGTTTGGTCCTTTCTTTTGATATCTGTCTCTGTTGAATTTCTCATTCAGTTCATGAATTGTTTATGTAATGTCTTTGTATGGTCTGTTTTCTCTTGCATCTCACTCAGTTTTCTTAAGATCATTATTTTGAATTTCTTTTTAGGTATTGCATAGATTTCCTTTTTGGGGGTCTGTTACTGAAAAATTATTGTGCTCCTTTGGAGTTGTCATGTTTCCTCAGTTTTTTTTTTTTTTTTTTTTTGCTTTGCTTCTGTGTCCCTATGTTGATATCTATGCATCTAATGTAACAGTTGCTTATTCTAATTTTATGGACTATCTTTCTACGGAAATAATTTCTCTCGTGGCTGCATCAATACTATTGGTTATGTAAAGTGCTTTGGCTTTGGTTCTGGGTGGGTGTAGTAGTGTAGTCTCAAAGTGATATCTCTGGCCGTAATAACTGTCAGCTGTGTTTCTGAGTTTCTCAGTGGCTTATACTACAGTTATTTTTGGTGGCTGTGGCAAGGTTTTCTTGGGGACTGGAATGCCAGGCAGGCCAATCATCAGATTCTGGGGGGCATGCATGGGGACCAGTGGTGAAGGTAGTAAACTCAAGTCAAGCCAATTCTCTGATCCCAGGTAGTGTGCAAGGGCACTGGTAGTTACAGTGGAAGACCCTGGGAGCCAGTCTTTGGTCTCCCATGTTGAGGACCTAAAGCCATTTTTTTGCAAATGATATTGGTAAAATGGTCAGAGTGTGGAGAATAAGATTGCAAAACTTCCTGACATAGAATCCTATGCACTTCGTTACTACCAGCTTTCTTCAATACAAAGTATGTTTTCCCACATTCAGCTATGAAGGAACTTTGGAGTCAAAAATTGTCATCATCTGAACATTTTTCCCCAACATGCATTCACTGTGAGGTTTTTGAGGATTCTTTAATGACTCTTGTCTGAACCATGTTAAATAAGAGGGTGCAAAATAGTAATTTTTAGCCATCCTTTTATATTTATTTACTGAAATCTTTCTTTGAAAAAAATTTGTGTCTCCTTGTTGTTATTTTATTTATTCTTGTTGTGGAAGCTTATTAAAAAATGGTTACAATAATATTTTCTTTTCCACAAGCTCTTCTTATAATGTGACTTTAAAACCCCTTGTGTCAAGCAGTAGAAACAATGTTTCTTCCCCTTTTTACGTGTTTTTTGTTTGTGAATTCAGTAAAAAATATCTCTGTGTAATTTACCATGTTAGGTTATGTAAGGTAATTCTAGCTTCCCAAATTCCATTCAATTCCGACTTCGTGTTTTATAACCGAGGATGACTGGACTTTGGACCACTGAGTCACTCAGGAACAAGAAGACATAACGGATCAGAGGCCAATTATTCATTCTACTCCTATTTCAAATTCTTAACCAATACAGTCTAAAAGTATAATAAAATAGTTGTTTCATGATATTAAGGTTACTGCTAAAAATAACGCTTCTGTTGGCCAGGCGCGGTGGCTCATGCCTGTAATCCCAGTACTTTGGGAGGCCAAGGCAGTCCGATCACAAGGTCAGGAGATCGAGACCATCCTGGCTAATATGGAAACCCTGTCTCTACTTAAAATACAAAAAATTAACCGGGCGTGATGGTGGATGCCTGTAGTCCCAGCTACTGGGGAGGCTGAGACAGGAGAATGGCATGAACCCATGAGGCAGAGCTTGCAGTGAGCCAAGATGGTGCCACTGCCCTCCAGTCTGGGTGACAGAGCGAGACTCCATTTCAAAAAAAAAAAAAACAAAAAAAAAACACTTCTGTTATAATCAATTATGGTAACAATTTCACAGCTGAAATTTTCATAATTTGAGCAGTCAGAGCGTCTTAATGCTGGCTTCTCTGTATCTTTGATTTTACTGTATATTAAAAAAATTCATTGTTTTATATTATAAAATGTCCTAGCTTCCTTTCCATTTTTTGTCCAATTCATTCTTCTCAAAAACTCATTTTCCTAATAGTTAGGCATTGTACTTAGAAACAAAAAAAATTGCACTAGATTAGCTCGTAGTAGTACTTGGTTGCCTCTGCTTCTGTGCACTTCTCTAGACTAACTCAGAAATAAATTTAGAAGAAATTACAAGTTTACATTTCTGATTTATATGTAACAGATATTTAGATATGTTTTATTTATATTTCTTTTTTCTTACACTTAGAACCCTGTTCCCTCAAAACATTACTATATTCACTTATTTTCTTTGGTATTTTAAATACTATTAAACTTAAATATCTAATGCGTGTGGGGCTTAAGACCTAAGTGATGCGTTGATAGGTGCAGCAAACCACCGTGGCACACGTATACCTTATGTGACAAACCTGCACGTTCTGCACATGTACCCCAGAACTTAAAGTAAAAAACAAAACAAAACAAAAAAACTATGAAAGTTATTTTGTCTTGTAAATATAGTCTACAAAGACTGTATAGTTTCATGTTGATATGTTATCAGAAATGATTTTATAATTGTTTATTGTAAATTTATTGCCTATGTGTATTATCAGTTATTAAACTGTCTTAAGTTTTGTTTCTACGTAAGTTCATGTGTCTATGTTTTTGTATGTATTAATTTAATCTTTAAATCTGTAAAATACTCTTTTAATTCAAACTCAGTACTAAAGTAAATATACTCATAAAACCTCTGAATTTTTGTTCTTAGATCATAAATTTTGTGTTCTTTAAATTTGCAAATATGTGTGCTTAATGATATATATATTTCTCTTGCCATCAATTTTATTAGTTATAATTGCTATAGGTGTAAGTTTTGTTGTCATTCAAGTGAAAATATTTTGTTTGTTTTAATTTCAATTGTATGCAATTTTATGTTAAGTATTCATATGTTTGTGGTAGAACACGTGAACCATACAATGATCATCAGAAATTAACTCAATTCACTCTGGCAAGTTTCATAGTTTTGTTTAAAAGTGGCGTTCTGTTTTTTTTTTTTTTTTTTTTTTTAAAGTGGTAACACATTTGGGTAAAACCCCATATGTATCCATTAAACAATTTTCAAAATATTGTTTCTCAAACCTCTATCATTGCCGTTTTGTATTTTTTAAATCTATCAAGTAATAAGTAAACATTCTTAAATGGTGGTTTTTAATGTATTTTTGGAAATATGTCATTTTTTACATTACATATTAAGAGCCATGCCATTACCTGAATAAAATTTTGAACTGATATCTCTTCCTGGTATAATAAAAACTACATAATTAAAGTCTCTCTTTATCTCTATTAAAGCTACTTGCCATCAAACCATATTATTTTCTATTGTAAATATACTTATAAAGAAAGTTTAAGTTAATGGTAAGTTTTTTAATTTAAAAAATAAATTCTTACTGTCATTGACTTCTATGGTTGGTGTTTAAATTAAGTTATTCTTTCAATTTTCTAAGATTGTCTAAACATCTCTTTATCTATAACCTTCTGCCAATTAAATATGACTTCTGTAAATGTAGATCTTATTTTGTATCTTGCTTGTGATATATTAAGTACCTTGCATCTAAAGATGTTATCTTTTATCAATGTTCAAAAATTGTCAATTATTTATTTCTTTAGATATTTTATTTATGATTCTGATTCTAGTTATATTGAGTTTAACTATTATTAGTCTTGCCCTCAGCATATCATCTGTATACTCTAGAAAAACTTTTAAAAATGTAGTTGAAGTCACAGGAGAGTCACCAAAAGCACAGACAGGAGATTTATCATTTGAAAAAAGGGGAAACATAATGGGTGAGTTCCAGATTTTGCTTTTTCCCTTTAGTGCATTCCCAAGTTCTTGCTGCATGAAGCAGCAAGTTGTGAAGCAAAAAAAAGACCAATCTAAAATTGTCTTGGTTTGGAATTGAGATTAGTAGAGGGTTATTTACTGTGTGGGAAGGGAACCTTTTTCAAAATAGGCATATAGATTCCTTTTACATCTTTGGCTGGCACCTGAAACTGTGCATGATTGGAAAAGACACCAATACATCTGCCAGAAAATACAAACAACTGGGTAGAGAGAAAACTGAACATAGGTTTCAGGTGACATGTACTGCAGGAGAGTTTGGAGTCTCGGACATACAATATTAGGAGACACAATATTAAAACATAAAAAAACCAAGCCAAGTCCAAGAAATAAGAACTTAAGCATGCTTTGGATGGCAGAGACACCTGACAGCAATAACTTAAGCATACCCAGAGAATGACCTTTTTATCTAAGAAGAATGTGTGTTCAGGGTCCTGAGCCAAGGAATCAGTGGCCAAGCAGGAGATTCTCTCCTATCTCTTAAGGACAGCCGAACTCCTGGCTCATTCCTTAGAATTCACGCCATACAGTGGTCAGGGCCTTCTGTTTTGGGTTAAATGAAGGTTGCTGGGCGGAGGTTGCTAAGTGGAAGGTGCTAAGTGAAAACTGCTGTATAAGCTACAGCTTTCAACAAACAGTAGCAGTTATCTTCTCCAGCCCACCACCACTGAATCACCCCTGTATGTAAGTCCTCAATACACCCTACGTAGTTCACTGTGTCTAGGTCTCTTTCTTGGCCTCTCAGATAGGGCGCCATCCTTACTGGAGTCAATAGGGATTGGGCCCAACAGCTTTATAGAACAAAATATAATTCAGAGTCTTTGCAATGTATCATTCACAATTTCCAAGTTTAAAATTAAAACAACTTTGTTTACAGAAAATCTAAATCATGTAATATATTGTCAAAAAATGTTGATTTAAAAAAAACAAAAGAATACTGAAATATTGGAATTAAGAGACAAAGATAGCAAAGGAGCTACTATAAATGTATCCAAGAACTTAAAGGAAAACATGGTTGCAATGAGTGAATTATATGCAGAATTTCAATAAAGAATAAAACCCCAAAAATCAAATGTAAATTATTAAACTGAGAATTATAACAGATGTATGTTATTCTCAGTTCATTTTTCCTGTTGTGAGATGGTTTCATAGATTATTACAGTAATATTATGAATGACCAAAATTATATTTAAATATCACTAATATTATGAAGGGCAGACAATGAATTATCTAATGAATGATAAAAATACTATACATGGGATAATTATTATTTTTGCCATCAGCATTTTGACCAATTCAGTTGTATGCCTACCAGAGCAAAATAAAATCAGAAGTAAAATAAATAAATAATAAATAAACAAAAACCTAGCAAATTAAAATTACATTATATTTTCTTTTCATAAACACTATAATATTGGCATGATTGCTCTGATAATTTCTAGGGAATATATACTCATGTCATTCAATAATTCCTGAACATATATATTTCTTCTTCAAGTAATACATAATTTATCATGAGGCATACAAAAGGAAATATGCATATCAGTTCTAACTTTTACATGTTTGGAGATTCATTGAGTAAAATGTTATGTATGTGAAATAGAGTATTATGAGAAAAGTATGCAAAATATTGTATTGACTTATTATAGAGTAGCAAATTCCACTATGTTTAATATTGCAGAGAATGACATAACTAAGGAGACAGAATTATTTCTGTGGATAAGTGGTGCAGCAATTTAAAAAAACAATGATTATATAGAAGAGTTTGCAAATTCTCTTCTGATCATTTGATGAATTTGGTGCTTTTTTGGGGGTAGGATTTCATATATTAGATGTACTGAAATGTAGATACTCCTTCCCAACCAAAAATTGGACTTTTGAAATATTATTATTTTATTGTCTCAATAAAGAGATTTTTAAATACTATACAATAGCCTATCATTGATGATTAAACAATGATGCAAATTAGGCTTTATTAAGTTTTGTTTTACATGGCCTGTATTATATGGATCATTGTTATCATGGAAACCACTCTGTTATAATGAGAATATTCAAATCAAGACGGAAATTGGATTAAGTTTATCAGATAAATAATAGGGAATTCTCAACATTTCAATAATAGAAACTATAATATTAATAAGAATGAAATATAAAACATTGCTAACTGCATTTTTTATACAAAATCTCATAGTTAAGTGGAAAATATAGGAAAATTTAGCTAAATATTTGAGAACTAGTATTTTATATAAATTAGGTATATAATAATTAATTCTTAATTAAAATATATTACTTAAAATTAGGCTTAATGAATATTTTTATTTTTATTAATAACCACATATTATTAACTGTATTTTATTGTAATCCAAAAAGTCCTTTCTATATTGCCTTCATAACATTAAAAAATATATATCTGATTTATCCTTTATAATTCTTCAAAATTCTACTGTATTTGCAAAATTATTTAAATTCATGTTCATTTTCTTTTTAACAGATATTTTTATGAATAAAATTTAATTCAGGGAAATTGCTTATATTCTTTTGCTTTCAGAAGTCGTAAGGATAAGACAATTTTGATGAAGCTGCAAAGTGCAATTTCTGAAGTTCCTGTGATCAGCTCACTCATCATGCATTTTTCATTTGTATATCACACATAATTCATTGCTTGTCCTTTAGAGATCCATAGTAGATCTTAGTATTTTGCTTTTATTTCCTTGTTACATGTACCCTACCATTCTCTGAATAGCATAAGATCAAAGGCAGCTTTATTAAAAAACAGAATTTGGCACAAAATATAAAATCAATCTAGTATTATATAATACTTTCCAGCAAAGTAGGCTAATCATATCAGTTTGAGATGGCAATTAAGACATCTATAGTGGCTTCAACTTTGTATATATCTCAGCAGCATACTTTCCTAATTCTGTGTATTAACCGACAATTGTCAACTATCAAGTCTGAATGTATATCAGTAAATTAGGTTAAATATAGCAGACGCCTCAGAACCAAGAATTAAGATAGTCTGTTTCCCTAAATATTATATGTTTCCTTAGGTATTATATGTTTAACAAGCAGGAGCCACAATTGGACAAGTTGAAACCTCATGAAAAATTTTGATTCTGGTATCTAGATTCCAGAGTGGGAATGCACATGGAATTTGAGTATTCTTTTGGCAGTTGTCAAGTGTAAAGCCTGTGTAAAACATATTTTACCCCACATATAATAAATAAGAGTATTGAGAAAACAATTGAAGTTCAAATAACGGATAATTAGTGAATATGTACATATGTTACACGGTCTACAGGCGAAGAATTTTTCAACAATTTCAAATTTTGACTCTCTTGCAAGAAGTGTCAAGCTTGTAGAAAATAAGAAATACATTTGATTCTGTTGGAAGAGAACAAACTGGTAGAAAAAAAGAAAAGAAGACAAACTTATAGATCCAGGAAGCCTAAATCCGTGGGAATGTCAAACTAAACATACAAACAAAAAATCCTCTTTTTAAATACTTTTAACAATATTATAACATTTTTAAGAATAAAATTATAAGTAACAAAACTGCCAAAGGTTCTTAGATTATGACCCAGTGACAGCCAAGTCTAAGTTCCAAAATATGATATTTTTTCCCTGAACCACATAAAGTTTCTTGCCTTTCACCTATTTTCTTACTTGTTAGTTCTTTAGGAAGCTGGTTTCCTACTATCATTTTATCGAGTAAATTCTTACCCAGTTGCAGAATACTTAATACCAATCAAATGGAATGTGCCAATACAACTTGGGGAATAATAAAATAGAGCAACAAGAACAGGTGCCAAGATGGCTCAACAGCTGAAAACCTTTAATAGAACTGTTCATCTAGCTAAGGAAATGAGGTGCCAATATCACGTAATATTACTGATGGATTTTATGACATTCTAGATAACATAGAGACCACTCTAAATTAAAAAAGTATTGTCCTTTGATTTCATATATATAAATATTCATATATTATTAAATATTCCTGGTTAATAGCATTAGTTGAAAATTATTTGTTCTGTAAATTAGTGCCAGAACAAACTAATGGGTAAAAAAATTGCAGTAACAATATTTCAAAGAAAATTAGAAATTATAAAAGCACTATATACATTATATATTAGTGGTATTTGTGATGAGGGTGCAAAGCCCAGACATTGCAAAGATTTATATTTAGAATTAACCTTATAGCACACCCTCCATTAAAACCATGCATGGAATTCTTAGTCAATAATTTATAAATTTAAGTTTCAAAATTTGAAATTTTACTTTGTCAGAACACTTTAATACATTTTCACACAGTTCTTGAAATTTCTTATTAATTTTCAGCTCAAAAATGTCATTTAACTAAGTCACAATTTGAAGCCCATAACTGTCCTTCAAAACAATTGCAAAGTGAGAGAATGTTATTGTTTTAATTTCTTATTTTAGTTCATAAACTAATTAACAAATTCTCTCCTATGAATAAATACATTTTATGATGAAGGAGCAACAAGTTGTGTTTGATTCTCTTTTTGTCCATATATGTATGAAATATAACTAAAATTTTTCAACTTATTTGACATGAATTTTGTTAGAGTCCCAGTTTCAATAGGATAATTTAGTTCAGAAATCTGCTGGGAAAGGCAGTCTCTTTTGATTTTCACTTGGTCACGTAAGAATAGGTCTTGGGCCAGGGACTGGTACTTTCCACAAGATAGAGTCCTCATAGCCTGTGCTAAACTCATCATCTTGTGTGGGAATATCTTTCCCTCTGTCAGACTCAATACATTGTTCTGCTTAAGCACGGCATTGTGTAACACCTGACCAATACCACTGCTATTTCTGTCCATTTTGAGAAGGGGGCAGAGTCCTTCAGCTATAGCACAAGGGGGCATACCCACAAGCCAATTGCTGCTGGGAGGGACCCGCTGGCTATGGGTACTGAGGCTGACTTGCTTGACAAAATGAATAGACAGTTAATTTAAAGATGACTTGGTGCTATATTCATTGCCTATAACTATATAATGAATCAACCCAAACCTCAATGTCTCAAAACACAATTATTGTCTCGTGATTTTTATGGGTTAGAAATCTAGGTTCAACTTGACTGGTATATCTGTCTTGCCCAAGTTCTCTCACAGGCGGTGATCAAGTTTTCATACGTGGCTGTAGTCATCTCAAGGCTGTAGTCATCTCAAGGAACAACCAGTGAAAGATCTGTTTTTTGGATCATTCACAAGGTTGTTGACAGGATTCAGTTCTGAGGCTTCCTTCAGTACCTTGCCAGCCAGGTGGGCTGGGACATAAAAAAGCATATAAAATAGTGACTTACTAAATCAAAGCCAGCAAGAAAGAACAGCCAGAAAAACATTGCTGGCAAGACCAAAGTTAACAGGGACATAAACCATAACCTAATCTCAGAAATGGTCTGATATTTCCAAACATTTTTCATGTTCTATTTGCTAGGGGTAAGTCATTTGATTCAACACACTCTCTGGGAGAGCAGATTATACAACAGCAAGGATAGGAATAGAGGATGTAAACAGAAATATAAATTAAATAAATATATAAGTAAATATTGAGCTGTGTTTAAGCGTTATTATAAATGCATGTACACTTACCCAGACAAACACAAGGGGGGCAAGGAAATCCAAGACATTCATAAGGTAGTATAACATTAGAAGACTTAAAACTATTCGACATCGACTCATGAAAAATTCCATCAATTACAAGTGTGGACTGAATCAAGAATTGAAAATTAAACAAATGGAACAAAATAGAGAGTCCTAAAATAGACCTGCCTATTTATCTTCACTAATTTAAATCAATAGGGCCCTGAAAATGTAGTGGTTGAAACTAATAATTTTAATAAATAATTATTTAAATTATTGATCCATAATGAAAATACCCGAATCTTATACCCTACCTCATCCACTATACAAAAATCAAGTCCTACTAGATTATAGCAACCTAAATATGAAAGATAAAACTATAGACTTTCTCCAAGATAATATAGAAGAGTCAAATATTCTTTTAAGACTAAAATAGCCATACCACTGTTTTTATAAATTGGACCATTCTAAAATTAAGCATTCCTGTTTATAAAAATATGTGGAAAATACCTTGATATTTTCTTATAAAGTTAATCATAAATTTACCATGTAATCCAGCAATCAAAGTCTTAAGTTTTTACCAAAGTGAATTGAAAATTTCAGTTCATACAAAAATATATGTGAATATATATAGCAGCTTTGTTCATAATATCTAAAACCTGGAAGTAAATATGAGGCCCTTCATTAGGAAACAGATAGACTCTGGGTCATTTATAAAATGGCATACAATAATATTTATAACATGGGCATACATATGTATGCACCTTGGAGTTACTTAGCAAAGGAAGAATGCAGATTACCTAGGCTAACTTGTTAATTTAATTTATAAGAAATTGGCCACAACAGAAAAGAAAGTTTTTACCTGGACCCTTCCTCTATTCATAATATGAATCACCTAAGGATAAAATATTGACAACTTCTTAATTATAACACAAGTTTCTACAGAAGCTTTCTTTAAAAAAATTAAATCCCATCACTATTAAAAAGAGCCTGCATTCTAGGGAAAATTGAAAAATATTAACTGTTATTTACAATAAATAAATACAGAAATACCATTGTTTCTTCTTTTGTCTAGTCTGTATTTCAAATTTTCAAAATTTTATAGAAGTTTCTAAACTCATGGCTAATTTGAAAATACACCCTAAAATTAAACAGCAGTTATGGAAACCTAACCTTATTTTATTTCTTTTTTAAGGTACTTTACTATTTTGCTCATTGTTTAAATTAAAATGGCACTGCACAGATTAACTGTTGGGTGGGAGTGCGGGGAGAGCTTAACAAAAAGATCACAATACAGATGACTTTTGTTATTTCATGGCCATTTTCATTCTGAGAGTAGAAGATACTGTTTTGATGCAGTCAGATAAGCAGTTCCCTTTGGTCAATGATCAGACATCTGTTTTTAAATTATGTATTACATCAATTGTTAAGAGTAGGATGTAAGAAATTTATTCATGGTTTGCTTTAATAATATGTGTCAGGATTAACCCAGTGATTTTGAAAAGCATATAAACAATCATATTTCTTGGAAATGAATATTCTGAAATAACAATGGATATATCCCTGCTCATTCAACAAAAATCAATAATTAATTCAACCATATTATGTTACTTTTCATTGTAACTAAAACTTTCAAAATGTTTTTCAAATTAAAAAATTAAAGATCATCTTGAAAGTTTTAGTTACTTCTCCTTGTACAATATGCAAAGTTGTATGTTATATATATAATTGGAAATTAAAGAGATACATATATAATCACATACTTTATTTCCTGTAGTTTTAACACAGTGACTTTGCAAATACCCTTATCAATCAAATCCATGGTACTTTTCAATTAGATAAACTTGAAAAAAATGAACAGAAGTGCTCAAAAATAAGATATCACTATTCTTAGTTTCTTTGGGCAGTGTTTAAGCTTTGTTTTTATTTCTCTTCTTTCCTTTAACATTTTCTCTTAAAGTATTCCTTTATATCTCTTAATGTAACTTATAAAAATGTAGAAAATTTGCACTCATGGGTATTTTACACTGGTAATTATATTTCTGGTCATAATTTGTACAATTTAAACTATGTAAACTATGACTTTACTGTGAGAGCAGGAATGATTTCCATATAAATCTATGAACTCTCCTAATAATTGGAATGGCTTTCTATACTCACACTAAACTTTATATTTTCAAATAACAGCATACCTGTTTCACAGGCACTGATAAAAATATTAATATTATTAAATAATAAACCTCCTTTTCCCACTGCCTTTTGTCTACACAAGAAAATAAAAATGCCTCGACTGGATACAGCAATCTCTACAAAGTAATTCCATTACCTGCATTCTTAAAAACAAACAAACAAATCAAAAAAAGTTTAACTTCAGGGGTACAGGTGTAGATTTGTTACATAGGTAAACGTGTTTCATGGGGGTTGGTTGTACAGATTATTTCATTACCCAGATGTTAAGCCTAGTATCCATTGTTATTTTTCCTAATCTTCTCCCTCCTCTGATAGGCCCCAGCGTTTGTTGTTCTACTCTATGTGTCCATGTGTTCTTATCATTTAGCTCTCACTTATAAGTGAGAACACACAGTATTTGGTTTTCTGTTTTTCTGTTAGTTTGCTAAGGATAATGACCTCCAGCTCCATCCATGTCTCTGCAAAGGACATGATCTCATTCTTTTTATGGCTGCATAGTATTCCATGGTGTACATGTACCACATTCTATGATGTATATGTACCACATAAATGCTATCATTGATGACCATTTTAGTTGATTCTATGTCTTTGCTATTGTGAAGAGTGCTGCAACGAACATAGGCATGCATGTGTCTTTATAACAGAATGATTTATATTACTTTGGGTATCTACCCAGTAATGGGATTGCAGGATTAAAGAGTATTTCTGTCTTTAGGTCTTTCAGGAATCGCTACACTGTCTTCCACAATGATTGAATTAATTTACACTCCCAACAGTGAATAAGCATTTCCTTTCTCCACAACCTTATCAGAATCTTTTATTTTTTGACTTTTTAATATTAGCTATTCTGATTGGTGTGAGATGGTATCTCATTGTGGTTTTGATTTTCATTTCTCTAATGATTAGTGATGTTGAGCTTTTTTTTTCATATGATTACTGGCCACATGTATGTCTTCAGAAGTGTCTGTTCATGGTTTTTGCTCACTTTTCAACGAGGTTGCTTGGTTTTTCCCTTGTAAATTTGTTTAAGTTCCTGATAGACATTAAATATTAGGCCTTTGTGAGATGCATAGATTTCAAATATTTTATGCAATCTGTTTGTCTGTTTACTCTGTTGATAGTTTCATTTCTTGTGCAGAAGCTCTTCAATTAGATCTCACTCATTAATTTTTGCTTTTGTAACAGTTGTTTTTGGCATCTTCATCATGAAATCTTTGCACATGCCTACATCCTGAATGATATTGCCTAGGATGTCTTCCAGGGTGTTTATAGTTTTGGATTTTACATATAAGTCTTTAATCCAGCTTGAGTTAATTTTTGTATATGGTGTAAGAAAGACATATGGCTAGCCAGTTACCCCAGCACCATTTTTTTGAAAAGGGAATCTTTTCTCCATTGTTTGTTTGTATCATGTTTGTCCAAGATCAGATAGTTGTAGGTGTGCATTCTTATTTCTGAGTTCTTTAATTCTGCTCCATTGCTCCATGTGTCTTTTCTTCCACCAGTACCATACTGTTTTAGTAACTGTAGGCCTGTAGTATAGTTTGAAGTGAGGTAGTATGATGCCTCCATCTTTGTTCTTTTTTGCTTAGGATTGCCTTGTCTATTTGGGCCCTTTTTTTTGGGGGGGGGGGGTTTCTGTTCCTGTGTTTGCTAAGGATAATGGCCTTGAGCTCCATTAATGTCCCTACAAAGGACATGATCTCATTCTTTTTTATGGCTGCATAGTATCCCACGGGTGTAGGTACTACATTTTCTTTATCTAGTCTATCACTGATGGGCATTTAATTTATTTCATGTCTTTGCTATTGTGAATAGTGCTGCAGCAAACATACATATGCAGGTGTCTTTATAACAGAATTTTGAAACAGTTTTTTTCTAGATCTGTGAAGAATGTCAATGGCAGTTTAATGTGAATTACACTGAATATATTAGTTGCTTTGGAAAGTATGGCAATTTTAATGATACTGATTTTTCCTATCCGTGAGCATAGAATGTTTTTCCATTTCTTTTTGCCACCACTGATTTATTTGAGCAGTGATTTGTTGAGATTTTTTACCTTCCTTGTTAGTTGTATTTCTAGGTATTTTGTTCTTTTTGTGGCAATTGTGAATGGGAGTTGATTCATAATTTGGCTCTCGGCTTGACAATTGTTGGTGTATAGGAATGCTAGTGATATTTGCACATTGACTTTGAATCTTGAGTCTTTCCTGAAGTTGCTTATCAGCTTAAGAAGATTTTGTGCTGAGATAATGAGGTTTTGTAGATATAGGATCATGTCACCTGCAAACAATGGTGATAGAGGTCATCCTTGTGTTGATTTTCAAGGGTAATGTTTCCAGTTTTTGCCCATTTAGCATGATGCTGCCTGTGGGGTTGTCATATATGGCACTTATTATTTTGAGTTATGTTCCTTCAATACCTAGTTCATTGAGAGTTTTTAACATGAAGGGATGTTAATTATTTTATGTTATTTCAAAACCTGAAATATACTTTTCTTTACTCCATCTCATCTCAACAACTGATTCTTCTTGTCAGCTTTACTGAGTAAAGTTGACAAATAAAACTGCATGTATTTAAGGCATAGGATTTGATGTTTTTGATACATGTGTACATTGTGAAATGATCACCACTATCAAGCAGATTAACATACTTATTCTTTAAATCCCATCTTAATTTTATTCCCTTCATAAATATGTACATTCAAATAGATGAGAATTTAATAGTTTCCTTTTCTACTTATTTTCAAAATTTATGATGAGTTTATCTAACTTATTTTCAATTTTTAATAATAATTTTCAATTATTATTGGCCAAAAAACGTCTCATGACCCTACGTGTGAGGGGGTAAGACATGCATTTTTTCATTCTGCCTAGAAGTAGAGAAAAACCAGATCTTGGTGAGCGCTGGAAGTCCCTACTATAATAGTGATATCATGCACTATTTCAAACAAATCAGAACATTTAATAGTTTGGGATTTTTATACCAAATTAAAATGGCCATGTGAAGATACTTTGTAACCTAAGATGGTGAGCATCTCCTTCATGTGAAGATTTCAAGCCTAGGCAGGATGTCTATCATTTATACAATATTTCTTCCAATTATTTAATAATTGCAAATTAACTCCAAACAAATAAGAATAAAAGAGCAGTCCACATATTTACATAATAATTGTATTTAGAAATTACTTCATTGAGAGGAAATTTTACTTTCCAACCAGGATTCTATAATTGATTTTCCATTTGCAGCCCTGTTATGTCAGATTAAAAAAAAATACTGCAAGTTCAATGTTTTTCTGAACAACTATCTCATTTATTTTAACTTCTTTAACCCAACACTTGAAAGATGCTTTTTATTTTGTTATATGAAAAATCTTTTCTTTATGCAATATAGAATCTAAGCCATGGTTTTATCCTGATTAGAATTTCAAACTTGCTAAAATGTGTGGAATATGACGAGAGGTTTTGTTACAGTTTTTTTTTATTATTATACTTTAAGTTTTAGGGTACATGTGCACATTGTGCAGGTTAGTTACATATGTATACATGTGCCATGCTGGTGCGCTGCACCCACTAACTCATCATCTAGCATTAGGTATATCTCCCAATGCTATCCCTCCCCCCTCCCTCCACCGCACCACAGTCCCCAGAGTGTGATATTCCTCTTCCTGTGTCCATGTGATCTCATTGTTCAATTCCCACCTGTGAGTGAAAATATGCGGTGTTTGGTTTTTTGTTCTTGCGATAGTTTACTGAGAATGATGATTTCCAATTTCATCCATGTCCCTACAAAGGACATGAACTCATCATTTTTTATGGCTGCATAGTATTCCATGGTGTATATGTGCCACATTTTCTTAATCCAGTCTATCATTGTTGGGCATTTGGGTTGGTTCCAAGTCTTTGCTATTGTGAATAATGCCGCAATAAACATACATGTGCATGTGTCTTTATAGCAGCATGATTTATAGTCCATTGGGTATATACCCAGTAATGGGATGGCTGGGTCAAATGGTATTTCTAGTTCTAGATCCCTGAGGAATCGCCACACTGACTTCCACAATGGTTGAACTAGTTTACAGTCCCACCAACAGTGTAAAAGTGTTCCTATTTCTCCACATCCTCTCCAGCACCTGTTGTTTCCTGACTTTTTAATGATTGCCATTCTAACTGGTGTGAGATGGTATCTCATTGTGGTTTTGATTTGCATTTCTCTGATGGCCAGTGATGGTGAGCATTTTTTCATGTGTTTTTTGGCTGCATAAATGTCTTCTTTTGAGAAGTGTCTGTTCATGTCCTTTGCCCACTTTTTGATGGGGTTGTTTGTTTTTTTCTTGTAAATCTGTTTGAGTTCATTGTAGATTCTGGATATTAGCCCTTTGTCAGATGAGTAGGTTGCGAAAATTTTCTCCCATTTTGAAGGTTGCCTGTTCACTCTGATGGTAGTTTCTTTTGCTGTGCAGAAGCTCTTTAGTTTAATTAGATCCCATTTGTCAATTTTGGCTTTTGTTGCCATTGCTTTTGGTGTTTTAGACATGAAGTCCTTGCCCACGCCTATGTTCTGAATGGTATTGCCTAGGTGTTCTTCTAGGGTATTTATGGTTTTAGGTCTAACGTTTAAGCCTTTAATCCATCTTGAATTGATTTTTGTATAAGGTGTAAGGAAGGGATCCAGTTTCAGCTTTCTACATATGGCTAGCCAGTTTTCCCAGCACCATTTATTAAACAGGGAATCCTTTCCCCATTGCTTGTTTTTCTCAGGTTTGTCAAAGATCAGATAGTTGTAGATATGCGGCGTTATTTCTGAGGGCTCTGTTCTGTTCCATTGATCTATATCTCTGTTTTGGTACCAGTACCATGTTACAGTTTTAAAAATATAGAGTGTTGAATAAAGTAGTGAGGTAGAGTGAATGTTGACCAATGAGCTTCTTTATACTGGAGAATGTCTACTGTAAAATCATGTGTTCATACTATTGATTAGTGGAAGATACTTGAAATCTAGAGTGTGGGAGATTAAGTAATATGTATGGATGGACTACGTTTTCACTGAACAAAGTGTCATAGAACCAAACCCAGCTTCAGGCAAAATGGATTATAAGGGTAACCCATAGATTTCTTACTGTCAGGCACCACCTCCCAAGTTAAAACCAGAGGAAAATAATGCATGCTTGATAGATATGCTACAGGAATTTAGTAACTAGAAAAGCCTGTAAGAGAAACAATAATGAACTCTGTAGCCATATTTGCTCAATTACCAGTACAATTTAGCAAACATACAAGTGCAATTTTCCATAACTGATTCTGAATATAGTAGTTTATATAATCATGTTACAATTTTTATAGGTGCATTTTCTGCCATAGGCAAATATTATTTTGATAAAAATAGACCCATTTTTACTTATTAAGTATTAGTTCTTGTGAAGAACCTTAAGAAAGCAGAAATTGTTTTCTTGTTCTCTGGAAAGATCAATGAAAATAATTTCTAATTAGTACATTTGTTACTAAGCTTTTTTTCCCCTAAAAATAGGCTTTCTTAAATGAGTTAAACTTTCCTTAGATATTACTAGCTAAACTTGTACCAAAAATATATGTAAACTTTTTTAAATTACAATATATGATTTTAAATGAGACCATATACCAAGCTTTACTCTAATAAAGTTTCCTGAGCTCTAACATAACCTAGTATAGTCTAGATATTAATATGTCTGTGTCAGAATAAATAACAAATGCATGCTACTTCACTTCCTGTTTCTTCTCAGCTTCATAACTAACCTCTCCTTCCCACTTCCATTTCACACTAACACAATCATGCTCATTTATAGAGACTTCCTGTTTGCTGTCAATAAATTGTCCCATAATAAGTTTAAAGCATTCCATCTCTTTTACCCTCAAACCCCACACCAATAAAGAGGGAAAGCATTAACTATGCACTAAAATAAATATTATTAAGAATTAAAGTTTAAGTAAATTGTATAATTTGTTCAAGCTCATGGAGTAAATTCTAGTACCTATTTACTCATTGAAAGTGAGTTATAGTTTATGTGATTGTACTTTTTTTGCTTAGGTGTAAATTATTTTTCAATATTAAATATTTTTATTATACCCTTAGTTTACAAAAGAAGTAATTTGGATAAAGAATGCTTTAACAAATTTAATATGATTTTGTATTTTTCAGAATATTATAAATTCTATGATCTTTTGATCTTCAAAATTAAAAGTAATGAAAAAATATCAAAATGTAGGTTATGTTACATATAAGGAAATTAGCAATTAGGAAAATAAATAAATTGCTAAAAGTTAATCTGCTGCCTGTAACCTGTAATAGTGATCCCCAATCAGCATGTATTTCACTAGATCATACTGGTTTCTTTCAGGTATATAACTATTTTAAATAAAGAAGTAATTTAATTGCCCAAAGGAAAAAAGATTGATTATATTGGGAGACTTTAATTATATCCTATATCCCAACAAAGTATAATGGATTGTTATAGATTTTAGTTTGATTTTGGAAATTATCTCACATATTATGTTATTTCACCCATTTTATAAATTGGTACATACCAAATTATGAATCTGGAATTTCAATCTAGGTTAATCTAACAAAAATGCAGTGCAAGTTTTAGTATTTCACTAATTGTAGATCAAGAATGACCAAAGTGCATTGTAAAAGAATCAATAAAATACTCAAATTTTTGAAAAGAAAGCAAAGTAAAAGCACTAATATCTACTGACTATTTAGAAATGCATTACTTATATAGTATAAAATTTTCAGTGATTTTCTTTGAGAACAGACTGTCCTATCCCGGTAACAGTTTTCTCCTTCCCCAAACTGCTATTCTTATCACATCCCTTTAGTTTTAATGTATTTCTTATGGAGTTTAAATGTATTTCTTATTCATAAAATAATTTCAAATATGATCCATAAACTGGTCTTCAAGTACAGTGACAGACACATGGAAAAAATTCATTCAATACAAACTTCTATTATAAATGGGAAACCGTGGGCTCACATTTTCTGTTTGCAGAATGCATTTTGTACAGATGTAATTTTTACTAGGTGGAAATTGAGTGTACTATGTGCCTGGTTATTTATTATTTCATGGCTTTAAATATCAGAATTCTGTTCACTTTTTATTATTTATTTAGTTATTTATTTTTGACATGGTGTCTTGCTCTGTTGCCCAGGCTAGAATGCAGTGGCGTAATCTTGTGATTTTGATTCACTGCAACCTCCACCTCCTGGGTTCAAGCAATTCTCCTGCCTCAGCCTCCTAAGTAGCTGGGATTACAGGCATGTGCCACCATGCCTAGCTAATTTTTGTATTTTTAATAGAGATGGGATTTCACCATATTGGTCAGGCTGGTCTTGAACTCCATGCCTCAGGTGATCCACCCACCTTGGCCTCCCAAAGTGCTAGGATTACAGGCATGAGCCGCCGCACCCAGCTCATATCAGAATTATTTATAAAAGTGTCTCAAGGAGAAGCATTCAATATACTTTGCTGTGACTTCAATCTGTGGCTTTTTTGAACAACTGGCTTCAGCCTTCTCAGAGTAGACAGATCCTGACCATGCAGTGACAGCAGGAAACACGTTTGAGTGTTGTCTTTTTGGTGGCAATTCAATAATATGTAACAAAGAACATCTATGGTATGCAGTGAAACCATATCAGACAACATGGAGGTGTTATTTTCGATACATTGCAGCTATCATTTAACTGACCTTTTATTCCTCTTCTGTTGATTGATTTTCAAACATTTATCTCCTACTGACAATACTTAAATAAACAATCTCATGTTTCTCACTGTGTACATATGCAAGCGTTTCTCTAGTGTACATACCTAAAAGTCCTATTGCTGTGTAACAACATATATATGTATATAAAAATTTGTTATAGTATATTTTATAGTTTTCTATTCAATTGAAATAACGTAATACAAAAAAAAGTGACATATGTCAGTGCTGGAGTGATGGATCCCAGTCAATTTTTCCTTAGAAGCTACTCATGCTTTTAAGTAATGTAATGTTTGTCATTTTCCTCTTCATTACATGCAGTCCATTTACAGTTGACAACATCTCATTCATTGCTGTTCACAGTTCAGTTACAGATATTAGCTGTCAATCATGTAAAACTTTTGCTTCGTCGTCTTTCTTCAGACATACAGATATGAAAATCATCGGGCAGGCCAATAAATAAATGATGCAAGAAAACAAATAACTCATTGGGCCTTTGGGTTTATTATTTGTAAAATAATTTGATTATTAAATTCCTCCATTAGATTAAATATGGCCATTGAATCTTTGGTTCTATACCTTTTAAAGGGTGAATCTTATTTCTCCCAACTCTTTCTTGATCTTGCAACTTGCTCTAATATAAAGCAACAGTAATAATATTAAGAGGTTTCCAAGACTCATTTTCAGGAGGCATTGGGGCTTCAGCTCTTACATTTTTGGAACCTGACGCCACCAGAGAATGAAGATGATTGGGATGAAAGACCATGTGGAGAAAGACTCACCCATTCCACTGAATCCATCCATTCCACCGAATCCACCTATTCCACCAAATCCACCCATTCCATTTCATCTTCTAGACAACCTCAGGCACATTAGTAAAGCCAGGCAAGATCAGCAGAATTATCAAGGCAACCTATATAATCAGAAAAAATATTAAGACTGCAATGAGTGAAGTCATTGTTTTAATCCACTGTATAGCCATAGATAAATGCAATTCTCCCTTTTGGTATTATAGAAATTAAACATAATATGGCCAGGCATGGTGGCTCACGCCTGTAATCCAGCACTCAGGGAGGCCGAGATGGGTGGATCATGAGGTCAGGAGATCAAGACCATCCTGGCTAACATGGTGAAAACCCATCTCTACTAAAAATACAAAAAATTAGCTGGGTGTGGTGGTGGGCACCTGTAGTCCCAGCTACTCGGGAGGCTGGGGCAGGAGAATGGCGTGAACCAGGGAGGCGGAGCTTGCAGTGAGCCGAGATCATGCTACTGCACTCCAGCCTGGGCAACAGAGCGAGACTCCATCTCAAAAAAAAAAAAAAAAGAAATTAAAGATAATATTTATCTGGTAATTTGATACATGCTTTTCTATTAATTTTTATTAAAAATTAATTCCATCTCTGGGTTATTTTTTCTGTAACCCATTACCTCCTTATCAAAATTAATTACATGTCAAATAATTTTATTTGTAATAATATTAAGCATTAATAACCATTATTATTTAAATAATATTTGTTATGAATAGCAACTTTATTCATTTCACCCTCCAATTTATAAATTCTAAATCCCATTTTGAAAACTTATTAAACTTTATTGCTTATTATATTTTCATATTAAATAATTTAAATATGCTCTTATATTGGTTGCTTTATTACTCACAGCTTAGCTCCATTTTGGAACTATTAACCCACATGCAGATGTCACATTGCAACATTGCTGTCACCATACACAAACCCTGCCTTTGTTTTTCTTGTCTTAGGAAAGGTTCGACTTATGTGGTACATTTCAAACAGACATATGAAAATCCCAGTGGGCAAATGGAAATGTAAATACCTTCAACGTGGCCACTTGGTTAAACTTGGTATATTCAGCAAATGGCATCCACAGAAGCTGACATTTAAGCATAATGAATTATGCATAAGTGAACAAGGCCCTTCTGGGTTGATGATAGCAGAGGTTTCACTTGTGGCTCAGTTTTGGAATTGAAATTACAAAGTAATTATAACCCTGCTCAGACATTTGCACATTGTCTTTTCAGACCAGATTTCAGTCTATTCAACAGGCACTATACCAAAGATCTATCACTACTATGCTAATGAAATAGGAGAAATGTTCCTTTTTTATTATATTTTTTGGATCCAATGAGGAAATCCAACGCTCCTGAGAAAACTTGTCTGGTTATTAAAAGTTTCTTGTTTTTGTACTTCATCCAAGTGTTTAAAATCTCGAAACACTGGAATAATGCTATGGCTTAAAATAAGAAACAATCCTCACCTGCCACTCTTAGGCTCAGCAAAAGTCAAGACTTGGCATAGCTATTTGCAATCATGGGATTAGAAATGTCATCTAAGCTTATCATTGGCCACTGTTTACATGTGGTCTGGGAAACTGAAATGAATTATAACAATTATAAAAATTTACTGTAGGTGAATCATTCTTCCCGTTGAATAAGAAAGGAAACTAAAATTTAAATATTTTATCAAATATTACACTGCTTAAAAGGACAATTATAAAATTGAACTGAAATCTATTCAATTCAAAACTATTCTGTTTCCCACCATGTTTTTTATTTCTGACATTCTCTTAATTTCTTTAGTGTTAGACATATTTACCTGAGCTATTGTTGATTAAAAGGTATATTATAATTATATAATTATGTTTGTCGCTCAAATATCCTATAAATGTATATTTATAGGTATTATTACATTATATATGAAATAGTTGGAAATAAAATTCTTAAAATTCTAAATTATCTATTTTTATGCATGTTCCATACATAAACATATTGTATGTGAGATGCTACTTCTATATTCAATAAACATTTTTTTGATTTTAGACTTCTTCGACAAATTTTTATTTTCCATGTCCAGTTAATACCTGCACAATGTAAATCACTCTGGTAGACAAAACCATGAGGCAAAGGGAGTAGAAAAGTTTATTTTTACTTGTAAACCTCCCTCGTAGTCAATAAGGAAGCCTGAAAAATGGAATCCAGCATTTGAACTACTTAAAATTCCTTGGATCAAAGTAGGCAGATAGCTATTACAATCATTCAAAGCTCATAGCACTTTAATATGAAATTTAATTGAAGACATATTTTAAATTAGATGTGCAGTTTATGAGCTTGTTCAAAATAGTGTAAGATTTAATAATTTTAAAAGTATTTTTTAGTAAAACTTGAAAATTTTTTGTTTCAAAATATATCCCTCATCCTGGTAATAATTCAGTTGCATAAAGAAGGCAGAAAACTTTGTTTGCAAAATCCTACATCCTATGTAGGGAGCAATTTGCAGAAAACACAGCCACATTACCCCAGAATAATTAAAATACATTTAGGCCGGGCATGGTGGCTCATGTCTGTAATCCTAACACTTTGGGAGGCTGAGGCAGCTAAATCATCTGAGGTCAGGAGTTCGAGAACAGCCTGGCCACATGGTGAAACCCTGTCTCTACTAAAAATACAAAAATTAGTCAGCCGTGATGGCGCGGGCCTGTAATCCCATCTATCTGGGAGACTGAGGCAGGAGATGGCTGGAATCCAGGAGGTAGAGACTGCAATGAGCGAAGATGACGCCACTGCACTCCAGCCTGGTGACAGAGCGGGACTCCATCTCAAAAAAAAAAAAAAAAAAAAAAGACATCTAAAGCTATTCCATATATATTAGATGCAACATTTAAGTATATTTTGTATGAGTATGTAAAATTTAATTTAATGGCACTAACCCTGACACTTATAGAGAAGACTATTGAGTGGTATTTTGTGGATCAAACTTGAATCACTTTTTAGATACCTTTTTAATGAATTACAAATAAATACACAAGAAAGGGTGAATCAATTGCACTTATACTTCAAAAAAAATCATCATGAAAACAAATTAGTTTTGAGGAGATTTTCTTATTACAGTCAATTTTATTTTGCCAAATTATCTCTTCAGCTCCTTTCCCAGAATAGGAATGATTTTTCCCCCTAGAGGAAGAATCTCAACACTCTACGAGCTAATTTGCTTATACCCTCTGCACAGCCAACAGGCATTTCCAGCATTAAAAGAAAATTTAAGGAAATCATTATTTCTTGTTTTACTGATCAAAATGTAAGCTTGTAACGTTCTGTTTTAACCCCTAACTGCATTTAGTGCATTTTAATATTGGAGCTTTGCATTTGTCCCCAACAATTTGTTTTTTTCCTATTCTGTTTCAGTCGGTGACTCAGCAACCTGTCTTGTATTCATTCACTCTTGGGCTATGTCCAGCCTCATCTCACTTTAAGGAATTGGAACTGTATCTTTGGACGCTGGACTCACAAAATTGTTTAGCAAACTGATGGATATTTTTAAGCCCAATCACTCAAACTATTCTGTTCATTATTTTCTTTTACATTTTTATTGAACTCTGATCACTTCTATAAACAGATTTGTCCCAATAGATTGTTTTATATAACTTAAAATCTCATAAACTGATTGCTGATCTCATTTATTATCCAGTACTATCTTAAATATATGTCATATATTGTATATGCACATGTATATGTATATTACTATACATATAACACACATAGATAAACTCATATAGTATATGTGTTCATAGCAATAACTAATAATTGAATGGTTATTTTTAGTGTATGCAGGCAACAACCTAAGCAATTTTTATTATCCTTTCACAATGCAGGCATTATTTCACACACTTTACACATGAAGAAACTAGTGTACATGTCATTTAAATTATCTTCTTAATTTCGTGCTGTTAGTAATTTAGAGAATAGAAATCAACTCACACAAACTGGACTTTCAAAAAATATTATTATACATACATAAATTCTAAGAAAAATTTAGAATCTTTCAAGTCATACATCGAAGACGGTGTTCCAAAGGCTTGTCCTAGGAGATAAGATTTTTGCCTTTGTTAGCAAGGTTCCCTGACATTGCTTCAAGGGAACACAGTTCTCTCTCATCACACCACAACTTCCCTGCAGTCAGGGTTTAGCTAGTAAGCTGGAAGCGAAGATTGCTATAGGCAGTAATGAGGAATGCCTCTAGCTTAGTTATAAGGCTTCTCAGAAATGGGAATACATTAAATTACTTCACATATTCTGTACCTTTTAGGGAAGGCTTGAAACTGATAATTCAAGAGAAAAATTTGCTGCTTAACTCCCAGTGTCCACTAGGTTTAAACAATCTCCATAGGTATATAACAATTTGAGTCTGAAGAACAGTAAAGAAGAGTAATTGTGACTTAAGAAATATTTTTTCCCTAATATGAGTCTATTTGGAAAATTATCTGTGTAATTTTATACTATAAATACAATTGTAATACTGTGTAAGAGCCATAGTCCCGTGGTATAATTTGTTTTCAATATAGGTATTTAACTGATTTTGGAATTATTTTATTTAACATTCTGAACAAAAATATACCATCTTCAAACATATTTGTAATACATAGATGACAAATATTAATAGCTAACATTAAGAAAATCATATATATCACTGATATCATAATAGGTACTACATAGATGTTTACCAAAAATTAAAAATTGGAGTTCTGGTCTTAAGTATTTAATTTTTTGTCCTCCTCTGAATGTAGCTGTAGTTTTGGTACAAGTTTAGCATGAAAAGAGTATACTAATCTGCAGTGTTCCGGATCTCAAATCATATGGCAAGAATTTTCTAGATTTTTAAGGTGTCTTCTGGAGGTTTATGTGTGTGTGTGTGTGTGTGTGTGTGTTTCATATATACATATTCATTTACATATATACAATTGTATTAAATCTTTATAAAAATATGTTAATATACATTAAATACATTTTAATATCATAAAGATGGTACTTAAAGCAGATTTTTAAATTTTTAGCAGCATATATTTGTATAGCTACTCTACTTTTAACTATCCTCATATTATCTATCCTCACATAATACTGTTATTCTGATAAGCTAAAATCTCCTCACAATAGCTTATTCTCAACTTTTAACTTATCGTTTACTTTAAAATATATTGTTCTTTTTCTCACAAAGGCAAAAAGCAAGATATGTTTTTCCTTATGAGATAAATAAAAACTATTTTGTTTAAAATTTTTCCTCTTATCAAGATGATAATTGTGCTATTTCATCATATTTCCTTTTTTCATGCTTTCTGTTGGCAAAATAATGAATACTTTTCAGTATCATTTCACTGAATGTAAAACTCCTACCTCTTGTTTTGACATGTTCCCAATGGCTATTCTCATAAATTTGATTTAATGTTTCTCTTATTTTCTTGCAAGTTAACATTGTAAATATGGCTAACATTTCAGAAGCAGTTGCAACAACTTCTATTTTATATGTACCTATAAACATGAATAATCTATTTTGAATATTATAATCAAGTTGACACTTATTTCAGAATTTTTCAAAAACATTTATTAAATATTTACTGAAAGATTATTACATTTAAGAAGCAAATTCTCTCTGGGAATAAATGGTGAGTAATAGCTTGACAGAATTTCTTTCCTTCTGATAACTCAAAACAAATTTATTTTTTAGTGGAGGGGAGGGCAGAGAAAACACTGGAATTCAACAGAGAAGTGACAGAAAACACCTAAGGCAAAGAAGAGAGAAGTAAGTGAGACTGTTTAGCCAGGATGGGCTGGCTGGGAGCCTGCTCTCCAATGCAGAGGAACTGTAAAAAAAAAAAAAAAAAAAAAAAAAAAAAAAAGTGACCCTCAGGGCCGGGCGTGGTGGCTCATGCCTGTAATCCCAGCACTTTGGGAGGCCGAGGCGGGTGGATCACAAGGTCAAGAGATTGAGACCATCCTGGCCAACATGGTGAAACCCCGTCTCTACTAAAAATACAAAAATGAGCTGGGCGTGGTGGTGCGCACCTGTAATCCCAGCTACTCCGGAGGCTGAGGTAGGAGAATTACTTGAACCCGGGAGGCGGAGGTTGCAGTGAGCCGAAATCCCGCCACTGCGCTCCAGCCTGGTGACAGACTGAGGCTCCGTTTCAATAAATAAATAAATAAATAAGTGACCCTCAGTACTCCACATTCCCACTGTAGATTCCTGCAATTCTAGCCACAGGGCAACTATTGACCCAGGTGGCCCCTGAAATTAACATAGGAGCTGCCTAGAAACTATGCCACGGTATTTCTCTGGAGACGGAACTCCAGCTAGGTCCCAATGTCCAAATCTTAAGCAGCTACAGCAGGGCACTATTTGAGACCCTAGGTCCATCAGATTGCATCCTTTCCTGAGGCTAAAAACCCCTTGAATTTTCACATCCCTGGAGCCCCACTGACATCCCCTGCCTACCGCCAAGCACTGCTGGCTGTTTTTGCCAGGACTGAAGCACAAGCCAGTGGCAGCAAACTCACTATGCATTTATAAGCGCCTTGAGGACAGGCTATCCAGCTCACAGCCACAATCTAGGATCAAAGCTCATATTCCTTAGCCACATATTCGTGGCCACTGCCACTTAAAGCCACCTCACCCTTTTTAGCAGCAGGGCCAAAGTAAAGTTACTGTGATCGCCACCTGAGCATTCCACTTGGGGCACCCAACCCACGCCTACCACTGCCAGGGTCTACAGGCACTATTGTGCACTACTGGGGGACCTGAGGCCAGATCTTTCTAGGCTGGCTCCACCCACTTAGTGCCCAAACACACGATCTAGGGGTATGGGAATCCCCATGCTACATCCAGCACCATTGGCACC
This sequence comes from Homo sapiens, assembly GCF_000001405.40. NCBI lineage: Eukaryota > Metazoa > Chordata > Mammalia > Primates > Hominidae > Homo > Homo sapiens. The sequence continues at coordinate 56,623,150 of NC_000013.11, forward strand.
TGAGCACAAGTGACATCTACCTGCATTCTTTATCTGTTGGCCCACAGACTGGCTGCCCAGGTCATCACAGCTACTGCCAACTACCACATGGAAAGCTTGAGAGCCAGAAAATTGTCCAGCCACTGCTACTGCCATTGCCTCTGCCATACCTGCTGCCCAAAATCTTGAGGACCCACCACCTACCTAGCCCATTGCTGCCACTGCTGACACCTATGTAAGCCGCCTGGACGTCCAAGAACTGGTCTGCAGTATATGCACTGCATACACTGCACTGGGGCCAAAGGACAGGCATGCTTGGCCCACAACTTCTATCGCTAGGTCTTGAGAACTGTCCTAAATGACTTCCTTGTGTCCAGCAAAAATTCACAGCAGTCTCCACTAAAAACCTTACCATAAGCCACTGAGACAATCAGAGCCTCTATTGTCACTGTTTATAGCAAAAGTAATCATATGGATACTATACTACTGCAGTCACCCAGAATCAAAGTCAAAGTGCCCTATCCAACCAATATCATAGATACATCTTCAGTAAAAAGTCCACTCCTATGAAAAGAAATTCAAAAAATTGGAATAAGTAATTGTTACACCAGATGCACAAACATCAACATAAGGACACAAGAAACACAAGCAAGGAAATATCATTCCAGATAACTCAGATAAGCAATGCCATGAAATCAGCAAAAGAAGCCACAATATAAAATAAATTTACCGAAAAGATAGTTATCCTAAAAAAGAATCAAACAAAAATTATGGAGCTAAAGATGTCATTAAATGAAATGCAAAATACACTCAAAAGCTTCAACAATAAACTAGATCAGGTCGAAAAAAGATTGAGAACATGAAGACAGGTCTTTTCAAATAATCCAGTCAGATAAAAATTAAGAAATAAGGATAAAAAAGAATAAAGCCTATGTGACGTATGAAACACTATAAAGCAATCAAATATTTAAATTGTTAGAAGGCAAACAGAAGGCAAAAAGAAAATTAAAGTAATAGAAAGCTTATTTAACTAAATAATAGCTGAAAATTTCACTCTAGAAGACATTTAGAAAGAGAAAACTCAAAGAACTCCAATACATATAATTTAAGTCTTCTTCACTGCACTTTATAGCCAAATTGTCTAAAGTAAATAATAAAGAGAGAGTTTCACAAACTTGAAGAGAAAAGTGACTACTAATTTTTAAGAGAACCCCCATTAGACTAACAGCAAATTTCTCAGCAGAATCATTACAGGCCAGGAGAAAATGAGATAATATTTCCAACGTGATGAAAGAAAAAGAAAACTTTCTGTCAAGGATACTATACCCACCAAAATTATACATAAATGACGAAGAAATAAAATATTTTTCACATGAGTAAAAGTAGAGCGAATTCATCACCACCTAACTGGCTGGACAAGACATTCGTAAGGGAGTACTGCACCTGGAAGCAAAAAGACAATATCTACTACCATGAATAAAACAATTAAAAAAAAAAAGCAAAAAAAAAAATTCACAGGTATAGCAAACACTCAAAAGAGGAAGAGACAGGGCTGAAGTATTACCACTACAGAAAATCATCAAACCACAATGAGAAAGAAAGAAACAAACAAAAACAATTAAAACAAACAAAATGAACAAATAATATTAAAAATAAATAATGGTGTATGTAGACTGAAAGAAAAGAGATTAAAAAAAGATACTCCATGTAAATGGAAACCATAAATCACCAAGAGTAGCCACATGTCTACCAGATAAAACATATTTGACTCAAAAAACATAACAGAGACAAAGAAGTTTATTATATAATGATAAAGAAATCACTTTAGCAAGAGGACATAATAATTCTAAGCACACATGCAAGCAACACTAGAGCACTTGGATATATAAGGCAAATATTATTAGATCTAATGGGAGAGAAAACTCCAATACAAAAATATTTGGGGACTTTGACACACCCTTCTCAGCATTATAAAGTTCATCTAGAAAGATAATTAACAGAGCAATTTTGGCTTTAAACTACACTTTGGAACAAATAGAACTAACAGATATTTAAAGAACATTTTATCCAAAAACTACAGAATACACAGAATACACATTCTTCTCATTAGCTCATGGAACATTCTACAGGATAGACCACATGATAAGCCATTAAGAAAGCATCAACAAATTTTTAAATATCAAAATATCAAATATCTTATTAGACCATGATAGAATAAAACTAGTAGTCAATAAAAAGAGGAATTTTGAAAACTATGAATATATATGGAAATTGAACAAGATGCTTTTGAATGTCCATTGTATCAAGGAAAAAAAATGAGGAGGAAATCAAAAAGTGTATTATGAAAAATAAAATTATAAACACAACACATCATACTTGATGAGATACAACAAAATGGTGCTAAGAGGGAAGCGTATTAACAATAAATGCCCACAACATAAAGTTGAAAGATTTCAAGTAAACAATCCAATGATGAACCTCAAGAAATCAAAAAAAGCAAGAACAAACTGAATCCAAAATTATTAGAAAGAAAGGAATAATAAAGATAAGGCAGACCTAAAAAAGCATAAAAACTTAATAAATAAAAAGGATCAACAAACGAAAAGTCAGTTGTTGATAAAGGTAACCAAATTAATAAACAACTAGCTAGACTAGTCAAGAAGAAAAGAGAGAAGACTCAAGTAAATAAAATCAGGAATGAAAAGAAAGATATTTCATCAGGCATCACAGAAATATAAAGACTATCAAAGACTATGTGAACAATATACACTAACAAGCTGGAAATCGTAGAGAAAATAGATAAATTCCTGGAAACATACAATCTAACAATATTGGATCAGTAAGAAACTGAAAACTTAAACAAGCTAATAATGAATAATTAAAACGAATCAGTAATAAAAAGTCTCCCAACAAAGAAAAGTTCAGGACCAGATGACTTCACAGCAGAGTCCTAACAATCTTACAAAGAAAAGCTAACACCAATTTTTCTCAAGCTATTATAAAAATTTGAATAGAGTAAAATTCTCCCTCCATCATTGTATGAAGCCAGCATTACCCTGATACCAAAACTACATAAGGATGCAACAACAACAGCAATACTACAGGCCAATATCCCTGATGAACATAGAAATAAAAATTCTCAATTGTGGGAAACCAAATCCAACAGCTCATCCAAAAGATAATACATTATGACCAAGTGAGATTTATCCCAGAGATTCAAAGATTGTTCAACATACACAAAATAATAAATGCAATAAAACACATCAACAAAAAAAGACAAAAACCAAATGATTTTCTCAATAGATACAGAAAAAAAGGATTTGATAAAATTCAACATTCCATCATCATAAACATTCTCAGCAAACTAGGCATGAAAGGAAAAATATCTCACCATAATAAATGCAATATATGACAAACCCAAAGCTAACATCATACTGAATGCGGGAAAACATAAAGCTTTTTCTGTAAGAACTGGAAAAAGACTAAGTTGCCCATTTTTACCACTCCTATTTAACATAGTACTGGAAGTCCTAAGCAAAGCAATAAGTAAAAGAATGAAATAAAAGATATTAAAATTGGAATAGAGAAAGTCAAATTGCCCCTCTTTGCAGATAATATTATATATATACATAAATAATCTATCAAAAAACTCTTAGATCTGATAAACTCAGTAATGTTGTGGAACACAAAATCAACATACAAACATCAATGATGTTTCAATACACCAATAATAAACTAGCTGAGAAGTAAATAAAGAAGGAAATCTCATTTTAAAAGCTACAAAAAAAAATACCTAGCAATAAATCCAACCAAGGAGGTGTAATACCTCTACAAGATAAACAATAAAAAAATCTATAAAATAAATTGAAGAATACAATAACAAATGGAAAGATATCCTATGCTCATGGGTTGGAAGAATTAACAGTGTCAAGATGATCATCCTGCCCAAAACAATCTACAAATTCAATGTAATCCCTATCAAAATACCAATGTCATTTATTTTACCAAAATAAGAAAAAAAAAATTATAAAATTTGTAAGAGACAAAAACAGCCCAAATAGCCAAAATAATCTCATGTAAGATGAACAAACCTGGAGACATCACACTAATTGACATCAAAATATTTTATAAGATTATAGTAATCAGCAGCATGGTATTGGTATAAAACCAGATACATAGACCAATGGAACAGAATAGAGAACAGAAAAATAAATTCAAATATTTATAGCCACCTGATTTTTAATAAAGGCACCAAGAACATACATTGGGGAAAGTACAGTATCTTCAATAAATGGTTCTGAGACAATTCAATATTCATATGCAGAGAAATGAAATTTGGCCGCTACCATTTACTATATACAAAAATCAATGGATAATGGATTAAATACTTAAACATAAAACCTACAACCATAAACTTACTAGCAGAAAAATTGAAGAAATATCAGGACGTTGGTCTAGGCAAAGATTTAATGGCTAAGACGTCAAAAGCACAAGCAACAAAACAAACAAAAATAGACAATGGAATTGCATTAAACTGAAAAAATCTTCTGTCACCACAGCGAGAAGAGCTAGAGAACCAAGAACAAACCAACTCCAAAGCTAGCAGAAAGCAAGAAGTAACCAAAATCAGAGCTTAACTGATAGAAATTGAGAAGAAAAACAAACAAACAACAACAAAAAAAATACAAAGATCAATGAATTCAGAAGTTGATTTTTAAAAGGAATAATAAGGAGAGTGTTAGATAGACTCATAAAGAAAATAGAATATCTCAAGAAACACCATAAGAAATTGCAATGGGGACATTACCACTGACCTCAAAGAAATAATAATAATAAAAATATCAGAGACTACTATGGACACATTTATGCAAACAAGCTAGAAAACCAAGAAAAAAAGTGATTAGTTCCTGGAAACATACACCCTTCCAAGGTTAAACCAGGAAGAAATTGAATACCTGAACTGACCAAAAAGTGAGTTCTAAAATTGAATCAGTAATACAAAGCTTACCAACCAGAAAAAAAAAAAAAAACAGAACTAGATGAAATCATTGCTGAATTCTATCGTATGTATAAAGAGTTAGTACCATTACTACTGAAACTACTCCAAAAAATTGAGGAGGAAGAACTTTAATGCATTCTATAAGGCAAGCATCATCCCAATACCAAAACCTGGCAGAGACATAACAAGAAAAGTGATGTCCATAATGAACATAGATGCAAAAATCCTCAACAAAATACTAGCAAACAGAATCCAGCAGCATATCAAAAAGCTAATACACCACAGTCAAGTAGGCTTTATCCCTGAAATGCAAGGTTGGTTCAACATATGCAAATCAATAAATGTGATTCATCAGGAAAACAGAACTGAAAACAAAAACCACATGATTATCTCAATAGAGGTTATACAAGCTTTTGAAAAAATTTAACACCTCTTTACATTAAAATCTTCAACAAACTAGGCATTAAAGGAATACACATCAAAATAAGAGACATCTATATCAGACCCACAATTAACAGCATACTGAATGGGCAAAAACCTGAAAGCATTCCCTTTGAAAATTGGAACAAAATAGTCTGTTCCAAGGTGGCTGAATAGGAACAGCTCCAGTCTGCAGCTGCCAATGTGATTGACACAGAAGACGGGTGATTTCTGCATTTCCAACTGAGGTACCTGGTTCATTTCACTGGGACTGGTTGGAAAGTGGGTGCAGCCCACGGAGGGTGAGCCAAAGCAGTGCGGGGCATCGCCTCACCCAGGAAGCACAAGGGGTCAGAGGATTTCCCTTTCCTAGCCAAGGGAAGCCGGGACAGACTGTACCAGGAAAATCAGGACACTGCCACATAAACACTGCGCTTTTCCAATGGTCTTAGCAAATGGCACACCAGGAGATTCTATCCCGTGCCTGGCTCACCAGGTCCCACACCCATGGAGCCTTGCTCACTGCTAGTACCAGATTGAACTGGGAGGCAGCAAGCCTGGCTGGGGGAGGGGCGTCTGCCATTGCTGAGGCTTGACTAGGTAAACAAAGCAGCCAGGAAGCTCGAACTGAGTGGAGCCCACTACAACTCAATGAGGCCCACCTGCCTCTGTAGACTCCACCTCTGGGGGCAGGGCATAGCTGAATAAAAGGCGGCAGAAATTTCTGCAGACTTAAACATCCCTGTATGACAGCTATGAAGAGAGCAGTGGTTCTCCCACCACAGTGTCTGAGCTCTGAGAACGGACAGACCACCTCCTCAAGGGGGTCCCTGACTCCCGTGTAGCCTAACTTGGAGACACCTCCCAGTAGGGGCCGACTGACACCTCATACAGCTGGGTGCCCCTCTGAGACGAAGCTTCCAGAGGAAAGATCAGGCAGCAATATTTGCTCTTCTGCAATATTTGCTGTTATGCAGCCCCCGCTGGTGATACCCAGGCAAACAGGGTCTGGAGTGGACCTCCAGCAAACTCCAACAGACCTGCAGCTGAGGGACATGACTGTTAGAAAGAAAACTAATAAACAGAAAGGAATAGCATCAACATACACAAAAAGGACATCCACACCAAAACCCCATCTGTAGGTCACCATCATCAAAGGCCAAAGGTAGATAAAACCACAAAGATGGGGAGAAACCAGAGCAGAAAAGCTGAAAATTCTAATAACCAGAGCACCCCTTCTCCTCCGAAGGATCGCAGCTCCTCGCCAGCAACAGAACAAAGCAGGGCAGAGAATGACTTTGATGAGTTGACAGAAGTAGGCTTCAGAAAGTCAGTAATAACAAACTTCTCCGAGCTAAAGGAGGATGTTCAAACCCATCACAAGGAAGCTAAAAACCTTGAAAAAAGATTAGATGAATGGCTAACTAGAATAAACAGTGTAGAGAAGACCTTAAATGACCTGATGGAGCCGAAAACCATGGCACAAGAACTACGTGATGCATGCACAAGCTTCAATAGCCAACCCAATCAAGTGGAAGAAAGGGTATCAGTGATTGAAGATCAAATTAATGAAATGAAGGGAGAAGAGAAGTTTAGAGTAAAAAGAGTAAAAAGAAAAAAAAAAAGAATCTAAGAAATATGGGACTATGTGAAAAGACCAAATCTACGTTTGATTGGTGTACATGAAAGTGACGGGGAGAATGGAACCGAGCTGGAAAACACTCTTCAGGATTTTATCCGGGAGAACTTCCCCAACCTAGCAAGGCAGGCCAACATTCAAATTCAGGAAATACAGAGAGCACCACAAAGATACTCCTCGAGAAGTGCAACCCCAAGACATATAATTGTCAGTTTCACCACGGTTGAAATGAAGGAAAAAATGCTAAGGGCAGCCAGAAAGAAAGGTCGCATTACCCACAAAGGGAAGCCCATCAGACTAACACCGGATCTCTCGGCAGAAACCCTACAAGCCAGAAGAGAGTGGAGACCAATATTCAACATTCTTAAAGAAAAGAATTTTCAACCCAGAATTTCATATCCAACCAAACTAAACTTCATAAATGAAGGAGAAATAAAATCCTTTACAGACAACCAAATGCTGAGAGATTTTGTCACCACCAAGCCTGCCTTACAAGAACTCATGAAGGAAGCACTAAACATGGAAAGGAAAAACCAGTACCAGCCACTACAAAAACATGCCAAATTGTAAAGACCATTGATGCTGGGAAGAAACTGCATCAACTAACAGGCAAAATAACCAGCTAACATCACAATGACAGGATCAAATTTACACATAACAATATTAACCTTAAATATAAATGGGCCAAATGCCTCAATTAAAAGACACAGACTGGCAAATTGGATAAAGAATCAAAACCCATCAGTGTGCTGTATTCGGGAGACTCATCTCACATGCAAAGACACACTTAGGCTCAAAATAAAAGGATGGAGGAAGATCTACCAAGCAAATGGAAAACAAAAAAAGGCAGGGGTTGCAATCCTAGTCTCTGATAAAACAGACTTTAAACCAACAAAGATCAAAAGAGACAAAGAAGGCCATTACATAATGGTAAAGGGATCAATTCAACAAGAAGAGCTAACTATCCTAAATATACAAGCACCCAATACAGGAGCACCCAGAGTCATAAAGCAAGTCCTGAGAGACACAGACTCTTTTTAGTTAGTTAGTTATTATTATTTAATATTATTAATATTAATATTAAATATTAACTAACGTTAATATTTAGTTATATTATTAATAATAATAATAACAGGAGACTTTAACACCCCACTGTCAATATTAGACAGATCAATGAGACAGAAGGTTAACAACGATATCCAGGACGTGAACTCAACTCTGCACCAAGCAGACCTAATAGACATCTACAGAACTCTCCACCCCAAATCAACAGAATATGCATTCTTCTCAGCACCAGATTGCACTTATTCCAAAACTGACCAGGTAGTTGGAAATAAAGCATTCCTCAGCAAATGTAAAAGAACAGAAATCACAACAAACTATCTCTCAGACCACAGTGCAATCCAATTAGAACTCAGGATTAAGAAACTCACTCAAAACTTCACAGCTTCATGGAAACTGAACAACCTGCTCCTGAATGACTACTGGGTAAATAACAAAATGAAGGCAGAAATAAAGATGTTCTTTGAAACCAATGAGAACACAGACACAACGTAACAGAATCTCTGGGACACATTTAAAGCAGTGTGTAGAGGGAAATTTATAGCACTAAATGCCAACAAGAGAAAGCAGGAAAGATCTAAAATCCACACCCTAACATCACAATTAAAGGAACTAGAGAAGCAAGAGCAAACACATTCAAAAGCTAGCAGAAGGCAAGAAATAACTAAGATCAGAGCAGAACTGAAGGAGATAGAGACACAAAAATCCCTTCAAAAAATGAGTGAATCCAGAAGCTGGCTTTTTGAAAAGATCAACAAAATTGATAGACTGCTAGCAAGACTAATAACGAAGAAAAGAGAGAAGAATCAAATACATGCAATAAAAAGTGATAAAGGGGATATCACTACCCATCCCACAGAAACACAAACTACCATCAGAGAATACTATAAATACCTCTACGCAAATAAACTAAAAAATCTAGAAAAAAGGATAAATTCATGGACACATACACCCTCCCAAGATTTAACCAGGAGAAGTGGAATCACTGAATAGACCAATAACAGGCTCTGAAATTGAGGCAATAATTAATAGCCTACCAACCAAAAAAAGTGCAGGACCAGATGGATTCACAGCCAAATTCTACCAGAGGTACAAAGAAGAACTGGTACCATTCCTTCTGAAACTATTCCAATCAATAGAAAAAGAGGGAATCCCTCCCTAACTCATTTTATGAGGCCAGCATCATCCTGATCCCAAAGCCTGGCAGAGACACAACAAAAAAAGAGAATTTTAGACCAATATCCCTGATGAACATCGATGCAAAAATCCTCAATAAAATACTGGCAAACCGAATCCAGCAGCACATCGAAAAGCTTATCCACCAAGATCAAGATGGCTTCATCCCTGGGATGCAAGGTTGGTCCAACATATGCAAATCAATAAACGTAATCCATCAAATAAACAGAACCAAAGACAAAAACCACATGATTATCTCAATAGATGCAGAAAAGGCCTTGAACAAAATTCAACACCCCTTCATGCTAAAAAAATCTCAATTAACTAGGTATTGATGGAACGTATCTCAAAATAATAACTATTTATGACAAACCCACAGAGCCAGTATCATGCTGAACAGACAAAAACTGGAAGCATTCCCTTTGAAAACAGGCACAACACAGGGATGCCCTCTCTCACCACTCCTATTCAACAGTGTTGGAAGTTCTGGCCAGGGCAGTTAGGCAAGAGAAAGAAATAAAGAGTATTTAATTAGGAAAAGAGGAAGTCAAATTATCCCTGTTTGCAGATGATATGATTGTATATTTAGAAAACCCCATCATCTCAGCCCAAAATCTCCTTAAGCTGATAAGCAACTTCAGCAAAGTCTCAAGATACAAAATCAATGTGCAAAATCACAGGCATTCCTATCCACCAATAACAGACAGAGAGCCAAATCATGAGTGAACTCCCATTCACAATTGCTTCAAAGAGAATAAAATACCTAGGAATCCAACTTACAAGGGATGTGAAGGACCTCTTCAAGGAGAACTACAAACCACTGCTCAAGGAAATAAAAGAGGATACAAACAAATGGAAGAACATTCCATGCTCATGGGTAGGAAGAATCAATATCGTGAAAATGGCCATACTGCCCAAGGTAATTTATAGATTCAATGCCATCCCCATCAAGCTACCAATGACTTTCTTCACAGAATTAGAAAAAAAACTACTTTAAAGTTCATATGGAACCAAAAAAGAGCCCACATTGCCAAGACAATCCTAAGCAAAAAGAACAAAGCTGGATGCATCATGCTACCTGACTTCAAACTATACTACAAGGCTACAGTAACCAAAACAGCATGGTTCTGGTACCAAAACAGAGATATAGACCAATGGAGCAGAACAAAGGCCTCAGAAATAACACCACACATCAACAACCACCTGATCTTTGACAAACCTAAGAAAAACAAGAAATGGGGAAAGGATACCCTATTTAATAAATTGCGCTGGGAAAACTGGCTAGCCATATGTAGAAAGCTGAAACTGGATCCCCTCCTTAAATCTTATACAAAAATTAATTCAAGATGGATTAAAGACTTAAATGTCAGACCTAAAACCATAAAATCCCTAGAAGAAAACCTATGCAACACCATTCAGGACATAGGCATGGGCAAAGACTTCATGACTAAAAACACCAAAGGCAATGGCAACAAAAGCCAAAATTGACAAATGAGATCTAATTAAACTAAAGAGCATCTGCACAGCAAAAGAAACTACCATCAGAGTGAACAGGCAACTTGCAGAATGGGAGAAAATTTTTGCAATCTACTCATCTGACAAAGGGCTAATATCCAGAATCTACAAAGATCTTAAACAAATTTACAAGAAAAAATCAAACAACCCCATCAAAAAGTGGGCAAAGGTTATGAACAGACACTTTTCAAAAGAAGATATTTATGCAGCCAACAGACACATGAAAGAATGCTCATCATCACTGGTCATCAGAGAAATGCAAATCAAAACCACCATGAGATACCATCTCACACCAGTTAGAGTGGTGATCATTAAAAAGTCAAGAAACAGCAGGTGCTGGAGAGGATGTGGAGAAATAGGAACACTTTTACACTGTTGGTGGGACTGTAAACTAGTTCAACCATTGTGGAAGACAGTGTGGAGATTCCTCAAGGATCTAGAACTAGAAATACCATTTGACCCAGCCATCCCATTACTGGGTATATACCCAAAGGATTATAAATCATGCTACTATAAAGACACATGCACACATATGTTTATTGTGGCACTATTCACAATAGCAAAGACTTGGAACCAACCCAAATGTCCATCAATGATAGACTGGATTAAGAAAATGTGGCACATATGTACCATAGAATACTATGCAGCCATAAAAAAGGATGAGTTCATGTCCTTTGTAGCGACATGGATGAAGCTGGAAACCATCATTCTGAGCAAACTATCACAAGGACAGAAAACCAAACACTGCATATTCTCACTCACAGGTGGGAACTGAACAATGAGAACACTTGGACACAGGTCGGGGAACATCACACACTGGGGCCTGTCATGGGGTGGGGGAATGGGGGAGGGATAGCATTAGGAGAAATACCTAAAGTAAATTACTAGTTAATGGGTGGAGCAAACCAATATGGCACATGTATACATATGTAACAAACCTGCATGTTGTGCACATGTACCCTAGAACTTAAAGTATATAATTAAAAAAAAGAAAGAAAATTGGAATAAAAGAATGCCCTCTCTCAGTACTCCTATTAAACATATTACTGGAAGTCTTAGCCAGAGCAATCAGTCATGAGAAACATATAAAAGGCATCCAAATAGGAAGAGAGGAAGTCAAACTATCTGTGTTTGAAGACAATATGAATCGACACCTAGAATATCTCATATGTCTCCCCTAAAGCTTCTTGATCTAGTAAATTTAGCAAAGTTTCAGTATAAAAAATCAATATACAAAAATCAGTAACATTTCTATATATTACTAACATCCAAGCTGAGGTCGAAATCAAGAATGCAATCCCATTCACAATAGCCAAAAAAGGAATAAAATAACTCTGCAACGAGAGTTACAAAACAGTGCTCAATGAAATCAGAGATGACACAAACAAATGGAAAAACATTCCTTGTTCATGGATAGAAAGAATCAACTTTGTTAGAATGGTCATGGTGTCCAAGTAACTTACGGATTCAATCCTATTCCTATGGAACTGCCAAGGAGGGACAGAAAAAGATAAAAATCAAAGAATTAACTTTCAAGTACTATGCTTAACACCTGGGTGATGGAATGATCTGTACACCAAATCCCTGTGACACACTATTTCCCTATAAAACCAAGCCTGCCTGTGTGCCTCTGAACCAATATAAAAGTTAAAAAATAGAAAAACTATATATAAATTAAATAAAATTTAAAAATTAAAATGTACTGCACATGAAAGGACACAATAAATATAGTGAAAAGACAACCTGCTGAATGGAAGAAAACATTTGCAAACTTTTTATCTGACAAGAAACTAATTTCCAGAATATATAAAAAATGCAAAAAAACGAACATTAAAAAAAATCCATTACATGAATAGACATTTCTCAAAGGAAAAATGGGCCCATGTGGAAAAAAATGATCAACACAACTAATCATCAAGAAAATGTAAATCAAAACCACAATGAAATATCATCTTACCTCTGTTCGAATGGCTATTACGAAAAAGACAAAAAATGACAGGTGCTGGCGAGGATGCAGGGGATAGGGAACTTTTATAACTGTTATAGGAAAGTAAATTAGTATAATCACTACTGAAAACAGTATGGCGATTTTTCAAAAAAGTAAAAATAGAACTGACATACAAACCAACAGTTCTGCTACTGGGCATTTGTTAAAGGAAAGGCAATAATTGTATCAAAAAGATTCCTGCACCCCCATATTTATAGCAGCACTATTCACAACAGCAAAATATTGGATCAACATAAGTGTCCATGAATGGATGAATGGATAAAGAAAATGTGGTATATACGGACAATGGAATACAATTTGACCATAACAAATAATGAAATCATGTCATTTGTTACAACAAAGATGAAACTAGAGGACATCATTCTAAGTAAAATAAGCCCTCATATGCAGGAGCTAAAAAAGTTGATCTCATAGAGGTAGAGAGTAGAATGACAGATATCACAGGCTAGGAAGGCTGAGTGAGTGCAGAAAAAAACAGAGGTTGGTTATCGGTACAAACATACAGTTAGAAAGCATATACGTTCTAATGTTTGACTGCAAAGTAGGGTGACTGTAGTTAAAAACAATGTATTTTATATTTCAAAATAGCAATAATAGTGGCCTTGGAATGTTTCCAACACAAAGAAGTCAGTTATAAATACTGGAGGTGATGTATACTTGATCCTGACTTGATCATTACACATTGTATACATGTACAAAATATTACATACAGTCCAGAAATATGTACAAATATTATGTATCTATAAAACATTGTGATTAGTTTCCTTTATAAGTAATGGAAATTTATATAGGAGATACTGAGTACATTAGTTAATGTTAATAGGTCTTAATAGCTTTTGTTTAATACTCTTGTGTGCATAGCTGTGCATGAGAATGGTGGGGAGGAAAGAAGATGTAAGAATCTAAAATGATTACCAGAATTTCAGTTTGAAAGGCTGAGTTGATGGTGATCCCTGGAAACAAAATACAGCAAAATAAAGTTTCTCTCACATATGTGTATGTGTGTGCATATGCGTGTGTGTGCATGTATGTCTGTGTATGTGCACATATGCATACAATGAAGAAGGGACTATTTAAAAGAGTTTAGATTTGGAGTGCCTAGAAACATCTAGTTGTTGACATACTTTTTAATAATTGTGCATTTGGTCTTGGAATAAAATTGGATAAAGGTCAGAGGTAGTGTATTTTGTTGTGGAGCCATCAGTATACATGATAAACAACACATATTGAATGACTTGGATTATCTCAATATTGAATAAGAATGTAACAAAGCTGCTAACAGAATATTGAGATACTCTTTTAAGACAGACATAGAAAGTTTCCAGTAACTGAGACTATGAAAAACACTCAGAGAGATAAGAATGATTTTATGTATTATTGTAACACCCAGAAAACTAGAGATATGTAAACTTGAGACACCTAGTTTGGTTACACAAAGCCTGGAATAAACCTAGATCCAATCATGTTCCCACCCCAATACATCTCTTGAGGTTGCTACAAAGAAAATATAATCAGTAATTACACTGAGACTCCTATTTTCTTTTTTTTAATAAGCAATTTCTTTTATTTTTTTATTTTCTTATTATTCTACTTTAAGTTTTAGGGTACATGTGCACAATGTGCAGGTTAGTTACATATGTATACATGTGCCATGCTGGTGTGCTGCACCCATTAACTCGTCATTTAACATTAGGTATATCTCCTAATGCTAACCCTCCCCACTTCCCCCACCCCACAACAGTCCCCAGAGTGTGATGTTCCTCGCCCTGTGTCCATGTGTTCTCATTGTTCAATTCCCACCTATGAGTGAGAACATGCGGTGTTTGATTTTTTGTCCTTGCGATAGTTTACTGAGAATGATGCTTTCCAATTTCATCCATGTCCCTACAAAGGACATGAACTCATCATTCATCATTTTTTATGGCTTCATAGTATTCCATGGTGTATATGTGCCACATTTTCTTAATCCAGTCTATCATTGTTGGACATTTGGGTTGGTTCCAAGTCTTTGCTATTGTGAATAGTGCCGCAATAAACATACGTGTGCATGTGTCTTTATAGCAGCATGATTTATAGTCCTTTGGGTATATACCCAGTAATGAGATGGCTGGGTCAAATGGTATTTCTAGTTCCAGATCCCTGAGGAATCGCCACACTGACTTCCACAATGGTTGAACTAGTTTACAGTCCCACCAACAGTGTAAAAGTGTTCCTATTTCTCCACATCCTCTCCAGCACCTGTTGTTTCCTGACTTTTTAATGATTGCCATTCTAACTGGTATGAGATGGTATCTCATTGTGGTTTTGATTTGCATTTCTCTGATGGCCAGTGATGGTGAGCATTTTTTCATGTTTTTTGGCTGCATAAATGTCTTATTTTGAGAGGTGTCTGTTCATGTCCTTCACCCACTTTTTGATGGGGTTGTTTGTTTGTTTTTTTGTAAATTTGTTTGAGTTCATTGTAGATTCTGGATATTAGCCCTTTGTCAGATGAGTAGGTTGCAAAAATTTTCTCCCATTTTGTAGGTTGCCTGTTCACTCTGATGGTAGTTTCTTTTGCTGTGCAGAAGCTCTTTAGTTTAATTAGATCCCATTTGTCAATTTTGGCTTTTGTTGCCACTGCTTTTGGTGTTTTAGACATGAAGTCCTTGCCCATGCCTATGTCCTGAATGGTATTGCCTAGGTTTTCTTCTAGGGTTTTTATGGTTTTAGGTCTAACATTTAAGTCTTTAATCCAAATTGAATTAATTTTTGTATAAGGTGTAAGGAAGGGATCCAGTTTCAGCTTTCTACATATGGCTAGCCAGTTTTCCCAGCACCATTTATTAAAAGGGAATCCTTTCCCCATTGCTTGTTTTTCTCAGGTTTGTCAAAGATCAGATAGTTGTAGATATGCAACGTTATTTCTGAGGGCTCTGTTCTGTTCCATTGATCTATATCTCTGTTTTGGTACCAGTACCATGCTGTTTTGGTTACTGTAGCCTTGTAGTATAGTTTGAAGTCAGGTAGCGTGATGCCTCCAGCTTTGTTCTTTTGGCTTAGGATTGACTTGGCGATGCAGGCTCTTTTTTGGTTCCATATCAACTTTAAAGTAGTTTTTTCCAATTCTGTAAGAAAGTCATTGGTAGCTTGATGGGGATGGCATTGAATCTATAAATTACCTTTGGCAGTACAAACCCACAGCCAATATCACACTGAATGGGCAAAAACTGGAAGCATTCCCTTTGAAAACTGGCACAAGACAGGGATGCCCTCTCTCACCACTCCTATTCAACATAGTGTTGGAAGTTCTGGCCAGGGCAATTAGGCAGGAGAAGGAAATAAAGGGTATTCAATTAGGAAAAGAGGAAGTCAAATTGTCCCTGTTTGCAGATGACATGATTGTATATCTAGAAAACCCCATTGTCTCAGCCCAAAATCTCCTTAAGCTGATAAGCAACTTCAGCAAAGTCTCAGGATACAAAATCAATGTACAAAAATAACAAGCATTCTTATACACAAATAACAAATAAACAGAGAGCCAAATCATGAGTGAACTCCAATTCACAATTGCTTCAAAGAGAATAAAATACCTAGGAATCCAACTTACAAGGGACGTGAAGGACCTCTTCAAGGAGAACTACAAACCACTGCTCAATGAAATAAAAGAGGATACAAAGAAATGGAAGAACATTCCATGCTCATGGGTAGGAAGAGACTCCTATTTTCTAAATCTGTTTTACATTCTTTTGAAATATGGATTTTAGTTGGGATTTTGAAAGAAACTCAATTGACTTAGGTTTCCCACTTTTGGCAAAATATTCTTTAAGTATTTCCTAGATCTTAATTTTAGCATGAGAGTGATAAATCCATCCTTTCCTATGGATTCTTAAGATAATTGATACAAATAACTTAGATATATAAAACATATGAGATTTAATTTAATGTGAAATGAATAATTATTGCTTAATGATGACCATCTTTTTTATCTTCCTTATTAAGAAGCAAACAATAAAAACTTTTTAGAAGAGAGGTGAAGCAAGATAAAGGAATTAAAGGCTTCATCAATTGTGCCCCCAAAAAGAACACCAATTTAACAACTATCTACATGAATAAAACACTTTCATTAGAACCAAAAAGTAGGTGAATCCATACAGTATCTGGTTTTAACTCTGTATCTCTGAAAGAGGCACTGGGGAAATAGCAAAAACAGTCCTGAGTCACTGACGTCACCCCTATCCAACCCCCAGCATAGTCCACCTGGTGCAGAGAGCATCTCTGGGTGCTACAGGAGGGAGAACACAGCAATTGTGAAGCAATGAACTCAGTGCTGTTCTGTTAGAGCAGGAAGGAAAACCAGAACAAACTCAACTGGAACAAGCGTACAAAGGGAGCATTTAAATTAGCTCTAGGAAGAGGGGAATTGCTGGTCCTAAAAGTAGGGACTTGAGCTCTTGCAAAACTTGTCACCAAAGGCCACAGTGCTCTGTGTCTTCAAGTAAACCTGAAAGATAGTCTAGTACATAAGGACTACAACTCCTAGGAACATCCTAGTGCTGAACTCAGCCCAGAAACAGTAGACTGGGGGGCACTTAACCTACTGAGACACCAGGTGGATTAGTGAAGGGAGTGCTGGCATCACCCATGCCCTAATCCCAGTCCACATGGCTCACAGCTCCAAGAGACCCTTCCTTCCACTTGAGGAGAGGAGGGGGAAGAATAGGAAGGACTTTGTCTTGTGCCTTGGATACCAGCTCAGCCACAGTAGGAAAGGGCACTGATCAGAGTAGTGAAGCCCTGTTCCAGGCCCTAGCTCCCAGATGACATTTCTACACACACTCTGGGCCAGAAGGGAACTCATTGCCTTGAAGGGAAAAAAATATTCTGGAAGAATTCATCACCTGCTAACTGAAGAGCCTGAACAATCAGCAGCAATAGCCAAGTACTATGTTGAGGGCCTTTGGTGAGCCTGTGAGACTTGTTGGCTTCAGCTGAGACTCAGCACATACGAAGCTCTGGTGGCTATGGGAAAAAAACTCCTTCTACTTGAGAAAAGCAGAGGTAAAAGTAAAGGAGACTTTGCCTTGGACCTTAAGTATGAGTATGGCCACAGGGGTGTAGAGCACCAAACAGGCTATCCAAACTGGAAGAATCACATTACCTGACTTCAAATTAAACTACAGAGCTATAGTAACCAAAACAGCATGGTACTGCCAAAAAAAGAAAAAAAAAAAAAACAGACAGATAGACCAATGGAACAGAATAATGAACCCAAAAACAAATCTGTATACTTACAGTGAATTCATTATTGATAGAAGTACCAAGAACATACACTAGGTAAAAGACAGTCTCTTCAATAATTGGTGCTGGAAAAACTGGATATCCATATGCAGAAGAATGAAACTAGACTCTTATTTCTCACCATACAAAAAATCAAATCAAAATGGATTAAAGACTTAACTTTAAGACCTCAAACTATGAAACTACTTCAAGAAGACTTTAAGAAATGTCTCTAGCACATCGATCTGGGCAAATATTTTTTGAGTAATACTCCACAAAGCAAAAATAGACAAATGGGATCATATCAAGTTAAAAAGCTTCTGCACAGAAAGAAAACAATAAAGTGAAGAGACAACCCAAAGAATGGAGAAAATATTTGCAAACTCCCCAGATGACAAGAGAATAAGAACCAGAATATATAAGAAGCTCAAATAACTTTAGGAAACAATCTAATGATGCAACCAAAAAATGGGCAACAAATTTGAATAGACATTTCTCAGAAGAAGAAATACAAATGGCAAACATATATGAAAAGAGCTCAACATTATTGATCATCAGAGAAATGCAAATCAAAACTACAATGAGATATCCTGTCACCCCAGTTAAAATGGCATATATATTCAAAAGACAGGAAATAACAAATGCTGGTAAGGAAGCAGAAAAAGAGAACCCTTGTACACTGTCAGTGGGAGTGTAAATTAATACAACCACTGTGGAGGACAGTTTGGAGGTTACTCAAAAAACTGCTAATACAGCTACCATATGATCCAGCAATTGCACCACTAGGTGTATACCCAAAAGAAAGGAAATCAGTATATCAAAAAGATGTCTGCATTCCTATGTTCACTGCAGCTCTGTTCACAATAGTCAACATTTGAAATCAACTTAAGTGCCCATCAACAGATAAATAGATAAAGAAAATGTGGTACATATACCCAATGGACTACTATTCAGCCATAAAAAGAATGAGATTCTGTCATTTGCAACAAAATGGGTGGAATTGGAGAACATTATGCTAAGTGAAATAAAACAGGCATAGAAAGACAAACATCATATGTTCTCACTTATGTGTGGGACCTAAAAATGAAAACAACTGAACTCATGGACATAGAGAGTAGGATGGTTGGTTACCAGTGTCTGGAAATGATACTCGAGGGATGGGGTAGAGGTGGGGAGGGTAAATTGGTACAAAATAAAATAGAAAGAATGAATGAGACCTACTATTTGATAACACAAAAAGGTGACTATAGTCAATAATAATTGTACATTTCAAAATAAATAGAATAGTGTAATTGGATTTTTTTTGTAATGCAAAGGATAAATTCTTGAGAGGATGATACCCCATTCTCCATGATGTAATTACTATGCATTGCATGCCTCTTAACATCTCATGCCTATTAAACATCTAATGTGCCCCATAAATATATATACCTACTATGTTCCCACAAAATTAATTATTTTCAAAAGAGACACACAAAAAATCACTGCACATCCATCAGAATGGCTAAAATAAAAAACACTGTAAATATCAAATGCTGACAAGAATGCCAGGAATCTAGGTCACTCATATATTATTGATGGAGCTCATTCATATATTAGTGATGAGAATGTAATATGATACAGCCACTCTGGAAAACAGGCAATTTCTTATAAAATCAAGCATGCAACTTTGTGTAACCCAGCAATTACACTATTGGGTATTTATCACAGAAACATGAAAACTCATGTCTATACAAAAATCTGTATGCAAACGTTCATAGCAGCATTACACACAATAGACAAAAACTGGAAACCACCTAGATGTTCTTCAACAGGTAAATGTAGTACCTCCATACTCCAGAACACTACTCAGTACAAATAATTATACACACCACAGTTGGATTAAATTCCAGGAAATTATGCTAAGTAAAAAAACCAATCACCAAATGTTAAACTTTCTCTTAGATGCGACTGAAATATACTTAATTATTTTAAAATGTTAACTAAAATTTTATGTTGGCACTCTAAAAATGTTTTCAACTTTGATTTGATATTTTTACTTATGAAGAGGAGATTTGAAGGACTGCATGCCATTTTGTTACTTAAAATTCTTATTCTTTAACACTTGAATGGACTTTTTGTTATTCTCCATATTTATTCAATTTATATTTAAATTATTTAATGACTCAGCATCATTATATTCTGGGACAACCTGCTGTGTCTTTGGAGAAAGTGATCTTTGTTAAAAAGAACAATCTCTCTGGTATTTCCTAGTTGGTTCCCAGTTCAATCCCTAGGGATGCATATTTTATATAGCACCTTCTTCAAATACCACCTGATCTATTGACTGTCTCCCGGTATCCTTTATAACTAGTCTTTCATTTTATTCCTAACACATATCCCAAATTTAATAATTCATATCTTCAAATTAATGGCTTGTCTGCTTCCCTCTGATAAGCTCCATTGAGGCCAAAACCATGTCTGGTTGCCTCCAAGTGGTATTCATAGCATCTAACATGGATCATAGTACGTATTCAATACATACTTGCTGAAAAAATGCTAAGCAAGTTCCGTTCCAAGGGAATGTTTTTCAAATAATTGGAAACACATTTTATTTCCTAATTTTTTTTTTCTTCTCCAGGCTAATTTTCACCAAACTTCCTTATATGTCTTCATTTTATAACCCTTCTCCACCTTAATTGCTTCTTGAATAGGTTCCAGGATGTTTAAATGTCCACTAAGTTGTGATCACCAGAAATAAATATAATTTTTATTTAATTAATCTTTGTTTTCCCAGTCTAACACATCAAAAATTAACACTTGAATATTTTTAAACTAAGAATTCATGCTCATTTCTAATATTTTTAGGGCTGCTAATTCTCATCTCCCTATTCTTCTATCTCTTTTACCTGATTGCTGATTGACACTCAGACTTAATGATATTCTGGGGACATAAATCCAAATCTTCCACACAATTTCAATAGAGGGGTGGTTTTCAATTTTTTTCTGAAGAGTTTCAATACTGAGCTTCAGGAACACATCACAGCGTGATAGTTAAGTTACATGGTGGATGTTTTAGATACTACATTACAGATTCCACCAGAGCAAAACTTTTAAAAACCTATTTTATAAGAGATTTCTTTTGGATGAAAAAAAATTCTACTAACCATTAGGGGAAACTGGTGTTTCCCCAAATTATTTTTTTTGTTTTGTTGTATTATATACGAAGATAAATGCTTACAGATGTGTGTTGTGGGGGTGCAGATATGGACTTGATGAATTTATGTATAAAGTATCATGTGCATGTCCAGATACTTGAACCATCTAAAATGTCTTTCCTTTGCTTGTATACGAATGGCAATCACCAGCATATCATGAAAGTATTTGCAATAAATTATTTCCATGTTGACAGAATATCTAAAACAGAATATATGAAGGTTCTGTTTGTTATTATGGTGCTTTAATGTTTCCCCTCTTTGCAATTTACTGATATTATCCAAAGCTCTTGAACAATAAAATAACCTGGGCACAGTGTTAACACTAGTAATACACCTTAAAACTGATAATGTATTCAAATTGCATGCAGATTAATTCTTCCTAAGCAGAACTCTTATTTTACAATACTGAAGAGCCACTTCCATCCCTAGCCACTAAATACTTTCTTACTTTCAAGATATTGGCTGTAAAATCATTCAAGGATAAATAACTAAAGACTGGAACAATTAAAATCATGTTTGAAAAATGTAAGTGTTTTGAAGAGTCATTTTAGAATGCTTTTTTATTATAATGCAGTTCTTGTACTTTTGCTTCTTTTTCTATATACACTTATAAATAGTAACAAAACCACAGATAACACAAAAAATAACAAAGAACAACTTGAATTGTAATTTGGTGTTTAGTGACTCCTAATGATATCACTGAGGGGCTTGAACATTTTTTATTTCTCCTCCTTTAGTGAACTAAAAATAAAAAGTTCATGTTCTAGTTGCTGTGTGGCCTTAATGATAGATGGATAAATGGGTTGTTCTCTACTGATCATAATGTCAGAAATGTGTAAAACAGTTGTTGCCAGAAAAGAGTAGATTGTTATTTAATCATGTTTCATAGGGAAAATAGAAGAAACAAAAAGTAATAGGTCAATTTAAATGAATACTCTTATTATCAACTAATAATACTTAATCCACAAAAATTCTCATTTGTCACTAGATGTGGGTTTCATATACAAATACTAAAGTTTGTGCAATTTTACTTATGTGGTTTCTTTTCAGCACAGGAAAATTTAGACAAAATCATATTCATCTATGAATAAATGGATATTTATAATTATATTACTGAAGCCTATCAGTGCATTTCTAGTACTATCATGAATCAGTTTAAAGAAATTTGTAGCTCCTCAAATTTTTTCCAGTGACATTCATGCTATTCTCAGGATTTGTTTCATAAGAGTTCCACAAGTTGTACTTTCAGTTGAGCTTCGCATATAACATTTTTTATTTCTTCCCCTGCTTTGGCTTTCAATGTAGAGATCCTGCTTTTACTGCTACAGATTTCATTGCTTAGTGCAAGATCTCAAGGCACTTAAGCACTAAGGAAGTCTTTATTTTCATTTTTCTCTCTTCTAAAAGATTATCTGTCTAGTTTGCTGCTCATTACTCTGAGTTTCATGAAAACATATATTCTACAAGTCATCTCAGTAAAGAAATCACTATTCACTCATATATTCTAGCAAATAGGAAACAAGGTATTGTTTCTAAATTTTCTATATGCCTTTATTGAAACGTCCTTAATTTGTACTTGCTTTGTGTAATAGTTCCTGCATCCTTGGACTCTAAAATGAGAAGATACTGGAGTGATAAATTTCCATCTTTTAGATTATTTGTCCACTCTTATCCTTCTAAGCTATTTGTTAATTCAAATTTAGGCATTTCAATTTCCCCTACCCTTAAGTAGTATTTTTCTGGAAGTCCCTAATTCCTATATTGGATGTCCAGATATGTTTGCTTATCAAAGAAGACCATTTCTTAGATGTCTCCTTTTAACTAAGCATGTTAAAAAAAAAAATTGGCAATAAAAGCATTGTGTTCGGCCGGGCCTGATGGCTCATGCCTGTAATCCCAGCACTTTGGGAAGCCGAGGCGGGCGGATGGCTTGAGGTCGGGAGTTCAAGACCAGCCTGACCAACACGGAGAAACCCCATCTCCACTAAAAATACAAAATTAGCCAGGCGTGCTGGTGCATGCCTGTAATCCCAGCTACTCAGGAGGCTGAGGCAGGAGAATCACTTGAACCCGGGAAGCGGAGGTTGCAGTTGGCCAATATCGTGCCATTGCCCTCCAACCTGGGCAACAAACGAAAATCCGTCTCAAAAAAAAAAAAAAAAAAAAGAACTGTGTTCATAATCACCAGTATTTTTATAGTCATAGCATTGCTTGATCTATACAGAAAATTTTCCATTTTTCTTTAATATACTAATTTTTCTATAGAAATACCTTTCTTTCCCAGGGAAAATTCAAAATTATTCAATTCTTACTGAATTATAATATATTATCATATTTATAATAGACTTTAAAAATGTTTGTTTCAGTGCTTTTTCTCAGAATAGATCAGGGGTCATGTCTATTTTACTTTGGACCTAGAATAGTGCCTGACATATAATAAACGCTTAAACATTTTTATTAAATTTTATTTTTGAAATAACTTTAAATTTAGAAGAAAGATGAAAAGGTAGTCCAAAAAGCTCCTATATACCAAGAATCAGGATCTCTTTAGGCTAGCATCTTACATACCAATGCTTCTATACTTACCAAAATTAAAAAAAAATATTAGTACAATACAGTTAAATAAACTATAGATTTTATTTTAATATCATCAGGTTTACTAGTAACTTTCTTTTTTCTCTCTTTAAAGATCCAATGCATGATAGCACATAGCATCTAAAGGTCATTGATTCTGGGACAGGTTTTTGGTGCTACTTTATATTTAAGGACCTTGAAATTCTGGAGTACATATTATATAGACTGGGATTATGAATTTTGGTGATGAGTACAGACGTGAAATATTCTACTTGTCTCGTTATGTTAGAAAGCCCATGATATCAATGAAAATTACTACTTGTGATGTAAATGTTGCTTCTGTAATTACGGTTGTGGACGCTGAGTTTTGTCATTGTAAAGTTACGAATTTTTCCTTTTCATATTCTATGCTTTAGGGGCAGATTACCAAGTCCAATCCAAACTCAAAGCATGTGAAATAAGGCTCTACTTACTGGAAGGGAGGGAGTATAAAATATTGATTACATATGTAAGACTCTTCAGAGTAATTAATAAATATTTTTGCAGAATACTTTGATTCTATACAAATAACTCATTTCTCTTCAAAGTTTCTGCTACAAATTTTAACATTTGCTGATGGATCTTGCATGTAGCAATTACATTTTAGTGTTCTAAAGGTGATTTTTTATTACCTTATTTATTCTATGTATATTTACTAGGAATCTTTTATAAATGTGTTTTATTCATTCTTCATATATATAATATGTAGATAGGATGTATATACATAGATACATAGATATACATATGTATTCATAGAACTGTTGACAAATGCAGCAGCACAAGGTTCATTCTAGCCTTTTTCCATTGTTTATTTGCAGCATCTTTCTCTGACAGTGAAAAACTTGGATGCCATTTTTAAAAATATATTTACTCATGTCTGTAACTACAGTATAAAAGTCAGGTGATTCCAGAATTGCTAACTATGTGAGAAACAAATTTATCACTAGGGGAGGGTATTGTGTACAGTTCTTCTTTGTCTCCAGGCCTATATTACTCAATCAAAATAAAATTTTCCGAATTTTTGTGTCAGTTCTTTTTTTTTCTCCACCCCTTTAATTGAGGTTACACATCATACATTGATAATATGGTTAAAAACATTTATCACACTCTGTTGTAAATCTTATTCCCCTAACATCTTTTGTTTTTCAGAAAGTAAACTACATCCTTTGTGGTTAACATTTTTGTAAATTTGGCAAAGACATGAAGTCAGGTACCCACCACCAGTGTACAATGTAGAACAGTACCGTCACCCAAGAAATTCTCTGTACTTCACGTATTTACTGTTCCACTAACCCAGTCCATGGCAATAATTAACTAGTTTTGCATTCCCTTTTTTTTCCCTCCAGAAAAGAATAAAAAGAGTGTAAAGTAACATATAGCCATATATGTCCAGATTCTTCACTTAACAGAATACAGTTAAAAACCATCTGGCATGGTTTGGTTCTGTGTCCCCACCCAAATCTGATGTTGACTTGTAATTTCCAATGTTGGGGGAGGGAACTGATGGGAGGCAATTGACCACAGGGGTGGATTTCCCCCATGCTGTTCTCATGATAGCGAATGAGTTCTCACAAGATCTCATAGTTTAAAAGTGTGGGACACTTCCCCCCTTGCTCTTTTCTCTCTCTCCTGCTACCATGTGAAGAAGGTGTTTGCTTCCCCTTTGCCTTCCACCATGATTGTAAGTTTCCTGAGGCCTCCCAGTCATGCTTTCTGTTAACCCTGCATAACTGTGAGTCAATTAAACCTCTTTTTTTCATTACCCAGTCTCAGGTAGCTCTTTATAGCAAGTGAGAATGGATTAATACACCATCCACATTGCTTTAAAATTAAGCTTTATTTTTTTAATTACTGAGTAATATTCCATTGCATAAACACACAACAGATTATATTTCTATTAATCCGCTGAAGGACAGTTGCTTCTAGTTTCGAGTTACAATGAATAAAATTGACAAAAACCTTTCTGTAAAGATTTTTTTTAAATATTAGGAAATGGAAAAATTTCCTTACCTAATACTTAGAAATGTAGAATTACATGGTAAGTATATATTTAATGTTAGAAGAAACTGTCTAACTACTTTATATGCTGGTTGTTACATTTCATTTATTCATCAGCAATGAATATATGTTTCCCATTGTTTCATGCCCTCATCAGCAGTTGGTATTGTCAGGTGTATTATTGCTGTTGTTAGGTTTTTTTTTTTTGTAAAAGTCTACAAAACTCCTGGCTCACAACACATTGACAGGATCAAAATCACATATATCAATGTTACCCCTGAATGTAAATGGTCTAAATACCCCCTTAAAAGCATAGATTGTCAAGCTGGATAAAAAGTAAAGACTCTGTCTGATGACTTCAAGAGATCCGTCTCACATGTAATGACACCCACAGGATAAAAGTAAAGGAAAGGAGAAAGAGCTACCATGTAAAGGAAAAACAAAAAAGAGCAGGAATCACAATTATTACAGCAGATAAAACAGACTTGAAGTAAGTAATAGTCAAGAAGGACAAAGAAGGACATTACATGATAAAAGGTTCATTTTAACAAGAATAGGTAACGATTCTAACTACATACCCACACAGTATTTGAGCACTCAGATTCATAAAAAAAATTTTTTTGACCTAGGAAAAGAATTAGTCAGACAAAAGTAGTGAAATACTTCAACACCCCACTGACAGCTTAAGACAGATCATAGAGGCAGAAAACTAACAGAAAAGCTGGACACAAATTGGATTCAATCAATTGGACCTAATAGACAGCTAAAGAATACTCCACCAAACAACCACAGAATATACTTTGTTTTCATCTACATATAGAAGAGATTCTAAGATTGACCACATAGTCAGTCATAAAGCAAGTCTCTAAAAATACAAAAAAAAAAAAAAAAAAAAAATCATGCCAAGCACAGTCTTGGATAATAGTGTAATAAAAATAGAAACAATATCAGGAAGATCTCTGAACACCGTACAAATACAAGGAAATTAAACAACTTGTTCCTGAATAACTCAGGTGAAAAAAATAAATTAAGGCAGAAAGAAAACATTCTTGGCAATTAACGAAAATAGAGACACAGCTTACCAAAATATTTTGGAAACAGCTATAGCAGTGTTAAGAGGAAAATTTATAGCACTGAATGCCTTCATCATGAAGTTAGAAATATTTTAAATTAACAATCTAAAAACACATATATAAGGACTAGGGAAAAAAAGAACAAACAAACCCCAAAGCTAGCAGAAGAAATGAAATAACTAAAACCAGAGAAGAACTGAACAAAATTGAAATTCAAAACTCAATTCAAAAGATCAATGAAACCAAAAGTGGGTTCTTCAAAAAGTAAATAAAATTGATAGACCATTAGCTAGATTAACAAAGAAGAATCAGTATCAAAATAAGTATAATCAGAAATGACAAAGATGACATTACAACTCATCCCACAGAAATAAAAAAGATCCTCTGAGATTATTATGAACACCTTTATGCACATAAATTAGAAAATCTAGAGAAAATTAATTAATTCCTAGAAAATCACAACCTTCCATTATTAAACAAAGAAGAAAGTAAAAACCTGAATATACCAATAACAAGTTGTGAAACTGAATAAGTAATAAAAAATAAAACAAAATTTAAAAATACTGATAAAAAGCCCTGGAGTGATAGATTCGCACCCAAATTCTACCAGACGTATAAGGAAGAGTTAATAACAACCCTACTGAATTATTCCTAAAATGGAGAAGGAGGGTCTTCTACTTAATTCATTCTACAATGCCAGCATCAGACTGATACCAAAATCTGGCAGAGAAACGTCAAAAATAGAAAACTTCAGGCCAATACCCCGATGAACATAGACACAAAAATCCTCAAAAAAATACTAGTAACCTGAATCTAGCAGCACAACAGTAAGTTAATTCATCATGGTCAAGTGATCAAATAGGGTTTATTTGGGGGATGGGAGTTTAGTTCAACATACACAAATCAACAAATGTGATTTACCATCTAAAAAATAAAAATAAAAATGAAAACCATATGATCATCTCAATAGACTCAGAAAAAGCCTTCAATTAAATGCAATATCCCATTATAATAAAAATCCTCAACATACTTGACATTGAAAGAACATGCTTCAAAATAAAAAGAGCCATCTATAACAAACACACACCCAACATCATACTGAACAGGCAAAAGCTGAAAGCATTCCCCTTGAGAACAGGAACAAGACAAGGATTCACACTCCTATTCAACATATTAATGGAAGACCTAGCCAGAGCCATCAGGCAAGAGAAAGAAATAAAAATAATTCAGGAAAAGTAGTCAAACTATTGCTTTGCAGAAGATGTGATTCTATATCTACAAAGTTGTAAAGAATATCACAAAATGCTCCTATAATTGAAAAACAACTTCAGCAAAGTTTCAGGGTCCAAAATCAGTATACAAAAATTAGTAACATTTCTATACACCAATAATGTTCTAGCTGAGAACCAAATCAAGAGCATTATTTCATTTACAATAGCCACACAAAAAAATAAAATACCGAGGAATGCAGCTAACCAAGGAGGTAAAAGATCTCTACAAGGAGAATTGGTAAACACTACTGAAATAAATCAGAAATGACAAAAACAAATGGAAAGATATTTTGTCTCATGGATTAGAAGAATCAATATCACTAAAATGGCCATACTTCCCAAAACTATTTACATATTCAATTCTATTCCTATCAAATTACCAATGCCATTTTTCACAGAATTAATGACTAGAAAAACTATTCTAAAATTCATATGTAACCAAAGAAGTGCCCAAATAGGTAAAGCAATCCTAAATAAAAAGAACAAAGCTGTAGGCATCGCATTGCCCAACTTCAAACTATAAGTTTACAGTAACCAAACAACATGGTACTAGCACAAAAACATATAGACAGACAAATGGATCAGGCTAGAGGACCCAGAAATAAAGCTGCACACCTTCAGTCATTTGATGTTTGGCAAAGTCAACAAAAACAAACAATGGGAAAGGACCTCCTATTCAATAAATCATGCTGGAATAACTGATTAGCTTTCTGCAGAAGATTGAAACTGGACCCTTTCCTTTCACTCTATACAAAAATTAACTTGAGATGGAATAAAAACTTAAATGTAAGACCTCCAACTATAAAAGCCCTAGAAGGAAATCTAGGAAATAGCCTTGTCACAATTAGCTTCGGCAAATAATTTATGGCCAAGTCCCCAAAAGGAGTTGCAACAAAAACAAAAATTGACAACCAAATTGTAAAAAGTTGGCAACCAAATTGGGACCAAATTAAACTAAAGAGCTCTGCATACCAAAAGAAACTATCAACAAAGTAAACAGACAACCTGAAGAATGGGAGAAAATATTTGCAAACTATGTATCTGCCAAAGATCTAATATTCAGAACATATAAGGGAATAAAACAAATCATCAGGCATAAAATAAACAGCCTTATTTAAAAAGTGCTGAAAACATGAACAGACACTTCTCAAAAGAAGTCATACAAGTGGCCAAAAAATATATGAAAAAGTTTTTCATCACTGACCATAAGGGAAATGCAAATCAAAATCACAATGAGCTACCATCTCACACCAGTCAGAATGGCTATTATTAAAAAATCAAAACACAACAGATTATGGTAAGATGGAAAATTAAAGGGAAGGCATACACTCTGTTGGTCCAGAAGAAAATTGTTTTTTTTTTCTTTCTTTACCACATTTGTTTAACAATATAAATTCTGCTGTAATGTAAACTGGCCTGAACTGTAACACCAAATTTAAAATTATGGGCATAATTTAAATTCTCAGAGCTGTTTTCTTAAAATATAAAGTTGACTGGATAAGATAGTTTGCTTTAAAATATGTTGCTTGGTGCTTGAAACACAACAGATTCTCACTTCACTAGTGTGAATTATTTTAACAAGTATTTATTGATTACTTTACGTTAAAAACAATTTCAGATTCTTGAGAGGTACCAGTAAACAAAACCTGTCTAAAACTGAATGAAAAATATTACATAATGCCTAATATAATTCCATTCTATTTTCCAAGACAGACAAAAGCAAAACCTATATTGGTTCATCGGCATTGTTTATAGAAAATGTACTGATTGATGTTGTACACCCAGTGTCATTTGTATTATCTTGGTATCTACTTTCAGCCTGGTCATGCAGCCCATTTTTCTTTCCAGCTAGAATTGTATGAAAGATTCCTCTTGGGACAAGATCGGTAGTTTTCTTTGATTTATGTATGTTGCACAGCCTGCACAACTGAGAATATGAGACTGCTTCTATTGGTCCTCTCTGATGTTTGCCTGAACATTCTCCTGCTCTACTATACCCTTTACCTTTTTTAAAGTGTTATGTGAGAGTGTTATGTGAAATTTTATGAATGATTTCAGTTAACTGACCCAGGGTAATTACTACACTTTCTTAATTGTATTTGTCAATGTGGCCACCTTTGTACTGGTATATATCATCTCAATTTTCTGAAAATTATTAAAAACCTTAATATATGATAGGAAATAATGTTACAATATGATAGAACATAATAATGTTCTATTCTTGGCAATTTGCCCATGTATACACTGTTTAAAATAAGCTCGCTAAATATTCATGTTCCAAATCTACTAGAACTTTTTTTTTTTTTTTTTGAGACCGAGTTGCTCTCTTGTTGCCCAGGCTGGAGTGCAATGGCGTGATCTGTGATCTTGGCTCACTGCAACCTCCGCCTCCTGGGTTCAAGCAATTCTCCTGCCTCAGCCTCCTGAGTAGCTGGGATTACAGCCACCCATCACCAAGCCCAGCTAATTTTTTGTATTTTTAGTAGAGACAGGGTTTCCCTATGTTGTCCAGGCTGGTCTCAAGCTCCTGACCTCGGGCGATCCACCCGCCTCAGCCTCCCAAAGTGCTGAGATTGCAGGCGTGAGCCACCATGCCCGGATAAACTCTACATTTTCAATGTGAGTATTTTAAATCTATAGGTCACTTTAATGGGATTTTGATTGTGATTACTTTGAACTTTTAGATCACTTTGGAAAGATTTACTAGCTTTATCAATTTTTTCCTCATCCATAAATATGTCATATTTTTCTCTTTAGTTAGTCTCTTTCAGTTCTCATTAAACTTCTATTATTTTCTCCATAAAGGTTTTAGGCAAGCTACTTTATATTTAGATCTAGTTACTACAAATTTTTGCTTTTAAAAATATTTTCATTTAAATTTTATTTTTGTTTCCTTTTCAAATACAGAAATATTTAGATTTTTTCTTTACTTCTTAAATTAAAAAAAGATACATTATTCAGTTAAATTTCAATTTCACAATCATTAGATATTAATATTATAAGTATTTTGTTTATGTCTACATACACTCTAATGCTGTCTATGAAAACTTAATTTTTTTGTCAATTTTTGGTGTTTTACTGTATTCTTATTTATTTACTTTTCTCATTAAAATGAACAGAGCCTCCAATATAACACAGAGGTGAACTTTAATAATAGTAGCCATTCTCAATTGTTCTTAATATCAAAGTGTAGGTTTTTATTATTGCATAATTACTTTCTATAAATATTTAATACAATTAACCTTTTTATGTTAACAAACTTTTCTATGATTTTTAGTATTGCTAAGAAGTTTTATTTATCATGACTGAATATTGAATGTTTTCAAATAATTTATCTAAATCTATCAAGATGTAAGTTTTTGTTTACATAATTAAAGTGATTTGCTTCTCTTTTAATCTGTTAATCAGTGAGTCACACTGAGAGATTAACTAATGTTAAATCAACTGATATTTTCTAATGTTAAAACTAATGTTTATTCCTGATAATTTTATGACTTCACCATAAGGCATTATAATTTTTTACATTGCTGTATTCAGTTTGCCAATAATTTCTTTACAGAATTTGTTTCTCCATATGTGATAGAAATTGGCTTAAAATTTTCTTTTAATATTATTCTCAAATGTTATTGTATCATAGTCATTTTTATCTTTGTTTTTCAAATTCTAGGACACTATTAAATTGTGTAATTTTCAAATAATTTCTCAAAGCAATATATTTATGTCTGTAACTGACAAGTTCTTAGGTGAAGGTATAATACTCATATAACTGCTACTTTCGCACATGCATAGCCTCTCCCATTAGCAACAGCTTCCACCAGAGTGGTACTTTTGTTACAATTGATGATCCTACACTGGCACATTGTATCGTCCAAAGTCTCTGATTTGCATTAGGGTTAACTCAGTGTTATGTATGTCTTGGGTTTGGACAAATGTATAATGTCTTTTATCTGTAATGTCTATTATCATATAGAGTATTTTCACTGTCATATATTATAATAAATACTCTGTGCCCTGTGTATTCAACCTTATGTCCCCTAACCACTAGCAACCAGTGATTTTTTTTTTTTTTTTTTTTTTTTTTGAGACAGAGTCTCCCTCTGTCACCCAGTATGGAGTGCAATGGAATGATCTCAGCTCACTGCAACCTCCGCCTCCCGGGTTCAAGCGATTCTCCTGCCTCAGCCTCTGGAATAGCTGGGACTACAGGCACGTGCCACCACAGCTGGCTAATTTTTTGTATTTTTAGTAGAGATGGGGTTTCACTGTGTTAGCCAGGATGGTCTTGATATCCTGACCTCATGATCCGCCTACCTTGGCCTCCCAAAGTGCTGGGATTACAGGTGTGAGTCACCGCGCCCAGTCTGATCTTTTCACTGTTTACAAAATCTTGCCTTTTCCAGAGTGTCACATAGTTAAAATCCTACAGTATGCAACCTTTCAGATCTGCTTATTTTACTTAGTAATATGCATTTATGTTATCTCTATATATTTTCCTCACGCTAGCTCATTTCTTTTTAGAGCTGAATAATATTCCATTGTCTGGATGTATCACAGTTTATTTATTCATTCGAGAACATCTTGGTTGCTTACAAATTTTGGCAATTAAGAATACAGCTGCTGTAAACATCCATATGCAGGTTTTTGCATGGACAAAAAATTTAACTTATTTGGGAAAATATTAAGGAGTTTGATTACTGGGCAACATGGTAACAATATATTTAGTTTTGTAAGAAACTGCAAAACAGTTTTCCAAGATGGCTCTACCATTTTCATTCCTATAAGCAATGAACGAAATTTCCTGCTTCTCCACACCCCCACCAGCATTTGATGGAGTCAGTATTCTGAATTTAGACATTCTCATAGGTGTGTAGTGGTATCTCATTGTCACTAAATTCCTACTTTTAAAAACATTTGAACCCGACAATTTGAAAATATTAACAAAGTAAAAATTAAAAAAATGTTATCTCCCATGCCACCTATAATAAATGATACTGCTATAAATTTGTTAGAGAAGTCTGAAAAAAATTGTATGTATATTATTTTTTCCAATTAAATACTTCCAGCTTTTATGGGGGGCAAGTCTGTATTTTATGAAGTATTGTGGATAAATATACCAATACATATCTTCCTACAGACGATATAGAAATAAAGTGATAGAGTTTAGTCAAATTTAAATTAATTAATAATGTGAAATAAAGTTTTAAAAAATAGTTTAAAATCATTAAATGAGAAAACTGTGAAGTGATAGAAAGGAATTTTTTTTCATTACTAAAGACAAAATAGAAAAACAATAGCTATTTTTAATATAAAAATTTAAGTGTTCCAAGTTGAAATAGCAAGTAAATTTTAATGGAGAACATATAGTAATGAAGATGTTAAAATTGAGAATTTAAAATTATAAGCTTATTTATTCAAGAACCTATTCTAGGAAGTTTCTATGTAATTACAGACAACTCACAATTGAATAGATATGTTATGCTCAAAGTTTATTGATTCACACAAAAACAAAATCAAGTGTAAAAATGATAAATGCTAAATGATAAATGCTAAATACTGTATTCAGTGAATATAAAAAGAGAAAGCAAATAATCCAGTGTTATAAAAGCCATTTAATGGTCTTGCACAATTCCAGCAACTAGAAAACAAGCTATGTTAGTAAAATGAGGTAAGAAAAATTTTGTATCTTTCTGAAATATTTAATTATTCTGGTCTACACAAAATTATTCCTAACAATACTGGTTTAAAACATTACCTTGACTTCAATTATTGGTGGAGGTATTTCTAACTTCCTTCAAAAAAAGTTTCTGAAGTTAAATGAAAAGAAAAAAGCAATTTTTGTCACTAAAAATTAGTACTGACTGCCACATATTCTCCCAAACTGTGAAAGGGATCGTGTGTGTGTGTGTGTGTGTGTGTGTGTGTGTGTGTATGGCATATATTGTAATAAAGAACATTGAAAATTACTTTAGTATAATATGATCATAAAAGTAAAATTAAATTGACTACACCAATGTAGATAGAAATTCCATTTAACTGTGATATACAAATGTGCCTTTCATATATCCATCTACCACAAGAGTACTCTTCTTTGAGAATATTAGTCAAATGCTCAGCTCCCAACCCAATGTTATTTTCCACCTTCATTTGAAAACCATAAATTCAGAAATCAACTGGATATAACACATTGGTTACATAATTTTATATCCTATAAAGTTAGGGTTTAACACAGGAAACAAACACATTTTAAAACTATACATTTTAGACAGAAGTAAACTTAACACAGGAACTTAATACAGGGTGTTAAGTATGTAGAAAATCTGTGGAATTACTAGAGGAGATCTTAATTGCCTTCTATGAATTTCACCCACAACACATTGTAGAACTGATAATCCAAGGGACCTATTAAATCTCCTAGGATTTAATAGGCCACAATGATCAATAGTTCCGATAACCTTAAAGTAATAAGTTACTACAACACTATTGCCAAAAACAAAAATAAAGAAATGTTAATACTCGTATTTGTCAGTATCAATTAACTAAATGCAGTCATAACATTGTCTAAAGTTCCATCAGACCTTGTCCTCATGTGTCCAGAATTGATGGGTTCTTGGTCTCACTGACTTCAAGAATGAAGTCCTGGACCCTCGCAGTGAGTATTACAGTTCTTAAAGATGGTGTGTCCGGAGTTTGTTCCTTCTGATGTTCGGACGTGTTGGGAGTTTCTTCCTTCTGGTGGGTTCGTGGTCTCGCTGGCTTCAGGAGTGACGCTGCAGACCTTCGCAGTGAGTGTTACAGCTCTTAAGGTGGAAGGTGGCACGCCTGGAGTTGTTCCTTCCTCCCGTCCAGAGTTGTTCATTCCTTCCGGGTGGGTTCTTGGTCTCGCTGGCCTCAGGAGTGAAGCTGCAGACATTCGTGGTGAGTGTTACAGCTCATAAAGACAGTGTGGACCCAAAGAGTGAGCAGCAGCAAGATTTATTGCAAAAAGTGAAAGAAAAATGCTTCCACAGTGTGGAAGGGGACATGAGTGGGTTGCAGCTGCTGGCTCTGGCAGCCTGCCTTTATTCCCTCATCTGGCCTCACGCACATCCTGCTGATTGGTCCATTTTACAGAGAGCTGATTGGTCCATTTTGACAGGGTGCTGATTGGTGCATTTACGAACCTTGAGCTAGACACAAAAGTTCTCCAAGTCCCCACTAGACTAGCTAGACACAGAGCACTGATTGGTGTAATTACAAACCTTGAGCTAGACACAGGGTGCTGATTGGTGCGTTTTCAATCCCTGAGCCAGACACACAGTGCTGATTGGTGCATTTACAATTCTCTAGCTAGACATAAAAGTTCTCCAAGTCCCCATCAGATTAGCTAGACACAGAGCACGGACTGGTGCGTTTACAAACCTTTAGCTAGACACAGAGTGCTAATTGGTGTGTTTATGAACTTTGAGCTAGACACAGGGTGCTGACTCATGCATTTACAATCCCTGAGCTAGACACAGAGTGCTGATTGGTGCATTTACAATCCTATAGCTAGATATAAGTCCCCACCAGATTAGCTAGATACAGAGTGCCGAATGGTGCATCCACAAATCCCGAGCTAGACACAGAGTGCTGATTGCTGCATATACAATCCTCCAGCTAGACATAAAAGTTCTCCAAGTCCCCACCCAATCAGGAGCCCAGCTGGCTTCCCCTAGTGGATCCCACACTGGGGCCGTGGGCGGAGCTGCCTGTCAGTCCCACACCGTGTGCCCGCACTCCTCAGCCCTTGGGTGGTCGATGGGACTTGGCTCCGCAGAGCAGGGGGCAGCACCCGTCGGGGAGGCTCGGGTCACGCGGGAGCCCACTGGGGCTGGGGGGATTTGCTCAGGCATGGCAGGTGGCAGGTCCTGAGCCCTGCCCCGCGGGGAGGCAGCTGAGGCCTGGCGAGAATTCGAGTGTGGCATGGGTAGGCCAGCAGTGCTGGGCGACCCAGCACACCCTCCGCAGCTGCTGGCCCGGGTGCTAAGCCCCTCACTGCCTGGGGCCGGTGGCGCCGGCCACTCCAAGTGCAGAGCCCACCAAGTCCATGCCCACCCAGAACTCGCGCTGGCCTGCAAGTGCCATGCACAGCCTTGGTTCCTGCCTGCACCTCTCCCTCCACACCTTCCCACAAACAGAGGGAGCTGGCTCTGGCCTCAGCCAGCCCAGAGAGGGGCTCCCACAGTGCAGTGGCAGGCTGAAGGGCTCCTCAAGCACAGCCAGAGTGGGCGCTGAGGCCGAGGATGCGCCTAGAGTGAGCGAGGGCTGCCAGCACGCTGTCACCTCTCACTCACATTTGTGTGTTGATTACTCTCCAACTTAATTTTAATCTGATATTTGAATCTTGTATTCTGATGAAGACATTTAAAAGTTAACCACTGTCAACTTCCAATTCCAGCCAAGATAGCATAGCAAGAACCAAACACACATTCTTTCCCAAAACAACCAAAAACAAAAACAGACAAAATATATAAATTATCTTTTAAATTGGACATCAAGCAGAAAAGAACAGTGATCCTGAAAAAAAAAAAAAGATTGTAAACAAACATGCTGAACCCTACAATTGTTGCAGTTTACTGCCCTGAAAGATTTTGCAGGTTTATTGGGCATGCAGGAGTAACTGAGATTAACCTGGACAACTCCCTCAGTTGAGACAGAACTAAGAGTCCAGGAAGAGTGAGGCAGTAAAAGCTAACAGAATGGTGTACCGGAGAATAGATATTTGTACAGAGAGAACCCCAATGACATGTAAAAAGTCCTCATCAAGTATTGAATAGTTTCAATGTATTTATGAAGGAATTATCCAAGCCAAAGAAAAACTTCATCAAATGAGTTATAAGTAATAGTCTCTAACACACTCAGAGGGCTGGATATGGTGCCCATTGGCATGAGCTAAAATTAAAAAGGAAAACTAGTTTACAGGGTATCCTACTTTGCAAAGTCTTGCTTCATTAGTAGGAGATAATTAATCCAAGACTGAGCACTTATTAGGCCCAGCTTACAAGTCATAAAAGATAAATAGGAAGGCATCAAATTCCTTTCAATAATTTTATTTCAAGATTTCAGAAAAACAGGTTAATGAAACACGTGCAATACAAAATATACTTAGAACTCAACTTGGCAAAATATACAATGTGTGGCATCTAATCAAAGAATTTCAGGCTGGCAGGAGAAAAATGACCTACAATAAGGAGAAAAACTATCAATAGAAAGAGAACCAAGCTTACACAGCTGTTATAATTAGTATAGAAGGACATTTAAACAGTTATTACAACTTCATTCCATATGTTCAAAAGTTAAGTAAAAATCTAGTAGATTTAATAATGATAGAAAAACACTTATGGAGATGAAAACCACAATAACTGGGATGAAAAACTCACCAT
Organism: Homo sapiens; assembly: GCF_000001405.40. Classification (NCBI taxonomy): domain Eukaryota; kingdom Metazoa; phylum Chordata; class Mammalia; order Primates; family Hominidae; genus Homo; species Homo sapiens. The sequence goes on from NC_000013.11 coordinate 56,660,760, forward strand.
ATCAGACACTGCAAAGAAAAATATTAATAAGCTTATAGAAATAGAAACTTCAAAAAATGAAACACAAAGATAAAAAAGAAATTTTTAAAAAACAGACAAAGCTGCAGTGAGCAGTGGCACAACTTCAAGCGGCCTACTACATAGGTAATTAGAGTCCCTGACGGGTAAAAGATAGAAAGGAAACAGAAATATTGAAAAATATAATGATCAAAAATGTATTAGACTTAATGGAAATTTTAAATTTACAGATCCAAAAACCAACCCAAAGCACAAGAAATGGAAAGAAAGTGACAACATAAAATCAATTTGCTCAAAATTTAGTTATAATAAGCGAACATCTTAATGACAGTCAAAGAGGAAAAAAAATATGTCATAGGAAAATGAATATAATGATGAAACTAGATTTCCAACTGAAGACCATATAAGTGATGAGAGTGTAAAACACCTTTCAAGTATTGAGAGAAAATTAAAAATTAGTTGAATATTTAATACCCAGAAAAAATACATTGGCAAAATAAAAAATGTTTTCAGAGCTACAAAAGCCGAGCAAATCCACCATGAGCTGACTCTCTCTAAAGAAATGCTAAAAAATGTGTGGCGTTATTTCTCAGGCCTCTGTTCTGTTCCATTGGTCTATATATCTGTTTTGGTACCAGTACCATGCTGTTTTGGTTACTGTAGCCTTGTAGTATAGTTTGAAGTCAGGAGGCATGATGCCTCCAGCTTTGTTCTTTTTGCTTAGGATTGTCTTGGCTATACAGGCTCTTTTTTGATTCCATGTGAAATTTAAAGTAGTTTTTTCTAATTTTTTGAAGAAGCCAGTGTTAGCTTGATGGGGATAGCATTGAATCTATAAATTACTTTGGGGACAATGGCCATTTTCATGATATTGATTCTTCTTCCCATCCATGAGCATGGAACGTTTTTCCATTTGTTTGTGTCCACTCTTATTTCCTTGAGCAGTGGTTTGTAGTTCTCCTTAAAGAGGCCCTTCACATCCCTTGTAAGTTGTATTCCTAGGTATTTTATTCTCTTTGTAGCAATTGTGAATGGGAGTTCACTCATGATTTGCTCTATATTTGTCTATTATTGTTTTATAGGAATGCTTGTGATTTTGGGGCACTGATTATTAGCTTAGGGAGATTTGAGGCTGAGACGATGGGGTTCTCTAAATATACACTCATGCCATCTGCAAACAAAGACAATTTGACTTCCTCTTTTAACAAATTTGACAAAAACAAGCAATGGGGAAAGGATTCCCTATTTAATAAATGGTGTTGGGAAAACTGGCTAGCCATATGCAGAAAACTGAAACTGGACCCCTTCTTTACACCTTGTTCAAAAATTAACTCAAGATGTGCTAAAGACTTAAACATAAGACCTAAAACCATAAAAACCCCAGAAGAAATCCTAGGCAATACAATTCAGGACATAGGCCTGGGCCAAGACTTCAAGACTAAACACCGAAAGCAATGGCAACAAAAGCCAAACTTGACAAACGGGATTTAATTAAACTAAAGAGCTTCTGCACATCAAAAGAAACTATCATCAGAGTGAACAGGCCTCCTACAGAATGGCAGAAAATTTTTGCAATCTACCCATCTGACAAAGGGCTAATATCCAGAATCTACAATGAACTTAAACAAATTTACAAGAAAGAAACATACAACCCCGTTAAAAAGTGGGCAAAGGATCTAAACAGACACTCCTCAAAAGAAGACATTCATGTGGCCAACAAAGATATGAAAAAAAGCTCATCATCACTGCTCATTAGAGAAATTCAAATCAAAACCACAGTGAGATACCATCTCATTGTGAGATGGTGATCATTAACAAGTCAGGAAACAACGAATGCTGGAGAGAACATGGAGAAATAAGAACGCTTTTACACTCTTGGTGAGAGTATAAATTAGTTCAACCATTGTGGAAGACAGTGTGGCAATTCCTCAAAGATCTAGAATCAGAAATACCATTTGACCCAGCAATCCCTTTACTGGGTATACAACCAAAGGATTATAAATCATTCTACTACAAAGACACATGCACATATATGTTTATTGCAGCACTGTTCACAAAAGACTTAGAACCAACCCAAATGCTCATTAATGATAGACTGGATAAATAAAATGTGGCACATATATACCATGTAATACTATGCAGTCATAAAAAAGAATGAGTTCATGTCCTTTGCAGGGACATGGATGAAGCTGGAAACCATCATTCTCAGTAAACTAACACAGGAACTGAAAACCATACACCGTATATTCTCACTCATAAGTGGGAGTTGAACAATGAGAACACATGGACACAGGGAGCGGAACATCACACACCAGGACCTGTTGGGGGGTGGGGAGTTGGGGGAGGGATAGTATTAGGAGAAATACCTAATGTAGATGATGGGTTGATGGGTGCAGCAAACCACCATGGTGCGTGTATACCTATGTAACAAACCTGCACATTCTGCACATGTATCCAAGGATTTAAAATATAATAAACACACACACACAGACAAAAGAAATGTTAAAAAATGTATTTCAGGCAGAAGAATAATGATACCACATCCAAATATATAATGATTAAAACCAGAAACACCATAAGAAAATGATTTTCTTATTTTTAATATAATTATTTAAACAAAAATAATAGCAATGAATTCTGAGGTTTATATTATATATGAAAGCAAAAGAATGACAATAACATAAAGACTTAAAGGAATGAAATGACGGTCAACTCTGATAAAATTCTTACACTGTAAATGAAGTGGTATAACATCACTTGAAGATAGACTGTAATCAGTTTAGATTCATACTATAAACTATAAAATGTCTAGAATTAAGAAACAAACAAAGCACTAGATTAATCTAAAACATGGAAGACAATGTCTGGGCAAAGTTGAGGTGGTGGTACCTGTTCCCCTGCCATTGCTGCACTGAGTTTCCATCAGCAGCCTCGGGCTACAGATATTATGGCCTTTCCCCTGCAGATTAGCGCTTTTGTTCTGTAAGAGAGATAAGGAATATGTGTGTCTGGTAGTGATTGGAGAAAATAAGTCTGAACGGAACTTCAGCAGTGGCTGTTCTTTCCCTTAATTAGCCACCATCAGGAAGAAGTTTTTAGGATCCTCTGCTATGTTTCTTGTGACTACCTGGTAAGTTTCTTGGAGGAAAAGCCTGCAAGAGAGTGCAAACCTCCCTCTGTCGATGACTACCAGATTCTTCAAACAATCACACTAGCCTATATTTAGTTTTTAGCAGTATGTTAAAAATTTCTGACTTTTTCACTAGTGTATATACCTTTTGCCAGTATTTGCACAAGATAAGCAAATCCTGAAATTTTGTTTTTCCGTGCATGAGATGGTCTTTCTCAAGATAGGATGTTAGTTGTTTGCCCTGTGACTTCAGTTATTCGATGCATTCAAGAAATGTCAGAAATCTGTAGTTTCTTCTGCTGTTTTAATTGTTTGAACAATGCTCTTTCCAGGTCTCTACATCCTTCAGGTGAAGTCAGAATTTGCTTTATAAATTCTGAAGCTCTCTTTTAGGTGCATACATATTTAAGACTGTTATATCTTATAGAATTATTACCTTTATTTATTAATGTATTCCTTTATCCCTTTCATATTTATGCTATAAAATCTACTTTGGTATCAATATAGCTCTTCCAGACTTCTTCTGATTAGTGCTTCCATGGTATAACTTTCACCATTCTTGGACATTTAACTCATGCTCTTATATTTAAGAGGGCTCCTTTTAGGCAACATATAATTAGGTCTTGCTTCTGCTATCCAAACTTGACAATTTCTTCATTTTATTTGTGCCTCCAGATTGCTTTCATGTAATGTAAACATGAACCTTACTGGTAATATTTACCACCTTGTTAGTTGTTTTCTATTCATTATTCTGTTCTTTGATTCTTTATTCTCTACTGTACTCTCTGCTTTTACATTGACAATGTTTTAATTTGATTTTTTCTCTTATTGGATTATTAACATTGCATATTAAATATTTAGTAGTTCCCTATAATTTGTGATATACCTTGTAATAAATAGCAATTTATTTTCAAATAAATTTATGCTACTTCATATGTAGTTTAAGGATCTAACATCTATCAATTCCCATTTCCCCTACCTTGTACTTTGTGGTATTCCTGTTATAAATTGTAAGTTAAACCTATGCTCAAATATGTAGTATATCACTACTATGTTTTATTTAAAGAATGAGTATTTTTCTAGAGCAACTGAAATATAAATAAAATTTTAGTTTTACTTTTTACCTTTTTCTCATTTTTTCCTGTTTTCTGTGCTCTTCATTTGTTTGTGAAGATCTAAAATTCTCTCTGATGGCACATTTATTCCTTTATCTTTTAACTTCTTGTAGTGCTGGTCTGCTGGAAGTGAATCTCTCATTTGTTGCAGTTTCTTTCTGTTGGTTTTTTTGTTTTGTTATATTTTGTCTGACATACTCTTTATTTGTTCTTCATTTGTCATTTTTTTTCCTAAAATCCTGAGTTGACAGTTTTTTTTTTTTTTTTTTTTTTTTTTTTTTTTTTTTTTTTCCCCCAGCACTTGACATATATCACTCTGTTTGCTTCAACCTTGCCTGGTTTATGAGAAATCTCTGTTATTCTATCCTTTGTTTTTATGTATGCAATATCCACACCTCATTCCAGCCTACCTCACCCTGGCTATTTTATAGGTGTCTCACTTGTACTTTGCTGTTTGTTATTAATTTTGGAATATTTGTTCCCATTCTTTTTTCTCTGTGATTACAGTAATAAAAGTATTAAGTATTTTGTATATTATCTCATAGCTTTCAAATATTTTTACTATTTTTCTATTTGTGTTTTAGTTCAGGTAATTTCCATTTACTTATTTTCAAGTTCCCTGATTCCTTCCTCAGCTATGTTGCTTTCAGTAATCAGCTTACTTCATCTGTTATTTTCATATTTTGCATTTCTTTTGACTTCCATCTCTTGCTCACATTACCCATGCAATCTTGCATGTCAACCTTTTCCATTAGTCTTTAACATGTTTTTCAATATTTTAAATTTTCTCTCTGGTAATTCCAGCACATATATCATATTTGAGTCTATTTCTATTGATTGATTTGTTTCATGGTAGTGAGTTATCTCTTACCTCTTCACAATTTTTGGCTGAATTTCAGAAATATTGTGTAGGGCAATATTTTATATTTACACAGTTTTGTATAAATATGTTTGGATGTTTGGAAATCACCAACTCATTTTGCCTTGGGCCATTAATAGCAATGTTTTGGTCAATGCAGTCAGGAGTTGAGGTGAGTTTGAGCTTTGTTGTTGTCGTTGCTATGATTAATCTCAGGGCACCATAAGCTTTAAATTCCTTCAAAAGACAATGTTTTTATGGTGGAAGCTTGTTTGACAAAAGATTTTTCTCAATAACTAGTCTATCCTTAATTTTGTGTCTCCCATTTGCACTGTGCCTCACAGAGGGATGTTCTCTCAGCAGCATTCCCCTATAAATTGAGAACAGCTTGTTAGCTGAGGGTGGGAAAAGGATAGAGGATGGGGATTGTAAAACTTTAGTTTTAGTTTTAGGCAGGCATTTGGTCGGCAGATCTCAGGAGTCTTGCTTTCTCAATGTCAATATTCGCTCCCTACCCAAATGTAGATATGAGTTTAACACATATACTTGATGCCCTTCCTTTCCCTAGGATTACACCTTATATTGTATTCCTTCTACACAGCTACAATGGATTTTTCCTTGTGCCCTAAGGATAACAATATTTGTTGTTCTCTCTTTAGTTTAAGGCTCTTTTCCCCCATAGAGGAGATAAGGGAGACCAATCTGATAGGTTCCACGTCTTTCTTACAACAGCTGTTGTTCTTCTCTATACTATGATGGATGTTTTCTCAGGGATCTTGCAAATTTTTTTTTTTTTGGATGTAAGCCATATTTGGCTTTGATCTATTCATTAACAACTTCTGGTGAATTCTTCTTACTGGTATCTGACTGCTTTTATCCTAGGTCTCCAACTCTCTCTCTCTCTCTCTCCCCCTCCGCTTAGGCCCCAGTGTTTCTGTAGGTTTCAGAAGAGTTAGTTTTCCCTGTTTTTTCTCAGATTCAACAAAACTGTGGCTTTTTGTTTCACTCAACTTTTATTGCTTTGTTTGTAAAGATGGGAGTGATAGTCTCTAGTCTTTCCATCTTTCCACATCCTAGATAGTAACTAGAACTCTGTGCTTGATTTAAAATATACCTGGATATTCATGAACTCTTCAGTTGTTTTTTTTTTTTTAACATTTTAGAACATGTTTAGACCTTCAAAACAAAAATCATACATTTCCTGCATAAATTCCTTTTTATAAAACATTTTTCATGACTTTCACAGACAATCTTCAACATGCCTTACCTTTCTGACTATGTTTTATAACCTTCCTTACTAAAGGTGCATTCTTTTTTTTTTTTTTAAGAGCTGGAGTAATCTCGGCACTTTGGGAGGCCGAGGTGGGTGGATCACCTGAAGTCAGGAGTTTGAGACCAGCCTTACCTACATGGTGAAACTCCGTCTCTACTAAAAATATAAAAATTAGCTGGGCGTGGTTGTGGGTATCTGTAATCCTAGCTACATGGGAGGCTGAGGCAGGAGAATCCCTTGAACCCAGGAGGCAGAGGTTGCAGTCAGCCAAGATGAAGCCCCTGCCCTCCAGACTAGGTGACAGAGCAAGACTCCGTCTCAAAAAAAAAAAAAAAAGAGATGGAGTGTAAACGGAGTATAAACTCCTTTTCCTTAAGTATGAACTTTCTTTCATGATTTCCTTATATCAGATGAAATATGGCAAAGTGACATTATTTGACTTTACATGCTAGGTCAGAAGAAAAGATTGTTTTTGTGTAGATTTCTTAGATTGTCTTCTTTGAAAGCCCTAAGCCTTCATATAAGGATTCTAGGTTATTTGACGCTGCTACCCTGAAAACAGACTATGTAGAGGACCCACTTAGAGGTAGAGAGGAATGCTGAGGAAGGTTTTCAAGCAGTAAGCAGTCCCATCTTCCATCTTATTGAGTCTTCCCAGCTCAGACATCAGACTTCCAAGTAAAAAAGCCCTCAAGATGATTCCAGGTTTTGCTAATTGTTTGACAGAATCCTCATTTGAGACCCTGAGAGAACCCAATCAGTCAAGCTGCTTGTAAAATTCAAACCCACAGAAACAAGATAAATTTTAAATAATTGTGTTATTTTAAACTGCAAACTTCTGTGATTATTTGGTATGCATTCATAGATAATTGATGTAGAATCTTATTTATGTATTAATTCTAATTGGCTTTAGAAATTCCCCTCTATATTTAGTGCTTCTCAAAAGTATTGGTATTGGGTAGTTCTCATTAAATTTGAATTACAAATGAACAGAATGAACATGATCACTAGTATAATAACACCATTCTAGAAGCTGATTAAAGATAACAGAAAGCAGTTGCATTTTTCCCAATTCCTTACAATTATGACAGCAATTCTTTACTTCAATTGTGAACCTGCCAGATTACATAAATAAAAATGAGGTTACATAATATTTAGGCTGAAAATCTTTAATTAAATATTGGGTATTGTTTAAAGTAACACTAGAATAATAATAGGCACCCCCTTTACAAACAAATCCATTTAGTTCTTGCCCAGGCAATTTCCTTTCTTTAAATATTTGCCAAATCATTTTATGAAAGAAATTTCCCCTGATTTTCAGAGTTATTTTAGGGCTCTCTCTTTTGTTCTTTCATAGGGGTATAAATTTCACAATCTCAATTACCTGATTACCATATTGGACAAGCTATTTGAGAATGAGAATTATATCTTGTTCAGTTAACACTAGAAACGGGCAAATAATAGCCCATCAATATGTGCTGAATATTTAATGCATTATTTGTTAATGTATCATTTAAAATGTCAACTTCTGTGAGTAATTTATATAGAGTAGGTGTATATGTTTTTTTTTTAAAAAATTCTTATTATTCATGCCATGGGATTACAAAAAAAAACACTAAAAGTATTATTTTCTTTGGAGTCAGAACAAGAGAGGAATACATGAAGTTTGAATAATATCTTGCTATACAGCTAAATTTTCTCAGACAAGGGGATGGAATATGATAAGGCTTGGTAAGGAATAAAATAAACAGCCATATTTTTCAGATAGAACAAATTATTGCAACATAGTAAATGAAACCATAAGTGAAAGAAAGCTTATAACCCTTGAACATTTCTTAATTGTTAAGCAGTGTAGGAGAAACATCTCAGAATCAATCTCTGCCTCGAAATAGAAGTGTGCTGCTTAAGACTTAACTTCACACTGGGAGCTACAGTGTACCAAAAAGAGAGAAAGGATAGCAATGAAGAAAGATTTTTAGATTAAAAACTATCAAAAGTATGGTCTTAAATTTATTCTAATGATTATTCTATCCCTATTAAATCTTAATGTCTTTTTGAGTTTATAGTTTAGTTATTCAAAGTCTAAAGTCCATCAAAAAATTAGAAAATGAACAATTACAAGCTTATTTTGCTGAATTGGGAATGTTACACTCAACTCCAGAGTAAATTCATGCAAGTTAAAACAAATAAGCTAACAACAAAAAAAACTATTATCTCAGTTGCTGACAACTTTTTTTAAAAATTATTTCTTGTTCAGGGAAATAAGTCCATGAAATAATTAATATAAAGAGTCTTAAAACGTGTCTGATATAATATATTTTACATTTTATACAACATATCATTTTTAGTTCACATAAGAAGGATAGTTTTTACTATTTGCTACAGGCACTTCTTTAAAGTCTTATCTTGAGTCTATATATTCCTTTGTTTTCTTTGGTTTTGTTTTAAAGCAGGATTGATTTTTACACTTCTATTTTTTTATTTTTTACAAATTGATTTATATTGTTTCTTTTAATTAAATTAACTGCACTTTTTCTTACTCATCTTATTACTGTTTTAGATTTTGTTGACCTAACACTATTGAAATAATCTTTTTTATCTTGCCTCTCTCTCCTTTCAAGTAGCCCTAATCAACTGTATCAATGAATAACATCAATACAGGCCAATACTTTTGATTTATAGTTTTGTACCTTGCTAGTCCAGTGACCTTGAATAAATTGCTGAATCCTTTTGAGCCTCCTTCTTTGTTTGTAAAATGTGAAAACTTTCTTATGTGATTTTGAGGGTAAATAAATTATGTATCTAAAGTACTCAGTATCATGTCTGACATACAGAAATGCATAATATAAGGATTGTAAATCCAAAATTCTTAAGATTCTAGTTTTATCACCATCAACTAGTTGTTTCGTGACTTTGGGCAAGTTTCTTAATATCTTTTACTCTCAGTTCTTATAAAATGGGAATAATACTAGTAAACTATGCTAAAGGGGCTTATGAAAACTGAATAAAATAGTACATATAAAGTACCCAGAAAATCGTCTGAAACATAATAAGCACTCAAAAATTATCAGTTGTAGTTATTTTATTTATTAATATATGTAAGATAGCCTTATTTCAAATAGCTACATAATTATAGCCATGGATTTTGATTGATTCCTTTAATTCAAATAGTGTTTTTAGATTGGAACATGAAATAATTTACATAAAGAAACTATGCTTAATATGAATACTATTATAAAGATTCACCTCTAAAATAATTTTTAAAGGTTTAATATTTTTAATGTATTGTATTCACAACTTAGAGAACATTAGAATCTTGAAACTATCAATTTATACTCTGTACTTTTAAAGCTACTGTGTCAGTCATCCCCAAGACCACTATTAGGCTCAAGGATTTGCTAATAAGGACCCACAAGGCTAGGAAAGCTGTTACACTCAGTTATGGCTTATTTCATTGAGAGGATACAGATTAAAACCAGCAGAGGGGAAAAATGCATGGACTAAAGTCCAGGAGAAATCATCTAGATGTCCACACTTGTGAAGTCAAACAGGAATGCACTTAATTCTCTCAGCAACGATGTATAACAATACATGCTAAGTGTTGCTAACTAGGAAAGCTCACCAGATTCTTGATGGCCAGTGTTTTTGTTGAGTCAGTCAGGCACATGACTGACCTCAGATGCTCAGACTTCAGCACCTGACCACAGACCAACATGACCTGTATAAAATACATCGCATTTGTGGAATAAACTTATCTGGTCAAACTGGTACAACATGGGCCAAGGCTTCAGGCATATAAAAGCAGGCATTTGCCATAAGTAAAGTGTGACCCAAGGCCTCAGGCATATAAAAAGACTCATTGGGAAGACTATTTCAAGGGAACAAGGGTTATCTCCCAGCAATTGGCCAGGTACTTTTTCATTTTTTAAAATAGATCTATATTTGGAATGGGCTGAGTCTGAGCAATCCAGACTACTAAGTTTACCTTTTATTGACTATTGCTCTCTCATTTTTTTCTTTTTTAATTTTTTTTAAAAACTTTTATTGTGCATAATAGATGTACATAGTTTTGGAATGCATATGATAAGTTAATACATGTATATAGTTTGTAAAAATCAAATCAGTATACTTGGGATATACATCATCTGAAATATTTGTCTTTTATGCTGGAAACATAACTAGCATAAACTAACCATTTTGGAATATAACAATACAGTATTGTAAACTATAGTCACCCTTCTGATCTATCAAGCACTAGGTTTTATTTTTCCTATCAAACCATATATTTGTACCCACTAATCAACATGTCATCCCTCCCTCCCCTTTATCAATCTGCTTTCTATTTTCATGAGATCCATTTCCTCGGCTCCCACATATGAGTGAGAACGTGCAGACTATTATCCTCTTCTATGGGTATTCCTTCCTATTATTTTCCCACTTACCTATTTCTTCACAAAATTATTCTAAATATAAATATCTTCTTTGAATTTGTACCATAATAATCTCAAATATCACTATTCTCACAGTGTATTATTCCTATCCACTTTCTATCAGCTAAAATATTTGACATGTATATGTATTTAATTTATGGTTTCCATACATATGTTTATTATATGCTTCTTTTTATATGCTCTGTTTCATTCTGACCAAGAATTCAGCAAGGGGGTCAGTCTTTACTTGTGTATCTCAATTGCAATTTTTAAAGTTTGTTTGTATTTTAGTTGCTCAATAAATGAAGTAATCTGACTGCCCTTTATTAGTTTTCTTTCTTAATCTCAGGCTGACTTCCACATTTCATAACTTGATATTGGATAATTTTCACAAAAAAGAAAAAAAAAGTTACCAAATAGTCTGTTGTTAATTTTCTTTAGAATACCTTAAATAAAATTTTTCGTTATCAAATCCCTCTTATACACCTAACTGGATTATTTTGATGAATGTATTAAAATAATACACATATAATAACTTTGAAAACATAAGTAAATTATTATTATATCACCATTTTACCCAAAAGAGTCAATGATAAGAAGGGAGTTTAATGTTCAGAGCTATTAAGTATATTTATTTTCTATTACATCCATGATTTTTGTTATATTTATATAAATTTTTAACAACATTTGGTTTTGTTTACAGTAGAACTATTTTCCATCTGAATAGAATCAAATCCCTCTGAAATAGCCTTAGGGAGCTTGCTAAATAAAAGTGTTAAGTTACATGAAATAGCTGTTACTATTATAACAACATTAAATAACATTTATTGGCTTGCTAATAGAAAATATCTGTTCTTCCATTATTACTTGAATGTCCCAATCTAAAATAACTAACTCTACAAGATTAAAAAGAAACAAGAGAACAAAGAGACATGTTTGCCTTCAGCTCCTTGGAGTAGAATTAAGGATAAGAATAGGTAAATTGTTAAGTAAAAATTTCTAAAAGAATATTGTGTAAAATATATAATCTCCAATTGTACCAATGCAATCCTCAATGTTGAGATGCTGATGCTCTCAAATTATTCCTATGTGTATGCACACTCACAAAAATTTCAATGCAGTTGAAAATTATTGTTTCTTTCAATATAATGCTGGACAATATCTCTAACTCTGCTGCAAAGTTCTCTATATAAACCAGAGATAGTGGTGATTTATTTTATAGTAATGTAAGGTGCAATATTTAGTCTTTTTGTTTATTGCAATATAAAATCCTATATTTTTCTCAAGTGCTAAGTTGTTTTATCACATAAATAAAAACTAATTTCAGCTCAACCAAAAAAAATCATTTCAATAAGCTTGGATAAATTTAATACCAGTCCAATTTTTATATTGCATTTGAAGCATCTGACAATTTTTATTCTATTCAGATCAGCCATTTTAAAGAATCAGAATAGTTGTTAAACTGTTTGCTGTCATTTTCATGCTCTGTCATGGATCCTGCTAAAAAGCATTGAGGGAAACAAACAAATAACAGCTTCTCTGTATAAGTCAAACTGGGAGGGATTGCCAACTAGGGGACTCATAAGTCTTTCTTTTATTCATTCTTATAGAACACTGTTTATTTTAAATAGAAAATAAACTGTAAAATAAATTATTACCTGAAGCTATCAAAAGCAGGTGTTGTTCTCCATAAGGCATTACTGGTTTTCAGCAAGACATATTTTGTTGTTATTTATAATTAAAAAATCATTGAACTTGTGATTAGCAACACGTTAAGAAATGAAACTCAATTCAAATGTAGTTGTGCTGTGTTGCCAAGTAATCTGATGAAAACGGAAGGGAAAACCCAGAAGATTTTTGTAGTGTCAGAAAATATCAGATTGTAGAGTTTCTGAAATATATTGTAAATTTCTAGTTATACATGAGAAACAGGATGCATTCACTTGCCAGTATTTCCTTCAGAAGTAACATTGTAATAGATAAATTTTAAATAATGGAAACATTCAAGAATAAAGTGAAGTGGAGGTAACTACTACTGATAAGAGAGAAAGTAATTGGAAATCTTCTAAAAACAGATGGAGACTTTTTATTGTTTTAATAACACAGGTACAAGTGATTCTGAAAAAAGAAAAAAAAAAGCAAGTTTTTTTAAGAGACTTTTTTTTTTTTTTTTTTTTTTTTGAGACGGAGTCTCGCTCTGTCGCCCAGGCTGGAGTGCAGTGGCGGGATCTCGGCTCACTGCAAGCTCCGCCTCCCGGGTTCACGCCATTCTCCTGCCTCAGCCTCCCAAGTAGCTGGGACTACAGGCGCCCGCCACTACGCCCGGCTAATTTTTTGTATTTTTAGTAGAGACGGGGTTTCACCATTTTAGCCGGGATGGTCTCGATCTCCTGACCTCGTGATCCGCCCGCCTCGGCCTCCCAAAGTGCTGGGATTACAGGCGTGAGCCACCGCGCCCGGCCTAGAGACTTTTAAACAGTCTAAAATATTGTCATCACCACTTATATTAAAATATAGAGGCAGGGCATGGTGGCTCACACCTGTAATCGCAGCACTTTGTGAGGCCAAGGTGGGCAGATTATCTGAGGTCAGGAGTTCCAGATCAGCCTGGGCAAGGTGGCGAAACCCCGTGTCTGCTAAAAATATGAAAATTAGATGGGCGTGGTGGCACTGGCCTGTAGTCTCAGATACTCAGGAGGCTGAACCACCGCACTATCTACAGATACGTATAAAGTAGTTAAACTGTATTTCTTTTTAAGACAGGGTCTAGCTCTGTCCCCCAGGCTCGAGTGCAGTGGTTTGATCTCAGCTCACTGCAGGCTTGACCTCCTGGGCTGAGGTGATCCTCCCACTTCAGCCTCCTAAGTAGCTTAGACTACAGGCCAGTGCCACCACACCCATTTAATTTTTGTATTTTTAGCAGACACGGGGTTTCTATTTATATATACACATCTATTTATAGATATATCTTTATAGATACGTGTAAAGTAATGAAACTGGTAAGAGGATTTTCTGAAAGTTTGTACAACTACTACATATTTATTCTAGACATCTTCTCCCAAAGCATTAAGCAGAATAAATTCAAGGGTCTCCTGTACAAGTGATAGATCATTCTTCACAGGATACATACTAAGAATAACCTAGTCTCCAGGCTCTTAGGGACAGCAAGGGCAAGCATGAAGCCCTTCACTGGAAGAAAAAAAAATAAAAGGGGGTTTGAAAAGTCTTTAGAGAGAATGATGATTACCACTGGCTTTTCCTCTTTATCTTCTGGGAATCTTCCTTTAGGAGCAATTCTATCAATAGTAAAGGATATGGAAGTATTTGGAGATGGTTAGACAAAACAGGAAAGAAATACTCACTTCAGGAAATAGACAATGCTGTCAAGTGCCAAATCACCACAACGTATGTACCACTATCTCTGAAGTAGTCTAAAATTGTTCCATTATGATATAATATTGTAAGAATGCTATTATAACTATGGAGTTACATTCCAAAATAAATACCTACTGAGTTGGGAAGGATGCCTCTGAGCTATGTTAATTAAGAGGAGGAAACTATGCAGCAGGGGTGGCTCTTTCTCATTATACTCCTAGTAGTGCAGTATAACTTTATGACTATGTTCACATGATAAAAGAAGTTTATATATATGTATATAAATTCATAAAATGAGTAACTTTTATAAAACAACTCGTATATCTCATGTTCAAGATAAAGAAACAATGACTTGTGTCTAGGAAGAGAAGCTGATTGGAATTTTAGAAGGGCTATGTACCGGTGCTGTATTTATCGGTCATTTAAAAATTATATTGGCAATACAATAGGACTTTTATTCTATAGACATTTTTCTTAATGTATTATGATGTTTACAACAGGGCCAACAAGTGCTTTTTGTAAAGGAATACAGAGTAAATAGGCTTCATAGGCCAAGAGATAAAACAAATGACTATATATAGGTATTATATAACAAGGAAGAAGAAATTACAAATAATTTTATTAGCAAAATTTAAAACATTATTTTTTCATATCATATATCCACTTGTATAGATTTATAATTATTGTTTCAGACAATTGTCTTCTGAATAACATAAGAAAAAAAGAGGAGGTGAAAGCCAAAAATAAAATAATGATGGTTTTTATATTTACCTATGTAGTCACATTTACCAATGTGCTTTATTTCTATTTGGCCTCAGTTATTGCCTAATGTACTTTCAATTTATCCTGAAAAGTTCCCTTGAGTATTTATTGAAGGGCAGATCTACTATTGACAAACTTTCTCTGCTTTTGTTTTACTGAGAATGTTTTCAATTTCTCTTTAATTTTTTTAAGAGCAGTTTTGCTGGTTAAAAAATTTTGGTTGATATTTGCTTTTATTCATCACCCTGAATAAGTCATCCTGCTACCCTCTGCTTTCAGGGTTGCTCATGAGAAATTGTGTGTTAATCTCATAAGTTATAAGTTGCTTCTTTCTTGTTACTTTCAAGATTCTCATTTTTTCTTTGGCTTTAACAACATAATTATAATACATGTCAGTATGACTCTCTTTGAGCTTTTCCACATGGAGTTCATTGACCTACTTGGATCTATAGGCTGATGTCTTTCACCATATTTAGAAAGTATTCATCTACTATTTATGTTTTTTCTTTCTGGCCCTTTCTTATCTCTCCTTCTGGGATTCACATTGTGTGTATTTTGGTGTGCTTGATGGTGTCCCACAGGCCTCTTAGGCCCTATAAATTTTCTTTATTCTATTTATTTCTGCTTCTCATATAATAGTCTTAATTAATGTATTTTTAAGTTTACTTATTTCTTCTGTATACTCAAATTTGCTGTTAAATTCTAGTAAATTTTTCACTTCAGTTATAAAATGTTTTATTCTAGGATTTCTATTTGGATTTATTTTTATAAGTTCTCTTTCTGTTGGGATTCTATATTTGGTGAGATTGTTCCCCCTTTTTTGTTGTTGTTGTTTTTTTTTAGTTGATTTCATTGATTTTCTTTAACTCTTTAAGAATAGTAAAGATACCTGATATAAAATATTTGTCTAGATAGTTTAATGTCTGGGGTTCCTCCCATACATTTTCTAGTAATTCCTTTTCTTTATTCCCTTATGAGTGGTCTATACATTCTTGTTTCTCTTTATAGTTCATATTTTCTTTTTGTAAAAAATTGGATATATTGAATATTATAATATTTTAATTCTGGAAGTCAGATTCTGCCCCGCCCTAGAGCTGATTATCATCGTCAGTTTTAGCTGTTTGTTTAAACACTTTTCTAAACTGGTTTCGTAAAGACTGTATTCTCTGTCATGTGTGGTCACTTGGTCACTGACAGATATCTCTGTTCCGTTAGCTTAATGGTCAGCATGTTACTCAAAACAGATTTCCTAGAACACCTAGAGACTAAAAATAAAAAATAAACTCCTACTCTTTGAAATTACTTTTGTGTTGAGCATGTGTTTTCAGTGCTAGTTGGCCCCTTTACAACCCTGCCTTAGCTGTCAAATTCTGCTTTCATGGAGCCTAAAAGTGAGCAAGAGGTGAAAGAATAGCATCTTCTTTGGTCATTAATGCGCTTGCATTCAGCCCCAGGAATGCATGTTGCCTTCTGTACTCCTCTGTATAAGTGAAAGCTCTCTTATCTATTTTTGTCTTCAATCTCTGTTTTCAGGACTTTTTTGTTCCATTTATTATCCCTTGCTCAATACCTGCAGCTCTTATATTTTCCTTTAAATGCTTTCAACATATGCCTTGAGAATGTTTTTAAGTAGATAAAACAAAGGTAAGCAAAGTCCCAGGAAACCACCAGGGAAATCGAAATACACAACCACTATTCCTTAAGCAAAAGATCCATGTTGCCTACTCTTTTATTGAAAATTTGGCAGTTTCTTTCCTTATTAAGCATTTCCCTGGTTGTTGTAAGATTTTGGTTCTATTACACAGATCTAAGAAGTTTAGTCTGAGAAATTTTGCCAGCCTAATTTTTGCTTTGGTGGAAGGAAAGATGTGGAGTTTCTTACTCTGTTATTTTAGATGACATCAGTAGCAAAACATGTATTTTCTATCATTAAAATCTAGCTTGACCATGCAATTACCATATTTTTTCTGCACTTAAAATCATACTAGATTTTTACTTAGATTTTATTATTTCAGATGTTGAACATTTTTAAACAATTTGAAGTTATAAAAATGAATATATTACGTAGGTAATCAAATCACAATGAGAAAATATTTCAATTACACTGAATTTTCCACTAACAATACAAAGAGTAAATCCTGGAACAATTGTGGTTTGAATACAGACCATTGTGCCCACAAGTGAAATGTCTTTGATTAGCCTAAAATACAGCTATAATAAAATTTCACATTATGGATGGAAAACATTTTATATTTGTTTGTCTAATATTACAAAATAGCTGAAACTAATATTGTATCTGGTATATAGTAGAATGTCAGTACATACTTTTGGTCACTTCCTAATTCATTCTATTGCTAATGAAGACATGCGTTACTACACAATTAAAGACTGACTGAAAATCTCACAAGTATGTTAAAATATTTTGATTAGTAGCATGTTGATTCTAGATAAGCTTGCTTAAAAAACAAACAAAAAAAAAAGGAGACAATGTCTCTCTATGCTGTTCAGCTGGTCTCAAATTCGTGTTTTCAAATGATCCTCTTGCCTTGGCCTCCCAAACGGTTGGGATTATAGGCATGAGCCATCACAGCCATAGGCTTACTTTGCAATTCATAAATTTGTGTTAATCAGGATATAAATCTGTATCTGTATATTTGTTTTCATTGTGAAGTTTCTTGATTTTACACTGAATGTGATCACATTTTGAGAAAATACAGATAAACTGTCCAATGTACTTAATCTACTAGGAAGAATAGACCTATATTTTATTATTAAAAATTGTGTAAATTTTAGTTAGCTTAATTGAACAATTAAGCTTAAAATGAATAAGAACAGTGTTCACATTCATTTTATTTCTATTTTCCTCTTTCTTAGAGCTTGGACATTTCTTTTAGAATTCCTTGTTCTTCCTTTCTTTTTTTTATTTTGTATTTTATTTTATTTTATTTTTTATTATATTTTATGTTTTAGGGTACATGTGCACAACTTCAGTAACAGAAAAAGGGAAGAGAAGCAGATAGCAAATCATTTTCTTCTTTAATACTTCAAAACCTTCCCTAGAAAATTGTTTAGAAGCACCCACATACAAGCAGCGTATCTGTGAAAAGTAGTCCATTTTCTATTATGTTCCAGAGGTGGCTATTGTTGTATAGTCTTAAATTCCTACATTTTCCCACACTCCATACATTCCCCCTCCTTCCTGAAACAGAATGGTTCAGTAATTCTCAATTCTTAACGTTTGTGAGAAGACAGAAAAGTATCTCAAAAAACAGTGTGGAGAGGAATAAAATGGGGATATTGAGAGCTTTCTGTCAGTGTATTATTTCATCTTTCCTTCATAATCTTTTTATTTATTTGTTATGTTTGAGCAAGAGTGGTAACTGATAATGAGAAATTAAAATGTTCAGTGTTAGAAAATATCTTTAAAAGAATGCTTTGACTATTTCCCTTGTGAGTGGTCCATACATTCTTGTTTCTCTTTATGGTTCACATTTTCTTTTGGTAAAAATTGGACATTTTTACCAAAATTACAAAATTATAATTACAGTATTATAATATTGTAATTCTGGAAGTCAGATTATGCACCTCCCTAGAGTTGATTATCACTGCTTTGTGAGTTTTAGCTGTTTGTTTACATACTTTTCTAACCTAGTTTTGTAAAGACTGTATTCTTTGTCATTTATGGTCTCTTGGTCACTGACATCTTTGTTCCATTAGCTTAATGGTCAGCATGTTATCCAAAAAAGATTTTGATTTAAAATTCTGATCTAAATATCTAAGTTAAAGGTATTCTTCCTGTAATCAGCTATTCTCTCTCTTTAGCAGTTTCTCATGGTAACTAGTATTTAATACCAAATTTGAAAACAATGTATTTGTATTACCAAATATAGATATTTCCATTTTAGATCTTGACACTGTGGATGACATGGATTAAATTATTTTGCAGCCCAATCTTACCTGTTTACTTATAACACAATTTTTATTTCAACCAGATTTCAGAGTTTGCCTCTTTTATGACTTTTTAGATATTATTCACAGCTGAGACATGCACAGTTCTCTATTTTCTCTCATTTACTAGGTTTTTTGCTAACACTTGTCTATGCTTAATTTTACTATTTATTACTAAATGATTGGCACATTCTTTATCCTAAAGCTGTATATCCTGATGATGATTTTGAAGTTTTACTCCAGTCGGAGCTGTGTGCTCTCCAGGCCTGCTGTGAACAATACCTGGAAGGACTACCCTTCAGCATCCTCTTGGGAGTCTCTCTCCCTATCTCTAGTGCTAAAAGCTGTAGATCCTGATTCCATAGCTTCCTATTTCTTGTTTACTATCATTTTGTAGGGTATCTTTCAGCAATTTTCAGAGTGTCAAGATCTAAAATGGAAATATCTATGTTTGATAATATAAATATGTTGTTTTCAAAACTGGAATTAAATATTAGTTAAATACTGTGGATGATATGGATGAAACTTTTTTTCCAGCCAATCTCACCTGTTTACTTAAACAATTGTCAGAGTGTTGATTGTATGCACCTATCAAAAAATTTATTTATTTTACAATCATACTTGTTTCATTATAGGACTAGTATAAAATTCTGCTATAGAAAACAACAGCCCTCTGAATTTTAAATTCCTTCGTTCTTTATAAGGTGTTTTGTAGTATTATTATAAGTTATTTAAAATTTTTATTACTCAATTATTTATCCATTCATTTCTCCCTCTCTATCTGCCTCTCTCTCTTTCTTCCTCCCTTCCTCTCTCTTTCTCTCCCACTCCCTCTCTTTGTTCTCTCTGGATGCTTTTAGAATATTCTATCTTATCTCTCATATTTCAGACTTAATTTTACAATGCTATGTTTTGATATGGAATTTTGAAAATTATTTGTGTTGGGTTTTCATTAGACCCCTTCGGTCTGACTGTTCCTTAACATGGAGAAGGTTTTATTATGTTCTTGATAATTTCATCTCCTAAATTTTCTCTGTTCTCAATTTTTGTGACTCCTTTAATTATTACATTTCTTAGCTTAATATTCTCATTATCTTCTCTAGTTAGTAATTCTTTTTTGTGAAATTTTTTTAAAGTCTGGGCTCTATGACTATAAATTGTTTACTTTTTGTAACTTATTTTTAATTTGCAAAAAATCCTTTTTATTATATAAAAATTTTACATTATATACAATATTATTATGTCAATAAAGCAATAGCCTGTTTATAAACTTGAGTCTTTTATTTTTTTTTTCTTTTTCTTACACAATGTCTTAGATGTTTTACTGCTTTGTGTTTTTTTCCCCTTGGCTTTATTCTTTCTTTTATTTTACAATTTTTTTTCCAAATACATATTAGAAATCAGTGGTTCCCCTACACTTAAGATATGTCTTTAAAGACATGATAAAAGAACTTCATGTTTGGTGGTTGAAATTGTGATTGGTGAGCATTCACCATCAATTCCTTGAAATTAGGGCCAATTATTTAAATTTTAAAAAATTAATCACCATTAACATTTGACATTTTCTTCTGAGCTAGACTGTTTCTCAGAAAGAAATTGAACATTTTGTGTATTAGAGCTCACGAGGCTTCTTCCCACATTACCAGAAATGTGGCATGTGGGGGAGGTAATGCCTCACTGTTCAGTGTGTGTACTTTTTCATTTAATCTCCTTATTTTTGAATATTCTCTTGCCTTCAGAGTTGCTTCAGGTTCCCAGATTCTCTCTGAATCAATCTTTCCTGAGAGAATAAACTTCCATCCTTTTATCAGGGTGAAGGTTGCTGTATTCATTTCCTGCCTTTGCTATAACAAATTACCCAACATCTGTGACTTAAAAAGCAATTTATTTTGTCACAGTTCAGAATCCCAGAAGTCTGAAATCAAGGCGACTACAGAGTTCTGTTCCCTACAGAGGCTATAACAGGGAATCTGTTCCTAGTCTCTTTCAGCTGTGGTGGCTTTCATCATTCCTTGAATGGTGACTGCATCACTCTAATTTCTACCACCATTTTTCCATCACCTTTTCTTTTTCTTTGTCTGTGTCTTCTTCTCCATTAAATCTCTCTCTGCCTTTCTCTTACCAGGATACTTGTCATTGGTTTTTAAGCCCACTCTGGTGATACAGAATGATCTTCTTATCTCAAGATCCTTAATTTACATTTTTTAAGATGCCATTCACAAATTTCACTGATTAGGATGTGGACTTAACTTTTCAGAGAGAGGGGTCACTATTCCATCTACCACAAATAGATAGTTCTGTGACTATACAGTGCAGTAGTAGAAGCTACCTAGATTTCTTTTTCTTGTGTGGATGTTTTTAACCAATCTTTCCATTTTACCAATCTTTTCTTCCCCCCCCCCCCACCCCCCCCCCAACCTCTGCTTTTAGAGGCAACTTTTTCCTTTCATTCCTGAGCACATTCTGGGTTTTAGGCCAAAAACTGTTTAAGATTGTTTATAAGACTATAGGTATGACTCTCACCTTCTTTGCTATGATAATAACTTATCCGTATTTACATGCATTCCAGCTTCGAGAATTATTTGACCTCTGTCAGCTATCGTCATATTTTCTGATCTCCCAGTCATTGCACTGAATGACTCTTACAAAATTTCATGTATGAGCATTTTGAGAAATTTTTAGCAAGGAGATGGAGAGATAGGGAGTCCTGTATTCAGTATAAACACTGTATTTTCTATGTTTAGCCAGAATTATTGCAACATATTTTTCAAAATTATAAACATATAATAAACATGCCTTTCTTGATAATACTGTCTTCATTGTTTTTAAGTTTAAAAAATGATGCAAGAAAAATACTTCTAATTTCAGGCCACATTTTAAACATAGGAATAATTGTATACAACTTTTTAATCTGCATTTATTTGTGAAGTACCACAAGGTGGATTTTGTTTTGCTAATTACTATGAACAGACACTAAATTCTATATAGCTTTAAAATGTCTGGTAAAGAGTATGAGTGCCTGTGCACTAAAGCTATTTTTCATTCTCTAAATGTATTTGGCAAATTTACTGTCTCATGAATCAACAAGCTTTGACCTTGCAAATAAAATAATTAAAAGAAGGATTGTGCACATCATCTGTCATAATCAGTGTTTTCTAAAGACCAAGTATATCTGAAATTATTTGTCATTTCAAATCCACCTAATGCATTTATATGAATGTCTTAGGTTATGTATACTGCCTCCTTTTTCAGCATGCTGATGTTTATTTGTGTTTTCAAACACTTTAATAGTTGAAAAATAATCCATCAATCCCCCATTTAACAGCTGCTCAAGAGTGGTCAATTTATTCTGCAAAATGAACAGTCTGAAGTTCTACTCAGCTAAGTAACTAAATAATACCTAAAAATTAAAACAAATTAATAGAACAGAAATTAAAATATTGCAATCACTTATGGAATTCATAGTAAACTAGCGATCAGGATAAATGTATATTGGACCCTGCTGTTATGTGATATTGGCCAAGTAAATGTATCTTTTGGATTTCAGTCAGTTTATTTCTAAAAGAAAAGCAGTTTTCACCGTTTTATTCTAGAGTATAGCATATAGTGTATATTCAAAGTTTTTGAGAAAAGGCATTCCTGGTTGAGAGGATTGAATTATGAATTAATGAAAGAATAAAAAATGCTTTTTAAACGTATACTGAAAAACTAAAAGTCATGAGAAAAAAAATCCTATTATTTTGAACTTGAAATACTTGCTACATATAAGTGTATAAAATCCATCTATCCCTGAAAATGAGGAAATAGTGTATGAGAAATACTTCTTTCTTCTGTATCTATTGATTTGTTTACTTATGAACTACAGCAAACAACTAGAAAATGATTAGGGAAAGAATTGGGGACTCAACCTTACATTTGTTCTTAAAACCCAATCGTCTATTTATCATGTCTCCTCTATAATTACTCTGTTTTATGTTTTTAGAGTTTATGATTCACTGGGTAAATGACATACTACTTAGCATGATATACTTAAAGAAGTTAACTTAGAAATTAGGTTTTAACCTATAAATTTACAGTTCTCTGCTGTGAACCAAACTGTAACTTGTGCTACAGGAAAATAATCTACTTTGCTTGTGATTTCCTTTATACACAAATACACAGTTGCACATGAAAATGATAATATATACACTGTTTGACAAGCACCTCCAGCTAAGTATAATTTTACTTGGTGATGTGTTTATTTGTATCTTTAGGAGAAGGAAAATAAAATTTTCCTCTTATTAGTCCATATAATTTTAGGATGAATCACGAAAAGACTTGTAAAGTAACTGATAGTATACCATTTAAATAATAAAAAAGATAAACAGTTGTAATAAATGGGTAGTAAACATATAAAATCTAGTAATTCAATAAGACAACATATTAACATATTCAATGACAAAGTGGCATACAAAAATGTATGCCCAATATGCAAAACCTCAGAAATGTTACACACATTGATTATTTTTAGAGTATATAATTACAATGACTTATTTTTAAAAGTAATAGTTAACCCTAAATAAAATTTGCATATCATAATTAAAATAATGAGGTTCTGGTAATAAAATTTCAAATAATATAAGTTAAAAATGGAATTTCATTTTTGAGTGCTGAAAAATATCTATGGTACTTTATTTACTTTTAGATGGCTTGTGAAAATTGCTGTGACCATTTGTTTTCCCAGAATTTTCTTATTCATTCATGTAAACCTTCACATGAGACAACATCGATTGGATGCCTGTGTGGTGAAGTATCTTCCACACATTATCTGCATTTCATTTAGTTTAAAAATAAGCCACTTCAAGATAGTAACTACTAATATTTCCAATTTGTACCAATATGACTCTGTACCCAATGTTACCATAACTGACAAAACTGTGACTTGATCCCAAGTATGCCTGAATTCAAAGCAGTTTTATTAACCTTTATGAGTTTACATTAGAGTATAATTAGTGACATCATTGTGATAATGCACATTTTTACGGGAGCAGAAAGCAAGACAAGGAAATAACTGCTTAGCAGGTTAGGCAAACATTACATATAAAGAGTGATATCTGTTTTAATACTTGAACTACAGGAGGCATTTTATCAAATAGAGAAAAGGAAAAGAGGATCAAAAAAAGAAAACAAAGTAAAAATTGCAAAAACATGCAATTGTATTCTTTTTTTTCAATTAGACAAGTATTAAGTACCTACTATTTTCTAGGTATTACAAGAAATTCTAGTAATATTAACAATGCCAAAACTCCAGCCTCTATCAATTTACCTTTGGCTTCTTTAAAATGCACCACATAATGCTTATCAACAAGGGATTCACAGCGTTACTCATGCCTGCCCCAGCTTCTGCCCAATCTAGGGAAGATGCTGGAAAAAACCACAGTCACATTCCACTGGAAAATACATAGACAATTATAAGTGTTAACAAAAGAAATATTCAATAAGTAAAGCATGCATAGGTACTGAGAAAAAGAGCTTAACTCTGCTCAAGAGATCATAGCGAACTTCAAAGAATAGATAACACCAGATGGATTTGGGGAATTTAGCATAATTCTGTGTGGCTAGAACACAGTGTTGGGGGTGGGAGTTGAGAAAGACTGGAAAAGGAAACACAAGGTCAGATTGTGAAGGGTCTTTTCAGGCAACAGGGAAAATTTTACAACTAAAATAAAGTTTAAGTTTGATCTTAGAGGCAAAACAGAAATTCACCAGGTATATAGGAAGTAGAAGAGCCACAGAAATTTCACAAAGAAATATATATAATTAGTGATTACTTTAATGCAGAATAATGTAAGAGTTTAAGAGCTGATAAGTTAAAAGTGTATCTATGCTTGATAAACATAGATCAAGGTATTTAAACATATTGGAGACAGAAAAACTAATGATAAAAATATTGGTATACACACAGGAATAGGGTTCTTAACTGATTTATCTATCTGGATTCTCACATATATATCAATATTCATACATTCATAAATATAATATTCACAAATGCATAAGTTAATGACAATAATTTAATAGTATTTAATGGTATTCATAGACTCATAAATGTTTATATATTTATAACTTTTAAAATTGTAATAGATACATATATATCTTTTTATTTCTATACATGATGGTGAAAGAATACTAATTTGTATATGGGATTCTATACTATGTTTTGTCATGGCAACAGTAGGTGAGGCCACTAGCTGAATGGAAAGTGTACAGAAATGGCCGTATCTTCTTTTACATGCCACTTTGGCCCCTTTGAGTGTATGTCTTCTGATGTAGCTGACCGAAGTTGGCTTTGGGTGTTGGTTTATAGAAGTGATAGGCTCTCTAAAGGACTTCAGGCTGGGTCATGTTGTTCAGCACATCTTACCAAAATTCCACATCGAAATTTAGGGCACTTCTAAACTAGTAATCTTTTTCTTTTGTTCTTTTCCTGACTTCTTTTTTATAAACCCCATAGTTGAATAGTTAGGCTCCAAAGCTGAATTTGTGAGGAAAATACATTAGGAAATACATGTATCTATCAGGATTATAACTTGATTGACAATATGAACTATGATCAAAGAAAAATTTATTCCAAAGTTTATTTAAAATTATTCAATATCAGACTATAGAAAATATAAAAATAAAACATTTTATCTTCTTCATAAAAATGCTAAATTAGTTATTTACTGATCCACTTTTTCAAAATAATTTTCATTTTGTTGTGTAAAAATTTGTTCACGTAAAATATTTCAGAGAAGGTAAATATCACTGGTTTTAGTCCTCCATTCTATAATTCTTACCCAAACAAATTTTATACCATGCTTTAGAGCATTTTTTTTCTGTCAATTAACTGCTACAGGGTATCCCTGTCAAGGAGTTATGTGATTGATATTTAAGTTGCTATCACTTTCAAGATGTGTGTGTGTGTAGATATATATTCAAATATGTGCATTTTTGAGTTAGTATAATCCAGGCCCTACTCCAAAAGTAAATATGGTAATTGAAAGGTACTCCCATTTCCCTTAAACTAAGTGTAAATATAGCATGCTATATTATCAAAACAAAATTTGTAACCAGTCCCTACTTAGGAATAAACATGTATTCTAAATTAGAGTTTGTGTTTTGCCATAGAACAATCTGAAATTTCTTAACAACTATTTGTTAATCACCTTTTAAAATTGTTTTATAAGAATCTAATGTAGAATTTAGAAAATGACTAACATACCATCAGCCATGAACTTTCACAGAATTGGAGACATCACTTACTCTCCACATCAAATAACATATTAAAAAAAGCAAAACTGTACATAATAGATCATTATAATTTTGGTTCCTTATTTATCTTAATAAACATCTCTTAAACTCAGCAATAGAGCAAATATGCCTTCATGAAAATTATATAAAAATTTTATGCCAAAATAAACTCAGCAGTAAAAACTTATGTGAATTTCAAAAATTGCCAATGAGCTTCACAGTTTTCTGGTGGGTTTCCCAGCTGTTTGCAAGTTATTTCTTTTTCAATCCTATGAAATTTATTCTGTACTATACATCACTGTTGTAAATTAAATTTCTTATTCCTTTAGTTCCTAACTATTAACTGTGCTTGAGTGATCGCACTAATATTGTGTTTGGCAGTCATCAGTGTCACTAATCTTCAACAAAGCTGTGTGTTTTGTTCTGTTTGCTACTGCCATATGTTGCTACAACATGTTTTATTAGATGGTTGACACACCCAGAAACAGCATGTAGTCTCTCTCTTCATCTATCTACAGCTAGCTTCTCATAATCCTAATAGAATTTATTTAAAAATAAGGAGAATTCTCAACCTTTTTGTAATCTCAGTAATTCATTAGTTTTATAAACTATGATAATCATCTCTTTTGAATTTAATGAAATGTGAAGACAGAGTGAAATATCACATGTGTGGACAATGACACTTTCTTTACTGAAGCATCTAGCATTTTCTTTATGTCCCTTATATTTAGTATTTCTGAATTGATGGTTTAGATTTAACAGTTCCTCCTGGTGACAAAAAAAAAAAACGATGCAATGATTGTGATTTTTAATTAAATAATTCAAACTGTAATCAGATCATAACATTTTTAACTAGTTTTACTGGTTATGGAAACTTAGAAATGTTTAAAATAACACACAATAACAGCAAGGAAAAACAAATCCCTCTATAATCAAAATGCAGCAGTTTATCATATATAAGAATCTTTACCAAAGTTTACAGAGCATAGACATACAAAAACTGCTACTATCCCAAAATTTCTATCTGAAAAGCTCATTAGCAATGGGGGAAAATTCTGACTACTCCTGATGCTTTCTTCCTATTATAATAAGATAACCAGAAGTAACATCTGTTCCTTACTATTCCCTACTGACTGTGTCTAAGTGAACATGGAAAATTTGTAAATTTGGGGATGGAAGACGGAGCAGCATACATAGACCGCTTTGTCCTTTTGTCTCCTTGAAAGTAATAGGGGCTGCAAAGAGCAAGGATTTTCCTTGCTCTTTCAACAGCATAGAGGTCATATATCCAACATGCCTAAGACCAAGTGGCTGGGCAGCCATACTCAGATACTTGGATAGCAGGCCCATTTAGCCACAAAAACAAGCTAGCTACACCTAACCAACTCCTACCTAAAAGTAATCCCTCTGTGTGCTTACAGGACTCTATATTGTTCTATTTTATTAAGTACATGGCACAAACAATTCACTCTTTCTCCTTTTATATTTTAAAATCTCTACTAACTTATTCTCATGATCAATCAAATATGCTCTTATCTCCAATAACTTGTTCAAGGGAATAAGTTACTCTAGGGATAACAGCACAATCCTATTCTAGAGTCCATATCGACAATAGGGTTTACGACCTCGGTGTTGTATCAGGACATCCTAATGGTGTAGCTGCTATCAAGGGTTCGTTTGTTCAATGATTACAGTCCTACATGATCTGAGTGACACACACGTTACACATGTAGAAAATTCCTTTTTACTCACTTTTACTCCCATCTCCAGCCTTATCTTTGTATTCTCTTTTATGGTTAAAGTGGTTATTTGACATATCTCTTTCTCTTCACCTCATTTATTAAATAAATTTCAATCATGCTTATGCAGAACACCACTCCAACAGTATGTCCAGATCACCTAAGATAACCATATTGATAAATTATGTTGACAGTTCTCAGCCTCCATATCTCTTTACCTCAGTGTTCTGCTGAGAGCATTTCTGTGTGCTGAGGTGGGGAGAGCATAGCAATTGTGAGACACAGAACTCAGTGCTGCTCTATTAGAGTAGAAAGGGACGCCAGACCAAACTCAGCTGATGCCCACACACAGAGGGAACATTTAAACCACGGCTAGCCAGAGGAAAATTGCCAAACCCAGCAGTCAGAAATTGAGTTCCTGCAAACCTCTTCACCACCTTGGGCTAAAGTGCTAAAGGGCATACTTCAATCTGAGAGAAAAGAACGTTAATGAGAAATACGTAATAACCTCATGATACACAATTCACTGGTAACAGTAACTACACAGAAAATCACAGAATATTATAACACTGTAACTGTGGTGTGTAAACTATTCTTATGGTAAGAGCAAAGACTAAATGATAAACCAATCAAAATAATAAGTACAGCAACTTTTCAAGACATAGACAGCACAATAAGATAAAAAAACAACAAAATCTTAAAAAGCAGGAGGACAGAGTCAAAGTTTAGAATTTCATTAGTTTTTTTCTTATTCTTTTGTTTGCTTATGCAAATAATGTTAAGCTACCATAGGATCCAGCAATCCTCCTGCTGGATATATACCCAAAAGAAAGGAAATTAGTACATTGAAGAGATATCTACACTCCCACATTTGTTGCAGTACTGTACACAATAGCCAAGATTTGAAAGCAACCTAAGTGTCCATCAACAGATGAATGAATCAAGAAAATGGGGTACATTTACACAATAGAGGCACTATTCAGCCATTAAATAGAATGAGATCCTGTCATTTACACAACATGGATGTAACTGGACGATATTATGTTACATGAAATATGCCAGGTACATAAATATAAACATTACATGCTATCACTTATTTGTGGGATCTAAAAATCCAAGGAATTGAACTCATGGGCATAGAGAGTAGAAGGATGGCTACAAGAGGCTAGGAAGAGTAGTGGGGCAGTGGGGAGGATGTGGAGATGGTTAATACATACAAAAAAAATAGAAAGAATGAATAAGACTGATTATTTGATAGCACAACAGTGGGACTACAGTCAACAACAATTAATTGTACATTTTAAAAATAACTAAGAGTACAATTAGATTGTTTGCAATGCAAAGGATAAATTCTTGAGGGATGGATACCCCATTCTCCAATGATGTGATTGTTATGAATTGCATGCCTATATTAAAACATCTCATGTATCCAATAAATACATACATCCACAATGTACACACAAAAATTGAAAAGAAAAAAATTAAGAATATGCCATATCATTTTGCTATAAATTTTATAATACTTTTAATTGAATTATCTTGCATGCTTTTAATGTTGAATTATTTAAAAATGTGAACAAATAAAAATGGTTAAATATAGAAATGATTATTATATATGCAACCAAAAATGGACACATAGACTAATCATAGTATTTCTGTATGCCTGAGCTACTAAAAGGAGACTGTTCTATCAGTCTTACATAATGCTCCATTCTCTGGCCTCTCTGCATAAAAATGACATATACTATCACTTCATTTCTGGAGTATGCATAATATCTCCCAATGTTTTATAATTCTCTCCATAGAGATCTTGAATATCTTTTAAAGTTATACCCCTAGTTATGATACTTTTTGATACCACTTATAATTCATTCATGATTTAAATTTTATTTTCTAATTTTCCTTGTTGGCCATGTAAAAATACAAATAATTCTTTGAATATTGACCCTTTACTCACCGATTTTGCTAATTTACTCATTCTTTGAATCTTCTGGATTTTTCTACCTATACAATGATATGATCTGCCAAAAATACATATATATATATATTGCATGTAAACACTTACATAAGTAAATAGCATTTCTGATTTTTCAAGCCTTGAGTGTTTTTTTTACCCCTTGTAATAGATTTAACAGATTTTTGTTGATAGATGTATTTTTATCTAAAGATTACCTTTATATTATTTATAACTTCTAAGGGACTTTTCTGGATGTCATGTCTAAGATCACTATTAGTAGATTGTGAAGGTAATTTATCATATAAAATTTTTGAGCCTTATTAAGCTATTTTAGCTCTTATTAAGATACATGTTAATAGATTTCCTAATCAAATATCACATCATTTCTCTTATTAAAAAAAGTCATAACTGAAATTGTCTATAGTGCAACACAGACACGTATTTAAACAGCAATTTGTGTGTCTATGTATGTGGAGTTAGTTTTCAATATTTTATTTGTGATGTGTATGTATTTATAATTTAAATCGAATCATTAAGGTAAGATTTTTAAGCTCTTTTGAATAAATTAGACAGTATTTATTTATTTATTTATTTATTTAATTTATTTATCCTGCTCTGTCACCTAGGCTGGCACAATCTTGGCTCACTGCAACTTCTGCCTCCCTGGTTCAAGCAATTCTCCCTCCTCAGCCTCCCAAGTAGCTGGGATTACAGGAACCCGCCACCACAGCAGACTAATTTTTGTAATTTTGTAGAGATGGGGTTTCGCCATGTTGGCCAGG
This sequence comes from Homo sapiens, assembly GCF_000001405.40. NCBI lineage: Eukaryota > Metazoa > Chordata > Mammalia > Primates > Hominidae > Homo > Homo sapiens. The sequence goes on from NC_000013.11 coordinate 56,691,417, forward strand.
CTGGTCTTGAACTTTTGACCTCAAGTGATCCACCCACCTCGGCCTCCCAAAGTGCTGTGATTGCAGGTGTGAGCCACTGTTCCCAGCCTAGATATTATTTTAGAGTAATTGAAGAGACTACCTAAATTGTCTATAGTGGTATAAGTTTGAATTGTCTCTTCCTTTGAAATTCAGTAACAGTTGATTGTAAAATGTTTTTGGCATGATCTTTATGTGTCTAAGTATAAAATTTTAGAGTCACTTTCAGATTTTCTTTCTTTTTTAGAGCTAGCTCTTATAATTTGAATTTTTTCTAGAAAAGAAATTGTTTTCTAGTAATTCAAGGTTTAAGAGGTTATTTCTAAAAATAATAAAAAAATTATTTCTAAAAGTAAAAAAAAAATTTTTTATTTTAAAATCACTGCTGGTTTTGTATTAATGCCCACTTTGTCATTTTTGCTTCTTCTATTTCCTCTCTTTATCAATGATTTGAAGGTTGCATCTTCATGAAAAATGCTTTGGTGTTTTTTTTTTTTTCTTTTATAATTCTCTTCTTTAAATTTTTTCCTCATACCTTTGGTCTGCTCTAACTAAATTTTTCTTCTGTTTTCTTTGATTCCATTCTCACTTTTCTTTCTTAAGATTTTCTCTTATAAGAAATTGATGCTATATTTTCATTATCTCTTTATTTTCAACCAGTACGCTTAGTAGTTTGTTTTTAATCATTAAAATATAATTATATAAAGTCTATGTCATCTTCATTACAATTTCTTGTCTTTTGATTTACTATTTAGAACATTTTTAAATTTTTGTGTTTTAAGTATTTTTTTGTAGCAACATTTTGGTTTATTTTTTATTTCAATTATAGTTTGTCCCAAGATTGTATTCTGTGTGATATGGATTATTTGGAATTTATTGAAACCTGCTTTATGTCCTAAACTATGATCAATTTCCAAATTTATTCCCAATGTAATTGAGAACACTGTATTCACAAAAATCAAGAGTATTAATTATGCTGTTTAAATCCTCCAAATTGTTACTAATTATCTTATTGTTGATATGATAATAAATAAGAGAGAACTATGTGAATGGCTTTCAATTATAAAGTGTTGTTTAATTCCTTTCTGCTAGGCTGGCATTTTGATTTATATATTTGAAGTTATTGTTACTGTAGTTTGGTTTGTGATAAATGGCTGGAATTTGACAATGGATTTCTTCTCTTTTCCATTTCTCTTAATCTATTTTATATTTTATTCTATGCGGAATTTATTTTTTCCTCAGATTTGTGTTCTGGCTGACTAATCGGAATTTTGTGTAATACGAATTTTAACTTATTGAATAAATAATTATGTTTAATTTAATGGTTATATATATTTTTTGTTTTGTAACCATTATTTGTATATGCATATTTTAACATTTTTCTTTTATTCAATCCATTTTCTTAGATCTTCTGGCACCCAATACTGCTACTTATTAGTTCTTCTATACCTTTTTTATGATAATTAAGACCTCTTTCCTTTCTTTACTATTCTGTAATTTGTTTCTATTCTTTTTATTTTTACTGTTTATATTGACGGTTTATTTATAATTTGAATTATGAGGACGTTTGTGAAGCACTTTACATTTTGGAGTCTTAATTACAAGGTCAGAGTTTGTAATTTGTATTAATTTGTTCTTGGCTTTTGGGGTATTTTCAACCCAGTAATGTTTTATGTTTATTTTTAGCATAAAGTTTATAGATCATACAGCTTATACAAATTCTGCCCCCAGAACAGATGAGGCAAGACTTGTCCTCATAAGTCTTTTGGATATGTTGAGATATTTTTTCCTTGCCATCCTGTGATATAGTTTTTGTTTTTAAATTCTTTATCAATACAGTTTTGAGGCCTTGCCTAGAAGCCAGTCAGTTCCTCTTCTTAGCAGCTGATTAACTCTATATCCTAATCACTTCCTTTATCAAACTGTCATATTCCAGGGCACTAGCCATTCACTCTAATTGCTGCATGGTTAGGTACCAGACAATTAGAAACAGTCCCTATGCCCAGGAGTTTGTGAAATTATCCAATTAGCCAACTCACAGGGAGCCTCTGAGAAACCCAGCTAACCCCAACCTGCTTGCCATTAATGCCTGGAATTTGATATTAGATTTCTTCCCCCTTTAGCTCATTTGCTACACATTTATTTCCCCTAACATTTCCAGATGATTGTTATCCTGTCCCATGTGCAACTATATTGGTAGGCTTGCCTGGGGTCTTTTCTCATTTGAAGTTGTAAGTAATAAAAAATTCTGCCTTTTATCTATCCAAGTGTCAATGTATTGGATCACACCATGAAGGAATTTATAAATCCTATGAAACAACTGACACTTTAAACAAGGTGGTGTAGCCATGACCATTGATTCTTAGGAAGCAGGAGGTGCAAGTGGGGGTGCACTTAGGTTACTAAATGGTTCCAAAACACCTCAAGAATGGCTTGAGACAGAACTGCTTTCTTTAGCCTTGTAGCTTTCTGTTGTGTCTGTAGGTGGTGGCCAGTCTCTTCATACTTCCTCCCCCCGCCAAAGATTAAGGGATAGGTACTAGAGCTGTATTTTCCTGGGTCAGAGCGTTCAGATGTGTTTGTTGTCACTGTGTTTGGCAGAGGCCTATTCTAGATGCCCTTCACTTTTTGTTGATGATATTTTAAAAAACTATTATTTGGGGCAAAGCTTTGGTTTGTTCCTGTGTTTCAGGCTCTTTTTGCAGAAAGGTGGTGGTTGGACTTCTCCACTGTATATAAATATCTCCTTGTCCCTGTTGCCCAATGGGCATAGGGTCTACCTATCTTCTTTGCTGCTGTATACCTCACTGCTATGGCCAGCCAACTTCATACTTCCCAGACCCTCATGATTACACATGAATTGCACTGTTGGAGACCAGTAGCCCAGTGTTTAATTCAAAAAGAGTTTTGGGGCAAGAAAAGGGATATCCCATTCTTGCACCCTTCTTCTCCTTTGGCATATTCCACTTGCAGGAGGGAGGGTCCTCACTTGTCCTCAGTCCCTTCACACATACCATAGTCCTGAAGGATATTAGTCTTCTCCTAGACCCCTTGGCTACCTAAAGAGCCCCTTAGGATCAACTGAGTAAACAGCAATAGGAGTTCATAGTTTATGAGAATGGCATTGCCTTCGTCACAAATGATGGAGCTCTGTGGAATATAACTGTTTTCCATTTCTAAACTAGGATGTCCCTGATATAGGACAAGATCCAAGAATCTGCACAGTTGCCCAAATATCAGGTTGTCATTTTAGCACTAGATGCTCTGGTCAGCAGTGCACAAAATGTGCTCCATCTGCACATTTTTACAAACTATGGGTCATTGTCCAAGAGTTGCCCCCTTCAGGGTAAAGTCCCTGGGAATCTCTTGCCTCGCAGACACTCAGTATATCAAGGTGACACATGTCTAAATATACTAGGTCCATAATATTAAGCCCTCAACAGGGTAATATATTTCTTTCAGAGTTCCAGACACTATGATAGTAACCAAGGAACTCATTTCACTTCTCAGAATATAGAGTACACAATGCTAGGCTCCTGGAAAAGACATTCAATAAAACTCTCATATTCCCAATAGATACTGGATTAGATGACACAATGATTTTCTCAAACTCCTTTATAAATTCCTGTTTACCAAATGGACCCCTAAATTGGTGTCTATCTTGCTCCAGGCTTTAATTTCTCTAAATTCAAGGCACTTTTGGCTAACTTACACATTACACAAACAGTAAAAAAAGAAATATTTCCATAACCCTTTAACCATATGTTGTCCTGCATATGGTCCCATATGCTTTCCATCTGAAACAGAACCCATCTGAGCCCAAAATTCCACCACCCCTAAATCCTCCTCAATATTCTAGTTCTAAGAAATAGATAATTACTCCAACTCTCCTTATAATTTCCTCCAAAGAATTAAAATTAGTGCTTCAGTGTTGTTCTCACAACATGAACTCACAAGAAGAGAAATAAGAAATCCCACTTAGTAAATAAAATCACATTTGTAAATAATAATGAAATCAACACCATATCTCATAATGATGAAAGCAGACAACTTTAGTTTAATGCATGCCTAAGAAAATCAATATCAGACAACAAAAGCTTGTCACGGCACATACACACAATTCTGCTGGCGATTAGTCTTATCAATATTGGTCTGGATGCTTTCCTTTTTTTGCAATATGAAGGCTCAAATGCTCCAAGTAAACCTCTCTTTCAACCAATTACAGCAAATACTAAGGCCCACATGCCCTAAAATTTGGCTAATATAAACCCTGCAGTCCAAAGACTTCAACATTCTTATGTGTCATCAACAAAGGGACAACCAAGTGCCCCAAGTAATTGGATAAATTTAAGAGTCTCCCATAGGCTAATATTGGAGCTCCAACCTCCACCACAAATATCTTAATACCTTAACTGGAAAACATCCTAACACCATATTAACCACATGTGCCAAAATAAGGCCATGTGATTTTAAAACTGATGAATAAGATCCTAATAATGTTAATAACTATCTGTCCCAATATGCTCTAAGCTTTGCCACTGTTCTGTTTTATCAAATATATCACCACTTTAACATATCCACTTAGGTTTACAGATATAAAATGAATTACCTATATAATATTGGATATTAAAAGACAGGATTTTGAACTCAGATATATTTGGATCTAAAGGTCATCTACCTTTCACCGCAGGGGTGTCTCTGATCAGTTTATACTGCCTTATGCCACATAATCGAATCAATATGTATAAGGATGTTCATCAAACTAAGTAGAATAAAAAGTAATAAACATAAATCTGTTTTCTAAATTCAGAAAATTCAATTACATAACTGATAATGTATCCAATGCATTCATAAGCTAATTAAAACAAAAAATTATTGAATGGTTGCAGAGTTTGGCTTGATAAGTCTTAAATTAAATATATATTTAAACATACTTGATATATGAAAAAATTGTAAGTAATTAAATATGGTGAAGAGAGATAGAAATATTAGAAATGAAACAAAATTTCAAGAATGTTTGTTGTAGAAATTACATTAACTGATAAAAGTAAAACAGGAGGAATTCTTTGTGTAAATAATGTCAAGTGTTAGGTCAAATTCAAGGACCCTTGCAAATCATGTAGCAGAGGGTAATCAGAATTAGAAATAAACAACTGAGAGTTGTAATCACGGAGGTTAAAAATGTGAGAATGAGTGAATCACTACTGTTGAATAACTGAGATAAAGAGAAGACTGATTTTCTAAAATTGGGAAACCTTCATTTTTTGATGGCATTAGAAGAAAGAGATCTAGAAAGCAAAGGAAGAGTGGGGGAAGAAACAAAAGTAAAATTATTTGAAAAAAATCAAAAGTTCCATAGAAATTTGTAGTATAATCTTCATCAAATTTATCCATGATGAGTTTGCACAAATAAAATGGTGAGAACAATCAACACTATTTGAATTAAGATGATTTCTTAGAAATGCTCAGATTTTAAAATACATCAGTGTAGTCATTAGTAAGAAGCTGAGAATATTTTTGTGCAAATCATACCTACCTTCCCTTCAGTTCAAGCAATTTAGCATTTTATCCCAACCAACATGCAACTATGAAGAATGCAACAGACATTACATTATTGAAGTAGCAAAAAGATTATTTTTTTAATTTTTTTGCATATTGCCTATGTAATCCTCTTGCTGCAAATCTCCTGACATCCTTTTCTATCCTCTCTTATTTCAGTCAACAGCTCTAGGTCACCCTCGGTCCTGATCCTGTCTGATTACTAAGCAGTGTTCAGCACTGGCTGTCAGATGTTGTCGCTATTTTCCCAGTGGGTGCATCCTGTGACCCTGACAAAGATGCATCATACCACTGATCCTTTTGATTGCTGTACTGATTTCTATGATTGTTGCCATCTGCTATACATATAAACAACATCAACAACGCAGAAAGAAAACTACATTAAAAAAAATGAAATCACTCCAAATGGAAGTATCCCAAATTGTATATCAAAGACTCACAGACTAGAAATGAACCAAATATTCTAAATATTTAGAGTTTATTTAAAAGTACACTATAAGTATGTGAAGCTTTTGTTAGTGTGACAACATACATTATTGTAATTATCTTTAAAGTATATAAGACAGATATTTAGCTTTACCTTTATATAAGACACAAAACCAACTCAAAATAAATTGAAGTTCTAAAAACATTTTCAGGAAAAAATTTAATGAATTGTACTGTGAGGTTACTTCCATATTGCATTAGGCAAAACAGAAGCTGGGCTTGGTGGCTCACGCCTGTAATCCCAGCACTAAGGGAGGATGAGGCGGGTGACTCACTTGAAGTCAGGAGTTCAAGACCAGCCTAGCCAATGTAGTGATATCCTGTCTCTACCAAAAATAAAAAAAAAAATAGATGAGGTTTGGTGGTATGCACCTGTAATCCCAGTTACTCGGGAGGCTGAGGCAGGAGAATCACTTGAACTCAGGTGGAGGTTGCAGTGAGCTGAGATCTCGCCACTGCACTCCATCCTGGCAGACAGAGCAAGACTTCATTTCAACAAACAAACAAAGAACTCAAAAGAATTAGGCAAAACACTTTTACTATCTATATATATTTTGATGTAAATTGTTTCATCTAAGGCTCAAAATACAATGAGATAAATTACTTTTCTACATATAGATAGATAATTTATGATTCTGACTCTCCAATCAGGCACATTTTGACTGACACACCATATACCTCAAGTTCCGGTTGGTTTCCTGTATCTTTGTAACATTCAGAAAAATATCTGGCCTATAATTTTAATTGTGTCCTATCCTTCTTTCTATGAGACTGTCATAGTTAAATAATCTTAATTTTAGAGGATTAAATTTGTAGAAATATGAGAAATACTGAGCCTGTGAGATTCTTTTATTTTCTACTCGGGATCAAAACAAGCAATAGTAGGTGTGATCTAAGATGCTATATCTTTTTTCTAGAATTCAACAAAATAGTTCAGAAATTATAAATCAAAATCAAAGCAGAAACACTCTTATGGTAAAAAAAAAAGTATTATTAGAATTTTCCAAAAGTAATACGTTTTAAGAAATTAAGCTTACATACTTATTAATGTGTTCCCTCCTTGATGTCTTACTGATGTGTGATCATTAAATCACATATCAGTAAGATTAAATCTCATATAAAATCTCGCCTTGAATTGCCATAATCCCTATGTTTCAAGGAAGGACCAGGTGGAGATCATTGAATCATGGGGGCAGTTTCTGCCATGTTGTTCTCATGATGGTGAGTGAGTTCCCACGAGATCTGATGGTTTTATAAGTAGTTTCCTTCTTCACTCAGCACTTATTTCTCTCTCCAAAAGTTTAGGGAAAAATAAAGGCTGAAGATCAAGATAGTAGCTGATATCTAATTATAGATTTATAAAAATTATTCATCTAACTATTTACATATATGTTTGGGGGAGAATTCTCTTTATTCCATTTTCTTTTAAGAAATTTAGTGTTTGTTAATAATACTAGAAGTCTCTACCAAAAGAAATAAGTAAGAATCTCTTGTGGGGAGGCATAGGCATCAGTATCGTTTTCAGTTATCCCTCCCTGATAATTGATTCTAATGTGCAATAACCATGTCGGCTATAAATAAAGTCACCTGTTAAAATAACTAAGTACAGAGATTATTTAGAAATAAAATTGATAGTTTCTCCAGTTTCCTTCTTGATTGTTCATCTGCTGGAATGTGGATTCAATATTGATAATTTATGGTTTCACAGAAACATTGAGTTTGATGCAAAACTCTCTTAAGATTATTTCACTGTTCCCTGGTTTGGGAGGTTTGATATGGTTTGGCTCTGTGGTTCCACGTAAATCTCACCTTGAATTGTAATGATTCCTATGTGTCAAGGGCAGACAAGGTGGAGATAATTGAATCATGGACACAGTTTTCTCCATACTGTTTTCATGATAGTGAGTGGGTTCTCACGAGATCTGATGGTTTCATAAGGGGCTTCCCCCTTTGCTTGGCACTCATTTCTCTCTCCTGCTGCCCTGTGAAGAGATGCCTCCTGCCATTTTGTAAGTTTCCTGAGGCCTCCCCAGCCATGCAGAAGTGTGAGTCAGTTAAACCTCTTTTCTTTATAAATTACTCAGTCTCGGGTATTTCTTCATAGCACCATGAGAATAGACTAATACCCCTAGTAATTTCCTATTTTGTATTTTTAATATGTTGTATTTGGAGTCTATAATTTTCCATTTTTTCTCTTTATTGATTTGCCCAGGATATTATTTATTTTGTTAGAACCAGCAACTGGATTGATTCTGTCACTCTACCTGTATCTGTTCCCTAATTTATGAATTCATATTATCTTAACCACTTTTGCCCTTTTGTTTTCTTGAATTTATTTTGCTCTTGTCCTTTATTTACTAAGCGGCAATATTTCATTTTTATTCTTTTTATTCTGCTCTCCTACTTGTATCATCTTCTATGGTAGAGAACAGAATGGCTGCCAGTAAGGTAAAATAGACCCTCCCGGGCTAGAAAAGCTCAGGGATCATTATAAAATAACTCTCCAATTAGGCATATTCTGGCTGACACACCATATACTCTGAAGTTCTATTTGCTTTCTTGGGTCCTCATAACATCCAGAAATATCTGGAGTATAATTTTAATTGGGTCTCATCCTTCTTTTTAAGAAACTGCTGTAGTTAATTGCATCCCGCCTAATATGCTTTCTTACCCTAGTTGTTTCCTGAACAGCCAGCCTCTGAGACAACCTATCCCTCTGGGCACTGAAACCTAGACTATGCTGGTTTTTTGTTTTTGTTTTTGTTTTTGTTTTTAACAAACTCATTTCCCACCTACTATTGAATGTTTGTTTTCCCAAAAATTCATGTCTTGTAATTCTAACCCTAATGTGATGGTATTAGATGATGGAGCCCTTGGAAATTAATGGATCATGAGTATTTCACTTTCATGATGGGATTAATGCTCTTACAAAAGACACCTCCGAAAGTTCTTTCACTTCTATTCTGCTATGAGATGACACAGTAAGAAAGCTGTGCATAAGGAAGTGTCTGTGAATCGGAAAGTGTCTGTGAACCAGGAAGTAAACCCTCACCAGACACGGAATCTGCTGATGCATTGCTCTTGGATTCCTCAGCCACTAGGACTTGAGATACAAATGTTTTTTGTTTAAGCTAGCCAATAAATGGTAATTTGTTACAGCAGCTCAGACAGACACTGCTCTAGCCTATCTCATCAAGCCCTGTCACTGTGCCTTTTGAAACGCAAAAATCTACTGATACTAGCAAGATTTTCTTTCACTTGCATTTAAGACAAAATTCAAACAAGTTATTTAACCAAATGTGGATTTGTTTATCTCTGGTTTCAAATTCAGTGATTGGATAGGACAGACTTATTATGGTGACTCAATGATACTATCAGGAAATCCTTATCTTTTGGCTTTTGGTTTTTCTATCCTTAGAATTTGGCTTCCTTCATGACTAAGATGCTCCATCAGTTCCAGGAATTGCATCTGTTTTTGAAACATAAAGAAGTGAATAATGAAAGACAAATATATATATATATATATATATATATATATATATATATATGATATACACACACTGAGTCTGTACACTTTTGGTTTGTTGTTGTTGAGACAGAGTCTTGCTCTGTGGCCCAAGCTGGAGTGCAGTGGCACAATCTCGACTCACTGCAGCCTCCACCTCCCAGGTTCCAGCAATTCCTCTGCTTCAGCCTCCCAGGCAGCTGGGATTACAGGCATGCACCACCACGCCCAGCAAATTTTTTTTTTTTTTTTTTTTTTGTATTTTCAGTAGAGATGGGGTTTCATCATGTTGGCCAGGCTGGTCTCAAACTCGTGACCTCAGGTGATCCTCCCGCCTTGGCCTCCCAGCCTATAATCCTGTGCTAGGATTACTGGCGTGAGCTACCATGCCCAGTCAAGTCTGTACCCTTTTAACACATAGGCTAGAAGTACTAGTGATTCCTTCCAAATAAAATATCGGTCTATTTATTTAAGAAAAGGAGAAGAATGGATATTGTGTGAGGCAACTAGAATTTTAAAGCACTACCTATGTCCTCAAATTTTTCTCAAATGATGATTTTACCTTTTGTTCTAGATGAAATTTGACTGACCTTGAATAAATCATTTTATAAAATTTTACCCATACATACATCGCATGGACTTTAACGTCTAGATTAGGGTATGGTGCTCTCTTTGCTATACTTCTTCCAAAATATTTTTCTTATTTTCGCTTTCAAAAGCCACAGATAATTTGCCAGCAGAAAATAATAACTATTCCTATTATATAGTTCTATCGTTTATAAAACTCTTAGTCAACATAATTTTTTGTTAACTTGATAAAATTGCTCTCCATTTTTGCTCCACAACTCTTTTTGTCAGTATTCTTGACAACTGCTTAATCTACACTGGCATTTTACTCTCTTGATTTCCTGAGATCAAAAGTTTTTCTTGACTTTCCATTTCAAACATTCATTGTAATATTTTACTACTCCAGTAATTCTGCAATACCCAATTAAAGTATTGGGTATTAAAGATATACCTAATCCTGAAAACAAGCTTCCCGATCTCATTTCCTCACTTCCGTTTTACGTGATTTATTTTCCATTTTCTTGAATAAACTCATGCCCTTGTTAATATAATTTGACGCATTGCTTTACTCATCTTCTGCAATAATTGCTAAAAATAAAAAAGGACAGTACTTGTGAATTTCTAATCCTTGTCTACAATACTGTTGGAGAAGTTTGAAAATGTATGGGAGTCACGTAATTTGAATGTTATGATCATGAATCACTGATGGGTACTCAACACTGACCCTGCAATCTGAAATATTTTAAAAAATAATATGTTGCCCCTTTTACTTGGATGATTTATTGGCATGTGTTTAACGTATTGATCTATAAGCATTATTTCTATACGCTTTTTTGTTCTTATCTAAAATTCTATTGAGGAAAGAATCTATTAGATAAAAACTGCTACATTTTTCTGTCATCAAATGAATCACACTACTTTTACCAGTAATCTATCTATTTTTTTTCCACGTGAATAAAAGCACTCCTAGCTTTGATCTAAAGCTGATCTTTTTACTTTGGCTGAATCATGTAATTTCTTACATGACTAAATCTATTTTATACCTTGTGTTCCCCCTCCAACTAGATCATTGGAAATTTTATTGAACATTGATCTCATAAAAGTAGAGAATAGAATTGTGTTTACCAGAGGCTGGGACAGTGTTGGAGGAGGGGGTTGGAGAGATGTTGGTAAAAGGTTACAAAATTTCAGTTAGTTAGGAGGAACAAGTTCGAGAGACCTGTTGGACAAAATCGTGACTTTAGTTAACACCAATATGTTATATCTTGGAAAATACTGAGAGTAGATTTTAAGTGATCTCACCAAAAAATGACAATTACATGAGGTAATACATTTGTTATTTAGCTTGATTTAGCTATTCTACAATGTATATACTTTAAATCCTGCTGTACATAATAAATACACTTTCATATGTCAATTAAAAATTAAACAAAAGCATTATAAAAGCATAGATTAAGATGCACTATTTAAATCACCTCTCCAATATCCTACATGTGCTTAAGTTTACATCTATTTTATACCTAGTCTTTCTCATAGAAAATATACTTAAAATTTATTTATAGTCATTAATATCTACTCTTAAACTTCTATTTCATTTCTGAGTGACAAAAAATAAGCTTTTAACTTTACTAGCCTAAAAAATTTCTCTTGTCAATACAACCAATTACTTTTATCGTTTTAGATCTAATGGTCTATTTACAGCCCTTTTCTAAATTGAATTCCCATAGGACATAATGAGAGATTATCCTCTTCTTTAAAAACAATATCTTTAGTAAATTATAATACACAAATCAAAATTCACCCCTTTAAAATGTACAATTTAAAGTTTTTTAGTATATTCACATAGTTGCATAACCATTACCACAATCAGTTTTAAATATTTTCATCTTTTCCCAAAGAAATCCTCCACCCATTTGCAGTCATTCCTTACCCACATCATTCCCCCATTCAGGCCTAAGCAACTACTAATCTCCTTTCCGTATCTATAAATTTGCTTATTATTAACATTTAATATAAAAGAAAGAATAAAATATGGGTAATGTGCAACTTGAGTTTCACACTTAGTGTACAGTTCTCAAGGTCTATTGATGTTATAGCATGGACCATTATTCTGCACCTGTTTTTGGTTTAACAATATTCCATTATATGGACAAACCACAGTTTTGTTTAGACATTCATCTATTAAGAGACATTTGGATGTTTCTACTTTGGGGATTTTATAAACAAGATGATAATGATCATTTGTGTACAAGATTTTGTGTGGATATATGTTTTAATTTTTCTTAGATATATACCTAGGAGTGAAATTGCTGTGTTATATGATAATTCTATGTTTACAAATTTGAAAAACTAACAAAGTGTTTTACAAAATGGCTGCAACATTTCACATTTCCATTAACATGTTTGATAGTTTCAAATTCTCCACATCCTCACCAACACTTATAGATCTACCTTTTTGGTTATAATCATTGTAGTATACGAGAAGCAGTATCTCTACATGATTGTGATTTGCATTTGACTAGTGGCCAATGATGTTGAGAATCATTTCACATACTTATTGACAATAATTATATTCTTCTTTAGAAAGGGGGCTGATCATATATTTTACTCATTCTTAATTATTTTATTTTATTGTGTTTTATACTTATTTGTATACTCTGAATAAAAGCTGTATAATAGATATGTGATTGCAAATACTTTCTCCCAGGCTGTGAGTTGTCTTGTTACCTTCTTAATGATATGATTTGCAACACAAAAGTTTTTAAAGTGATATAGTCTCATTTATCTAGGTTTTCTTTTGTTAGTTATACATTTAGAGCCATCTAACCAAACGTTAACTAACTCAAGGTCATGAATATTTTTCTTCTCTGTTTTCTTCTAATAATTTTACAGTTTTATATCTTATATTTAGGCCAATAACACATTTTGGGTTAATTTGTGTGCATGGTATGAGGTAGGTATCCAACTCCATTCCTTTGTCCATCCTATTGTCCCAGCATCATTTGTTGACAAGACTATAACTTCCATGTTTGAATTGTCTTGGTACACTTATTGAATATCAGTTGATTACAAATGTATGCATTTTTTGGACTCTCAATGTTATTCCAGTGTTCTATACATTATCCTTATGCCAGTGCCAGACTATATGAATTAGTGTAGTTGTACACTAAGTGTTTAAATCAGTAAGAATGACTCTTTCAACCTTGTTTTTACTTTTCCACATTATTTTAGCTATTCTGGTTTCCTTGTATTTTTATATAAATTTTAAGGTCAGCTTGTCAACTTCCCCCAAAAGAGACAAATCATATTTTGTTAGTGACTGTGATAAATCTGTTGATCAAGTTGAAGAGTATTGCAATCTTAACAATATTCAGTTTGTTGATTTAAATGTAGGGTATCTTTTCATTTCCTTAAAATCTATGAATTAAAGAATATCTTATTGTTTTAGTGTACACGTGTTTCACTTTTGTTAAATTCATTCCTAAGTATTTTTTTCATGTTATATTACATGAAAGTGCTTTTTACAAATTTTATTTCTGGATACTGTATATTGTATATTAATGTTTTAGTCACTAGCCTCACTGAATACCTTTATTTGTTCAATAGCTTTTTTAGTGGATCTTTAAAAACTTTCCATATACAAGATTTTATAATTTTCTAACAGAAATAGCTTAATTTTTCCAATCTATATAAATTTGCATTGTTTTCTTCATTTTTTCTTTGTCCAATTCCCCAGTCAGTATCTCAAGTACAAAGCTGAATAGAATTACATCCTTATCTTTCTTTTTTATTTTAGAATATTCCTGTTTTGAGCAGTCACATCTCTGAAAATCTCTTATCCTATCTTTTCCTGATTCTCTTCCTTATCATACTTGCTTGTGTATATGTGTACGTGTGTGTGTGTGTGTGTATATATATGTGTATATATATGTGTATTATACGTATGTATATATATGCACATGTGTATATATATACACATACGTATATATATGCGTATATATATGCGTATGTGTATATATATACACATATATGTGTATATAAATATACATACGCATATATATACACATATATATGTGTGTATATACATACGTATATATATACACTTTTTTTCCTGATCACTAAATTTTGGAATTTCCCAATTTCCCAAGATTATCTCTTAAGTATTATTTCTATCTCCTCTTTTTCTTTTTACTTGCTTTCATATAGTCCTGGTGCTTTAAATTCCACTTTATGATGATTAATCTCAAATACATGTCTCTCTAATTTCCTTCGTTCTTCACTTTTGAACTTACAAACATGCAACTTCCTCAAAATTCTAAAAGACACATGAAAATTAACATTGTATATATATCCAAACACAACTCTTGCACTCACCTTATAAGACTGCCCCTTCAAATTTATCTCACTTAATGAAATGATACATCTGCCATTTCCATGGGCAAGAACCAAATATTTATTTTTCCCCTACCTAGTAAAGCTAAGCACAACTACTTTGTATCATTCTGGTTTTTTATTCTAGTCTATGTTTCCTTACTGGGCTACTACAATAGCCTCATAATTGGTTCTCTGCATATATCATTCCCCAAATAATCTATTTTTCACAACATTGAGAGATATTTTAAAATCAGAAAATCAGATTATGTAATTCCCTTACTAAGATCCTCCAAATACTCTACAGAATGTGCAAATCAAATTCTGCAGCCTCACACAATATGTAGCCTAATTATTTCTGTCATTTTATTTTTATTACTTATTTTTAATTAAAATAAATCCTTAAAAAGTGTTGTAAGACTAGTAAAATAAGCTTTTATATATCATTCACCTAGATTTAGAAAATTCTTAAAATTTTCTTATATTAGTGTCCCTTCACTCATTCTCTCTCCTCCCACACACATATTTTCAGAAGCTTTCAAAATTATTTGTAGACAACATAATGTCTTTCATTCCTAAACATTTCTGCCTGTATTTCTTAAAAGCAAAAACATTGTCTCACATAAGTCCAATACACACGAATCACAGAAAATTTAATATTGATTTAAATAAACACTAATATTTTATGTGGTGTCAATATTTACATTTCTTCAATTGTCCCAATGATGTTCATACTGATCTATGTGCAATGCTAGAGATAATCATCTCTGAGTAATTATAGTTTGTTTTGCTTCCTTTACCACTGTACTCCCAGCATGGAGAAAGAAAAATGTTAAACTTCTTAGATTTTCATTGCTGCTTAGAGCTCAAGGAGTAGGTATTATTATTTTCTCTTCATACGTTTTTCATTCAGTTGCAAACATGTTTCCTCCTAAGCCCATTGTCTTCCAACTGGAAATTATTAATAAGAAGTCTTAGGACTGTGTAGCTTATTTTATATTCACTTTCTGTTTTTTTTGGGGGGGTGGTGGGTAGGGGCATTTTACCTCGTGGAAATTTCTGTTATATTTTTACTTTTCCTGGATGCCATTTTTATAAAATTACTGATGATCTCAGTTATGTTTGATGCTTTCTTAAGCTGCTGCTGGTGAATGTATTCCTGAGTTTTAAACAGTTATTGCTTCACATTATTTTAGATATAAAAACCTGGAAATTTTATACCCTGGCTTCTTATTTTCCCTAAAAATTTATTACTAATTCTTTGACTCTTAAAGATTATGTGGCTTATTATAGCAGGAAATATAATGAAGGGGCCTGCATATTTAAGATGATGAGAATATGTATAAGAATTATAATGAGGAATAAAATGAGAAAAAAATGCCTTTCTATAACTTTAATGCCCAAATAGTTATCAAGTTAGAAGTTGTTCTTATGAATGACTGATTTAGTATATTTTCTTCACTTGGATTTTTTCAACTGTAAAAATGTTATTTTCATTTACCTTTAATTATAGATACCAAATACAATATTTAAAAAACTTACATTTTTCCTAAATGTTGGAAATTACTTTCAGCACCTATAGCAAATCGTGTAATATTTCACAAATCCTGATAAAGCCAGATCTGTATAAATTTTAGTTAAATTCAAAAGTTGCTTGATGACACAATTCTATATCCAAAGTCTAGACAACTTATAAAATTTCAGGAAAGAAAAAAGGGATGAACTGCTGTTATAAAGTACTCAAAACCTATTATTCCTTATTTTATATCATAGTACACAGGCTATCTCTTCTGTCACCTACCTCCAGGCAAAATTGCACCTAATCTATCAGAAAGATGAGTCTCTTCAATTCTTAAAATCCTTCTGGGCAGTAGATATCACAAGTTCCCTTAATGTCAAAAAAACTTTCAATCAGAAATTTCCTCTCTGCACCTCACTCCTCTGACTATATGTTAAACTCATTTTTTTCTCATACAATTCTAATACAAATAGCTTCAATTAATAAAAGGCATATTTGGCAAACAGTATGTTTTCAACTCACTAGGGCTTTCTAAAGTAAAATTAATCTGGAGTAAACTTTTAAGAAAAGATATAAATGACATGGAAGTTATCATTTAGAAAATGATTGTAATAAAAGAAAACAACAAAGTACACAGCTAGGGGGAAATTAGCCAGAAAAGACTTAGAAAATTGGATTCTTTGTTACCGACAGAGTGGGAAGGAAAGTGAGAATGTTAAAGGTGATAAAAAGGTGAGGACTAATAGAATATTATTGAATCAAGAATGTATAATTTAGATTAAATATAAAAAATGAAGGAGAAAAATGGAAGGATATTTTGAGATGATTTAAATATTATCCTAGAAAATATAATTTAATAAAGCCTTATGTATGTATAATGCATGTGTGTGTATATATATATGTACACAAATACAAGTGTGTGTGTATCAGTGATGAGATATATATATAGAGTTTTGTTGTTATGAAAGTAGGACATGCTTTTTATGTTATTTTTTCTATTTTAAATTAATATTACAATATAAATATTTGACTGATTATATATTAATTGGTTTAACTCTCCTTCCAATTTCAATTATTTGATTAGGAAATTGCTGCATGCACATTTGAATCAATTCAACACTAACTAAATATTTCTTTTCTTCAGTTTACATTTTTTGATCATCTGATCTTTCTGATTGCATCATGATTTGCTTTGTGTTTACAATATCAGGGACACTGATATTAACACATATCATAAATTCCCATTTAAAAAATATATTAAAAGCAAATTGGACAGTCATGAATTTTTTCCTTGCTGACATAAAAAATATCAAGTAAAGTGATTTCCTGTTGCTCTTTCAGACACCAAGCTGCCTCAAATACTAACTTAATTACGAATTATCAAATTATAAATAGAATAGCCTCTAATTAGCCAAACTCTTCAATAACTCTTTATAGAATGAATAATCAGTACTTCTAATAACAGTATTCACAGATGAAACAGATGAAAGAAGATATTCAAGTTTTATAATAGATCAACACAACAGGAGTAATAAATATATAATAAAAACATATCCTTTTAAAAACCACATCCCTATAGAAACTTCTTTTTGCAGATTGCAAAATATCAGCAACATTATACAAATTATCCTAGATCCATATGACAGTATTTATCTTGAACAAAATAAATTAGAAAACTCTTCTTTTCATAAAAGTTGATTATGCCATACATTATTGTTTACATTATATATTTTTTAACATTTTAAATAAAAATATGTGTAACATTATATAAGAACATTATATAATTAATATATAATTTAAAATTTAAAAAATTCTCTAGGTGACAATATATTTTTTTATCAGCTATTTTTTAAATTTAGTTACTATTTAGCTAAAGCATGAATATTATGTACCAGTATATATTAACTTCTGGGAACATAAAAACTGGAGAAAATTACTTATAATAACCTTTGTCCTTAGGAAATTTATAGTTTCTATAAATGTAGACAAATAGCAAATCTACTACTTTTCAGATGTCTATGAAAATCGAGACCTTTATATAGTGTTGATGGGAATGTCAATTGGTACAGACATTTTGAAAAACAGTATGAAGTTTCCTAAAAAAATAAAAATAAAACTAACATAAGATCCTACATTCTACCTTCTGGATATATATTTAAAATAATTGAAATCAATTGCTTGAAGAGATATCTGCACTCCCTTGTTCATTGCAACATTATTCACAATAGCTAATATATGGAAACAAACCAAGTATCCATACAAAGATGAATGAATAAAGAAAATGTGGTATATATACCCAGTGGAATATTATCTAGTCTTAACAAAGAAGGAAATCCTGACATTTTCATCATCAGGGATGAAACTTGAGGGTTATGATATGTGAAATAAGCCAATCACAGAAGGACAAAAGCTGCATGATTCCAATTATATTAGGTACTTATAACAGACAAACTCAGAGGAAGTAAATAATATAATAGTGGTTGCAAGGTGCTGGAGGGAGATGAGGAGATGATGGTCAAAGTTTCAGTTATGCTGAATGAATATACTCTGTAGATCTGCTGTACAATATAGTGCCTATCATTAATGATAAGTGTACTTCAAAATTTGTTAAGAGAATAGATCCCACGTTAAGTGTGCCTACCACAAAAGTAAATAAATAAATAAAAGCAAATACAAAATTAAAGACACAGGGAAACTCTGAAAGGTATTTGGCTCACTCTTGGCTCAAAACAAACATGAATATGGGGAAAATAGGATTCTGAGTTTTTCATAATTGCCTTTCTCTTCCTATACAACACACTTTTGTTACCTAGAGAATGGCCCAAATTATCTCAATAATACATTTGCCAAACAAAATGTCCTCCTCAAATACTTTATGCCTGGTACTACTAAAATAACTTGGAGGATATTTCAGTACAAGCCATATATAATAAAAATTGTCTTAAATTATCTAAGGTAAAAAACAATTTATTAACCAATAAACTTAAATCACACTCAAAAATAGGCTTTCACAATCAATAATCCACACTGTCATTCAGAAATGTAGATAGGATGACTAAATTTCACTTTCTATGGGCACATTATTGATGTTGACATAGGGGTCGACATCTTCAAAAAGATGAAGAAAAATAAGAAAAATCCAAGAAATATCTTTATGGGAAAAGGTTCGAAAAAAATGAACTTCACTGTTGCCCACATTCCACAGCCAAAGACAGTTCCAAGGCCATATCAAAGTGCAGAAAGAATAAGGAAGAAAGTCTACCTGTATGCCCTATTTAAAATATGTAGGCAATCTTTACCAAATTTTATTCTGTTCATTCTTCCCACTAAAAAAAAAGAAAAAAGAAAAAACGCAGTCCACCCTCCTTGCCCAACATAAATGAATATGCCAGCGTCTGCTGTTTGACCAGTATTTCCACATGATTTCCTTTTTATCAGTTCCTTACATAGCTCCCACATGCCACTGTTTTAAAGCAGGAGTCTTCAAAATGGTCTGTGGTTCAGCTGTCTATTTTTTAATGTAATGATCTATTGAAACCTAGCTACATGTGTTTACATACTGTGTATGTCTACCTTGGTGCTACAGTACCAAAGTTGAGTAGAGTTCAGCAGATGTGACAGAGGCTGTATGGCCCAGAAGCCTAAAATACTGAGTAACCCTATAAGAAAAAGTTTGTCAATGACTATTTAAAAAAAAAAAAAAAGTTTTTGTCCAATATACATACAATGGTCTATTTGTCACAGGCAGGCATTTTGACAATCATCTGCTTTGGCAGTAAAGGTAATTTTTGGATTTGATCTTGAAAGAAAGTTCTTATTCATTGCTCTCTACTCACTCACATGGCACTCTGGGAGATCCTTCTTTGTTTATTGAACTGTTGGGCATAGCTGATGATGGTGACTGATAGCTTGCTGTCCTTTCCCATCTTGTTTACTGTCATATTAGTTTACTGTCATTTTAGTGCTCAAAAAGGAAAAAAAGGATTTTTTTAGCTAGTTATGTTAGAAGTTCATTACTCATTTTTTTAAAATTTTTCTGTGATTCAAAATTACCCTCAAAAACTCAATGGCTTTTGACATCTGACATCAACAAAGGTTTATTTCTTGATCATGTCACATTTTGACTAGCAGTCAGCAGCAGCTCTGATCTGGCTCCAATTTACAAATAAGCCTCAGATTGGCTTCACCTTTTTTTTCTTTTTTTTTTTTATTCTGGGCCCAGCCTATTGGAGCAATCTGTATCTGGGACATGCCATTTTCATGGCAGAATGGCCAGAGTGTTGACTGGAATGCACAATGGCTTTTAAAGCTTTTGCTGTCATATGACATGTGTTATGTCCACTCACATTCCACTGGCCAAAGTAAACTCAATAGTATTGAAGCAGGGAGGTATACAAAATACCAGGGCACTAAAATTTACAGAGTAATGAATTGGAAAGCATAATCTTCTTACATGAATGTGGAATATGTAGCATAAGCAATAATGCAATCTGACTTCTTAAGCCTATGATCTGTGTGCTTCTAATCATTTCTCTGCACCAGTAGCAGAGTTCTTAACAAAAGGTAATTGTCAAGTTTATTTTTTTTGCTTATGTATTGAAGTGCCTTTTTGTATCAGATTAAATAATATACCTTGAAGCTATTAGGATTGCTTTTTAAGAACTCATTCCTTATTTAATCTTTCCTAAAAGCTAGGTCTTAATAGTGCTTTTTCATATTTATTTTGTGCTGCTACAGTGGGTTTCCCTAACTCATTAAGGACAAGACATGATATATTCCTTTTTATTTCTCCTGGAGACCAACCATTTCTTACCTAAAGTAATCTCTTTTATTTGATAACATCGTAAGCAATCTGATCACAACACACATCCACAACTAACAATCTGTTTTCCAGCCACTTTTCAGAAAGCTACAGGATCGATAGACACATTTCTGCCTTTCAGGATATCACAGGAAACAGTTTTCTCAAATGTTTTGGCACTGCATAGGTAGGAACTTCTCTGATATCAGTTCCTTTGCTATGTGACTACTAATTTGATACCAAGCATTTAATGATTCTGTGATTGTTTGGCAGCACCACGTTTCAAAGTATAATTTTCTCATGTGTTAAGGTAATTCTAAACACAACAGATTAACAGTGAAATACTGCCAACTAGGTTTCAATTTACACAGTGTTATGTGGTGTAGATGTTCAACACTTGCATCCAGAATCAGTTTTGGAATTAATAGGTGGCCAAAATTAGAAGAGAGAGGATAACTCATGGAAAATCTTACGTCCTAGGAAGTTGCACAAAACTCTTTGTTTCACCTTGCAAAGGTGAAAAGGCCAAAACTCAGTCATGTGGCCATGACCTAATTGAAAACGAAGCTAGGAAGGTTGATCTTTGTCTATGCCTCAGGTAAAACAAAGATTTTTGCTGCCCCTGCTTGAGGTTGCAGAGAGTTCATGAATTTATATTTCTCTAAATAAGTCTATTGACCCTAAATTTTATGTTTGTTTTATTTTGTTTTACCCTTTATTTTTTGCAGCACTAACCCATTACTGAAAATATATTTGTATTTCCATCAATAGCTTTCCTAGTGAGGGAAAGTTACATTTTTAAAATAAGGTTAAATGAGCTCATATACATATATATAGTATGTATTTATATATGTATTTATATATATATATATGAACAAAAAGTACCCATATTTAGTAAATTGCTTTATGATCACACATTCCAAAAAAGTAAATTAAAGCTGGATGAAGTGGCACATGCTTGCAATCCAGCTACTCGGGAGGCTGAGGTGAAAGGATTGCTGGACGCTGAGGTGAAAGGATTGCTTGAGTCTGGGAGTTTAGGGGTTTGAGGCTGGCATGGGGAACACATTAAGATTCTGCCTCAAAAATAAAAACAATAACAAAAAAAAACTAACAAAAAACAAATAAAATAGTGAGATTTAACTGTAGTTTTGCAAATTTATCTGTCAGTCAAAAGACTGAACCCTACTAAAATTTAATGGCTTTTACATTGAAAACTTCTCATATGTTCTCAATTTTATTTGACATTTTTTTCTCAGTAAATAAACAATAATATACTAGAACATTAGGTAATTTAGAAATTTTTTAAACTTCCATTGTGTTTTCCTTTACAATATTAAATTTAGTAAGTTCTTTCACTAGAAAAAGTGTGATGAAAATAGAATATTTATAATAAGATTTAAAATAACTTTTTTCTTTTCAAACAGATATTCTATTAATTATCCTTGAATATAAAAATCCAAAACAAAACAAATATGTAGTTGGAGTACATGTTTTCTCAACTATCTTAGAACACAGGAACTGGGCCACACAGCAGGAGGTGAACGCAAGCCAGGGAACAAACCTTCATTTGTGTTTATAGCCCTCCCCATCACTCTCACACTACTGCCTGAGCTCCCCTCCTGTGGCCTTAGATTCTCATTCAAGGGCAAACCCTATTGTCAACTGCACATGAGAGGGATCTAGGTTGTGAGCTCCTTATGAGAATCTAATACCTGATCACCTGTCACTGTCTACCATCACCCCTAGATAGGACCGTCTGATTACAGGAAAACAAGCTGAGAGCTCCCATTGATTCCACATTATTGTGAATTGTATACTTATTTTATTACATATTACAATGTAATAATAATATAAATAAAGTGCACAATAAAAGTAATGTACTTGAATCATCCCAAAACCATCTCCCCCTCTCTGGGTCCATGGAAAAATTGTCTTGCATGAAACCAGTCCCTAATGCCAAAAAGGCTAGTGACCACTGTTTTAGAAGCTACCCTGCTTGATGCTCTTGCTCTAAGATGAGTCAATAGAGAACTTGCTCATTTAGCTTACTCAATTTTTCATGCAACTATTTAGGAATAAAACTGAGACAGTATCCTTATTTCTTGCATTCCACCCTATTCTGTTTGTGGTACATGATTTTGAAGTGATGATCCTTAGAAAGTTATATAATTCTAAAACTTAAAATTCTAGAAATGTAGTCAGGAAAATTGACCAAAATGTTAATCTCCTTCAATATTACTACTAAAATTATTATAGAGAAACTCATTTGTACAACACTAGTTAGAAAGGCAAGCAGCCATTGGCCTGCATGAAAAGTTGGTCCCCACAATAAATTAGTATCTATATTACCTTTATTTGCATGGCACATATGTAATCTCGAAACTTACTACAATATTGTGATCTTTTTTGTCTCATACAGACACTTTTCTCACCTTAGCCTGAATGATAAGATTTTCCCACAAGGCAGGGTGATAGTCCTTGTGATGATCTGGATAAACTGAGAAATACCATTGATTCCAAATAACTCAGTGGAATAAAAGTATTAATTTTAATATAACATGCTGACAAATGGACAAAACTAACTTTTACAATGGTTTTCTTGAAGTTACTATGTTTGGTATTTCCCTTTATTGGTTTTAGAGAAAAAGAAACCATATAATGGCATTAAGCCATGTAAAAATAATATAGATTAAATTGAAATTTAGTCATAACATAATCCCTTTTACTTTGTATTGTTCCTTGAATGTTTTAAATGCTTGTCATTCATGGAAGTACCCTCACTGCCCACAGGAAACATTCCATATTCAACATATGGTTTTTCATAATCTCACTCCAACATAATTTATTGGAGATATATTTCCTTATACAGGTTATTTTTTAAATATTTTGAATTGGATTATCATTTCTCAGTTGAGCAATGATTTACTTTGATAATGTGGGCTTATGCTTCATGTTTAGTTTTTAGTTATTTTATAAAGTTATAATTTACATACATTAAAAGTACGTATTTTAAGCATACAATTTGATAGGTTTTTACACACACACACATACACACACACACACACACATAGCATCTATTTATAGATAAAAGTAGACGACATTTATGTGCTGCAAAATGTCCACTGCCTTTTTTGTTCTGGTGAATACACCACTCACAACATAGCCACCAGTAGTTTTGTTTGGCTTTGCCGATTGTTTATAACCCAAGATTGAATTTTTGTCTTTTATACTTACTATTGAATTCTATAAAATTGCATTTGATGAGAAAAACTGAAGTTGCTTTATTTATTCCAAGGTTTGCTTCATAATTTATGTTCAATATCAGTAATAATCACCTTCATTTTCCCTGCTGTTTATTCTTTTGTATAGAGTTTTATGTCCATCTGGAATCATTTTTCTTCTGTCTAAAGAACTTCATTTAACATTTCATGTAGTATGTGTTTGGTGGTAATAACTTATGTTTTGATTTTTGTATGTCTGAAAAAAATCTACATTTTTCTCATTTTTGAAAGATAATTTTAATGAAGAATACATTTTATGTTGCTGTGTTTTGTTTTGTTGCTCCACTATCTTCTTGTGTTCATTGTTTCTGACTGGAATCGGCCATCTTCTTTTTCTTTGTTCCTTTGTAAAATGTACTGCCTATTTACCCACCCAAACCTGGCTGCTCTCAAGATTTTCTTTTTATCACTGGTCTTTAGCAATTTGGTTATGATATGCCTTGGATTAGTTTAGTTTCCTTCACATTTCTTATCTTAGGGGTTAGTTGGACATCTTGGATCTCCGAGTTTATAATGTCATTAAATTTGAAAAGTTTAGATATTATCTATTGAAACATTTTTATGTAACACTTCTCCCATTTCCTTTTTTTTACCACCATATCAAGCCTCTTTAAAATGTCCTATAACTCACTGATGCTCTGATGATTGTTTTTAATTATCTTTTCTATGTTTTCATTTGAATAGTTTCTATTGCTAAATCTATTTCTAATTCCATAGAATGAATATGTAGTAAGCTAGAATATGAAGCATTCTATTTTTGAACAAGGCCCATATTTCATTCTCAAATAATAATGACTAGAGCTTAGAATCTGAAGTTATTTTTATATGTATCAGCTCTTACCCTAAATAACTATAATTGGAATAAATCAGTAAAATTACTGGTGTCTTAATTTCACAGATATAATCTTTAATAGTAGGATTTTGGATGTTCAGTGATTTTTAATCTCCTTTCTTAGGATGCTAAGCTTCCTTCAAGACAAAGTGAGATTTTAGATATTAGGCAACTTGTGTTCCAATTTTCTCATTTGTTTTAAACTGGAATAGCTTTGTAGGATCATGGGATTGTGATAAATACTGGGTTTCAATTTAGGAGATTGTTTAGAATGATTTTTTTAAATTTGCTGGATAAATGATCTCTCAAATATCACATATTATAAGATTAGACACTAAAAGCCAAGAGACAATTGTTTTACCTAATACAATATGTTCCATTTGCTGAAATCCACCAAAAATTCCTGATTCTTATCTTTCTTTGACTCCAACCTAGGTGTTGCCAGATGTTTCTGTTTTTGCTCATGACATAAGGGCTTATAAATTTTCCAATTTGCAGAATTTACTTTATCCTTTTACCACCAATAAACACAGAATTCTTAAAATGTGTTGTGCATGAATGTGATATCCAGTCCTCTTTCACAGTTAGTCATTTGTTCTGAAACATTTTTTTATTTCAACAATTCTCCATAAGATTCTGCACTTGCTCCTGAGGATGCAAAAGAGTAGCCATACATTAATAATTGATTTGCTGTTTTGTTTCTGTCTGGGAGGATATAAGACATGCAGACTTGTTTTAAACAATATAATACAGTAAGTTCTATAATAAATAAATGTGAAAAGTGTTTTAGGTTTGCAAAACATGGATTGTTATCTCATTGCATGACTATTTGGGTCTCCAAGAAAGATTTCAAAGAGGAAATAATAATTGTGGTAAGTTTCAAAAGATATAGCAGAGTTTTCCCTGAAAGGAAGGTTATAGTCCCTGATTGACTACTGCTTTCTTGCTGTCACTCAAGTTTTGATAAACTAGCATTTTAGCTGTGGATTGAGTAAAGAATACTACAGAAAGAGTGATTGAGAATTATTTATAATAGCTAGCATGTTATTGTATCTGCAATGTAGGCTAGATTTTACCATATGCTATGCTCACAAACTAATGTATATTTACTGCTATCCACAAGGCTGATCAAGTATTAATGTATATATTTTATTATAAATCATTAATCTTATTATGAATTGTGTGTCAGTTTATTGTCATTACAACCAATTTTACTAAATTACGATGTATACATTATGCACAAAAATAAAAACAGCAAATACATTTTTGCATGTATAAAATACCTACCATAGAAACAACTTAATGCTTTACTAGAAACATTTACATTTATTTAAACAGCAGATAATATTTTAAGTAAACATGTATGTGAGTTAAGTAAACATGCAAAATATGACATGCTTACTGCTTATGTTCTTTCACATTTATTCTTTTATAATTCATGAGTTATAAACAACAATGAACTTCATTACTAGGCAGATGTGTGTTTGAATCCTGATATTAAGAGAATTGAAGCTCAAGTACTTCAACGATATAATGTTAAGTTTAATGTACAAAAATACAGTTATTGTATGAACTAAAAATAGGTTTCCTTAAATATAAATATCTGTTAAAGGGCTTAAAAAGAGTCTAATACATAATACATATTTCAGTCACGTTAACTATTATTGTTAAACTATTTTTAAGTTGTATCAATTTATCTTTTCACTTGAAAAAGGATTTCCATAGGAACTATAATTGTCATTAGAACTTAAATATTTTTTCTAAACAATATTTATTAAATGCAAAACATAAATCATATAAAATAAAAATATAAATGTAATTTTCAGATGTATTTAGATGAGTAATAAACATTGTTAAATAGCTGTATATCAACAACTCATGCGTTTATTCTTCTGATCAATTTAAATTTTATTTGTTGAATATTTATTATGTGCCAGACACTAACATAAGCATCTAGAATACATCAGGAATCCAAACTGACAAAGAGTTTTGCCTTCACGGTGCTTTTATTCTAGTGTTCAATAATAAAATTCATTAATAATAAAGTTTGCACTATATTAGAGGATGATAATTGCAATGAGAAAAATTAGAGCACTACAAAAGGGAATGAGAGATCTTCAAGCGAGTTGCTGTTTGTCAGAGTAGACCATACTAAGAAGTTAATATTTGAGCAAAAGAGGTAGTCATGTACCTCTCTGGAAGAAGAGCATTTCAGGCAGAGGCCAGATTGCATAAAAGAACTTAGATGGGAGTGCATGTAACATATTCTGGAAATAGTTTTTAGGTCAATTTGGTTAGAATAAAGAGAAAATGAAAGACGTGAGACCAAAACAGTAATGACAGGGGTGAATGGTGGTAAGCTTCCAGATCATATATGACCTTGTAGGCCACTGTGAGGACTTGACTTGTACTCACATTGAAATGAAAAGCCTTTGGAAGATTTTGGTTTTAGCAGGACATGGGTGGACTTAGTTTTTAAAGGATCACTGTAAGTGTTATGTTGAACATTTCAGTAGGAGAGGTGCTAAGACAGGAATGTACCAACTCATTTGGGGACTATTACAGTAATCTGGGAAAGAGATAAGAAGCAAAGAGCAGGAAGGTAATGCATACATGATGATTAATGTTGAGAAACTGACTACCCTTTATCAGTAGAGCCAAACTTCCTGATGGATAGTGTGAGGGAGTCAAGGATGAAGACAACATTTGTAATTGGTTAATAGCAAGAATACAGTTGACAGTAACTGAGATAGTTGTGAACGGAGAAAGGGAAGGGGGATATGAGTCAAATTTTCAAAACACAAAGTTTGAAATATCTGTTAGATGCCCAAGTAGGATTTCAAAATAGGTAGTGAGATCTAGAAATCTGGATTTGAGGAACTAGTTTGGGGATTTATAAATGTTGTTTTAAGCCATAAATTTGGATGAGATCACACACAAAAAAGAGTAAATTGAATGAATAAATTGTGGCTTATTTACTTAATGCAATATTAGTCATCTATATAACAATGACTTCTTATGTATACAAAAACATGGAAGACTGTAAAAAAAGTATACTAAGCAAAGAAAGCAAGCAAAAAAGACTAGAACATTAAAAAATAATTTATTGTGACTGAAAAGAAAGCAGTTGTTGCCTAGGGCTGGGAGTGAGGATTTGACTGGCAAAAAACATAAAAGAACTTTGTAGTTTGATAGAAATGCTCCATCTCTTTGTTTTATTTCTGATTATATGAGTAGATACATTTTCAAAACAAATCAAACATAATATGAATGTATTTTATGTGTTTTAAAATACTAAGGAAGTACATTTCAAAGAAATTGATATTTTGAAATATAAAACAAAACCTTAGAAAAGAAAAACTACATAATACATAAAATCTCAATACATGAGATATTTTGAAAAATATAAATGTATTTTTATTTCTATATATTATTATATTGATTATATTATGCTTTTATATCTTATGTTAAACTTGGCTACCTCTGGAAATTATTACTTAATGCTAGGAAATTTTCCTTAAAAATCAATGGATTTTTGGCATTATTATTTGATTTCTTGGCACATTCTGAAATACTCAAATAAATATTTTATCATTATATTTACCAATCAAAAAATAAAATAAATTCACTCATAAAAATGGTACATCAGTAGGTTGAATGATCTTTTTTCTGAATTAAATGTTTTTCACCCATCCAAGTTATGTTTGCATTTTAAGGATACAAATTATAAAGGAAACATTACTTCGGTAATAACAAGGCACTCAAACGTTTTAATAAAGATACTGTTTCATTTATTTAGCAAATTTCTGAATATTTGGGCAAAAATTTTACTATTTCTAATTACAGATAATTAACCTAAAGCTCAGATAATTAAAAGTAGTGACAAGATAAATAAAATTAATGATAGAAGTCTGATCTCCTTTGAGAAAATACTCTTATTGTAAAACTACACAAATATACATGAAGCCATAATCCTATAATCATATGCATTTGATTAGGGTCTATTGCTTGACATGAAGCACTCTTAAGGAAATTATATATTTTTCAAAATTTCTATGACCTAATATAACAAAGTAGTCCATTTTAATTATCCTTTTATACAAATTCAAGAATATAGTTATACATATTCATGACGGCAGTATTAAAATATTCAATGTAATTAACACAAAAGTATTATATATATTTAAATGACTTAATTAATAGAATAGAAATTACTTGATAATACCGAAAATTATATACCTTTGTTTTCACATCTGTCATGCTGCAATAAAGCGTATCAGACTGTTCCTCCCAGTATAAAACCAAAAATTGGGTGAAGTATTTTCAGGCCTAAATTAAGCATGATCCTTGAGAATACGGATCATGGATCCATGAATTCACTCTTACAGTTTATCTACATTTAATTCTGGAATTAGTTTCTCAATTGCAATATAAGGATGTAGCACAGACGTTCTTGTGCACAAGGTGTGTAAAGGCAGAGATGAACATCAGAGCTATTGAAATAGCTAGAATTTAGTGAGCAGGAAAACAGAAAGGTGTCTGCCATGTAAAAGAAGTGAGGTCCAGAAATTTCAGTGGGATTTTCTTATGTATCACTGAATAAGGCTTGCTATGCATACACACAGGACAGGACTCAACAAGACTTACAGGAAAGGAAAATAGCTGAGAGGCTGAATGAAGATGTTAGTTATGCAATCCTAGGGCACATTGTATTTCAGGCCAGACAGGGTAAGAGAGCTTCCTAAGTATTTCAAGCATTCAGTTGAGTCTGAAGAAGGTTTATACTTTAAAAATAAGGGCCACACCCTAGAGTAAGGATCATGTCTTAGAAGTAGAGACAAAACTAAAACGGACTCACTCAAACAAAGAATAAAAGTAATCCTGGGATCCAAGAAAATCATCAGTAGTTTTTCTGAGTGCTAGAAAAAGCAAATCAACATTATTTAAAGAGATAAATCCAGAATCTAGGCAATTTATAATGTATCATCCATGTTTAACATGAAATCAAATTGTTACCAGGCATTTTTTGAATCAGGAAATGTAGCTCATAATCAGAAGAAAAAGCCATCAATAGAAACACAGACTTAACCACGACAGAGATGCTGAAGTTGAAATTATCACGCCTGGATTTAAAAATCGCTATCATGAAACTGATGACATAAATTTAAAAGGTAATATAATTAGTTAACAGATAGATAATTTCAGCAGAGTAATTGAGCTATGAGATAAATGAAAATTCTAAAACTGGAAAGTACAAAATTTGAAATAAGGTATTCCCTGGATGTGTTTAATAGTGGATTAGAGCTTGCAAAAGAATGGGTCATTGAACTTGAAGACAGATCAATAAACCTTATTGATATGAAGAACAGAGATAAACAAAAAGCAAAAAAAGAATAAGTTTCAATAACCCATGGGACAATATTGAGTTATCTAACATATATAACGTATATGTATTAATAGAGCTCCAGAAGAAGAGAATAGGATAGAATAATTATTATTTAAAAATTTAATAATCATGATACAAGAAAAGAATAATTGATAAACTAGACTTAATTAAAATTAAAAACTTCTGATTTGGAAAGGCAATGTCAAGAGAAAGAGAAGACAAGCCACAGACTGGGAGAAAATATTTTCAAAAGACACATTTGAGAAAACTGCTAC
The DNA here is from genome assembly GCF_000001405.40 of Homo sapiens. NCBI lineage: Eukaryota > Metazoa > Chordata > Mammalia > Primates > Hominidae > Homo > Homo sapiens. Next base: position 56,722,020 of record NC_000013.11, read on the forward strand.
CAAAATATATGAAGAACACTTAAATCTCAGCAAGAAAAAAAGTTAATATGCCAAAGATATTAATGGAACCCATATCAAAGAAGATAAATAGATGTCAAATAAGCATGTGAAAAAATTCTCCGTATCTTATGTCATGAAGAATATGAAAATTAAAACAAGATACCACCAAAGACCTATTAGAATGGCCTGAATCCCAAATACTGACAGTAGCAAATGCTGACGAGGATACAGAGCAATGGGAACTCTTATTCATTGGTGGTAAGAGTAACAAATGATACATCCACTTTGGAAAACAGTTTGGCAGTTTCTTACAAAATTTAACATATACTCTTACCATGATTATATGAGTATATGATTCAGCAATTTTACCCTTTGGTATTTACCCAAAGGAGCTGAAAATTAACTATGTTCACACAAAATCCTGCACATAAGTATTTATAGTAGTTTGATTTATAATTGCCAAAACTTGGATGTGCCCAAGATGTCCTTCAGTAGGTGAATTGATTAGCAGACTGGTACCTCAGACAATGGAATGCAGTGTCCAAAAGAAATGTGTTAGAAAGCCTGAAAAGACATGTAAGAAATTTAAACACATATAAGCCAATCTGAAAAGGCTATATAATGTATGATTCCAACTATATGACATCCTTGAAAAGACAAAACTATGCATGCAGTAAAAAGATCAGTGACTTGAAGAGGTTGGGGGAAAGGAGAGATCAATAGGTAGATCACAGAGGATTTTTAGGGCGTGGAAAATACTCTGTATAATACTATGATGAATGAATATGAACACATGTCATTATATATTTGTGAAAGCCCCCAGAATGTAAAACACCAAGAGTAAACCCTAAAGTAACCTATGAATTTTGTGTGACTATGATGTGTCACTGTAGGTTCATCAATTTTAGGAAATTTACCACTCTGGAGGAGAATTTTGATAATATAAGAGCTTATGCCTTTGTAAGTGAAGGGGTGTATGGGAAATTTATACCTTACAATTTTGCTGTGAACTTAAAATAGCTCTAAAAATAGGTTTAAAGCAAAAACTAACAGCCACAAATGTTTTAAATTTAGTGAAAAGTATTAAACTGCACAACCAAGAAACTCAGTGAACCTCAAGCAGGATAAACATATTTTTTAAAAAACACACACCAAGGCTTATCATAGTCTAACTGCTGAACATCGAAGATCTTAAGACAACTTCTGTGATCAGAAGAGGAAATTATAACAAAGAAACTACTGAGAAAGTATGATACAAATAATGACTGTCTTCTCATCAAAAACAACATAGGCCAAAAGGCAATGGATCGTTCAGTGTTGAAGAGGGGGAGAGAAACTATCAATCCCAAATGATATATTCATTCAAAATATCCTACAGAAAGAAAATGGAGTAAAAATATTTTAAGATAAATGAAAGAAAAAAATTATATATGTATACATACCTATATACATACCAATACACATATATACATACATACATGTGCATATTTGTGAAATATACGTATATATAAATGAAAAACTTTTTTTTTTTTTTTTTTTTTTTTGCGTGTGTGTATTTGTATTTGTGCAAAGGCAGCCATACTACCAGAAATACTAAAGAGAGTTCTTCAGGTCAATAGGCAGTAACTTCAGATGGAAATTAAAAGCATTGTAAATGGGAAATATGTAAGTAAAGATAAAATATTTCATCTTCTGTCTTTTTAAATACAATGATTGTTGATATAAATAATTTAGCATTTTATTTTGGAATTTACAATGTATGAGAAGTTGAATACCTAGTAAGAACAGATCAAGGGATGGGGTGGTAAATAAACTTATGGTGTTATAAGGTTTTTACATTTTACATGAAATAATGCATCATTAATTTTATGTTGAACTTTGTTAAGTTATAGATATATACTGTCATCCTTAGGCCAACTACAAAAATATATATCTACAGGTGTAGCTAAAATGCAAATAGTGGGAGTAAAACAGAATTTTAAAAATCATTTAAAAATTATTTAATTAAAAAGAAGGCTAGAAATTAGGAATAGAAAAATAAAACTGATAGAAAAACAGAAAAAATTCAATATTAGATTAATCAATATGTTATGTCAAAAGTTATATTTACTTTAAACTCTCCAATTCAATGGGAGGTTAAGAGGACAAAATAGGTATGTAAAGAATTGCACTTGAATATAAAGACACAGATACAACAAAATAAAAAGAGTAGAAAAAATTGTACCATGCGACCACATTAGAAGAAGTCTGGTTTGGTGATATTTATACTACACTAACTAGACTACAAGTCAGAGTAATACCATAGGCAGAGAGGAATTTCTTGCAATACAGAAGGGTGAATTAATTAAGAAGACTTACATCCTGTAACAGAGTTTTAAAATATTTGAATTAATTAAGAAGACTTACATCCCGTAACAGTTTAAAAATATTTGAAGTAAAAATGGACAAAATTTGTATAAGAAATATATACAAAAGCATAATCATGTTGGATAATATAATACTCCTCTGTTAGTAATTGATAAAATAACTAGATAAATCATTAACTAAAAACATAGAAGATTAAGTCAATTAGCACACTTGGTATAATTGACATTATGTAATAGTACACTCCCAAAACACTAAAGGCATATGAAATGCCTAGTAGGATAGATCATATGCCAACCCTTAATATAAATCTCAAAATTTTTCAAACATTGAAATTTGTACATTTCATCTTATGTGAATAAAAGGGAATACCATTAGCAATCATAAACAACAAAATATCAGTAAAAATCCCTACATGTTTTCAATTTAAACAGTACACTTCTAAATGATACATGTGTCAAAGAATGGATCACAAAGAAAATCTTAAAATACATTTTTTCACACTGAAAAATTAAAAAATATATACATCAAAATGTGTGGAGTTGACATGAAGCAGTGATTAGAAAAATATATGACTGTAAACGCTTTTCTAATGGAAAGAAGAAAGGTTAAAATCAAGTATCTAGCTTTTCAACTTTAGAAGCTAAACAACTTCAAGCAAATTTAGGTAATTGATAAATTCCTAGAAAGTCAGAACAAGAAAAAAAAAAGACAACACAAATGGGCCAAAAATTTGAAAAGACATTTCACAAGAAGAGTTTTTTACAATTGATCAATAAGCAAACAGAATGTGCTCAGCGCCTGAAGCCATTAGGAAAATGCAAATTAAAACAACAAGATTATTCATTCTGATGTAAAGTTATAAAGACAGATAACCACATATATTGGCAAGAATAAGGAAGGACTGAACATTTCGTACAATACTGATTGGATTAAAAAACATTTTAAATGTCTCTTTGGCATTTCTCATATATTTGAAAATATAGTTACTCCATGACCCAGCAATTCTATTCCTATATTCTTAAGAGGTATGATAATGTCTGCCAACAAAAGTCTTGTACAGTAACACTTGTATGTAGTTTTATTCATAATAGCTAAAATCTGGAAACAATCTCAAATCTACTAAGAGTAGAATGAATAAACCAATTGTAACATGTCTATTAAATATAACAAAACAATAAATAAATAACTTTTGGTACATGCAACAACACAGATCATTCTCAAAATAATATTCTAAGGAAAAGAAGCCAGTCACAAAATAATACAGTATTCTATTCCATTTATAGGCAGAAGAATATTAAACAGAACTGAATTAGACTAATAAAAATAAAACAAGGCTTGCTCATGAGGAGTTGACTGAAAGAGTCAAAAATAAATTTACATGGTGATGGAGTACAATGTGTTCTATATATTTTGAGTGGAGCCTTGTAATGCTTTTGTCAAATCTCTTCAAATTGTATTCATTGGTGCAGTCTGCTTTATATATATATTTATCATAATGTAAAAAAATAAAATGCATATTTTGTTATATCATTATGTAAATATATTACATATATTATATTTATATATTATATAATGTATGAAGAAGAATGATGGGTGACTGCAGCTGCATTGCCTCTACTCCACCTCTACATACAAGGACTCAGCTAACCAGACCAAAAAAGCCTTGTTTTTACCATTGTTCAGGGAGAAACTGCTTTGGGAACTATCCCAGTGTCCTCCTTATTTGATACAAGTAATAAAATCCTCATGCTAAATACTTCTTGGTTGAGGTCATTGGATTGTCAATCGCCAAGTGATCAAAGCCCACATTGTGTAACAATTTCTGTACAATAAGTTATTTTAAGAGAGAGAGAGAGATCACATTAACATACCTTTTATTACAGTATATTGTTATAATTGTTCCTTTTTATTATTATTGTTTTAATCTTACTGTGCTTAATTTCTAAATTAAAATTTATTACAGATATATATCTATATATATATATAGGAAAAACAGTGTGTGTGTGTGTGTGTGTGTGTGTGTGTGTGTGTGTGTGTGTGTGTGTGTATATATATATATATATATATATATATATATGTCCTACTATATACATATAGGACTTGGGGCTATCTAGGATTTCAGGCAGCCACTGAGGGTTTTGGACAGTATGCCCCGTACATGAGAGACTTCTGTTGTTTTTTTATATGTCCTTCTTTCATTACCATAAGATTCTCTTTAGAAATAAAATCCAAATTAAAAATAAGTCTGTGACTATTACAGTTAACCATAGTTAACCTACAGTTTTCAAAAAATTAAGTTGCTCTTTACTCGTAAATGAGATACTCTATTTAAAGACATTTATTTTTGTATGTTTCAGGAGTAACTGATAAGTTACTAAGGTTTTCTAAAATGTCAGTATTTTACAAAAGGTTAAATGAAAACTAAATCAAATATGGCTTGGGCACTAAACAAATTTGGCTCTCCTTTCAGACATTTAAAACAGTATTATAAAATAAACCACCTTTAAAATCAATAATATTAATATTAGGATTTCAAGCATATCCATTTTATATTCAGGGAGTTATTTGTCTCGAATATTCAATATTTACATAAAATTACTCTAAGTTTCATTGATTGAAATCTAATTTAATAAGCAATTTTAAATTATTAACATTTAATTGTCAATAACTATATTTAAACATAATAGTTTCATTGAAGACAATGCGGGAAAAATGCCTATTCTTAAAACATTGACCTAATTATTTCATTTTCTTCATTATTTAATCTTTGACAAGTGTTTCTTGTCTTAACGTCTTTACTAGATATAAAAAATGGAGTTGTGGATGTCACGTTTTGTGACAAGATTGCTAAACATCCATTATCAATAGACTCTAAAAAGATTAAAATTGGCATATCTAGAAAACTGATACTTTGGTGTCTAATTTTGTTTTGATAAAGTATTTAATATTATACTGCCCATCATGTTAATATTGAAGATCTAAATATGGTAGATAATTTGAAAGCACTCAGTGTCAATGTTATGTCACCTACCAATTACTACATATTGAAAGAAAAATGAATGACATACATTCTTTTAAAATACATTCAATATGAAGATTCATTTTTGATGGTAACTTTAGCATGTATTTTTCCTTTCTTTAGTTGATAGTATGGCAGGAAGTAATTGTGATTTATAAAATAGGCTATCAAAATTACATCCCAAAGTTCTCACCAAATAACTGAGCCACAATTTAGTTCAAATTTTTTCATCTTTCTAGACATAGCTTTGTGTTTCTTGTGAATTTTGATTCCATTAGCATTATGAATATTGAAAAATAATTTATTAGAAAAGTGACTATACAAATATTACTCTGGTAATCTACATTTATCATTTACCTAGCATATAATTCAATATAACGATGTAATTTTAACATGCCTGTTTATTTTACCTTTCTTGACCAATAAACACATTCTGAAACAAACAATAACTAAATTGTGTTAGTCTGGTGTCAAATGAGAAACTAAAAGAAATAGCTCAGAGTTTTAAATTTAATTTTGACTATGATGTCTGTGAGTGTGTGTTTTATTATGCTTAGAAATCGCAGAGCTTTTTGAGTATGTATATTTTGTCTTTCAATAATTTTAGATTATTATCTATTTTGTTTTTACTCAAATAAAATTTTTGCCCATTTTTTTCTGTCTCTTCTTCAACTTTCAGCTATATGCATGCTTTATCATTAGGTATCATCCAATAGCTCTTGTATGCCATAAATCAACTTTGTTCAATTTCTTTTCATGTTTCATTTTGGCTTGAATAATTTTTATGTACCTGTCTTCTGATTTTCCTATTATCTTTTTCAGATGTTTAAATTTTCTATTACATCCAAAGAAACAATTTATCATATTCAGTATCATAATATCATGTGTTTTTAATTTCTATCAATTTGATTTTTTAAATTGTATTTCTGCTGAAATATCTCACCTGTTCATGCATATTGCCCACATGTTTCCTAACATACTGACCATAGTAAATTTAAACCCCCTATGTGATAACTCTAACACTAACCTGGGCCATTTCTGAATTGGATTTTGTTAGTTGCTTTATTTCAGGAAAATTGGTTATGTTTTCTTGCTTTTTTGTGTCATATACATTTTTTCTTTAATATTGAATGCGTGACATTGAGGCAAAGGAACAAGGTAGAGCAAGAACACTATGGCAAGAATATTCCTGGTGCATTTGGAATATGTAGAAGGATTGTATACATAGAATGACTGGGAGAAGGAGAGAGAACAATACAATTCAGAGATATCATAGGAGCTGCGGTTATTTGGAATTTTGAAGGTCATTTTTGGGAACTTGATTTTTATTATCCTAGAAGTTGTGAGATGCTTTGGAGAGTTTTCAGTTTGAGGTGACTGTTGGGCACTCAAGTACATATGCAAGGCAATCAAGCCAGGAAAATCTCATTTTGAGGCAATGATCTTCTTAGATACTACAAAAGTGACTTTTGTCCTGAACTTCAAGACTTAGAGGGCGACATGTCTTGCTCCTCTGACTATTCAATTTCCCTTATTGCATATATTTTGTGCAGTCAAGGGTTCATGGTCACCTGGAATCCCTAAAGCTCTTTTTAAACCTTGCTTCACTTTTTTAGCATGCCAGAATATTCTGCTTAAATGTCCCAGGCATTCTTACAAGGCGTGTGTGGGTCTTTTCCTGAGTCTAAACTTCAGAGAACATCCAAGTGATAACTGTTTTCAGGGTGATAGATGGAGTTTAGAGTTCCACTGAGGTGTATTCAGACACATGTATGTGAAGCCTTTTTTAGCATGGGAAGAAACCAGTAGTGGAGCGATATGGTGGTGTGTCACAGGCTAGGGGCTATGCCCCAAATTCTCATATTGCTATTATAAATCATTCCAAGATGTTTAAACTCAAATTTGGCCATTCATGTTTTCTGTAGTTAAATATGCCACACTATGCCATTACAACAAGTTTTATTTAAGAATTTATTATCTTAAAGTTGGAAAAAAGTTTAATATCTTAATTTTGTAATGGTATAATTTAAAATAGGCAATTGATATTTGAACCTTCACATGTAGTTTTGTAGCATACTAAATGTTAGAGGAGAGCCTGTTTGGGAGTCATTGGCCTATAGATGTTATTTAAAGCCAGAAGTCTTGAAGAAATTACAAAAGCAAAGAATAAAGATAGAGAATAAAATGTACCAAGACTGAAGCCCTAAAGCTGCTCCTACATTAAAAAATTAACGAGAAGAAATAGGACTTGAAGCACAACCAGAGAATAAACTTTTGGTGAGGTAGAATTAAAATTAGGCTATGAGGCCATGTATAGCAAACATATCAAAGAAAAAAGAAGGAATGATCAAATATGTCAAATGCTTCTGATAGGACAAAGAAGACAAAGACTCCACCTTGACCATTGCATCTAGGTACCTGGCCATCACCAGTAAAGTAGATGAGAGCATTGTTCATGGTATAAGGGTAGAAAAATAATTTGGAAAGTCCGAATATAATACCCTAATATATTGAAATATGGACTGATAAAAATTGGCAAAAGTTGTATAATTTTTTGTCTAGTAGTATGCATATATATGATATAGATATCAAAAATAATTATGCCTGCAAAGAAACTCAAACAGCTACCTGCAAGAGATTAAAAAAATACTCTTTCTCTTTCCTAGAGTAGAAAATCTTTGCATTATATAAAATGACAGATGACAAACTCAATCAATTCTAAAAATGATAAAGTTTGGTTGTATATTGTAACATAATGAAAACGTTGATATGGTTAAATTTTGTGTCCCCACCCAAATCTCATATTGAATTTTTATCCCCAGGTGTTGAGGAAGAGACCTGGTAGGAGGTGACTGGATCATGGCAGGGTAGTTTTCCTCATGCTGTTCACATGATATTGAGTGAGTTCTCACAAGATCTGATGGCTTTATAAGCATCTGGCATTTCCCGTTTGCACTTCTCTTTCCTGCCACCATGTGAAGGTCTTTACTTCTCATTTGCCTTCTGGTCATGATTGTAGGTTTCCTGAGGCTTCATTAGCCATGCATAACTGTGAGTAAATTAAACCTCTTTCTTTTATAAATTACCCAATCTCAGGTATGTCTTCATTGCTGTGGGAGAATGGACTAATGCAAACGTGTCTTCAGAACACTGTATTTTGGGACTCAATCCAATTTGGTTTATATCCCTATCGTTATGTATTTGTAAAATTAAATGTTAAAGCTACCCAGGCCTGGAGTTCGTTGCTTGAAAGGTTTTTATTTAAAAATTTAATTTCTAAAATTGACATAGAACTTTTAGGCTTTTCTATTTCTTTTTATATCCGTTTTCCTAAGTAGTGTTTTTAAAATAATTTTGCAATTTCACTTAGATGTTTAAATTTGTTAACATAAAATTTATACTGTTCTTTTTATCTTTTTCAATATGATCTGTAATGTGTTTATTTTTTCTCTTTAATCATATTGGTGGGGTTTTTCTTTTTAATTGTTCTCACTTAGGTTTATAAATATTAATATTCTTTGCAAATAACATTTATTGAAACTCATTGTAAACGTGTTCTATTTCATTAACTTTAGCTCTAAATATTAGCTCCGTTATTATTGTTAATTCTAATATTTCAGTTAAGTTTAGTACATACATGTAGCCTTTTAGTCAGATAGATATTTGCAGGAGTTTCTCCATGACCCCATACCTGTTTCATTGTCCAGATCTGTGTTATATTTCTGCCTGTTCTACTAGTCTTTTACCATCCTGACTAGCAACTGAGTACCTGGCCTTCTCCATTCATTTTCCACTAAAACTACCACTGTCACTGAAAATGCATCAGGGCGTGGAGTTGTTTCAGCTCCATCTGAAATCACATTAGCCCATTCAGTCAGCAAGCGTCTGGTTTTCACAGCTTGTCTTGCCCTGGTAAAACTACTGTGTGGACTGAACTGTTGGGAGAGAACAGCGGCAGCCCTCGGCCATAAATTCACGGACCTCCGCTGTTCTTACCCAAGGTTTAACTGTTTCTATGAATAAATTCTTCTTATTTTGCTGGAATCTTTCATTGATTTCCAGAGCCCTGAAATTGAAACCTTTCAAATTTTTATACACTTAAAATTATTTTAGATGAACATTTTTAGCAAGCTCCTCCTCTGCCATAATGTGATTCCTGCTCCCAAGTGCTCACATTTTAAAGTACAGGCTACATCTATTTATCAGCAAACAAGGAGAGACAGAAAACCACAAGGAGAGCACAAATACCCCTTCATTTACCCATCCACAAGACTCAGAAGAAATCCTGTGAAGTAGGTTGCATTTCCAAAGGTAACATGGGATTTAGGTTTAAAGTTTTACTTGGATCTTAAAGGAAAGAATAATCCCAAAGGCCTAGAAATTTTGGAAATGTTTAGGTTACACAAAGGTAGTAATTTACTCAAGTTGGGTAATTGACCGCATGTCTTCAAAGAGAACCAGTATCTATATTAATGTGTATGTGACTTCAGAGTCCTTTTTCTTAATCTCTAAAGTTAAAAATTATGTGAATGCAGTAGTGTAATCATTGTTACTAGCTTTAAATCATTTTATGACACCCAGTATTTCCATGATATAGTAGTTATTTTATATTTCGATGTGCAAAATTTCTTTAAGATTCTCTCAAACTTGTATTACTACTCCAATATTACATATTTATATTAATTACAATTTTAAAATTACAATTTTAAGATTAAGAGGAATTAGTCATTCAAATGATCACACTACTAGAAAAAATCATACTCTTATCCTTAGACAAGCCCTTATGAAATTTTATTGAAAGAGCATTCTCGGCCAGGCTTGGTGGCTCACACCTGTAATCCCAACACTTTGTGAGAGGCTGAGGTGGGCAGATCACTTGAGCCCACTGAGGTGGGAGGATCACTTGAGGTGGGCGGATCAGTTTGAGACCAGACTGGCCTACATGGTGAAACCCCATCATTACGAATAATACAAAAATAAGCCTGCGTGGTGGTATGTGCCCGTAATCCTAGCTATTTGGGAGGCTGAGGCAAGAGAATTGCTTGAACTGGGAGGCAGATTGCAGTGAGCAGAGATTGTGCCACTGCACTCCAGCCTGGGCAACAGGGCAAAACTCTGTCTCAAAAAAAAAAAAAAAAAAAAAAAAAGAAAGCATGCTCAATATGTTTTTGGTTTAGCCTAGTAAGTGTTTGATTACAAATATCAATTTATTTTAATAAATAAATATTCACATTTTCATTGTAGCAATATCTTACATTTTAGGTTGTCAAAATTTATATATACACATGCATGCACACAACCATGAACACATCCTACTCAAAATTTTATCCACACTAAATTCTAGAAATATTATCATCTGGCATCATAATTAAAATGTAAACTACTCTAATGTTAAGAAAAATAGAATTCTGGGAGGAAAGTTGAAGTTGGTGAGGTTGAAGGTTACAAGTAATGGTTTCTGATGGAAATTGCTCACTGGAAAGTACTCAAGTCCCCTTTGTTGGCTAATTCTCTGAGTAGCTATCAAGAACATTTGCCACTGGCCAAAACACAGTCAAAAGACAGATGAAAGTGATTGAAAGATAGTTTAAATAGAATAACTCTCATGCTCCAGCAGAAGAAAAGTGATCTTAGACACTAAACCAGTGATTCTTCAAAGACTTATTGCCTTTGAATCAAAATAAAAATCAGTTAAGCATATTTATGAACTATCCAGAAATATATAACGTATCCAATAGCTTATGTTCCATTTGAAATTAACCCTTGAGACCACTAGTCATCTAGAGGTTATACATTATTTACTTTATATCATCCCTAAAGTACCTCTGTGTTAGAGAAGGATAAAATAACAATAGTGTAGGCTATATTTACATTGCTTATCAAACAAGATTTGAATTTGTTGTATTGAATATTTTGTTTTAAGCTTCTTTGTGGTTTGTCATTTCTGTTGCTTCTCCCTTTTCCCCCATTCAATTAAAATTTAATGTGCTTTGATTGATTTTTTCATCCAAAATCAATTCTCAACTATAATTCAATTATCCAACATCATTGTGAGAAATCATTATTATAAGAAATAAATTTAAAATTCTACTTCGAAGACATAAAATGAGCTAAATCAAGGTCTTCTAAGAATGAAACCCTTAAAGCAACATGCCAAGTATATTGGGCAGCTGATCAGAGCTTGAATGAAGAAGGACCCAAGGCATTACACTAGTACTCATTCTTTTTCAAATAAAATAATCAATTTAATATATATTTGGAAATGATCAAAAGAGAGAAGGATGTTGTTTCCAGTAAAATATATATTATCTGAACTCTGCAGTTGATTCCAAATTCAAATGAATCGTAAGTGATGAACAGGAGACTATGAGACAGAGCTTTTCAACAATCCATAGAAAAATCCATTATAGTTGCTGTTAATTGTTTTGGTATACGGTTTCTTCATGTTTCTATTTTAAAAGCGTATTTTCTTTGGTTTAAAATCAAGTATGAAAACCTGCTTTTAAACCACAAGATTATTCTATTTATTTTCATTTGATTATTCATTTATTTATTTTTGTTGGCAGAATTTGAAATTTTATAATAACCTTCTGTTTATGTAACAACCTCAGATAAAAGGGAACTTTAGTTCCTATGATAAAATTTAAATAAACACCACTAGTTTCTAAGGAAATAATTATAAATAAGTGGTATCAGGGAAAGAGTTTATGTCTATATTTTCATTTAAGTTATGAGAATAAGTAAGCAGTTAACACAAGCAAAAATGTTCACTGTATGTATAAAGTATTTGTTCATTTAGCTATAACATATTTACTTATGCTTTCTACCCTGTGATATAATTTTGAATTATCTTTCTTATAATTTCCCAGTATTTTAACATTAATGACTGTGTAAATTAATAGGTAGAATGATATTAATTTTCCTACTAATAATATTATTCTCTTTTACCAAAGTAGAATATGGCTTTGTGGTAGCTATTTAGAGAAATATTTGCATATCTTGCTTTGTTAAAATAATAACTTTGTTTCTAGTTATTATGGTACTCTAAAATGTCTGATTATCTTAAAAACATCACAGAATGGCTAGAGGTTTTTCTTTTAATGTAGCAGATTTATATCCAATTTAAATGCTTAGTATGTATTAAACTATTTCTTAAATGCATCAATCTGTAAAAAATTATGCATTAGGTAAATAATATACAAATTTTCTTTGTAGGTCAAGTTATTTATTTGTGTCCTCAGATGAATTTTCTGTTCTTTGCACTTCATATTTTTAAATCCATGTCTAATAAATACGTATAATATGTCGATTTATGTTTTCTACTGTTCAATGCAAAATATTTTCAAATGTGCCTTTTGAAGATACTGCAGACACCTAGTACTCAAAAAATTATAAAGGGATGCATTTAGAGAAAAAATAAAACTTTTAAAGCTATAAATATGTATTTAACATTTACTAGAGAGAAAACATTCTGAGAATATGTTCTAATTCAGGGAAATTCCTATTATAATAAATATCATGAGGAATTGAAATGCTTTTGTTGTGCAGAATTTTGTATTAGCAACTTCTTTGTGACACGTTCGGGTCATTTTCTCAGGAAGTGCAACCAAATACAGCTGGGGTTTTGTCTCCTAATTTCTGTGTCCCAGTGGTTCAGAGCATGTAGTTAATTAAAAATATGTGGAAATAAAAAAAAATTCTACACAATAGTAGCATACCATTGGGAGAGGCTAGTGAGGCAGAAATGTGATTATTTTTGATATTGTTTAGAATTATTTATACATAGAGATAGTAATAACTGACTGATGTTGCCTACATACAGGTGGACCATTCACTCCCAGTATCTTTGGACATATAGCCCTAGAATGTTGCTCATATCCAGTTTGAAAGAGATAATGCCACAGAGTGTGCCAATGAGTTACTAGCCCTACCTGGCACAGCTTTATACCCACCACGGCATTCCCAATAACACCATACCTCCCTGAGCTTACCTCATTCAATAATCATGATATTGGTGGTACTGAGAGGTGACAGCGTGCTGGCAGTCCTCACAGCCCTCGCTCGCTCTTGGCGCCTCCTCTGCCTGGGCTCCCACTTTGGCGGCACTTGAGGAACCCTTCAGCCTGCCGCTGCACTGTGGGAGCCCCTTTCCGGGCTGGCCAAGGCCGGAGCCGGCTCCCTCAGCTTGTGGGCAGGTGTGGAGGGAGAGGCGCGAGCGGAAACCGGGGCTGCGCGCGGTGCTTGCGGGCCGGCGCGAGTTCCGGTGGGCGTGAGCTGGGCGGGCCCCGCACTGGGAGCGGCTGGCCGGCACCGCCCGCCAGGCAGTGAGGGGCTTAGCACCTGGGCCAGCGTTGCTGTGCTCAATCTCTTGCCGGGCTTTAGCTGCCTTCCCGCGGGGCAGGGCTCGGGACAGGCAGCCTGCCATGCCTGAGACTCCCCGCCCCTCCCTGGGCTCCTGTGCGGCCCGAGACTCCCCGACGAGCACCGCCCCCTGCTCCAGGGCGCCCAGTCCCATCGACCACCCAAGGGCTGAGGAGTGCGGGCGCATGGCGCGGGACTGGCAGGCAGCTCCACCTGCAGCCCCTGTGCGGGATCCACTGGGTAAAGCTAGCTGGGCTCCTGAGTCTGGTGGGGACTTGGAGAACCTTTATGTCTAGCTAAAGGACTGTAAATACACCAATCAGCACCCTGTGTCTAGCTCAGAGTTTGTGAATGCACCAATGGACACTCTGTATCTAGCTACTCTGGTGGGGACTTGGAGAACCTTTGTGTCCACACTCTGTGTCTAGCTAATCTAGTGGGGAGTTGGAGAACCTTTGTGTCTAGCTCAGGGATTGTAAACGCCCAATCAGCGCCCTGTCAAAACAGACCACTCAGCTCTCTGTAAAATGGACGAATTAGCAGGATGTGGGTGGGCCAGATAAGAGAATAAAAGCAGGCTGCCCCGAGCCACCAGTGGCAACTCGCTGGGGTCAACTTCCACACTGTGGAAGCTTTGTTCTTTCACTCTTTGCAATAAATCTTGCTACTGCTCACTCTTTGGGTTCACACTGCCTTTATGAGCTGTAACACTCACTGTGAAGGTCTGCAGCTTCACTCCTGAAGCCAGCGAGACCACGAACCCCACCAGAAGGAACCAACTCTGGACACACCGCCTTTCAGAACTGTAACACTCACTGCGAGGGTCCGCGGCTTCATTCTTGAAGTCAGTGAGACCAAGAAACCACCAATTCCGGACACAGTACTAGACCCAGGCTTTTGCTATCTTATGTGGAACTCTATCAGTGAACCACATTGACACCGGGACTCACTATGAGCTTGGCCAACATTTCTGTCCCATACTACTGTCTGAAATGTTTCACATAATCTCTTTTCTTTCCATTCTCCTCTCATTGGTGTGGCATCTGTATCACAGTCTGAAGACTCTCTTTGCTTCTCCTCCCTTCATTCTTCACAAGTATTTCCCCACAACAGTTCCCCTGCACGTCATATTCCATCAGGTTGTCTGTTTCTCAAATGACCAGAATTGATCATAATTGTACCCAGGAGAGGTCAATAAAGACAATTAGTTAAATAGTGCTCAGGGTCTAGATCACCGACTGCCAGCTCTGACTGCACTGTACTGCAAGGAAGAATGCATCCTGAGTAGAGTGTAAGACACAAATTCTCCCTGGCTCAAAGTGAAAGCCTGAGTGCTGAAGATTTCACCAGAGGTGATCCAGCAAAACACCCTGATTACAAGTGGAATGATTCACACCTGAGAGTCATATGGGATTAACAATGCCTATGAGATCAGCCAAGCTGGCTCATCATTACTAAGTAGTATTGACACCCTGGAGAGTGGTAACAAGTGATAACATGAAATTTAAGGCAATAAACAGGTGTAAATTATTTAATAAATAGTTCAAGGCTAAATACAAGACCTAGAGGCCTTTTTATTTTTTTGTAGATTATAAAAACATCCTTATATTTTTCAATAGGAGAGCAAACAAACTGAGGAACAGTCTGACTACTTAAGTGTCTGTTCTAGAGAAGCTTACATGCCCAGCCAAGGCAGCTTTATTATGGGAAGATCAAGGTTTCTGTTGGGAAGATCTGGGACACTGAGACATGAGATGGAGACATCTAGCTAGATTCCACAAAGATCTTGCTTCTGCAGATGCCTCCTGAGCCATCCTCCCTATTAGGAACTAGAACTTTTATCATGAGAGAAGATACTTCAGAGATCACCATCTTTCAAGGAAACAATTGCTTCCTCTCTCAGACACCAATCTGAAAAGCAGGGTTAATTCCAAGCATAGTCTGGCTGGGACCTGAGAAAGGAGATAAATTTCACCTTGAAAGAGCTGAAAAGATAGTAGCTAGTATGCACTATCAGGAGTCAGTAGAAGACATCTGAAATTGTATTTGAAGTTGCTTTATATCAAGGAGTCTATTAGAAATATAATGGTGAATGGGGCCCCAACGTCCCTAAAAAGCTCAGCTGTGGCTCTTTTCTCCAGGTCAGGGATTATGGCAGAGGTAGCAGTCGTAGAGTTAAGCTTGTTAATAGCCCTGGAAATGGTGAGGTCTCAAAATAACAGAGGCCAGGTAGTGGTATTTATCTGATAGAAGCAGCAGACCACAATGATAGAGACAACTGGGAAAAACCTAGAACCAACCAAAGGTTTCACCCACCTAAGTAGTATTGCTAACAGAGCATGGCATCAGTCAGACCCAAATTAACAGACAGAAAATGGGAGTCATCCTTAATGTTCAGACAGAAGAAAGTAAGGTTGATGGTGGTTCCTTTCATCAGTCTATTTAAAATGCCAATATGGTCCTTTAAAAAAATAGAGAGAGAATGTATACTACCTAAAGCTTAACAATTAGTAGCCATGATTGCTGCGCTGTATGTAGTATCAATGCTAGAGGATAAGGCTTCAGGTACGAGTTGTATAGCTATGGGTTTGATTAACTAATTGTTTTCTATTCTTATCAATAAATCAGATAGAGTTTACATTCACTTGAACTGTCCTAAATATTCATATATAATTTTGTCCCAGGTTATACTAATTCTTTCAAGTATGTCATACTATAATTAGAAGGAATCTAGATCATAAATTCATCTGACATGTGATAACATTGGCCTATTATATTGATGATTTTATGCCTATCCAGCAGAATGAGCGAGGTGAAGCTAGTATTTCTTTATACTGGCAGTGGATATTAGAAAATGTAAATTCCAAGGGGCCATTTTCGATAACACCAAAATATAAAATAATTAGGTATAACTCTATTGTGCAATTTTAACCATATTAGCAGAGCAGTTATTTATTTATTTATTTATTTATTTTTGAGACAGAGTCTCGCTCTGTCGCCCAGGCTGGAGTGCAGCGGCGCAGTCTGGGCTCACTGCAAACTCCGCCTCCCGGGTTCACGCCATTCTCCTGCCTCAGCCTCCCCAGTATCTGGGACTACAGGCGCCCGCCACCAAGCCCAGCTAAATTTTTATATTTTTTTAGTAGAGGCGGAGTTTCACACCTTGTTAGCCAGGATGGTCTCCATCTCCTGACCTTGTGATCCGCCCGCCTCGACCTCCCAAAGTGCTGGGATTACAGGCATGAGCCACCGCGCCCGGCCCAGAGCAGTTTTTAATAAATCTAATACACTATCTTAATCTCAATTTATGCAATGAAATAAGAAATATCTCCTGTGGCATAGTGCAATTAACCTTGTGAAAACTTCATGAAACCATACCTTTGTAAAAAGCCACAAACTAGTATATTCTACAACCTTATGGATACCAGAAAGAGATTTCCTGATATCCTCCTTTTTAAAAGTATGTTATTTTTTGCTGGGCGTGATGGCTTATGCCTGTAATCCCAGCACTTTGGGGGGCCAAGATGGGTTGATCACCTGAGGTCAGGAGTTCAAGACTAGCCTGACCAACATGGAGGAACCCCGGTCTCTACTAAAAATACAAAAATTACCTTGGCGTGGTGATTCGCGCCTGTAGTCCCAGCTACTCAGGAGGCTGACACAGGAGAATGGTTTGAACCCGGGAGGAGGAGGTTGCGGTGAGCCAAGATCACGCCACTGCACTCCAGCCTGGGTGACAGAGTGAGACTCTGTCTCAAAAAAGAAAAAAAAAGTAAGTTATTTTTATTTTTATGAGTTCTACGCTTTGAAATCTAATGTGTTGTATCTATGTTAGTCTCACTCCCATTTTACTAAAACTACTTCGAACTATATAGAATTTAGAGATTATTTTGAATGCATTAAGTAATCTCATTGGCTGTAGAATTAAGAACAACCACATGGAAGAAGACTGTGGGAAAGTTCAGTGTGGAGGTACTAAAGATATGACAAATGTTTAGGAATGTGCCTGTGTAATAAAGATGGCCAGGATGGCAGTTTGGTTGTTCTACCTGTTACTAGTTGGCACACTGTTGAAAAAAGGAAACGAAAGGCATAAAATTCCAATTAAGGGGCCCAGAAAAGGCAATCTCATGTAGCATTAGAGGAGACAAGAGGACCATTGAATGAACTAATATACCTAAGATGTGAAAATAATATGCCATTTCCCGAGAGACCAACTCTGACTACTCAAAAGAAATTCTAAGATGTTCTTAACTTTTTCCCCTTTTTGCCATTTCTGAAATCAGGATGAATCTTAAAATTGATGATGGCTTTCAAAGGAATTTGTCATTTTTTTCACATTTTAGCACGTCTGAAATCAGTGTATCTGATGATCGGTGAAATCTTAGAGTGAATGAAAACCAGTGGGTTGTTCCATTATACTCTCTAATCTACAATTTTATGTGTTTTTATTTGTGTTTTGATAGAAAAAGTAGAGAAAGGACTTAGTGTCATAGTTTTTCAAATGCTGTTTACCTCATGGTGGTTTCATTACATGAAAAATCGTTTTGATATATCATCACTTTAAAATGAAATTGGTTCAGGGAGGCGAGTAAAGGTTGCATTTATGCAGGTTACTGGAGAAATGGTGGTTTTCTTAAAGATATTTTATTAAGAAGGAATGAGTATATAAGTGGAGTGCTAGACTGGTGCTTTCTTTTCCGGTTTATCATGAATGTGTCTACCTCATTTGACTTGATGTGAGTTATTTGCTTCCCAATGTCTAAAACTTTAGAGCAAAGTAAGAATGAGGCTGTTGTAGGTGATAAACAGATAGTAGGAAAGCAGAAGAGAGAGGCAACATGGAAGAAAATACTTTCTCCAAAGTGATATTCAATCTTTACTTTTTCTTTTACAAATAGGTTTGTAAAATGAGTAAGGATGGAATGTTAGTTCAGGAAACTATTGTAAGTCATGTTATTCATCTGTCTTAAAATCTTTATATTGTCCTAACCTGAGGGAAAAGGAAATTATCTTTTAGACAAATTGTAAATGTAGCTATCAAAAAGTAGTGTGCCCTAGGAGGTAGGGCTTTGGAAGGAAACTATATAATAGTAAATAAAAGGGAAAGTATAGACTATTATGTTGGTTAGAAATGGAAATAATGACACTAAATATAATAGAACTATGTGAACATTACTACACCTTTTAAAAATATGGAGAGGCAAATTTCTAAATATAAAAATAAGTGGAATCCCAGAAAAATTTCAGATTCGTATATTTTGGAATCATAAGGAAGTAATAGGAAATGACGATTAGGCAGGTTTTCATGAAAGATGACAAACAAGTAGCTCTTTGGGATCTTACTGATGAGAAAACATGAGGAAAGTAAGGAATAAGAATAGAAAAAGGAAATATCTGTTTTCAGGCACATTTTCATTAATTAGACTGCAATAGTGTTAGTTTGGAAAAATATTTGATTATATATTCTATGTATAATCTAGGAGGCAATATGTCAAACCTTGTATTATTGTTTATGCTGGGTCTACTCCAACTATTTTCATTGCTAGATAGAGGAACTGGTTCCAGACAGAAATCCTAAAGTCTATAATGTGCAAGTCCCTGACCTAAGTATCATCCTGAGAGCTCTCTACGAAATATTCTCTTCCTGTGACTTTTTATACAAAGCAATAAACCTGTGGCTCAGCTCTTCTGGAGGTAACCTTCCACAAAAAAATTTGTTTGTATTTCTTGTTGTTAGGGGAAATTTAAAAAGATGGTATCTTCTATTAGGTTGGTGCAAAAGTAATTGCATTTTTTGCCATTACTTTTATTTTTAACAATTACTTTTACACCAACCTAATAGTATTGATGAGAGTCTTAGACCTTAGTAGTGATTTTTATCTTATCAACATATCCATAGTCTACATCATGTTTTGGTTATGGTTATTTTTCTGATGGAAAAAAAAACAAGAAGCATCCCAGTAGATAAACACACACAATAAATACTGAACACTTATTTATTTCACTTCTTGTTTTCCTGTTAGAATTTCCAGGCCGTGGAAGAACATTAGAAAAGGTACAGAAACAAGCTTCATTCCTAAATAGAATTCCTTTCGCATTAGTCTAAAACTGTTCCTAAGTACCCCCACGATATTTCCCCTATGTCCATATTTCTAAAATTGTGTTTCATTGTGTTAATAGATGTCTAGAATATATTATTTTGTCAAATAGCTCTGGGAAACACAAGGTTAACTTATTATACAAATATTTATTATATATTTCTAAGAGTTAAGTACAATATGATAAATATCCCAAATAAATTTGCTCATCAAGTACTGCTAACTGCAAATGGATTTTCAATTAATTCAGTTGACAGACCTTTGAGTGAAAGATTTATTATATTCAATAGTCAATGGATTTCTGAATTCAGTGAAGTTGCAGACAAGTATTTTTTTTTAGCTCACCTGCTTAGTGAGCTAACAAGAATACATTGTTTTCTGATCCCAATATGCTCCATAGATATAAAGACAATACTTAAAGTCATTATTTACTTTTTTCTTACGTTGGGCAATATTTCAAACTAATAAAAATCCAGAGTCCCTCTCATGACCAGGCCATAGGAAAGTTTCATTTTCCTACATTCTATTTGAAGTATTATTCCAATATTATGATTAAATCTTACAAAACCAGTTATTGTTGTGTTTACCAAGTTTGCAGCTTCTTATCATTGCTCCAACTAGTTTCTTTTGTTTAGCTTCTTGATTTTCTTTCCATTGTTATGTTTAGTTTTATATATTTTATAACACCATCTATAGTTAGTCTAAAAAAAGCCATTCAATTCTCAGTTCATGATAGTACAGAACTTTGTACAGCCTACCATTACAACTTATCTCTGGATATGAGATAAATTGTTTTTTAATTTAATTTTTATTTTTTATTTTTTGAGTTTACATTGTAGGTGTATATATTTATAGATACATGAGCTGTTTTGATACAAGCATACAATGTATAATAATCACATTATAGAAAATGGGGTATTCATACCCTCAAGCATTTATGCTTTGTGGTACAAACAATATGATTATACTCTAGAAGTGTATTTTTGAATGAAAAAACAACAAATATAGATTAATTAGCAAGCTTTAAAAATTCAGATGGCCTATGCAAAATGTTTCTACCTTCTTAAAATCATATATATATGTATAAATTAAATGGAGATACAAGTTTTCAATTATCTTTTTAAAAATCAATAAGATTGATTATGCACAGTGATAGTAGGGGAGTGGGTGGAAAAAGAGGCATTCATAGAAGGTGAGAATTCTTATCTATGATCAAATCCATCAGAGTACCTGAATCTACTCCACAGTTAATGTCTTTCTTCCTGTTAAGATTGAAGTATGTCTACTCCTAACTTTGATGAGTCTTTTCATTTGTACTCCAGATTCCATCCTCTTTCCACTTCTCACAGTCATCATTCATACAATTTTCTCATGCTTCCATATCCTCATTTTCCCTCTCCACTGGACTATTTTCATCACCATACATTATACAAACATACTATAGTATCTGCCATCTCAGAAACTCTCTTTTGAGTCCATGTCCCCTAGAACACTTTATGTTTTGTTTCAAATTTTGGAATTAGTTGTCTACATTTGCGGTCTTTATCACTTTCCATTCTCTTCTTTGAAGTACCATTTGTCAATTGCCTCCATGACATCAAACCCAATAGGGTGTATCTGGTCTCATCTTGTTCAATAGCTCAACCATATTTGGTCACTGTTTACCACTCCCATTCTTGAAGTGCTCTTCTTTGGCCATAATACCATGGCCTCCTAATTTTCCTCCCACCTCACTGAACACTAGACAGAATATCTCTTGTGTCAGCAACTTTTACTCTGCTCAACTCCCAAATGTTGGAGTTCTCCAGGGCTCCATGGTGGAATCTCTTCCATTTTTTTTCATTATAATATATTCACGTATTTTTACTATTTTTTTTATTTCCATGGGTTATTGGGGAACAGATGGTGTTTGGTTACATTAATAAGTTCTTTAGTGGTGATTTGTGAGAGGTTTGTACACCCATCAGCTGAGCAGTATACACTGCACCCTATTTGTACTCTTTTATCCCAAACCCCCTTCCCATCCTTTCCTTGAGTCCCCAAAATCCACTGTGTCATTCTCACGCCTTTGCGTCCTCATAGCTTAGCTCGCACTTATGACTGAGAATATAGGATGTTTGGTTTTCCATTCCTGAGTAACTTCACTTAGAATAATAGTCTCCAATCTCATCCAGGCCACTGCAAATGCCATTAATTCATTATTTTTTATGGCTGCATAGTATGCCATCATATATATGTACCACAGTTTCTTTATCCACTCGTTGATTGATGGACATTTGGGTTGATTTCACGTTTTTGCAATTGCAAATTGTGCTGTTATAAACGTGTGTGCAAGTATCTTTTTTGTATAATAACTTCTTTTCCTCTGGGTAAATATCCAGTAGTGAGATTGCTGGATCAAATAGTAGTTCTACTTTTAGGTCTTTAAGGAATCTCCACACTATTTACCATAGTGGTTGTACTAGTTTACATTCCCACCAGCAGTGTAGAAGTGTTCCCTGTTCACCACATCCATTCCAACACCTAGTATTTTTTTTTTTTTTATTATGGCCTTTCTTGCAGGAGTAAGGTGGTATTGCATTGTGGTTTTTATTTGCCTTTCCCTCATCATTAGTGATGTTGAGCAATTTTTTTTGTATGTTTGTTGGCCATTTGTACATCTTCTGAGAATTGTCTATTCATGCCCTTAGCCCACTTTTTGATGGAATAGTTTGTGATTTGGATAAAAGTCATTTTAAATAGAGTCAGATAATATCTCATTATAGTTTTCATTTGCATTTTTCTGATGATGAATGATGTTGAGAACTTATTCACATGCCTGTTTTCCTTTTGTATGTCTTGTGAGAAATGTATATTCAGATCTTTTGCCCATTTCTTAATTGGATTATTATATTTTTTTCCTATAGACTTGTGTGAGCTTCTTATATATTATGGTTATTAATCCCTTGTCAGATGGGTAGTTTGCAAATATTTTCTCCCATTCTATGGGCTGTCCCTTTACTTTGTTGATTGTTTTCTTTACTGTGCAGAAGCTTTTTAATGTGATGTAATTCCATTTGTTCATTTTTGCTTTGGGTGGTCATGCTCGTGGAGTATTATGCAAGAAATCTTTGCTCACATCTTTATCCTGGAGAGTTTCTCCAATGTTTTCTTGTAATAGTTTTATAAATCAAGGTCTTAGATTTAAGTGTTTAATCCATTTTCATTTGGTTTTATTTGATTTTTGTATATGGTGAGAAATAGGAGTCTAGTTTTCTTCTTCTGCATATGGATATCTAGTTTTCTGTATATCATTTCTTGAAGAGACTGTCTTTTCTCCAATGTAATAGGTTAGTACAAATTAATTGCAGTTTTTGCCATTACTTTCAATACCAAATACATGTTCTGGGCAACTTTGTCAAAAAATGAGTTCACTGTAGATGTATGAATTTGTTTCTGGGTTCTCTAATCTCTTCCACTGGTCTATGTTTCTGTTTTTATGGCAGTACTATACTGTTTTGGTTTCTATAGCTTTGTAGTATAATTTGAAGTCAGGTAATGTTATTCCTCCAGTTTTGTTCTTTTTGTTCAGAATAGCTCTGGGTATTCTGGGTCTTTTGTGGTTCCATATACATTTAGTATAGTTTTTTATTTATGTGAAGAATGTCATTGGTATTTTGATAGGGATTGCATTGAATCTGTACATTGGTTTGGGTAGTATGGACATTTTAACAATATTGATTCTTTCAATCCATGAACATGAAATACTTTTCCAATTTTTGTGTTTCTTCTTCAATTACTTTCATTAGTGTTTTGTAGATTTCACTGTATAGATATTTTGCTTCATTAGTTATGTTAATTCCTCAGTATTCAATTTTATTTGTGGCTATTGTAAATATAATTACTTTTTGCATTTATTTTAGATTGTTCAGTGTTGGCATATAAAAGTGCTGCTAATTTATGTATGATAATTTTGTATCCTGCAACTTTACTGAATTTGTTTATCTTGTTTATCAGATTGCAGAGTTTCTTTTTTGTTGTTGAAGTGCTTACTTTAAAAAAAAATAAGATCATATTATCTGCAAACAAGGATAATTTGATTTCTTCCTTTCCAATTTAAGTGCTCTTTATTTATTTCTTTTGTCTGATTGCATAACTAGGACTTCCAGTACTATGTTTAGTAACAGTGGTGAAAGTGGGCATCCTTGTCTTATTCCAGATCTTAGGGGAAATGCTGTCACTTTTTCCCCATTCAGTATGATACTAGCTGTGGGTCTGTCATGTATGGGTTTTATTATATTAGCAGGCATGCTTTATTTTTTTATCCTCTTTTCTTTTATCTCCTTTTACAATGTATTTTCACATAGCCTGTTTTCATGCTCACTGTTTTTTTCTTCTGTTTGACCAATTCTGCTATTAAGAGATTCTGATGCATTCTTCAGTATGTTAATTGTGGTTTTCAACTCCAGATTTTCTGCTTAATTTTAATTATTTCAATGTCTTGTTTCATTTATCTGACAGAATTCTGAAGTCCTTCTCTGTGTTATCTTGAATTTCTTTGAGTTTCCTCAGCTATTTTGAATAGCTTCTTCAGTTTCCTAAGCTATTTTGAATTCTCTGTCTGAAGAGACAAATATCTCTGTTTCTCCAGGATTGGCTCCTGGTACCTTAATCAGTTCATTTGTTGAGCTAATGTTTTCCTAGCTGGCCTTGATGTTTGTTGATGTTCATTGGTGTTGGGACATTAAAGAGTTAGAAATTTATTGTGGCAATCTGGGCTTCACAATCTATGTCTGTCCTTCTTGGGAATGCTTTCCAGGTATTCAAAGGGACTTGGGTTCCAAACCCTGTAATGATGCTGTTCTCATAGACTCATAGAGGTACCAGCTATGTGGTCTTGTGTAAGGTCCAGAAGAATTACCTGGACTACCAGGGAAAAACTCTTCTTATCTTCCCTTACTTTCTCCCAAACAAATGGCATGTCTCTGTCTCTCTCTCTCTCTGTCTCTCTCTCTCTCTTTCTCCATCATGAGCTGCTTGGAGCTGGGGGTGGGATGACACAAGCACCCTTGAGACCACCACCAGTGGAACTGCCCTAGGTCAGACGTGAATCCACCACAGCACCGAGTCTTGCTCAAGGCCCGCTGTAACCACTACCTGACTACCACCTATGTCAGCTCCAGGCCCTGAGGCTCTACAATCAGCAGGTGATGAAGCCATCCAGGTTTATATTCTTCCATTCAGGGTGGCAAGTTCCCCTAGCCCCTAGATGGGTCCACCAATGCTGTCTGGCAGCCAGGGATTAGAGTCAAAAACCTTAGAAATCCACCTGATATTCTATTCTATTGTAGCAAAGCTGGCACTCAAACCACAGGACGAATCCTTCCTGTTCTTCTCTCTTCTTTCTACAAGTAAGGAGCCTCGCTTCATGGCTGTCACCATTATCAGCCCATGGAGAGTTCTGTCATTTCACTGTCAATCTTCGCTTAAGGTCCATGGGCTCTTCAGTCAGTTTTTGGTGAATGTTGTCAGGCCTAGGACTCATTCTTCAGGTCAGTGGGCTCCCTTCTGGCCCAGGGCAGGCCCAGAAATGCTGCGCAAGAGCCTAGGTGTGGAATTTATGACCCCAAGGGCCTACTTGCTGTTCTACCTCACTATAGCTGAGCTGGTACCTGAAGTACCAGTGAAATCTCAGGATTTCACTCAAGGCCCATGGCATACTACCTGGATATTGCTGTTGGTTATTCTGGTCCCAAGGTCTTCTTAGTCAGCAAGTGATGAATCCTGCCTGGACTGGGTCTTTCCCTTAAAGGCAATGGGTTCCCATTGTATCTGTATCTGGCCCAGGCTGTATCTCAAAATGTTATCTGGGAGCTAGGGCCTACAATGAAGGCCTATAGACTCTGCCTGTTGCTCTATCCTACTGTGGCTGAGCTAGTATCTAAGATGAAAGAAAAAGTGCTTTTTACTCTTCTCTTTCAGCTCTCCTCAAGCAGAAGGAAGGAATCACTTTTGTTGCTGCAAGCTGTACTATCTGTGGTTGGCGAAAAGGAGGCACAAGCATTCCCCAAGTCACCCTGTCTTGTGTCTAAGTCATGCACTACCCCAGTCCACTGGCTATAAGACCAGCACAGCATCATGACTTGTTTAAGATGCAGCCCTTATGTTCAATACCGCTTTTCAAGTTCACCTATGACTCCAGAGCACTTTAGCCCATGATGGCAAGGCTTGCTGGAACTGAAACTCATACAGCTGGAATGGGCACTTTCCCTCTGGCTGGGACTGATCTAAATCTTTTCTCCATGAGCAGGTGCTGGTTGAGTTCAACACGGTTTTGCTTTCCACTGTGGCAGCCAGCACTCTGTTCAATGCAAAGTCCTCAATTCATTGTGTTTTCCCTTCCCCAAGTGCATAGATTATTTCTCTGTGCCACACAGCCACTGCCAGGGGAAGGAAAGAGGCATGGAGTTAGTGATTCAAGACTGTCTTTTCTACCCTCTTCTGTGCCTCTTTCAGGGATAAAAAGTTAAAATTAGGTACTGTGATTACTCACCTAGTTTTTGGTTTTTTGAAAGTGCTTTTCTATTTGCAGATGGGGGACAATTAGTGGAGACTTTTATTCTGCCACCTTGCTCCACCCTCTGTAACTCAATCTTTTAAAGTATTATTTCTCCAATTCTATCCTTTTATTACTGAAGGAGAGACAAATAGACAAGAATTTAGACCGTGATAAGATCCTGTGATGGTTCATATTAGGTGTCAACATGATAGAATAAAGGAATGCCTAGAGAATCGGTAAAGCATTACTTCTGGGTGTGTTTGTGAGGGTGTTCCAGAGAGGACTGGCATGTGAGTTGTAGAACTGAGTATGGAAGATTTATCCTCCAAATACCATCAAATCAACCGGAGACCTGCATAGAACAAAGCCAGAGAGAAAAGGTTTTTCTCTCTTTCTTCTGGAGCTGGGACATTCTTCTTCTGCCCTTGAACATCAGAATTCTAGGCTGTCTGGCCCTGGGACTCCAGGACTTATACCAGTATCCCCCCTGGTTTATCTGGCCTTCAGAATCCACCTGAGAAATACACCATTGATCTTCCTGATTCTCAAGCTTTTGGATGTGGACTTAGCCATGCTACCAACATCTTCAGGTCTTCAACTTGTAGATGCCTCCATAATCACGTGAGTTCATTTCCCTAATAAATAAATCATACATCCCCTGTTCTATCTATCTATCATCTATCTATCTGACTTTCAGCTATCAAAATATCTATCCTATTTCTTGTCTCTCTGGAGAATCCTGACTAATATAGATCCTTAAGACAGTAAGAGCTATACCATTATCATGACATTCAACCCCAAAGGGATAGTCAAATGCACATAAGGCAATCAGGTGCATTTAGAATGTTGGAGGCATGAATTATCATTCAAACTGCACCACAGACTTACAGATTATATTCCATTTGTTGCTTAGGAATGAATGTTCTTAAAATTAGGAGCCAGCTGAAGAAGACATAGAAGTGTTACGGCATATTCTGAAAAAAATCAAGTATTTAATACAAGGAGAACTAAAATTATTTTTTTAAAAAAGCAATAAGAGAGCCGGGCACAGTGGCTCACATATGTAATCCCAGCACTTTGGGAAGCCTAGGCGGGTGGATCTCCTGAAATCAGGAGTTGAAGACCAGCCTGGCCAACATGGTGAAACCCTGCCTCTACTAAAAATATAAAAATTAACTGGGCGTGGTGGCAGGCGCCTGTAATCTTAGCTACTTGAGAGGCTGAGGCAGGAGAATCACTTGAACATGGGAGGTGGAGGTTGCAGTGAGCCAAGGTCACGCCATGGCACTCCAGCCTGGACGACAGAGTAAGACTCCATCTCAAAAAAAAAAAAAGAGCAATAATAGTATATATGCAAAATTTGTCTCTAACCCAAATTATTCCTGTTTAAATAAATGAATGTGATATTTTAAACAATAGGCCTTCTCAATAAAGCCATCCTTGCTTAATGTGTTCATTTTCAGAAATTTTAAATTTCACTAGCACTTATCAGTTTAAATCAAATGAATTTAATGTTTATATCTGTTTCATGTAGTTATAGATACATACGCTAAATGTATGTATCATATATATACGATTATTTGGAAAAGTAAGATATAAATTAAATATGATAAAATACTGTATCAAAGTGCGTATTAATTGGTAACTGAGATAAAAGTAAAAACCAAAAACAGAAAAGTACCAACTGATGCTGTAGCACTGTTACAGGCAACAGTAATAAATGTAACTTGACTTTCTTTATAAAATATTCAGTTTACTTTTTAAACCATAAAACCAAATATTGTTGAAGTAACCTCTAGCATGGATGAAAGTCATATTATTTATTTCCTTTAACAATAGGTTATCATGATGAAGATATCAATAAACCAATTTAAATGCATCACTTCTGCAAATATTTTTTCTGTGACCTAATTAACCTTAAAAACAACTGTTAAAAAAATCTAGTTTCTTTCTGTTTTGGCCTATCAATTGCATTTATAGATATGTTAACAAAGTGATTTCCAACAGTAACATACTATTTTGTTAAGAAAGCAGCCTTATATTTAGATAGTTATATACTCCTAAAAATCTTAAGCAGGGGGAAAGTTATCAGGCTTATTTAGCACTAGATGACCTAAGAACAAACAAACAAACAAATATTAAGTTATTTTAGTTTCTGATAGTCTTAGGGCCAAAAGATCTGTTCTTTCATCCACATTTGGTGCTTCAATAATATTTGTTATGAATTCTATTAGGTTTCATCAAAGCCTAGAGATGTGTTGA
The DNA here is from genome assembly GCF_000001405.40 of Homo sapiens. Lineage (NCBI taxonomy): Eukaryota > Metazoa > Chordata > Mammalia > Primates > Hominidae > Homo > Homo sapiens. Next base: position 56,750,668 of record NC_000013.11, read on the forward strand.
TGTATTAAACAAAAGCTGTAATTAATATGATAGTAACTACAAACTTTATGAGGCATATCCTAAAACAATCACTGAAAATGTACCTTAATAAATGTTTTTATTTTTAATGTAGTCAATACTTCATTGGACTATGCTGTTGTATCACTAAAAGGTTTTAATTCACACCTGTGGGTTTTTCTTATTATGTAAAACCCCAGCGCATTCCTGTTTGTTGTTGTTGTTGTTTGTTTGTTTGTTTGTTTGAGACGGAGTCTTTCTCTGTTACCCAGGCTGTAGTGTAATCGTGTGATCTTGGCTCACTGCAACCCCCACCTCCTGGGATCAAGCACTTCTCCTGCCTCAGCCACCCGAGTAGCTGGGACTACAGGCACGCGCCACCATGCCCAGCTAATTTTTGTACTTTTAGTGGAGACGGGGTTTCACCGTGTTGGCCAGGCTGGTCTCGAACTCCTGACCTCATGATCCACCTGCCTTGGCCTCCCAAAGTGCTGGGATTACAGGCTTGAGCCACCGCGCCAGGCCTGCAATCCCATTTTATGTTAATCACAGCACATGACAGAGGTTTTTATGGTACTTGCCATAGCAGAAATAAAAATTTGCACATTTTATTTAAACCAACAGTTATTTTTCTTTGTATTTTACAGTCTTAAGTGAAATGTTTTTTAATCAGTTATTTACAGTGTGAAGAGTGCTCTGAGATTGAATTTCTCAGCATATCAAAACCAAGTCAGCCTGTTATTGATGGCTGTGATTTACTCAGTGAGCAAAAATTTCTCTACTAACAATGTTATATCTATCTTTATAAACATTTTTAAGACATAAAAGACAAGTAGCACTCATTATATAGTCTCATGATTGCTTTAAAACATTTTAGCAACTAGTAGGGTAGACATGAACAATGTAAATTTACACTGAGATGTAATGCTAACAGAATTGACATATAAATTTGGCTGGAATCAGTTTGTCAATAACTGGGTTGCAGTCCACTGTAGGGCATACCTGTGTATACCTTACAAACAAAGCAAAGCTTTCTATGCAAAGGAACAAAAATATTATACTATATTCCTGGTCAAGCCCCAAATAGGCTATTTTGAAACATTTTTCATTGACACATATTTTCTAACAAGAACAACCGATTTTTTTTAAGAGAAATATTGGTAAGGAGAGAAAAGAGAACACATCATATAAAAATTAGGGTATGAGAACAATGGATACATTATAACATATAATAGTATTTTAATGGTATTTGTTCCTAGTTTCTTTCAACTTATTATAAATAATAGGCAGATTTTTCAAGGAAAAGTGATTTCCTGGGAGTGGAAAATGATCACATCCTGAAAACTTTGTCTTCTAAAATGGGAATACTCTGAGCAGGTAAGAATCTAAGTCTATCCTAAGGCTTTGCCAGTTTAACTAGCCCACAGAACTGTCTGAAAGATACCAGCAGTAACCATACAGGATGGATTTCAAACTTTCTCATAACTCTTTTAAAATAATAATCCTTGTTTATTAGATATTGACTGGAGTTGTTCACAAAGCTTAGAGTACCATCTGGGCTGTAAATTCTGTTTAGAGAAAATAGAGTATAAAATTGTATAGAAGAGCCTTCTTTAAAAGTAAGGTCCAATGAGGAGCGCCAGGGGAATGTTGCAGAATGATTATGGTGTCATAGAAAAGGGAGAGGAACAAAGAGCGTTTATATTTATCAGAGAACTTATAATTATCACTTGACATCTTCTTTCATTGAAATGACAAGAGTTTTTTTAAGCCAGGTAATTTTTACTATCAGCACCAGATAGCGGATGAGAACAGTATTAACAGTTCATGAAATTTTAAGAATATCTAAATGATTCCGTGAAAATGAGATCAGATTAATTTAAGTATTGATCTTCATGTGTAACAATACTGTAATAGGGCTTTCCTGTGTGGGAATTAAATGTCCAATCACAGAATCCAAAGTTCTTACCTGTTGAGTAACCCTGTCTTAGACGATCAGTGGAACAAATCAAATGACTTCAGGAACTGTGACCATAACCTACACCAGAAATTCCTAGATTTTGTTGTGTTTCTGAATCATGCTAGATTAGTTCAGCCAGCAGCCTGAGCTCTTGATTCACTTGCTTTGGGGTGGTAGCCTGAGAGCTTGCATTCCTAACAAATTCCCAGGTGGAGCAGCTGCTGCTGGCCTGGAAACCACTCTTAGGGAGCCATTTCTTACCCTCACAGAGAGCTAGCAATAATGTTGGCTTCATCTGTTAAAGGGACCACTGTGAATAATGCAGAGATGTATGTGGCTGCTACAGACTTCTAACAAGGAAAATGTAAACTGTAGACTGCTATGGGGATTTGAATCCCTCTCTGTTCCTGATATTTACTAACTGTGACTTTGGGAAAGTTACTTAAGTTCTCAAGCTTTACTGTTTTTATCTACAGAGTTTTGATAAAATTGCTCCCTACCACTAAGGCTGTAGTAATAATTGAAATAATCTATGTGAAGCTCTTAGCACAGTGGCCAGATTAAAATGAATACTCAAAAAATATTGGCTGGGCGCAGTGGCTCAGGCCTGTAGTCCCAGCTCTTTTCAAGGCTGAGGCGGGTGGATCACGTGGGGTCAGGAGCTCAAGACCAGACTGGCCAACATGGCAAAACCCCGTGTCTACTAAAAATGCAAAAATTAGCTGGACGCAGTGGCGTGAGACTGTAGTCTCAGGTACTGGGGAGGCTGAGGCAGGAGAATTGCTTGAACCTGGGAGGCAGAGGGAGGCTGCAGCGAGCGAAGATCATACCACTGCACTCCAGCCTAGGCAAGAGAGGGAGACACTATCTCAAAAAAAAAAAAAATAGCTACTTTTATTATTAATTGTGGCTACATAATTTAGAATACAATAATTCAACTAATCTCAGGCCATTGAATAAACAAGAAAAATAAACACACTTCTCAGAATTTCCTAATTAACAATTTCAATAGGAATTAATTTTCATTTTCTTTTAAGTATTACTTACAGTTCTACTCTCACATAGACCCCTTCCAGTTCTTCGCAGCAGGAAGGAAAGTTGACTGAAAGAATTGCATCCACTAATATCCACACATGAAACATCAGATAGATAAAAACATACAAACCATTACAGTTTCTCACCACATAATTTCCTTCCTGTTCTCTACAAGGGTGTCAAATATAAACTTTAGAGCAATAAAATTACACGGGATGGATTTTTTTTTCCTTTTGTATGTGCCTAAATATCTAAATGTGGAAATAAAATAGTCCTTCTTACTGTTCTGTATTTTTCTTCTCTAAAAATTAATAAATGAAAAAAATCCCATACATGTAAAACTATTCAACAATCAAAAATAGGGGTGTCATGTTAAGAAATCATAACAAATATCACCCTAATAACTATACTTATAACTATACTTATACTTAGTGAATGCATTAAAAATCTGATTTAAAAACAGTCATTTGACCTTTTATGTCTCTACTTGTTCTAAAATTTTTAATTCTTTGCTGTGTACTTCCTTCTTCATGCATCTACAAAGTTTACAACTTCAAGCACTCAATGGTCAATATCAGCCTTCTGGTCCTATCTTGACTGACCTTATTTTTGAGCTCATAAACACTATTACAGAAAAATATATAACCATAGAGACTGAGAACATTCAAAATTTTTGTCTCTTAACTGAGGGGAAAAGAACCCCATCAGTTTTACCCAGGAATTCTATATGACTATAGACAGCTCATGCTTTAATTTAATGCAGCATAGATTGCAATACTTCTCCACTAGCTCCTAACCCAACTTCATTACCTTTGTTATATATTTTATAAGAACGGAAATCTCCCAGTATCTTCTCACTGAATTTGCAATCCTACCTACACATTTCTTCTCCCCTTTTACTGCAATGAATGAATGTATCATCAACTAAGAATAATTCTTCAAATAATGAATTTCAACTACGTCCTCTTTCACAGGGATGTGAATCTATTATTTTGCCTATCTTCTATAGCTCCAATTTCTCTATTGGCTTAGTTTCATAGCATTAAATATACTCACATCTTTTCTGTATAAAAGTAAATGTCCACACATATGTACACATACACAGAAAATACACATACAGGATACTTCATAAATTCAGGTACTTTCTAAGATAGTACCTATGATCCTCCTTTTCACTTCTCATTTATTGCTCAGTCCACTTCAGTGGAGCTTCTATTTCCACTAATAGACTATGGTTCTACAAACAATATTATCAACCACATAACTAATTTTAGTCTTATGGATGTCTTGTTCCTAAACTTAACTCTTCTGAAGTATTTGAAGAGCAAAAACTCTTCTTTTTCTTGAAAATACTTCTACTGTAGTATTTAAACACTTCAACTACATAAGATACATAAATGTATTACAATTAGAATTATGATAAAAACAGCATATATTAAATATAATGTGATGTTTATTCACTCATGTATTTATTCTATAAATATTTGTTGAACATATAAGACAGCCCAAAAACTGGACTATTTGTTGAGACTGAAACAGTACTTATGATAGATGCAAAATTATTAAATTATAACTATGACATAAGTGAAAAAATTAAAATACAGCCTGATACATGGTATAGCCAAAGTAACTTTATCTACTCCAGCCATGAAGGGCTTCTCAACCCTGAAGGGGGTGCTAGAGTTAAAAGAAACTTGGTAAGGAAAGAGCATGAGCAGAAGTCTTGAGGGAAAAGAGGCTAGGAGAATTAAAGATTGGGAAACATAAGCAAGAAGACTGCCTTGAGATGAGGCCAGAAATTAGATAGCGTCTTGTTTATTCAGAGCCTTAAAGATCAAGTGATTTGGCACTTTATAGCATGAACTTTCAATACGACTGTAGTAGTTAAGAATGATGTGGGCTCTCTTGGTGAGGAAGATTAAAGAGATTCACTGCATCTGTGACATTGCTGGTGGGCTTTAACAGATTGTGACAGAAAGAGAAGGGTAATAGTTAATAGCATTCTAGGACACAGAGGTATCGTAAGTAAGGAAGCCAGGCAGAAAAGTGTAATAAAGTGCTCAGTGGAGGTATGATCTCATACTTCCTAAAGTTGATATTCTGCCAGTGGGATATTGTGAATGCTTTCTGTGTTCTGTACTGGAAAACATAATTAGTCCTAAGACTACATTTTTCTTTATTCTGGGAGAGAGCTGAGTAGTGAGCTCTCTAGTCACCAGATAAAAGGTAAATATCAACCCATTCCTTTAGAAAAATAAAAATTTTTAACAATGATATTTCAGATTACATTATTTTATTTTGCTTTATTATTTATTTATTTATTTATTTATTTTTGATATGGGTCTCCTTTTCTTATTTAGGCTTCTCTGGAACTCCTGGGCTCAAGCAAGCCTGCCACCTCAGCCTCTCAAGTTTCTGGGATCACAGGCATGAGCCACCACACCAGGATAATTTTTATTTTCCTATTTTTTAGAGATAGAATCTTGTGTTTCCCAGACTGATCTTGAACTTCTGGGCTCAAGCAATGTGCCTGCCTTGGACACCCAAAATTCTGGGATTACAGATGTGAGCCACTACACGGAGCCCAGATTACATGTTAAAAGTCATTTTATAAATTAAATGTGATATAATCATACAGATTAGATAATTTTTTATTTAAAATCTGAAATTATTTTATATTTAAAAATAACTTTAAAAAAATTTGGCCAATGTAGCTGTGTATTTTTGTAACGTTTTGTTCACCAGAGAGCATAAGCCCAGCCAAAGATAAAGATAAGAAATATAATCTCATCCAACCCTTTCTTCACTAACCAATTTTAACAAAGACTAGAACTAGGAGCAGAAAGAATTTCTTAATGTGTGGAAAACTTTAATTAGACCTGTTCTTTAAGTACTGGAGATAACTGAAGATATTCTTTAGAAGAATGAAGGTTGAGGTGGCTCCAATCTTGGGAGTCTTTGGCAGCTAGTTTGATGCTAGAGGTTAGTTTTAAGACTTTGTAAACCCTAAAGATTACTTTTATTTACAATTGCCAGTTATTTGCTATATTGTATGGATTGGTTCAATATTTTGTGGAATTAGTGAGAGTAAATTCTCAATTCTGAGGCAAGCTTGAGTTTCTCTATAATAGTCTCGGTAAAAATAAAATAAAAACCTATATCCAGTCAATAGTTAATCCATGGAGTTTTTAATTTTAAGGATTATAATACTGAGGAGGATGAGAAACTTTGAGCAGATTGAGCAGAAAAACCTGTAAGTTCTCAGATATATAGACAGCTCTCAGATATGACTGAGGGTAACATATTGAGAATTGTTCATCTAAGGCCAGTAGGCCAGAATGGCGCGTGTACTAATCTACATATAAAAGTAAGCATAATTCATTTAAGATGCAAATAAGTGATGTATGTATATATCTTATATGATTAACAAGGACTAATTTTTTACAATTTTTAAATCATGGAAATATAGTAAAAGTTTTATTTACTTCACTTGAGTCTCATAACAGAGGGCTCTTTAATGGTTAATAGCTTAGCAAAAATACAATAAGAGAGGCATGAGAGAAATAAAAAAAAACAGAGGCTAATATTTATTTTTATCATGATGAGTAGCTGAAATGGTAAAGTAAAACAAAACAGTAAAAATTTTTTCTCAAAACCACCTTGAAAGGAGGGCAGAATGAAATTGATGCGTGTGAAAATTGTCAAATAAGATTCATTTTCAGACATCAGAGATGACTCTTTCTTTCCCCCTTTATACCTAAAGGAGTGTAACAAATGAATTGGCTTTTTAGCAAATGGAAATAAAGAAGCAGAACAGACAGAGATTATGTCAGGAGTAAAGCTAAAGTATAACATGTCTCAGAGATAAAATTTTTCTGTTTCTTTTTCTAAGAAAATACATTTATTATGGCACTAGAAAATATATTTTAAATTACATTTTTGATTAAGCATATTATAATTAAATCTAATATTAAGTGATATTATCATAGTTAGATTATCTTTCAGGATGAATTTTAAATGATAGTATATACATTCTTTGTGTCTTTAGTTATCTACAATTAAGAAAAAATCCATTTAAAATATTTTGAGAAGGTTACCTGGTAGTTATCCTTGATTAAAAACCCACACATATTTAAAGACAACTGAATACTGTTCAACCATAAAAAGGAATAAAATTCTGTCATTGCAATAGCATGGATGGAATAAGTCAGACACAGACAAACATTGAATTTTGTCACTCACATGTGGGGCTAAAAAAAGTTCATCTCATGGAGATAGAGAGTAGAATGATAATTATCAGCAGTTAGAAATGGTGTGTGTGGGGGCCGGGGATGAAGAGAGGTTAGTTAATGTGTACAAATATACAGTTAGATGAAAGAATAAGGTCTAATTTTCCCTAGCAAAGTAAGGTGACCATAGGTAGCCAGAAGAGAGGACTTGGAAATGTTCCCCAAACATAGAAATAATAAATGGTTAAGGTGATAGATATCCTAAATACCCTTAATTGATCATCTTTACACATTCTGTGCATGTAACAAAAATCATATGTATTTCATAAATATGTACAAATATTATATATAAATAAAAATAAATAAATAAATCACCAAAAAACCTATACACATTTGTATTTAGAAGTCTTTTTTTACTGACCAATGAAAGAAAAAGAAAAATGTACCCATATCTTCTCTAAAAAGTTATGGCAGCTAGGTGTGGTGGCTCACGCCTCTACTCCCAGCATATTGGGAGGGCATGGCAAAATAATCACTTGAGCCCAGGAGTTCAAGACCAGATTTACCAACATGGAGAGACACTGTTCCTAAAAAGGTATAAAAAGTTATGGCAGCTTCAACTACAGGGTAGACTCTAAATTGACAATAAATTGCATTCTTGTTCCTGCAGGACACATGTGGAAAAGGACAGGTCTGTCTTTGGACAAAGTATACCAACTGCAGATAGAATACTAAATGACCTTAATCTATATTTTAAAAGGATATCAGTAGCCTTATTTTTACATAAACATTTAAATATGGGAGTCCCATTCTGGCTTCAAGAAGGAAGGGAGAAATTAGTCTATGAGTGCAAAACCATTATATTTCTTCTTCCTCATCCCCTCTCCCAAACCCACATTCTTCCATGTCATTTTAAACATCTTCACTTCATTTAATGTACTATTGCTTTTTCCTGAGTTTCCAAGAGCCATCTACCAGATTATCAAATCTGGCTCTAGAGGATCTTTCCAGGGTGTAAAATATTGAGGCTTGGAATAGTACCTCCATATCAAAAACTTTTCTGTATTCAACTTTACTTTTTTCCAACTCTGTCCCCTATTCCAGCACTCTCAAAGTCTACTCCCAAAAGGTTCAGGGTAATCTGAGAGTTGAATTTTCTACTGCAAAGTGCAGTATGCATATTATGCATGCAGTATACATGCATCTAACAAGTCTCAGGTTTTCTCTCCTTTTTTATCATAAGGTTGAAAACTCATCCTTCTCCTTATGTGCCCTCCAGCTCCTGATAATCTGAAAGTTTTTATATGATAGTTTGGATGCACTATACTTTCACACTTTGCCTTACATTGGTAATTGACCTACCTGAGTAATTGTTTTCTCTCTTCAATGCATCAAGGATACTAAGCAACAAATACCCATTCCTCCACAGATGTATCCCTACCATACCTTTCAAATGCAGTGTGTGTGGGAAAGCAAGGCATGGGTGTATCCTAGTTCAACATAAGTGAGATTCTTAGCAACTGCAAATCTTCAGCATAACAGGATACCCAGGTTTTCATTACTTCACCTACCACAAGAGATTCATTAACATCTAATTGGTGAGTGATTCACCCACAGAATCCCAATTTTAGAGTTTGCTTCCTGGGACCACTTCCAGTTACAGATTTCTTAGGCTACGTTCTTACAGAGCAGATCCTGAGCCAAAGATTCAGGTACAAGTAATACCTGAAATAAATGGTCTCAGAAAAAAACCAGTTAAGGATTGCAGAAAACAGAATAGGAAAAAAAAAAAAAAAAGGAATTCCAGCAAGCCTGCAATTTCAGGTTAGGTCCTATACTCAGTCTGATTCTGTGTGGAGCCCTGAAGAATAAATTTTACCTCATTTATCAAGGCAAAGAACTGGACTTTGTATTCTCCTCTCCAGGAAAGTTGGTTAACGTAAAACTCTTAGCATCTTTCATTTTTTTTTCTTGAGATGGAGTCTTGCTCTGTCATCCAGGCTGTAGTGCAATGGCGTGATCTTGGCATGCTGCAACCTCTGACTCCTGGATTCAAGCGATTCGCCTGCCTCAGCCTCTGGAGTAGCTGGGATTACAGGCACCCACTATCATGCCCAACTAATTTCTGTAATTTTGTAGAGACAGGGTTTCAACACGCTGTCCAGGCTGGTCTTGAACATCTCACCGCAGGTGATCCACCCTCCTTTGCCTCCCAAAGTGCTGGGATTACAGGCGTCAGCCACTGTGCCTGGCCACTCCTAGCATTTTTATTTCTCTTCATAAGAGATTGAACACCATTTTATAGAAAAACTTGCACTAGATACAAGTTGCTGGCCCAGGCACTATATCCATATAATAGAGTATAATTTCATATAATAATAAAATGCTTTAAAGTTATGTTCAGCTTCTAGATCTAGATAGCAGAGTGATCATGCATATTTGTTCTTTCCCTCTGAAATTTCTATTGCCATGACAGTAAAAAGATAAATGTGAGAGAAATAAAATGTTTAAAATATATAATGACATAAAAGAGGAAGGCCTATTAATTAAGCAGAACTTTTTTTTTACAATTTTCTGGGTAAACAATACAGCAAATGAAGACCATTGAGCTTCAGGAGGACAGCAAAATTAATCAAAGGAAAATAAGAATCATAGTAAAGCGACAGAGGAGCCGAAGGACTAAATAGCCAGGATTAAAAAAAGGACTTAACGGGCCTGACAGAGCTGAATAACACAACACAACAATGCAATCACAAGTATTAATAGCAGGATAAACCAAGCGGAAGAAAGAATCTCAAACTTGAAGGTGGTTCTCTGAAATATCAGAAGGTATACACTTAGAATGAACTCCTAATATGTACTGAAGAAGAAAACAAAGAAGGTGTGACTTATTCACCCAGGTGAAAAAGTGGGACTTCTTCAAGCTTACAATTTTAAAGGCCAGTTTTAAAAGAATTATTAATCAAAAACTATTCATAAAAATACTGATCTTATTTAGCACCACCCCTAGATGTCTACCCTCATCACAGGCATACCAAAAGACAGACCATTTACAAAGTTATCTGCACTTAGGCAGACAGAGAGAGACAGAAGACAAGAAAGATTCTTCCGGAAGACATTCTGTGATTTGTTTCAGGAGTGCTAGTTCTAAAAGTTTGGTGGCAAAAGTTTTTAAAAAAATGAAGGACATGTGTCTATACATGACTTAAATTCCAAATTTTCAAATATTTTTGTTAGGGAGTTCATACGTATCATACATGTGAACAAACAGTAGGCTAAACCAAGAATTAGAGGTGGAATCATGTGAGAAACACATTTAACTGAATGAAAATAATCTACAAATAATTAGGAAAGATGGAGAGGGAGAAAGACAAAGTGCAAGAGAGAAAAAGAGTGGAAGAAAGCAAACCTACTATAAATTCATAAATAGTGCATGCTGCTAAAGAGCTTCCTTTCAACTTAGAATTTAAAGGAAGGCAGAACCCTTCTTTGCAACATCTGTTTCTTCATGCCTTTCTTAGTACGAGCATCTTCCTACCATTTGTGCATCTAATATTTACAGATGATTTATTTCTGATTAAAAGAAATAGAACCCAAACATGAACCACTTTCCTCATGTGGTGGTTTAAACATAGAAACAAGTAAATTAATAAACCAATCTCAATTGCATTAGCTTCAAATAATTTTAAAAACTTAGGAATAAGTTTAATCAAGGTGGTGAAAATCCTATACAATGAAAACAAGAAAACATTGATGACACAAGTCATAGAAAGGAAACACAAGTAGATGGAAAGACATCTTGTATTCATGGGTTGGGAGAGTAATATTGTTTAAATGCCCATACTCAAAGTGATCTGCTAATTTAATGCAATCCCTATCAAAATCCCAATGGCATTTTTTAAAGAAATAAAAAAGAAATCCTAGAATTCATGTCAAGTTTAACTCATGCAATATGACAAGAAGATAAAAGAGAAGGTATTCAGATTGGGAATTAAGAAGCAAAACTTTTTGTTAACAGATGATATAATTGTCTATATAGAAAATCAGAAATAATCAAACAAAAGACCTCCTGGAACCAGTAATCAATTATAGCAGGGTTATAGAATATAAGATTAATAAACAAAAGTCAATCACCTTTCTAAATACCAGCAATAAACAGGTGAAATTTGAAATTAAGCATGCAATACAATTTACATTAGAACCCACTAAAATATTAAGATAAATATGGAATATTTATATGAAGAAAATTTAAAAATCTGATAAAATAATTCAAAGAAGAACTAAAGAAATGAGGAGATAGCCCATGCCCATAGATATAAAAAAATCAATATTATCAAGATGTCAGTTATTTATTACTTAATAATCTAATCTATAGATTCAATGCAATCCCAGTCAAAATCTAGCAAGTTATTTTGTGGATATTAGCAAAGTTATTCTAAAGTTTATTTAAAGAGGCTGAAGACCCAGAATAGCCAACATGTTATAGAAGAAGAACAAAACTTGGGAATTGACACAACTCAACTTTTAGACATACTGTAAAGCTATAGTAGTTAAGACTGTGGTATTGGTGAAAGAACAGACTAACAGATTGATGGAGACTAGAAGGAGATCCACCAAATATAGTCAACTGATCTTTGACAAAGGAGAAAAGGAAAAACAATAAAGAAAAGACGGGCTTTTCAACATATGGTGCTGGACCAACTAGACATACACATGCAAAAACTAAATCTAGGCACAGGCTTACATCCTTCACAAAATTAACTTAATATGAACCATAGATCTGACTTTAGTAAACAAAGTTATAACATACCTAGAAGATGACATAGGAGAAAATCTAGATGACCATGGGTTTGGTGATGACTTTCTAGATTCCATACCACAAGTGCAATCCATGAAAGAATTGTCAAGTTGGACTTCATTAATATAAAAATATCTGCTCTGTAAAAGACATTGTCAGTGGCTGGCAAAATGGCTGAATAGAAACAGCTCTGGTCTGCAGCTCCCAGCGAGATCAATGCAGAAGATGGGTGATTTCTGCATTTCCAACTGAGGTACACGGCTCATCTCATTGGGACTGGTTGGACAATGGGTGCAGCCCATGGAGGGTGAGCCAAAGCAGGGTGGGGTATTGCCTCACCCAGAAAGTGCAAGGGGTTGGGGAACCCTCTCCCCTAGCCAAGGGAAGCCATGAGGGACTGTGCCGTGAGGAATGGTGCATTCCAGCCCAGATACTATACTTTTCCCCTGTATTTGCAACCTGCAGACCAGAAGATTCCCTCAGGTGCCTACACCACCAGGGACCTTGGTTTCAAGCACAAAAATGGGCAGCTGTTTGGGCAGACACCGAGCTAGATGCACAAGTTTTTAATATACCCCAGTGGTGTCTGGAATACCAGCGAGAGAGAACCATTCACTCCACCGGAAAGGGTGCTGAAGCCAGGGAACAAAGTAGTCTAGCTCAGTGCATTCCACTCCCATGGAGGCTGGCAAGCTAAGATCTGCTGGTTTAAAATACTTGCTGCCAGCACAGCAGTCTGAAGTTGACATGAGATACTCAAGTTTGGTTAGGGGAGGGGCATCCACCATTACTGAGGATTGAGTAGGCAGTTTTCCCCTCACAGTGTAAACAAAGCCACCTGGAAGTTCAGACTGGGTGGAGTCCTCTGCAGCTCAGCAAAGCCACTGTAGCCACACTGCCTGTCTAGATTTCTCCTCTCTCGGCAGGGCATCTCTGAAAGAAAGGCAGCAGCTTCAGTCAGGAGCTTATAGATAAAACTCACATCTCCCTGGGACAGAGCACCTGGGGGAAGGAGTGGCTGTGGGTGCAGCTTCAGCAGACTTAAACATTTGTGCCTGCCAGCTCTGAAGACAGCAGTGGATCCCCAAGCACAGCGCTTGAGCTCTGCTAAGGGACAGACTGCCTCCTCAGGTGGGTCCCTGACCTCCGTGCCTCCTAACTGGGAGACACCTCCAGCTTCTGCAGACACTTCATACAGGAGAGCTCTGAATGGCAGCTGGTGGGTGCCCCTCTGGGATGAAGCTTCCAGATGAAGGAACAGGCAGCAATCTTTGCTGTTCTGCAGCCTCCGCTGGTGATACCCAGGCAAACAGGGTCTAGAGTGGACCTCCAGTAAACTCCAGCAGATCTGCATCAGAGGAGCCGGACTGTTGGAAAAACTAACAAACAGAAAGGAATAGCATCAACATCAACATAAAGGGTGCCCACCCAAAAACCCCATCTGAAGGTCACCAACATCAAAGACCAAAGGTAGATAAATCCATGAAGATGAGAAAAACCGGTGCAAAAAGGTGGAAAATTCCAAAAACCAGAATGCCTCTTCTCCTCCAAAGGATCACAACTCCTCATCAGCAAGGGAACAAAGCTGGAAGGAGAATGAGTGACAAATTGACAGAAGTAGGCTTGAGAAGGTGGATAATAACAAACTCCTTCAAGCTAAAGGAACATGTTCTAACCCAATGCCAGGAAGCTAAGAAGCTTGAAAAAAGGTTAGAGGAATTGCTAACTAGAATAACCAGTTTAGAGAAGAACATAAATGACCTGATGGAGCTGAAAAACACAGCATGAGAATTTCGTGAAACATATACAAGTATCAATAACTGAATTGATCAAGCGAAAGAAAGGATGTCTGAGATTGAAGATCAACTTAATGAAATAAAGCATGAAGACAAGATTAAAGAAAGAAGAATAAAAAGGAACAAACACAGGCTCCAAGAAATATGGGACTATGTGAAAAGACCAAACCTACGTTTGATTGGTGTACCTGAAAGTGATGGGGAGAATGGAACCAAGTTGGAAAACACTCTTCAGAATATTATCCAGGAGAACTTCCCCAACATAGCAAGGCATGCCAACATTCAAATTCAGGAAATACAGAGAACACCACCAAGATACTTCTCAAGAAGAGCAACCCCAAGACACATAATCGTCAGATTCACCAAGGTTGAAATGAAGGAAAATCTGTTAACAGCAGCTAGAGAGAAAGGTCAAGTTACCCACAAAGGGACGCCCACCAGACTAACAGCAGGTCTCACTGCAGAAACCTTATAAGCCAGAAGAGAGTGGGAGGCCAATATTCAACAATGTTAAATAATTTTCAACCAAGAATTTCATATCCAGCCAAACTAAGCTTCATAAGCAAAGGCAAATAAAATCCTTTACAGACAAGCGAATGCTGAGAGATTTTGTCACCACTGGGCCTGCCTTATAAGAGTTCCTGAAGGAAGCACTAAATATGGAAAGGAAAAATCAGTAGCAGCCACTGCAAAAACATATCAAATTGTATAGATTATCGACACTATGAAGAAACTGCATCAACTAACAAGCAAAATAACCAGCTAGCATCATAATGACAGGATCAAAATCACACATAACAATATTAATCTTAAATGTAAATGGGCTAAATGCCCCAATTAAAAGACTCAGACAGGCAAATTGGATAAAGAGTCAAGACCCATGGGTGTGCTGTATTCAGGAGACCCATCTCATGAGCAAAGACACACATAGGCTCAAAATAAAAGGATGGAGGAATATTTCCAAGCAAATGGAAAGCAAAAAAAAAAAAAAAAAAAAAAGAAGGGTTGCAATCCTAGTCTCTGATAAAACAGACTTTAAACCAACAAAGATCAGAAAAGAGGAAGAAGGGCATTACATAATGGTAAAGGGATCAATGCAACAAGAAGAGCTAACTATTCAAAATATATATGCACCCAATACAGGAGCACCCAGATTCATAAAGCAAGTTCTTAGAGACCTACAAAGGGACTTAGACTCCCACACAATAATAATGGGAGACTGTAACACCCCACTGTCAATATTAGACAGGTCAACGAGACAGAAAATTAACAAAGATATTCAGGACTTAAACTCAGCTCTGGACCAAGCAGGCCTAATAGACATCTAAAAAACTTTCCACCCCAAATCAACAGAATATACATTCTTCTCAGCACCACATAGCACTTATTCTAAAATTGACAACATAATTGGAAGTAAAATACTCCTCAGCAAATGCAAAGGAAAAATCATAACAAACAGTCTCTCAGACCACAGTGCAATCAAATTTGGACTCAGGAGTAAGAAACTCACTCAAAACCACACAACTACATAGAAGCTGAACAACCTGCTCCTGAATGACTACTGGGTAAATAACAAAATGAAGGCAGAAATAAATAAGTTCTTTAAAACCAATGAGAACAAAGACACAACATACCAGAATATCTGGGACACAGCTAAAGAAGTGTTTAGAGGAAAATTTATAACTAAATGCCCACAGAAGAAAGCGGAAAAGATCTAAAATCAACACACTAACATCACAATTAAAAGAACTAGAGAAGCAAGAGCAAACAAATTCAAAAGCTAGCAGAAGACAAGAAATAACTAAGATCAGCACAGAACTGAAGGACATAGAGACATGAAAAACCACTCAAAAAATCAATGAATCCAGGAGCTGTTTTTTAAAAAAAAAATCAACAAAATTGATAGACTGATAGCCAGACTAATAAAGAAGAAAAGAGAGAAGAATCAAATAGACACAATAAAAAAATTATAAAGGGGATATCACCACCAATCCCACAGAAATACAAACTACCATCAGAGAATACTATAAACATCTCTACACAAATAAACTAGAAAATCTAGAAGAAATGGATAAATGCCTGGACACATACACCCTTCCAAGACTAAACCAGGAAGAAGTTAAATCCCTGAATAGACCAAAAACAAGTTCTGAAATTGAGGCAGTAATTAATAGCCTACCAACCAAAAAAAGTCCAGGACCAGATGGATTCACAGCTGCATTCTACCAGAGGTACAAAGAGAAGCTGGTACCATACCTTCTGAAACTATTTCAAATAATAGAAAAAGAGGGACTCCTCCCTAACTCATCTTATGAGGACAACATCATCCTGATACTAACACCTGGCAGGGACAAAACAAAAAAAGAAAATTTCAGGCCAATATCACTGATGACCATCGATGTGAAAATTCTCAATAAAATACTGGCAAACTGAATCCAGCAGCACATCAAAAAGCTTATCCACCATGATCACGTCAGCTTCATCCGTGGGATGCAAGGCTAGTTCAACATATCCAAATCAATAAATGCAATCCATCACATAAACAGAACCAATGACAAAACCACATGATTATCTCAATAGATGCAGAATAGGCCTTTGATAAAATTCAACACCCCTTCATGCTAAAATCTCTGAATAAACTAGGTATTGATGGAATGTATCTCAAAATAGAGTTATTTATGACAAACCCACAGGTAATATCATACTGAATGAGTAAAAGCTGGAAGCATTCCCTTTGAAAACCAGCACAAGACAAGGATGCCTTCTCTCACCACTCCTATTCAACATAGTATTAAAAGTTCTGGCCAGGGCAATCAGGCAAGAGAAAGAAATAAATGGTATTCGGTGGGTGATGTTCCCCTCCCTGTGTCAATGTGTTCTCATTGCTCAACTCCCACTTATGAGTGAGAACATGTGGTGTTTGGTTTTCTCTTCTTGTGTTACTTTGCTGAGAATGATGGTTTCCAGTTTCATCCATGTCCCTGTAAAGGACATGGACTCATCCTCTTTTATGGTTGCATGGTATTTCATGGTGTATATGTGCCATATTTTCTTTATCCACTCTATCATTGATGGGCATTTGGGTTGGTTCCAAGACTGCTCTTGTGAACAGTTCCACAATAAACATACAGATGCATGTGCCTTTATAGTAGAATGATTTATAATCCTTTGGGTATATACCCAGGATTGCTGAGTAAAATTTCTAGTTCTACATCCTTGAGGAATCAACACACTGTCTTCCACAATGGATGAACTAGTTTACAGTCCCACCAACAGTGTAAAAGTGTTCCTATTTCTCTACATCCTCTCTGGCACCTGTTGTTTCCTGACTTTTTAATGATCATCATTCTAACTGGTGTGAGATGGTATCTCATTGTGCTTTTTTCTTATGAAACCAAAAAAGTGCCCATATAGCCAAGACAATTCTAAGCAAAAAGAACAAAGCTGGAGGCATCATACTACCTGACTTTAAACTATACTACAAGGCTACAGTAAACAAAACAGCATAGTACTGGTTTCAAAACAGATATAGACCAATGGAATAGAACAGGGGCCTCAGAAATAATGCTGCACATCTACAATCATCTGATCTTTGACTAACCTGACAAAAACAACCAATGGGGAAATTATTCCCTATTTAATAAATGGTGTTGGGAAAACTGGCTAGCCATATGCAGAAAACTGAAACCGGACCCCTTTCTTACAGCTTACACAAAAATTAACTCAAGGTGGATTAAAGACTTAAACATAAGACCTAAAACCATAAAATTCCTAGAAGAAAACCTAGGCAACACCATTCAGGACATAGGCATGGGCAAAGACTTCATGACTAAAACATCAAAAGCAATGGCAACACAACCCAGAATTGACAAATGGGATCTAATTAAACTAAAGAGCTTCTGCACAGTAAAAGAAACTATCATCAGAGGGAACAGGCAACTTACAGAATGGGAGAAAAACTTTGCAATCTACCCATCTGACAAAGGGCTAACATCCAGAATCTACAGAGAACTTAACCAAATGTACAAGAAAAAAACAAACAACCCCAACAAAAAGTGGGTGAAGGAAACGAACAGACAATTCTCAAAAGAAGACATTTATGCAGCCAACAAACATGAAAAAATGCTCATCATCACTGGTCATTAGAGAAATGCAAATCAAAACCACAATGAGATACCGTCTCATGCCAGTTAGAATGGTGATCATCAAAAAGCCAAGAAACAACAGATGCTGGAGAGGATGTGAAGAAATAGGAATGCTTTTACACTGTTGGTGGGAGTGTAAATTAGTTCAACCATTGTGGAAGACAGTGTGGCGATTCCTCGAGTATATAGAACCAGAAATACCTTTTGACCCAGCAATCCCATTTCTGGGTATATATCGAAGGGATTATAAATCATTCCACTATAAAGACACATGCACATGCATGTTTATTGCAACACTAATCACAATAGCAAAGATTTAGAACCAACCCAGATGCCCATCATTGATAAACTGGATAAAGAAAATGTGTCACATATACACCATGAAATACTATGCAACCATAAAAGAGGATGAGTTCATGTTCTTTGCAGGGACATGGATGAAGCTGGAAACCATCCTTCTCAGCAAACTAACACAGAAACAGAAAATCAAACACCACATGTTCTCACTCATAAGTGGGAGGGGATCAATGAGAACACATGGACACAGGGCGGGGAACATCACACAACAGGGCCTGTTGGGGGTGGGGGTGACAGAGGAGGGATAGCATTAGGAGAAATACCTAATATAGATGACAGGTTGACGGGTGCAGCAAACCACCATAGCCAGTGTATACATATGTTAACAAACCTGCATGTTCTGCACATGTATCCCAGAACTGAAAGTATAATAATAATAATAATAATAATAATAATAATAATAATAATAATAATAAAAGACATTGTCAATAGAATTAAAAGTAACAGGTTGGGGAAAATATTTGCAAAGGAAATATTACATAACGGACTATGATCCAAAGTATACAAAAAAATTGTAAAACTCAACCATAGGACAACAAACAACCCATTAAACATTGAGCCAAAGACCTTAACAAACATATCCACAAATAAGATATACAAATGGCAAATACACATGAAAAGATACTCTATATCATATGTCATCAAATAAATATTAAAACAAACAGGAAGATACCAGTACACGCCATTAGAATAACCACGAGATAGAACCCTGACACCACCAAATGCTGACAAGGGTGTGGACCCACAGTAACTCTTTTCATTGCTGATTGAAATGCAAAATGGCACAGCCTCTTTGGAATAGTTTGGCAGTTTCTTGTGAAACTAAACATACTCCTTACCATACAATCTGAAAAATAGCACTCCTTGTTATTTATCCAAACGTATTGAAATCCTATGTCCCCAAAAACTCTATGCATGGATGTTTGTAGCAGCTTTGTTCTTAATTACCTAAAATTTGGAAGTAACCAAGATGTCCTTTAGTAGGTGAATGTAGAAATAAATGATAGAACATCCAGAATTAGGAACTGAAGTTTTAAATTTATTTTATTTTATTTTATTCCAGTTTATTTAAATAGTGACTACAGTGTTGGACAGGACAGTTTTATAATATGCTAAGAACTAAACAGTGATGTAGTAAAAATAAGTACATATGAGATTTGAAAACAGTAGGCAGAGATAAATATTTTTTCCTTTAATATTATACAGTATTTTTCCAATTTTAAGTTTACTGCATGCATTTTTATTAAAATAATATTTTACAAACATATATTTGTTTTATATATCCCATGCTAGACACTTTGTACACATTATCTCTTTGATCAAAAAAGCAATGTGTATGATTTGTAATACGACTCCTATTTTATATATGAATGAATTCCAGAGTGGTTAATAACTTTAATCTTTGAATTGAAACAGATAATGCTATCTAGTGAAATATCTAGTAAATGGGAATTATTCAGAAAATTTATATGTGAATAAATGAACATGTATAGAGATAAATAAATTTGCATTTTGGGGGGGTAAGCTTGTGTAAATTTGCATTCCAGTATACAAATACACCTTTATCTCTGTTTGAAAGTGTATAACATGCTTTTTCTTTATTTATCGATCTCCTCCTATAATAAAACAAAAGCTACCTTGTCATGGGTAAGACAATTAGCCTCTCCTATAGGAATTATCTCTGATTGTAGAATGGACATAGAACTGTAAAAATTGGAAGGCTGAGATTAGAAAATTTTATTAATGTAAAATCCTCATTTAATGCCTTAGATAAAGGGGAGGTACAGTAGACTATAATGGCTGGTATTATTATTTTTCTTATTTTGTTACATAATTTGGCACACATAAAGAAAAAAAGTGCTGATAATCCTTGATACGTATTCTTGAATTTTTACACTGACATTGTGATGAACTTTTAAACTTTCATTACTGAACTGCAAATTTAAATCTAATTTGTAGCTTTTGGATATTTCAATATATTTTTCAGCTTTGTTTTTAAGATTTCCCTTTATATTAAATATATCTGTCATAGATACTCTGTCACTGGGTATAAGAGCTTCTTTATTTTACAAATGATTCATGCTATATTATTTGCTCATATCTCTAACACATCTCATTTCCTTTCCATTTCTCTCTGTTTTTAGTGATGTTCAAGGCTGACAATTTAGGATAATAAGTTATTTTAGTTAAAGATCTGTTTACTATCTTTTTCTGAATCAATGTGATTGAGGATCTCATGGATGACTTTTTCAATATGAAACAAATTCAATACTAGTGATAAAGAGCTGTGCGTTGATGTCATGCTGAAACTCTGCTGTAGCAATCCTCTGTGCTGCTCTTTATGATCACTGTTTCCTTTGTTCTGTTTCCTGGATGTTGCTAATGTTTATAGAACTGTACTAGATGACAGTAAATTGGTCTGGATTGAAATTATTTCTTACCCTTTTCTCTGCTTCGGAAAATGATGGTTATTGTTCAAGGCATGGCTGTGTTAGCATTACTCCTTTATTCTCCCAGTATTCTACTATTATTATTGTCATTATTCATTTCAAAAATATTATTGAGTTGATGAAAAAAATGCCTATTACATATTAATCTTTTAATACGTCAGGATCTAAGAATTTTAATGGGTGTGTGTTTGTGTACACACCTATGCAAGTAATTTGTATACATGTCTAAATATATGTATAAAATAAGTAAAGGCCTCATATTATCTTTTTATAGACACATCCATCCACAATACATAACCTCTGGAATTAGTTAGTCTATTCTTCATTTCTATAATTTTGATATTTCAAAAATTCACAATACATAACCTCTGGAATTGTTAGTCTAGTCTTCATTTTTACAATTTTGACATTTCAAAAATTATATATATATATATATATATATATACACATACATATATATATTCTCAAAGCAATTCTTTGAGATAATTTATAGAGTCACTTTATTTCAGAGGATAAAACTTAGGTTGAAAAGAATTAAGTACCATGCCCCACCTATGTACTCTACAATTTGCATTAATAATTTCTGTAATTAATAACAATAAGCCTATTTTTAAGACACTTTATGAATTATAAAATGAGAGAAATGTTTATGTATATAGAAAATAATTAAATGCTTTTTTTAGATTGGCCATTTATAAAGGCATTGTAAGCCACCATGCTTCACTCTTTATTTTTCCAAGGCTTACTTTGCTTTGCTGCACATTTTTTCATGTAGGCTCTAAGTCTTACAGTCTTGGACACTAGGCAGCCAGGTAGTGACTAAGATTATGAAACTGTCACTTATACATGAGAGACGTGCTTAATCCAGAGTCTGTTACTGAAATAATCTAGAAGAAACTTTCCCAGTTTCTTATAAGAAGATGTAAACACTTTTTTAAATTTGCTAAAAAGTGTTTACATCTGTCTCATATTATCAGTATTACCATAAAATATTTTAAATTAATTTTTAAGTCTTCTGGGATCCTAGCTTAAATCACAGTGTTTCTTGCATTCTGCATACTCTTTCTTTCTAATATGATTTATTCCAGTGGCTCATGAAACTGTGCTTTCAAACACCATGTCTTTAATTCTACCTTTTAGTGAGTTCCAGGATCACATTTCTATCTCATTACCATTTAAAGGCCAGCGAGCAATCTTAAGTATGTTTAAAGTGAAATTCATCCAATTCCAAATGTGATCTCCATAAAATATTCCCTGTTGAAGGTAGTCTTATTAATATACTTCTTGCTTTAAGTTTCAATACTTTAGTAGCTTCTGGGTTTTATAGAGAGGTGTAGATAAAACATATCCTCACCGACTCCTACTGCCATAGAAAATATTTCTGTTCAAGTATGTCTAGTACATTTTTAATGTGAAACTTGCATTTAAGGATTTATCTATGTTAAGACTCTATGTTTAATGGAGATAAAGACGGTTTAAAATTTGCCCCTTCAAATTTGTTTCCATAAATGCACATAAAGCTAATAAATATAGCATCTGGTATTTTTTACCTGCATTTGTAACATTACGCAAGCTTTTAAAAATGATTCATGTAATATTTTTATTATTTACATTTCTGTGTTAGAACTATTTCATAAGTCTACTTCAATCTTTAAAATATTACAAAATAAATTATTTTTCCATTTTCAAATTGTACTGTTAAAATTTTGGTTTTAGGTATATGTCAATCCAAAGTGATGATAAGAAAGTTCTATTTCTCATGATCAGATGGTGGAGCCGGTGATTCTGTCTAGTCAAAAACCAAAAAGACATAACAAAGGTTGACGATGTCATGGAGTTGTCACATGCGATGCTCAATTGAATGCTGTAATCTGCCTCTGGCTTCGTGTGGAGGAGTATGTGTCTGTGCCTTTCAAGTTTCTGACAGAGATTCTGATATTCACAAGTTCTATTACCCAGTCAAGGCAATGTTCACTTTTCTCAACTGTCATCACCCTGAAATTATCAGCCATATGGTCCCACTTTAGCAGCTCTCCAAAATATCTGTCAATCTAAATCATCTGCTAGGACACTTGGATATAAGCAATTTGTGATGCTTGTCTACTCATTTACAATCAGCATTTAATCTTTTCCTTTATGTTAATTCAACTTGTGGCCATTGCTCCAGAAAATCAAATGTAGAACAGTTTGTGAAAAGAACCCTAATATATTTCAGATCACCTAGCATTCATAAATGCATCATATCATTTACTGATGGTAGAAACTTTTACATGTACATGCCTCATTTGGCCTTAATGTGGTATATTTTACAGAAGACAATGGAACACTCCAACAACTGCTGTGTAGCTTTGCTAAATTATCTAATTGCAAG
Source organism: Homo sapiens (assembly GCF_000001405.40). Taxonomy (NCBI): domain Eukaryota; kingdom Metazoa; phylum Chordata; class Mammalia; order Primates; family Hominidae; genus Homo; species Homo sapiens. Next base: position 56,773,806 of record NC_000013.11, read on the forward strand.
CAAACCAACCCTCAAAAGCCCTGTAGTCATGAATGAAAGCACAATTTCAAAAGATATTTTATTGATTCACATTGTTAAAAAGCAAGAATGAAAATATGGTCTCAAACATTAAATAAAAACTCTTCTTCTCTCTCACTCTGTCTTTCTGTCTCTCTCCTTCTATTACTTGTGCACACACACACAGACACACACACACACACAGGCATAGCACTCATATGCAGGAATTCAAGTCTAATGTTTTTCCAGTCCCATGTTGCATTAATTTATTAGTTATCATCAAATAAGTTTTACCTGTCAATAGTTTAAAAATATTTTGAAATAACTATCATTCTAGATAATTTACTCAATTGCTTACCTACAAAATTAGAAGAATAAACCCTCCAGTAGCTTAAAATGGCCACAAGATTTTTCATACCTCTTTATTTCCATATACTATGAATCTGAGTTGCCCTTTTGTTTTGACCAAAAGAATTTGGTGAAAGTGATGGAGGATATATGAAGCCCGGCCTGGAGAGGTTTTGCATCTTCTATTTTTCTTGAAAGGCTGCCTTGAAACTACAATATGAAGATATTCAATATCAATATCTTCATGTTGTAGATACATTATATCTACAATATAAATGATGTTTATTTATAACATCAAACATGATGTTTATTTATTATTAGGCTCCCAATAACAAGAGTAAGAAATCAACATGAAAGAGAAGTGAGGCACTTAACAGCCAGCACTATCTACCAGAGAAGAATGAGGCCTTCTTGGGTAGCTGAACCTCCAGATAAATGCAACCATCTGAATCAATCCTGAGAAAACAGTAGAGGAACCACACAGCCAAACCATAGAACTAGGAGAAAAAGCAGGTTATTGTTGTATTTAACCACAATAATGTAAAGTTTTTAATGGTGTAGCAATAGTTAGGTTTACATAAATGCTGACGTTAAAACAAACATGGAAGATAATGCTTTACTAATTTTTAAATTAAGTATTTATGGCTGACTTAACTATTTAATTCTGAGTGGAATCAAGGTAAAATTATCTGGCTTATACTCTCTGTTCCTGGATACATTTATGATTGTCAATAATTATTTGTTTCAGGTTACCAGTTGATATCTGAGATAGCATTTCTGACTTACTAAAGTTACATTTTAAACTCCTGCTCTACAAGAAAGAATAGAGGATTTAAGACGTGAAAACTAAGATTAAGGTACCGATTCTTCCATTTACACATGTATAAAGATAACAACTCCCTTGTGTATTTTGCAGTTATTTGTTAATTGATAATGTATGAACATGTGTTTGAAATATTTTTAAACGACTTCACAGACTATTCTCATGTTCTTACAACTGATTGCTAATATAAAGTTTCTGTATACTTTTCTGGAAATAAAAGAGAGTCTCACTTCTCTAACCCATTATAGTGAGAAGATGTGACCATGTAATATGTTCTAATCAATGAGACAGGAGTATATGCTGCTTCCAGTTGGAAACATTTAAGAGATAATGTGATTTTCCTTCTTCCTTTGCCTCGGTGCCATTCAAACACTTAACGGTTTCCATATATTTGAGTCCTCGAGTAGATCGATATGGAGCAAAGTTCCCTTCTGGCTAGCACTGGACATGTAGTGTGCACAAGAAATAAACCTTGTTGTATTAGGTTACTGAATTTTGCTGCTCTCTGATGACTGTTAGCCTACCTAAACTGTTTTGATTAGTATACTATAGGAACTTATATAAATTAGCATTATTGGTGATAATATGTTCAGAGGCACTTAAATGTGGTTTGTGTCCAACATTGATTTTATGATAAAATAGTGGCATTTATTTCCGTTGGGAAGTATAACTATAATAAACTAGTAAACTATAATAATTAATTTATGCATCTCAGTGTTGCCTTACATTGCTTACAAATTGCTTATAAATAACAACTTATAAATTGCTTATAAATAACACCATGCTGAACTATTGCTATTACTTATTAACTATTGCTTATAAATAACACCATTCTTATAAATAACACCATGCTGAACTATATAGGAGCATGAGACAAAATGAAAAGTATGAAGCCCTATACATATGGTTTAATGAATTTTAATAGTTAATTTTCCCATAATCTTAAAGTGACTGAAAAAATAAAAACTAAAAAGTAGATATATTAAAGTAGATACATTAAGTTCAAATATGTCATTTATACCAAAAATAATTTATTACAATTATATGTTCTCGGTTTAATGAGAGCAAACTTATCAGTGATATTTTCAAAATCTACTTCTTAACTTGCTCATTTTCACTTGAGATTTTGCTATATTTGACACCAAGTCTTTTACCAAGCAACAATCATATATTTTTAAATTAACTTCAGCTGACTGAAACTTTTTTCACATGATACCACTGTAACTGGTGTTATAAAAACAGTTCTCAAAGCCACTTCAAAATGTTGATAAGATTCCATCAAAAATATTTTTGGAATGAGTTTTGGAAAATCAAAACACAATGCTGATTTTCTATTACAAAATATTGAGACTTAATGCCACTTAAAATATTTCAGATGAAATTTCTACAGCAATAAAATCAATATATTTAAGAAGCAAGTCCATAGCTGCTTTTGGTAAATCAGATGTATTCATTAAAAAAAAAAACCTTTCTGTTTAAAAATTTAAAATCTGAAGAGACTCTTTTTAATAATTTATATCTCCATTTCAAATGTTGTAAAAGTAGTATGTATACACTTTTTAATTTATGTTTATATGCAATTCACCCATAATAACCCTGTTATCTAGTAATTTTTTACATTTCCATTTTCTTTTCTTTTTTGTTGATTTTCAAATTCAGAAAGTATATTCATACTTCTTGCTGACATTTTACTGTCATCAAATATACTTTCAACGTTTCTTTCTCTCACTTGTAAGCGAAGCAATAGGCCTTCTATTAAACATGCAGCTTTATATATAGTCTATTTTTTAGTGTACAGCTAATAATGTCTCCCATTTGATCCAAAGTCTCATCCTACACAGCTACAAGGCACACAAATTTCTAATCTCATTGCTCCCAATGGTTTTATTTATAGCATAATGTATTTTGTTATTTCATACTATGTCTTTTTTTATTTGTTACACATCTTTATTTGTGTGCGAAGTTCCTTGATTGCATTTGATCCTGATGCCTATTGGGTATTCATATGTATTTTAATGTACGTTTTAAACAGACGTAAACATACCCCAATCTCTTATTAAATTCACAGAAAAGGTATGTGTGTATACATATACACTAAATATAAATATATATACACTAAATATATGTATTTACTGTTAAGGATGTCTATAATCACCCTTATATTCTTGCATTTTTGTCTCCTCAGAGAAATGTGCCATTGTTTTGCCAAATCTCAGAAGCTGTAAATTTGAAAATAATTCCAAATAGCATATCCAGGTTTACCGGTACGGTGCATTTTATTTTCTTGATTTTATTTAACTCCTCTTCTCTGTATCTTCATTACTAGTATTTAGCTTAAATCTTCATCAGGTCTCACCTACATTGCTAAGCAGTGCCTCAATTATTCCCCTTTCCTCCAATCTTATTAGAGAATTACCCAACACATTGGTTAAATATATATATAATATATATTAAATATACATATTAAATTTATATAATATATATATTAAATATATATAATATATATATTAAATTTATATAATATATTAAATATATATAATATATATATTAAATTTATATAATATATTAAATATATATAATATATATATTAAATTTATATAATATATATTAAATATATATAATATATATATTAAATTTATATAATATATATTAAATATATATTAAATTTAATATAATATATATTAAATATATATATTAAATATATATTATATTAAATTTAATATAAATATAATATAATATAATATATAATATATAAAATATAAATTTAATATAAACTATATATTAAAAAATATATATATATATATATATATATATATATATATATATTAAGATGGAGTCTCCCTCTGTCTCCCAAGCTGGAGTGCAGTGGCACAATCTCAGCTGATTGCAACCTCTGCCTCCCAGGTTCAAGGGATTCTCCTGCCTCAGCCTCCCAAGTAGCTGGGATTACAGCCGTGTGCCACGACGCCTGACTAGTTTTATATTTTTAGTAGAGATGGGGTTTCACCATGTTGGCCAGGCTGGTCTTGAACTCCTGACCTCAGGTGATGCAGCTGCCTCAGCCTCCCAAATTGCTGGGATTACAGGCATGAGCCACCGCATCCAGCCAAAAAATGAATCTTTGTAGTGTGAAACTGGGGGAATATTTTATAAGAAAAACCTGTATTAGCTTCCAAATGTCTCCAGGATGAAGTTTAAACATTTAATATGCATTGTCCATAGAGCTTTCTGTCATTCAAAACTTTTTCTTTAAAAAAAAGCATGTAATTCCCTGTGCCTAGGATGTGCTAAGCCCCAAAAACCCTCCCTCCCCAGAAGCTGTATGGATTCATTTCGCAAATGTCTATGAAATACCTACAAATGTTCTAACAGTTCAAGGATCAGATCTGCAATGAATTATTTTCTGACTTACCCCTGCCCCACTAGCAGTCTGGCATAATTTTTACCTTTTTCTTCTACCAGAAAATCTCCAGAATGGTTTTATTAACTAGATTGTACCTGCATATATCTTCCTATCTTACTTGGAATATTGAAGGTAAAAATTGTACATCAGGGTCTTACAGGTAACGGAGACTTTTTGAATCTGAATAAAATAGAATATAAATGTCAACCTTCATGTCAGGTCTTGACAAATGTGGACTCAATGTTAGAGTGAAGATGGAAAGAAGTTTAAGTTTAGGGGTAGAGTTAGCACTACTTGTTGAAGGATTAGATTTAGGATGTGCAGAAAAGAGAATGATTAACAGTTAATCCTGGATTTGTAGTTTGATTATCTGAGAAGATGGTATTTATATTTCCTGAGAGGAAGAAAAATGCAGTATGAATATATTATAAATCATATAAATCCAGCATTCTTTTTTGGCTTATTTTCCATTTAGTTTGCATTTGTGGACCCCCCCTTTTTCTTCTTCATAACTCCAAAAAATTTCTGACCTCTTATTTCTTATTCTCATAAATGTAAGTTTTATGTAGAGGGCTTACCATTTGTCATTTACCTTTAAGAACTCTGCCTCTCAAAATTTGATATGCATACATATCAGCTTAGAAGCTTGTTAAATGCAGATTCTTATTTAGTAAGTCTGAGGTAGATCTGAAATTCTACATTTACTACAAGCTCCCGGAGGGAGGACTGATGATATAGGTTCAGGTGAGACAGTGTGTTGGAATAACAAGGCATCAGTTCAAAAAAATGTATTCAATATGCTGTATTCCAGAGACATAAATCTTCAGTACTTTGTCATTGTATCTAGTTATAGGATTTTTTTCCTTATTGATAAAAATAATTTATGTCAGCTGACATGACACCTACCACCTTGGGAAATAGGATCATGACCAAGCTCAAAAGTTATGGGCCAAGTTGACATGGTGCCTTGCATCCCAGGCAAACAGAGTCTTGACTGAGCTAAATAACCCTGCCCTGTGAGCTGAACAATCACAGTGAACTGCCTCCAGAAAACTGGACAAGCTTTCCAGAGTCTGAGCTGCTGTGGTGCTTTTCCTCCCCAAAGAGTGAGGTCATTTGGGCTTGAGACATAGCTACACCCCACCAGTCCTGGGTCCTTGATGCTAATGCACTCAGCCTTGCAGAAACTGGGATACTGCCATGTTCCATGTCTCAAGATCCAGAGTTATCACTATACAGTGTCTCATTCCCCAAGACCTGAGTTGCCATTGTGCCCTGTTAGGTCTGAGAACTTAATTGCCGCTGTGCCCTACTTTGAGGGGTCCAAGTCTCCAGAATACCCCTTCTTCACCAGAAATATGCCAGTGGTGCAACCCAGGATCAGCAGCACCTCTGCTTCATGGCTCTCTGGGCCTGAGCTGCTGAGGTATACCTGCAATCACAGATCATGGCTGTGTGGGGATCTGCATCTACCTGTCTGAGAGATTGAACCCACACCCAAGTCCTAGGTGACACTGCAGTTCTGTGAGACCCTGAGTTAAAGATGCTGGCTCCCACAGCCACTCCAGTGACTTGTGCCCTAGAATCTAACATTGTTTCAGCAACCTGTGGGACATGTTAGACCTGATACCAAGAGGGATGCTCTCAGCTGAGAGTTCCCCACTATAGGGAAAAGAGGAACAGGAACCCGCAAAACATCCTTGTGACCAAAGAAATGAATACCTCATGTACTGCCACAATTGTTACAAAATTCTGCAGCCTTGGACACCAAGGCACCTGCAGGCATCACTGAGATTGATCATAGCTGACAAAGCTGCATGGACACTATATCACCGCATCCACCCAAAACCAGAGCCACTGCAGCCCGTTCAACAGGCATCCTCAGACCCATGTGCAAGTGAAAGTCTCTCTATGAAAGCCAATCTGTAAAGTTTGGAGTAGGTGACTGCTCCACCAGACACATAGATATAAATACAAAGGCAAAACAAACATAGAAAAGCAAGAAAGCATAGCATCGACAAAGAAATGCAAAAATTCTTCAACAACTAATCCATGCCTGAAAAGGAATTCAAAGTAATAATCTTAAGAAAACTCAGCAAGATAAAAGAGAACAGAGATAGACACTTCAATAAAATCACTAGAAAATTCATAGTCTGAATGAGAAATTCAACAAAGTTACAAATCATAACAAAGAACCAATGGAAATCTTGGAGCTGAAGAATTTAATGAATAAAATAAAAAAAGAGAGAGCTTCAAGCTAGACTAGACCAGCCAGAAGAAAGAATGTATAAATTTTAAGATAGGTCTTTTGAAATTTTCCAGTCAGAGAAAAAAAAATGAAGAAAGTCTATTTAAGTTAAAAGATATCCCCTTCCAGAAGGAACACAGAGAGAAATTATCAGAAAGCTTATTTAATAAAGTAATTCCTGAAAACGTCTCAAGTCTTGGGAGAGGTATTGACAACCAGATCTATGAAGCTTAAAAGTACTCAAGAAGGATCAACCAAGGCCCTCACAGATGCATATTATAGTCAAATTGTAAAAAGCCAATATCAGGGGGCTGGGTGCGTTGGCTCACACCTGTAATCCCAGCACTTTGGGAGGCCAAGGCAGGCGGATCACGAGGTCAGGAGATCGAGACCATCCTGGCTAACACGGTGAAACCCCATCTCTACTAAAAATACAAAAAATTAGCCTGGTGTGGTGGCAGGCGCCGGTAGTCCCAGCTACTCGGGAGGCTGAGGCAGCAGAATGGAGTGAACCCAGGAGGCAGAGCTTGCAGTGAGCAGATAGCGCCACTGCACTCCAGCCTGGGAGACAGAAGGAGACTCCCTCTCAAAAAAAAAAAAAAAAAAAAAAAAAAGAAAAAAAGAAAAGCCAACATCAAAGAGAGAATTTTCAAAGCAGTAAGAGAAAAGTGACGTGGTACTACAACGGATTCTTCATCAGACTATTAATGAAATTCTCTGTGGAAACTTTGTAGACCAGAGGAGTATGAGGTAATATATTCAAAAGTGCTGAAAAATAAATAAATAAAGCCAAACAAGAATACTGAACCTAGTAAATGTGTTCTTCAGAAATGAAGATGATATAAAGCATTTTCTGGAAAAGTAAAAGCTGAGACAGTTCATCACATAGGACCTGACACACACCCACCCATACACACACACAGAAATGCTTAAGGGAATTCTTAAGTGGAAACAAAAAGACACTAATAAATAACATGACAACATTATGAAAGTGTACTTAATGATAAAGGTAAATATATAGTCAAATTTAGAACACTCTAATTCTGTAATGATAGTTTGAGGATCATTTATATTTGTTGTATAAGTTAACAGATAAAAAAGTTAAAAAACTATAACTACAATAATTTGTTAAATAATATACAATACATATGAGATATAAATTGTGACATCAAAAATATAAATTATGGGGGAGATGGTAAAAGTCTGGAGTTTTGTATGCAATTGAAGTCAAATTTCTAACAATGTAAAATCTACTGTTATAACTATAGGATGTTTTATGTAAGCCTCAGGATAGTGACAAAGCAAAAATATACCAGACAAATGATAGACAATAAAATCAAAGCTTAGCCCTACAGACACAGTATCACAAACGTAGACAACAAGAGAGGATGAAAGGAATAAAAGATCTATAAAACAAAGAGAAAATAATGATCACAATGGCAGTAGTAAGTATTTACCTATCAATAATAACCTTGAATGTTATTAAATTCTCCAAACAACAAACATACAGTGACAAAGTGGGAAAAAAAAAACCTAAAAATCAAAAACAACCACTACATGCTATGTACAATATATCCAATTTAGCTATAAAGATACACATAGACCGAAAGTGAACAAAAGAAACAAGTTATTCCATGTAAATAACTAAAAGATAGAAGGGATCGCTATATTTATATCAGACGAAATGAATTTCAATTTCAAAATTGTCACAAAGGGCAGAGATGGTTGCAATTTAAAGATAAAGGTGTCATTATATCAAGAGGACATAACAATTGTAAATATATATGTACTCAATATCAGAACACCTAAATATATAAAGAATGGAAAGACAGATTGTAGTGCAATAATACTAGGGGACTTCGATATGTCAGTTTCAACTATGGATAGATCAATCAGACAGAAAATTAATGAGAAAATACTGAACTTGCACTTCACTTTAGAGGAAATAAACTTAGTAGACATATACAAAACTTTCCATGCAACAGGAGCAAAATACACATTCTTTTCTACTGTGCATGGAACATTCTCGAAGATAAACCATACGATAGGCCACAAAATATGTGATAACAAATTTAATATGATTGAAATCATATCAAGTATTGTTTCTGACCACAATGGTATGAAACTAGAAATCAAAAACAGAAGGCATTTTGGAATATGTGTAATTATATATATATTGAAAAACATGCTCGTGAACAACCAGTGTGTCAAAGGGGAACAAACAGTGGGGCAATCACGGGTTCAAAGTTGGTATCTCGTAGTTTTACAGTGAAAATACAAAATACCAAAACCTATTAGATGCAGCAAAAGAAGTTCCAAAAAAGAAAGTTATAGTAATAAATGCCTACATTATAAAAGAATATCCCAAATAAACAGCCTAACATTATGCTTTAAGGAACTATAGAAAGAAAAGCAAACTAAACTCAAAGTTAGCAGGAGAAGGAAATAAAAAAGATCAGAACAGTAATAGAGAATGGAAAAACAAACAAAAATGAAACAAATAGTTGCTTTCAAAAATAAATAAAATTGACCAATCCTTAGCTAGCCTAAGAAAATGGAGAGGAGACTCAAATAAAATCAGAAATGACAGTGGAGACATTATAACAGATGTCTCAGAAATCAAAAATTATTAGAAGGGAATATTTTGAAGAATTATATGCCAACAAATTGGATGATGTAAGGGAGGTTGATAAAGATGTAGAAAAATTTCCTGAGGTTAGGTTTTTAAGAAAATCTACCAAGACTGAATTAGGATAAATAGCATGAGCAGACAAATAGCAAATATAGAAATTGAAGTAGTAATTTATAAATCTCCCAACAAACTGAAGTGCAGGATCATACAGCTTCATGGCTGATTTCTATGAAATATTCAAAAAAGAATACCAATATCTCTTAAATTCTTCCAAAATATAGAAGAAGAGGAAATATTTTCAAACACATTTTATGAGACCAGCATCGCCAAAGTCAGACAAAGGATACCACAAGCAAAATACACCACCACACACACACACACACACACACACACACACGCCAGTATCTCTGATAAACATTAATGTGCAAATTCTTAATGAAATATAGCAAACTGAATTTAAAAAGATTCTACATTATAGCCAAAAGAAATTTACCTCTGTCAATCAAGGTAGGTTTAACATAGGCAAATAAATCAGTGAGATTTATTACATTAACAGACTGAAAGTTTAAAAAAAAAGATCACTTTGATGCAGAAAAAGCATTTAACCAAAGCTAAATGCCCTTTCTTCATAAAAAAATAAAAAATGAACAAATTGAGCATGGAAGAAAATTTCCTCAAAGCAATTGAGGCCATTGAAAAACACACAGCTAATATCATAATCAATGGAGAAAAACAAATAGCTTTTTTTCTAAGAGATGGTACAAGGCAAGGTTACCTACTTACACCACTACCTTTTACATAGTACTGGAAGTACTGGCATAGTTTTACGGAAATGAGGGCTGTATCTTTTCAAGACTCAAAGCATTAGATACCCACAAATATTTGTTAGTACTTTTACATCTATAATTCATTCCATGTGATGCTAAATTGACTATGCTAAATTAAATACCTTGAATTGCCATTACTGAAAGAGAAAAACTGGAATCTCACATTTGTGTTTTAAAATTTTTCATTAATACAATAATCATGTTAAATGTATTCTAATCCCTCATTTGCTACAGGTCCTATTAAAAATAAGGTGATTGAGGGGACATACATATTATTTGGTTTATTTTGCTTTATTTTCTATTCTTATGACTGAATTGTTGCTTAAAAAGCAGGAAACCCTATACATAATAATTATTGAATTACTATTGACCAAGAAAAACTAAATAATTTAATACTCTGTCTGTAAAAAATAAAAAAATTATAAAATTTATGGGAGTGATTGACAAGTGATTTTGGCAGTCTCTTTTTATGAAACGTGGTGCATTCCCAAACCTCTCCTAAGCCATGAAACTCAGGATATAAATAGATACTGCCAAACAAGTATTTCAACAATTAAAATTACTTACATATACTCTAATTTTGTATATATATATATATATATATATATATATACACACACACACGTGTGTGTATGGTTTATTTTGTTATATTTTATATTTTCATTACTGAATTGTTGCTTAAAATTGTGGCTTTTTATATATGTGCATGTGTGAAAAAGTTGAATCATACATATGTTCTACCTTCTGAGATGTTACTTGCTTTATACTTTTTCTCCTACTATTTCTTTGTCTTGTACAAGTTATTTGTCCGATTTGTCCACTGAAGAGATAAATTAATTAGACTTTTATCTTTGTATTTTATTGGAGGACATCATCCTATTATTATACATACTGAAACATCAATGATATCATTTGGAGTTTATATAGTTTATACTTTTCTGCTCCCTAAAATACTTATCTGTGTTTATGATTTATGTTGAAGCTATATCATTAGCTCTACATTAGTAGGAAGACTACCCTCCCAAAGAATGACAAGATATCTGTAAACTCAGTGAAAACATTGAATGAATTGAAAAATATGTAACAGAAAAAAGAAAAAGTATTGTGTAGAAAGTTCGCGTTTTTAAGTGTATTTTTCTATTTATGCTTTTTTCATGTAAATGAGAAGTTAGAATCAGTATATATTAGCATGCCAGTTTCTTCCTTTGTAGCAAAATGGATGCCTACAGACCAGGATATTATTTGTTCATTCAACATATCATTCCTTCACTCTAAAAATAGTAATTGAGTTTCTGTATGTGTTGGACATTGTGTGATGAAACAGTGAAGCACACTAAAGGAAAAACTTAACATCTATTGTGATGAGGTTTACTAATTAATGGGTGAGATAGGCATTTGTCAACTAGTCACACATATATGTACGTACACACACATGCAAAACTACAACTGAGATAACTGCACAAAGGGGAATTTTTATGCTTTGGATGCATATTGAGAAAGATGACATTTTCCAGGGAATCAAATAAATGTCCTTTAAAGAAACTGATTTAAAAATTTAGATTGGAAGTAGAGAGTTATCTAAGAGAAAGGGGTATATTGTAAGAAGAAAAGATTTTTCTAGAGTAAGGAATTCCCTTTGACAGTAGCCTATATGGAGAAAGCATGGAAAACAGTATAACAGAAGCTTAAAGAAGATTACCGAGGTTGGAACAAAAAGAATTAAAAGGTGTAAGCAGATGAGAGTAAGTAAGTTGAAGAAGCAGGAAGGAATAGGTCAGTGTAGAGCCTTGTGAAACATCTTAAGTACTCATAACAAGACACTGAAGTGCTTGAGCTCTTGGTATGGATGGAACATTGGATGAAAAACAATCAACTTTATTATAAAATTATTAATCTGGCCATAGGAGGAGAAAACAGGCTGCAGGGAGGTCCACATAAATAAATCCAAATACATATCTTAGAAGGTGAATTGCAGTAGGCAAATTGTTGATGAAAAATTCTTTATCTTGATGATGGTGTAGATTATTCATTCATTTAATGCCAACTTATTAGATCATGCTTCTAGTATATGACAGGTGGACATAAGGAAGTTCATGGAAGTAAGTCCTTCAACAGGCTGACAGGCTAGGCAGAAGAAAATGATAATTATCTAGTAAATAAATAACATGACAATATAATTTAAGGTAAGAATTACTATTACCGAATAGATTAAAGTGAGAGGAGAAAGTGTGTTAATAGGAGGAAAGCTATTTTACTGAGGATATACAGGGTAGTCTTCTCTATTGATATCATATTTGAGCAAAAAGACAAATAAATTTAAACTATGTCAGGTGGCACAGTCAGATAACAAAGTTCTAGGAAAAACAGGAATTTGTAAATGGCTGAAATGGTTTAAAGAGAAATACCTGAGGATATATAAGGGTATGATAGAAAAGTGTGATAGAGGTGACAGTGAGGAATGTTGAATACATTTTTAAAGGTGCTTATATTAATTTACAGAACTCAGTGTGGATAACTGATTAGCAAATCAGTTAAAGTAAATTAGCAAGTTTACTTTAGCTGATGTAAAATCTATTTTAACCACATCAGAAATAACATTTGTATAGCAATTACATGGGGTCTGCATAATAATCTATACAAATAACCAACAAGAAACAAACAGAAATCCAAGAAATAAAATCCCCGAAAGGCAAGATAGCACACTACTAAGAATGTGAGCTGATTGTCACAGAGAAATGTTATTGTCACTACAGACAATATTTAGGTGTGGGATATTTGACATATTACTTAAACCCTTGGTTTTAATTCTCTCACAATGAATAAATGTAAATGGCAAAAACTAGTATCTTGAATTGAGGTGAATAACAAGATCTTGAGCAACTCAAACTTTACAAGCCTTGCTGTCCTCATATTTCTATGGAAAAAAGATAGCCAGTCTTTTATTCCAATCCTTTGGGGCTATATATATATTTTAGAATTCCATTTTATTTTGCTTTGTTCTCCATGTTAAGTTTATCTACCATAAAATAGACCCAGCATGATCTGTGGCAGCCAACATATTTCTATCTCTTAGTAAAATGGCTGGATTTTCAGACTAATCTGTAAGTTGTCTCATGTCAACTCAGGTCAGTTTTTCTGCCTATAGAGTTGCAAAAAAAATTAAATTAAATTTTTTGAATTATTTTTGTATTTCAGTATTGCATTCAAGGAGTTATGGGCTTTTAGTAAGACACACAATCTTGCCTTCTAAGAAACAGAAATAACAACGATGTTAATACATACAAAAGCACATTCAAAGTGTTAAAGTGCCAATGAAATTCAAACTAATTGTGGGAAGAAATGAGCTTTCACTTGAAGTTTTGTTACTAATTAGCTACCCTATAATAACTATAAAACATTTAAAATCATTTTCTCATAAATATAATATAAATAAATCTAATAAACACTATATAAATGCAGGCTAGTGCTAAATAAAGAAATATGTATTTACATATTTAATATATATTATATATATATTTTTTCATTTAGGACCTATGCCCCCCGAGGAGGACCAGAAACCATAATACATGTCAAGGTGGGATTTTCTAAATTAGTGCATAAACTGCATCCATCTTATTTCCTGTGTATTCTAAAAGAAATTCTATAACATATGATGCATGTAGTCTTTATTTTATATCTGTATAAACAGTGACAATAAGCAGTGACTAGCTCTTGTCCTTTTATGTTGTATATTACAAGTGCTATTTTGCTTCTTCAGATTGTTTAATATAGTATGATATTAGAAGTTGGTTATGATAGGCATAGGCACATTATATCACAACTCCTTCAATCCACTTGCTCAGCTTACTATATTTTTATGTTCCAAATACTCAAACCTGTAAATGACTGTTTCAGTCCTCAGGCTACAAAAAAAGTTGATGGAGGAAAGTTTTCTCCATGTTATAAAATTCTATGCCACATAAATATTTTACAAGGCTCTTGGGAACTACTGCTACTACATTTTAAAAATGTAGGTTGATTAAATCTATACCTCCACAGATTGCATGTACTTATTCTTACCCTCCGCCGTCTTTTTTCTCCATCTTACAAAATAGTTCTTTGACCTACAATATACTGACCTTTATAATGGGTTGATAAAGAAGCAATCAGGCTGGGGCGAAACTAAAACACAGAATAGTATCCATTATATTATATTGGTTAAACTCAGCAGGCATGACAAGTAAAATACTGCTGATTGATTTTTTGACCTTTAAAGAATCTTGTATATAAAGTACATACATTTTGCAATGCTATGTGTGTAATGCTAAAACAAAAGTTTAATCATATTGGAAATTGACTGCTCATTTTGCTTTTTGTAAGATTATTAATTTCTCTCTCTCTACCATGCTTTTGTTTTACCAATATAATATAATTACTTTCTCAAAGTAATCTTTAACAATGGAAACATTTAACTCAAATGACTATTCCATCCCTCAAAAAGAGATATATCAGAAAACATTCATGGCTATTGGTTGTCTTTTGTAATTCTGTAAATAAGGCAACAGTAGCTCTTAATTATATTTTAAATGAAAGAATTTATTGCCATAATGTTGTTAATTTTTACCTAGCCATTCTTAGTAAAATTATGTATTCCAATTATTGATTTGTATTACATGGAGAAGAATTCTAATATTTTGTTGATTGTCATTTACAGTTCTATAAGATAGCTAAATCACTATCAAAGTTAAACACATCCCTAATTTCTTACCTTTGTAAAGTTAGACATTTATATCTAACATTTGATGGTGATTTTAAAGAAAAGCTCCAAATTTCTTTATTGAGTTTCTTCTTCTTATTCTCATATCTTAAATGAAACAAAATTTGAAGTTTTGTCTCTTACGGGCTGAATTATGCACCCTCAAAAATTTATATGTTGAAGTATTAACCCCTAGTACCTCCCAAGGTGACCATATTTGGAGATAGAATCTTTATACAGGCAATTCAGTTAAAATGAAGTATCTTGGGTGGGCCTTAATCTGATAGGACTGGTGTTCTTCTAAAAAGAGGTAAGTTGTACCCAGCCATCAAAAGAAGGAAGATGATATGAGAACACAAGGAGAAAAAGACAGCTGTCTACAAGCCAAGAAAAGAGGCCTGGAACAGACCCTTCCCTTGCAGCTCTCAGAAAGAATCAATTCTGCTAACCCACTGATCTTGAACTTCCAGTCTCCAGAATGTGAGAAAATAAATTTCTGTTGTTATAGTCACCAAGTTTCTGAACTAATACAATGGCCTCATTTGACAATGCCATTGGATTTTCTCTGTTCCTCTAAGCATAGCAAAAGATATAGCTGGCAACAGGCAGTCAGTTAAAGCCAACAGTTAGTTTCCAGAAATAATAAAGGAGATTAATATCTTAGGTAATACCATAGTTGAAGAAAGAAGATGACCAGAAGTAAAAACCATTTGTTCCTCTCTAGGCAGCCAGAAAGTATTGCTTTTTAATTTTTGCTGTTACATGTTTAATGAATATGCATTATTATTGAGTGCTTAAAATTGAAGAGGCAGCATGATTTAGTGGATAGTCTGAACACCTAAGTTTTCGACTACATTTACTACTGACTCACTACAGTGACCTAGTGCAAGTCACTTTATCATCATTATCATTATATTATTATCATTATATTTTTATGACTCAGATGAATCTGGTTTGAACTCATTATTATGGCATGTTTCTCAGTGGCCCAGCACATCGCAGTCATCTATTATTAGAATAGTAAGCTCCTGAGTACATTGCATGCATTGAAAAATGCTGATATGAAATTGAACAATATTATACATTTTCAGTTTCATCAAGGTAGACAGCAATGTGCTGAAAATTAACATCATTGGCCTTCTTTTCCTTCAATTTTTACATTACTTAAGTAGAAGTTAATTTTCAGTAATATTCAGAGTTCTACACTTGAAACATTAATTCCAAAAAAGTTTGATCATTTTTCTATTTTTCAAAGGAGATTATGGATCTAAATATTATAGTTCAATTTTATTTGTTATAACATTAATTAACTAGACATTTTCTATTTCAGTGCAAACATCTCTTTTCTCCATTAAATTTTCATAATAACATATATCTATTATTTTATGTTTATGAATTTTTGGCTCATTATTATTATTTTACTTTAGTATATTTATTAGAAGTTATCTTCTCAAATGCTATCCTGTATAAGAATATAAATGCTTTAATTAATTTAAACAATAGTGAGAGATATTTGCAATTAGGTAATCATATCTCTGATACATAATCTTATATGTTAAGCTAGAGTTAATTTGTCTTAATTTTTATTTTTGGATAACTGTAGATTCACATTTAGCTTTAAGCAATAATGTAAAGAGATCCAAGGACCATTTACATAACTTCCTATCGTGCTAGCATCTTGCAAAAGCATAGCACAATATCACAGTCAGAATATTGACATTGATAGGGTAAGGATGTGCCACATTTCCATTTCTACAAGAATTCCTTATGCTGCCCTTTTATAGCCATGCTCACTTCACTCCTACCCTATTTCCTCATTAACCCCTCAGAGCCACTAATGTGTTCCCTATGGAATAGATTTAGCGCTTTTTGGTTTTCTATAGTCTTATTATTTTAATAATATTACATAAATTAAATCCTACACTGTATACGTTTTTAGTGGTTGGTTGTTTTTTCCTCAGCATATTCTCTAGAGATTGAGTCAGATCTTTATATATTTCAATAATTTGCTCCTTTTTTATTGCTGAGTAGTATTTTAAAGTGTTTGTATGCCACAATTTGTTTATCCATTTGTCTATTGAACGACACGACACTAAAGTTGTTTCAATGCTTTGGCTATTGAGAATAAGTTACTGAAAACATTTTTGCAAAGGTTTTTGGATGAACCTGTCTTCATTGCTCTTAGATGTGTGCTTGTTGGGCAATATTGTAGCTGCATCCCAAACTTTTCCAAGGTGGTTATTTGTAGTTTTTTACATTTCTACTAGCAATATACAAGTGGCCTAGTTTCTTTGCATCCTTGAGGTATATGGTGCAATTATGTTTTAAATTTTTGTCCTATTTTTATAACTATGTAGCAATATCTCATTATAGCATTAATTTAGTTTCCTCAGGTTAATTATGTTGAACATATTTTCTTGTGTCTATTTTTCATCTCCATAGCCTCTTTCTTAAAATTTTTCTTCATGTGACTTTTAAAAATTATGGTTAAAAAACATGAACAAATAAAATGTGAGACCTACCCTCTTAAAAAAAGTAAGCATACAATTGAGTATTGATAACTATAAGCACAACATGTTGTCCAACAGATCTCTAGAACAGTTTTTATTCTTCTTCATAACTGAAATTTTAGACCCAAGGGTGTTTTAGGTTTCTCACTTGTTGGTCCAAGCAACAGCAGTGGACACACCTTGGTTATTGTTAGTAATGCTGCAATAAACACGGAGATGCAGATAGCTCCTTGACATGCTGATTTCATTTCCTTTGGGTATATATTCCATGAGAATGCTGGATCATGTGTTAATTCTATTTTTAATATAAATTACTGTTTTAATGTAAATTACAATTTTTCACAGCGGTTGCAGCATTTTATATTCCCACCAACAAGGAACAAGCGTTCTATCTTCTCCAAATTGACCAACACTTGTTATACATGTAGATACAAATATAATACACTGAGTGACTTAAACAACAAAGTCTTTTTTTCTCACAATTTTGAAGGCTGGGAAGTCAAAGATCAAGGAGCAGGACAATTCTGTTCCTGGTGAAGGTCCCTTCCTGGTTTGCAGAGGGACACCTTCTTGCTCTGTCCTCACATAGAGAGAGAGAGAGAGAGAGAGAGAGAGAGAGAGAGAGGTTACCTGGTTTCTCCTCAAGAGTCACAAATCACATCATGGGGTTTCCACTCATATGACCTCATCTATCCAATTATCTCTCAAAGATTCAACTTCCAAATACCTTCACACTGCATATTGTGGCTTTAACATAAGAAGTTCAGTGGGGTACGACCATTCAATTCATAGCAAGATCATCCTAATAGTTTTGAGATAATAGCACATGGTGATTTTAATTTGCATTTTCCTGATAATCAGTGATGTTCAGCATCTTTTCATATAACCGTTGGCCATGTCTGCATCTTCTTTGGAGGAACGTGTACTCGAGTCCTTTGCCCATTTTAAAATTAGATTATTTGTCTTTTTGCTATTGAGTTGCAGTGATTCCTCATATATTTTGTATATTAACTTTTTATTAGATAAGTAGTTTGCAAATATTTTAATTTGTAGGATGATTTTTAAAATTCTCTTGATTGTTCCTTTACTGTTCAGAAGGTTTTTAGTTTAATATAGTCCCATTTTTTAATTTTTGCTTTTATTTTCTTTGCTTTTGGTATTACAGTAAAAAAAAAATATTCCTAAGAACAATATGATGAGGGTTCCCTCTTATGCTTTCTTCTAGGAGTTTTACAGATTCAGGTCTGTGTTTAAGTTTTTAATCAAATTTGAGTTTATTTTCATGTATAGTGTAAGTTAAAGTCCCAAATTCATTTCTTTTTTTGTTTGTTTGTTTGTGAAAATCCACTTTTCCCAACATCATTTTTTGAAGAGATGGTCCTTTCTCCACTGTATATGACTAACACCCTTGTGGAAGATAAGCTTACTGTATATGCCTCGGTTCATTTCTGGACTCTTTATTCTGTTCCATTGGTTTATATGCCTGTCTTTATGCCAGTACTATACTGTTTTAATTACTGTAGCTATACAATGTGTTTTGAAATTAAGCAACGTGAGGCCTATAGCTTCAGTATTTATTCTCAAGATTGATTCACCCATTCAGCTATTTGGGGTCATTTATGTTTTCATATGAGTTTTAGATTTTTTAAAAAATATATCATTGGGAGTTTGGTAGTGAGTACCTTAATTCTATAGATCACTTTAGATGGTGTAGACACTTCCATAATATTATGTCTTTTGATCCATGAACATGGGATTTATTTTCATTTATTTGTCTCTTCTCTAATTTCTTTAATCAAAGTTTTGTAGTTTTCAGTGTATAAGCCTTTTATATCCTTGGTTAAGTTTATTCTGTCTCTTTTTGATGTTACTATAAATGAGATTGTTTTCTTAGTTTCCTTTTCAGTTGTTCATTATTAGTGTATAGAAATGCAACTGATTTTGTATGTTGATTTTATATACTGTAACTTTAATAAATTAATCTACTAGTTCTAAAAGGTTTGTGTGTGTGTGTGTGTGTGTTAGACTCTAGGACTTTCTACATATGAGATCATATCATCTGAAAAAAGAGATAATTTTACTTCTTTCTTTCTGAAATGAAAGACTGTCTTTTATTCATGTCATCTTTCATCAATATGGAAAAATATAATAAAAAATGACAATTATAAAATGCAGACAATTTTTTTGTTTATTGAGCTCTAAAGATGATATATGCTGAAAAATACCTTCAGGATTGTTGACCTTTACAAAGATCATCATCTGCCTAATTGTCCCACTCATTTCTTCTCTTTCACTATTCCCATAGTAAAAGATATGAGAGAATAAAAGAATTAAATCAAATTTTTGAAGGATTTCCCAAAATAAAAAAAAAGCACACATATTACTTTTTAAATCAAACTTTTGACTTTGTGATAAAGATTCACATGTGGTTGTAATAAGTGATATAGAAAACCCGATGTACCCTCAACCCCATTTCCCCTAAGGGCAACATCTTCCAAAATTATATGACAATATCACAACTAGGATATTGACATTGGTACAGAAAAGATGCCTAATGTTTACATTACCACAAGAATTCCTCTTTTTTATATCCTACCCACTCCTTAACTTCTGACAACCACTAAACTGCTACCTATTTCCATAATTTTATCATTTCAACAATATTATAAGAACTGAATCCAACAGTATCCTTTGCGGATTTGTTTTGTTTTTATTTTTTAGACAACATAATACTCTAGAGATTCAAACAGGTTTTTGTGGGGTTTAATAGTTTGTTTCTATTTATTGTTGAATGCTATTTCATGATATGAATGTACCACAGTTTGGTTAACCAGTCACTTGTTAAAGAACATCTAGATTATTTCCAAGTTTTGGATATTATAAATAAAGCTATTAAAATAAATGTAAAAAAAGGTCAAAGTTATAGTTTAATTATTTATTTAGTTTTACTACGCTCCATTGACTCACCAAATATAGCTCTGTTGCCATCCCAGCTTCAGAGATTGCCAACTAACAGTCACATATCAGGGGAGCTCAAGAAGAAGGTCTATGCCTGATAGTGATAGGGGACCAAGAGGTACAGAGCTAGATATTCCTTTTTTGGTCTCTAGTTCAATGACTTCTGTGATGATATTAGAGTGTGAATGTTAAAATTCCCCAAAGTTGGATATAATTCTTTTATGGAATTTGGCGGGGATACAGACTTTATAAAAGTCTGGGTCTTCAGCATTAATAGTAGCATCCTTTCATATTAAAAACCCTCAATAAATTAGGCATTGAAGAAATATACTTCAAAATCATAGGCACCATCTATGACAAACCCACAGCCAACATACTGAATGGGCAAAAGCTGAAAGCATTTCTCTTGAAAACTGGCACAATACAACATAATATTGGAAGTCCTGACCAGAGCAATCAGTCAAGAGAAGGAAATAAAAGATATCTAAATATGAAGAGAGAATGTCAACCTATTTCTGTTTGTAGACAACGTGTTTCTAGATGTAGAAAACCCCATTGTCTCTGCTAAAAAGCTTCTTGAGCTTCTGCAAAGTTTCAGAATACAAGATCAGTGAAGAAAAATCAGTAGCATTCTTATACACCAACAACAGTCAAGTGGAGAGCCAAATCAGAAACACAATTTCATTCACAATTGCCACAAAAAGAATTTAAAAAATCAAAGAATACAATTACCAAGGGAGTGGAAAGATCTCTACAATGAGAATTACAAAACACCACTCAAAGAAACTGAAGATGACAAAAACAAATAGAAAAAATATTACATGCTCATGGATAGAAAAAATAAATAGTGTTAAAATGGCCATACTGCTCAAAGCAATTTACAGATTCAATGCTATTCTTATCACACTACCAATTACATTCTTCACAGAATTAGAAAAAAATATTTTAAAATTTATATGAAACTAGAAAGGAACCTGAAATAGCCAAGGCAACCCTAAGCAAAAAGAACAAAGCTGCAGGCATCACATTACCTGACTTCAAATTATACTCCAAGACTACAGTAACAAAAACAGTGTGGTATGGTAAAAAGAAAAAGGCATATAAACCAATGGAACAGAATTGAGAGCCCAGAAATAATGCCACACACCTTCAACCACCTGATCTTCAACAAATCTGACAAAAACAAGAATGGAGAATGGACTCTCTATTCAATAAATGGTGCTGCATTTACCTGGCTAGCCACATGCAGAAGATTGAAATTGGATCCCACTCTTTTTCCATATGAAAAATCAACTCAAGATTAATTAAAGATTTAAATGTAGAACAGAAAACTGTGAAAACCCTGGAAGTTAACCTAGGAAATATAATTCTGGATATAAGACTTGGCAAAGATTCCATGATGACAACACTAAAAGCAATTGCAACAAAAAACAGAAGTTAACAAATGAGATCTAATTAAACTAAAGAGCTTCTGCACAGCAAAATAAATGATGAACTGAGTAAACAGACAACATGCAGAATGGGACAAAATATATGCAAACTATGCATCCAACAAAGGTCTAATATCCATAATCTATAAGGAACTTAAATTTACAAGCAACAAACAACTCCATTAAAAAGTGGGTAAAGAACATGAACAGATACTTTCCAAAAGAAGACATACATGTGGGCAACAAGCATAGGAAAAGACGTTCACCATCACTAATCATTAGACAAATGCAAGTCAAAAACCACAATGAGATACCATCTTACAGTAGCTACAATGGCTACCATTAACAAGTCAAGAAATCACAGATGTTGGTGAGGATGTGGACAAAAGGGAACACTTATACACTGCTGATAGGAGTGTGAATTAGTTCAGCCATTGTGGAAAGCAGTGTGACAATTCCTCAGAGAACTCAAAGCAGAATTATTTAAGTCAGCTATTCTCCTATTGGGCATGTACCCAAAGGAATATAAATTGTTCTACCCTAAAGACACATGCATATGAATGTTTATTGTGGCACTATTCACAATACCAAAGATATGGAATCAACATAAATGCCTATCAATGGTAGGATAGATAAAGCAATGTAGTACAAGTACACAATGGAATAGTATACAGCCATAAAAAAGAACATGATTATGTCCTTTTCAGCAACATGGATAGACCTAAAGGCCATTATCCTAAGGAAATTAACACAGGAACAGAGAACTACAAACTGCATATTCTCACTTATAAGTAAGTGAGAGCTAAACAATGAGAACACATGAATACTAGGAGAGGAACAATGGGCAGTGGGGTCTATTTGAAGGTGAAGGGTGGGAGGAGGAGGAGGATCAGGAAAAATGTCTATCTGGCATTATGCTTATTATCTGGGTGAAAAAAATTATCTAATTTAAACAAGCCAAATTTAGATGTGACACACAGTTTACCTATATAACAAATCTAAACATGTAACCCAAACCTAGAATAAGTTTTTTTTAAAGGATATTAAAATAATGGCAAGAGAGTATACCACCTACATAAGAATTTTTTGAAATGAATATGCCATTTAAAGTTATTCAGATTGTCTGCTCTGAATTACACAGTGCATTACCAGTATTATACAAAAATACATGAGGAGTGGCTTAGTAGGACCAATTTGAAGTACACCAATTTAATTTCCTCTCTTAATATAAGTCTTGATTATCACCCTTATAATGCCCTCATGTTCCTGGGTTGTATCATTATACTACCTGTTTCAGAGATGCCCAAAGAAGGACAAAATGCAGTGATACATGCTAGATTAAATTGGGAAATGACATGAGATGCAAGTTTTTTGTATTTTTTAAGTTTTTATTCTTGGAAGAATTCTTTATATACGCCATGTTTAAATGTAAGTTCTATGCATCTCAACATCCTCTTTAGAAAAGACTGACCCAAAAAGTTAGTGTTATACATTTTCTTTCCTTCCTAAATGCTAAAAGTTTCCATTCAATTGACAAGTAAATTATTTGGGCAGAATAACACATTAATCTGGTAGCAAAATAATAATAATTCATAAATATACAATGATCCCATATATCTATGCATTTTTATTTAAAGTAGGCTGAATGAACTCTAATAATGTGTTTTTGCTTTCCTCCCATAAGGATAATTAAAGTCACTTAATAAATTCTATTCTTCATTATTGAATTATGACCAACAAGATTGTGCTAACAAAGCATTAGTGTAGCCAGAAGTGGTTGCTGATTAAATCCGAGATACAAAGAAATTAAAGAGATAAACTCATGATAAAAAGTAAAGAAATTGGAGTGATAAACTCATGATTAAAAAAAACAGTAGATGTTTGAGACTTCGCATTTGAGATAGTTATTGAATCTCACTCTCATGCACACACTTAATGTTAGGATCAAAGAGAGATTCATCTTGTGTGCATCAGAGAGAGATTCACGAAAGTAACTAGGTAAGAGAGATTCATTAGACTTGGGAGATGCTGCTTGGTTTAAAATTATATCTGCTGTAAAAGGGGCTTTTAGTGATTATTTGAAGCTAATACCAAAATCTACCCGGGAGCATGAAATTTTTATAGATCATGCTTCAGAGCTGTAAAACTTGTAAGACCTGGTTTTAAATAGATATTTCCTAGAGAAATGTAGTTATTTATGAAATATACCTCTAAAGAGAGCCCCATAGGTAGTCAATTACTCACCAACCTGAAATAAGAAATAAAAATATATAAATTTATAGTAAGAAAATTAAATATATACTTTCTGTAATGAATGCAGTTAAATTTAACTACATAAATATGTATATATACCTAATATACCACTCATAGTCTCTCACATATAATATTTTAAAAATACAAATTTTACCACCTTGAAAAAAAACAGAAAAGAGGTGTCTACAATTCTCTGAAATTTTCAAACCAATTTTGTAACACAAGAATCTCTAAATATATCAGTAGTCATTTAAATTTACATCACGTGTAAATCATTCACATATGAACATATCACTTTTTAAACTTACTGCATCATCAGCCTTGCCCTCTTTATACTACTTATTGATGAATAAAAGTAGAAGTGAATCTAAAGGTCTAGTTTTCTGACAATGACCATATTTCTAAGCAATAACTATAAAGACTGAATGTAGCACAGCTTGTCAACCTGGGTGACTGAGAGAACATTTTCACAAAGCTCTGTACAAAGTCTCTTTTTCTCAGAGGCAGGAATTAGATATTGCCTTCCCTTAAATATGCATCACTGACTATACTAGCAACATCACTCCTAGTATATGGTCAGTATTAATAAGGAGGATGTCATGTTCAAACATGTAATTAAATATACTAATTTGAGCTGCACTGATTTGAATTGATAATTATTTTTAAAATGCTGAAATTGAAGACTATCTTAAAAATATATATTTTCTATATGCATATTTGCTACATTACAAGAAAATTATACCATACTTAGAAGAATTTAATACCCTCAATTATCTTAGACGCTATAATAGAATACATACACACTTAGTAGCCAATAACGGGTGTGTGCTTCCTTTCATCTGAAAGTCTATTAAAATTCTGTGTATAAACATATTGTTGAAATGTGATGAATCACTATGTATATGATAATGAAATTATGGAGTACATTAGAAATTTTCTGTAAACTAAATAATCAACACAGGCAAATAACATCATAGTTTGATTTTTTGTTTCTAGGAGATTCATGAAGAATTTCAGCTAGCTATTCTTGACTGTGATAATGGGGTCCAGAATATGACTTGAATTATATTATGAAAAGGTTATTTTGGCCAAAAAAATGCCTGTAGATTGCAAGATTGAAAACAATTGACATGAGTAAACTTAGTTACTTTCTATTTTCAGCAACTATGCAGACAATTTAATTCCATTTGGCCAAGGATGTAGGACTCCTTAAACTAGAAAGATGACTTGGATAATATTACAAAATGATTTAGTTCCAGAAGTGTTATTGATTGGCATATTGTTTTAGGACATTCAGAGCCTGCCCTTAGAGGTGATATGTTATCCCTGTTGAGTTAGGAGACATAGAGTTAAAATCAGCGCAACTCAGAAGGCTGCTCATGGTGTTTTCTCATACCTGGGTCTATCTGCTCCAGAACTTATTTTTACCTAGTCCTTTATTTGTGGTCACGGTGCTGATACGCACTGTAGGATATCCTGTCGTCCTTATCTAATGCTTACTGCAAGAAACATGAGCTCATAAGCATATATATATGCGTTATATACTGTATATATATTTATATATATTGTTTATATATATATAAACAAAATCAATGGGCTGGATCACAGATTCAATAAGAAGCAAAAAATCAAACACAAAGAGATACATCTACTAGCACTATGGTAAATGAAAAGAAAAAATAAATACCCAAGCAAAATACATACAGAAAATTAAAGAGTTAAAAACCGTGGCAGATAGGATAATTAGAGAATGATTATTCATGAGGAACAAATTTAAAAATGGAATATTAGATTGAAATATAAAACTGGAATTGTAGATTAAAAAGTTCTCCCAGAAATACAATGAAAACTAACAAATAACATATAAGGAAAGTGAAGAGAATTGAAAGCTAATGCAGAAGTTTTAACACCTGGATCATGGGACTTATAGAATGAGAAAATATCAAAAACTGGGTATCAGAAATATCTAAATAGATAAGAGAAATATCATACCAGATTAAAAAAAATACATGTAGGCCTTCATATTTAAAGATCCCTTAAAATGCCAAAGAGGAGAAATAAAAGGATTTTCAAATCTTAACACCACTAGTAAAATGTAAAATATCAATGACAAAAAATAAAATTATAAAATCTTCCAGAAGAAAAGAATATTTTTATTTAAAAAATCAGAATGATGTAAAATTTTTCAGTGATAATACCAGATAAATTTATGCAAACTTCATAAATATTGGAAGAATAGAATGTCAATAGAACTGTCATTAAAATATGAGCTTATATTAAACGTATGCTCAGGCATACAAATTCCCTGAATATCTGATATACATGGTCAAATATTCAAAAACCACTTTGAATAAAGCATGTATAGAATAAAATAAATTCAGAAGATGCTGTGAGAAATATGTGAAATAAAGTTGATTAAATAATTTTAAGCATTTTAAAATATTATCTTAAACAGATGAGACCATACAAAAAATATTATATAGCAATAATAATCTAGCATGCAATTATAATATATATCAATGTATATCAGTAGTAAGGAGAGAACAAAGGATGTGAGAGTATTCTAAAATTTTTGCCTGGTGTATATAAAGATACAGATATAATGTTTTTTTTTTAAATGTAGAAGAAACAAGTGGTATTGCCTAGTAAAATTAAACATTCACATACCCTGATCCAGTAGTTTCTTATCTGGATGTATGTCCTAAATAAGGTTACAGTTTTTCACCAGGAAGCCTGTAAAAGGATGATTTTTATTAAAACTATTCTCAATAGCAAAATACAAGAAACAGTCTAAATGGTAGAAGATTATATAAATACATCTCATTTCATTCCTACAATTGAAAACGATAAAGATGTGAAAGTAAATGCGAAATAAACAGTACATTCAACAATGTAGATAAGTCTCAATAACATAATATAGAGAGAAAACAAGCCACAAGAGAATAAATTCAACATGATTTTATTTTGAAACATCTGAAACAAAATAATATATTGTTTAGAGAAATAAATGTAATTGGTAATATGATAGATAAAATCAAGTGAGAGTAAACACAATTATAGCATAAGATTACTGTTGAGGAATGAGGAACAGATTAGTTTGCTCCTCCAAACAGTAAAAATAAAAAGTCTATTTCTTGGAAGAAGTGTTGTTTTTTAACAGAATGATTCAACTTTATCACAAATATTTTAAACCAATTTGACAAAATCTGTGGAAGGGCAGCCCTTGAGTTATCATTAGCAGATCATGGATCTAAAATATAAACTATACCTTAGAAATTTTTTTCCTAGGGAAAATTAGTAGATAATGTTAATGCACTGTCTGTATACACTTATTAGTCCTCATCCTACTTATTGTAGTTTTGTTAATATAACTGTTTTTATGGCTTTTGGAAGTGTGTTGTCATATTTAGTCAAAAATATACCCTGTAACAATTGAAAATGGTAAAATAATAAATTTCCGTATAAAATAATCTTTTAAATTAATATTTAAAGACACATTAATCTTCTATCTAAGATAGTTATAAATAGTTACTTTCTTGCAAAACCATTGGTAAGATATTAAGATCAATATAGGGAACTTAATTTTGAATAAATTACATTGAATGAATGAATGAAGATTTGAAATTTTTATATCACTCAAAAGGTTTTCTTTGAGTATTACTATTTTTATTTGTTATAAAATTAAAGATTAAAATCACTTTTAAAACTAATTTTAACTTAAAACAACATAAAATTTAACTGCAAAATAATACTTAATCTGAAAGATCTTATTTCCATGAATAAAGTGTCATTTACAGGTTGATTATGATCATAATGTAAAGTTGAGCCTTAACTGATTTGAGATATGTCTGTGCACAAATAATGACATAATTTCTCTTGATATGGGGAAGAAGGAGACATGTATATAGTCAACTTATGTTCAAATTTTAGAGATACTAGAACATGTATAAAGCTATCTAGCATATATTCCTTTTAGTGGAAAAAGCACATTTACAGTGAAGCACAACATTTGACTATAGTATTCCAAGATGAAATACATTAGTCTAAGAGTGGACATAAAGAGTGGGTTTGTGTGTGTGTGTGCGTGTGTGTGTGTGCTGAAAATGATGGAAGGATGGGGAAGCAACAGACAGGGGGTTTCTCTTTCACCTGCAGCAGCTAAATTTTTTGTTAACATTTGTATAGTAACTATCAAAGAAAAAAGTACAAATGACATAAGAATATATTGTAATTGTTATATTATCCTTGGCTTATAGTCATCAAGTAATAAAACCATGAGGTGACAACAGTGAAAATAACAGAATAAAAAATTCAAAAATTCTCTCCTTTGTAAAAGAAACAAAATCAATGGCAAAAATGTCAGAATCAAGATTTTTGTCATTCTGGAAATTAAATTCTTACAGCAATCTTGGAAACATTTATCAAGGAAAACAACCGAATATCAGAATAATAAGTTTTATGGCATTTTAACTTGCCCTACTCCTATCCCCTTACTTCCTTTAAAACAGTAACCTTAAAAACTAATAACCTTCGTCTACGATGAAAACCAACAACCTTCCAGCCACTAAGGGAACAGAATGTCTTGGGGTTCCTTCAAAGCTCCATTTCCATACAATTGCCATTACTTGACCCATTTTCTGGTTCTTTGCAAAACCCCACCTCTTTTAGTCTTCATTTGACTGACTTGAATATTTCCCTTTTAACAACCTTTTGTCTGGAGGCATCTGCTCAAAATAATCAGAAGCAATTGGTTAAAATTATGGCTGCCTGAAAAAAGAAAAAAAAATGCTAATGGAAATGGCTGATAACAAATTGAGAAAACAGTAGGTTAATCAAAAGTTTAAAAAGAAAAACGAGGTAATGAGATGTTTCATAAGGGTCTTTCAAAGCACTGAAATATTCCTGAAAATCTAGAAAGTCATATGCATTCACAGGCTGTGTTCATAACTAGGGCTATTCTAAGGCTCAGGAAAACCTGTAAAGTCTCTACATTATCACCTCTTGCTAATTATGAGGATCTGTAAAATCAGGAAGTGAATCTAAGGCAGAGTTTAAACATCCTAGCTGAGTATTGAATATGTGCCTCAACAAACAATGAATCTCTCAGTTCTGGGAGACTTATTGGTACCAGGCACTTAATAAAATTTATATGTAATCACTAGCTGACCACTCAGCTAACTTAGGTTTAGAGGCCATACATGAATAGAATACATGGGGGATACAATCCAGGACTCCTACTTGATGCCTGAAATCATGGATAGTACCAAACCCTACGTATACTATTAATAAATAGAAAATTTGTTTATACCATGGATCATAGCAACCTCACTGCGTGATTTTTTTCAGTCCTAATTAAGTCAATAACTTTTACCTTTTCTTTTAAAGAAAGCACTGTATGCCTTTCCTTTGGGATATCTGGTTGTTTGTATAACTACTCTTGGTGCATGGGAGCCATTATTAAAAAACGTGAGAGTTACATAAACAGAAGCACGGCTATACCATTACAGATAAACTGATAACCAAGATGGCTACTAAATAACTAATTGGTCATGAATGTATACAGTGTTGATACACTGTACGAAGGGGTAATTCACAACCTGGGTGGATGGACCAGGTAAAATTTCATTACACTGCTCAAAATAGCATGCAATTTAAAATTTATAAATTGTTTATTTTTGGAATTTTCCATTTAATGTTTTTGCACCACAGTTGAATGCAGGTAACTGAAACCATAGAAAGTGGAACCATGAATAGAAGAGGACTGCTGTATAGAGTTAGTTCACAAAGTCACTAAACAAACAAAAACCAGCAACAATGAGCAACAACAGAAAATCCTGACGAAGAGATATAATCCGATTTCCAGAGTAGCCACATTATATTATTCAAAATGTCCAGTATTCATGAAAAAAATGCAAAGAAACAAGAAATTATAACATACATACAGAAAAAAATAAAAAGAGTAGCTATGTAAATTTTCTTCCAGGAGGCAGAGGCATTGGACTGACTATACAAAGACTTTAAATTGACTATTTTAAATATTATCAAGAAACAAAAGGAAACCATGTCTAGAGGACTAATGAGAGTATGAGAATAATGTTTTTCCAAGTAAATAATACAATTGAAGATACTGACATTACAAAAAGGAACTGAATAGAAATTCCATAACTGAAAAGAACAATAAATAAAATGAAAAATTTAATAGGGGCTTAATTGCAAATATTAGCAGGTAGAAGGTAAAATAAGCAAAGCTGGGACAATAGATCAGTAAAGATTATCCAGTTTGAGAAGCAGAAAGACAAAACAAATTTTAAAAAGTGAAAAGATCTCTGGAACAAAAACCACCATCCCAATCTACACAAACTCAGAGTCTCAGAAAGGATATAAAGGCAGAAAGAAGTTGGAGAAATAATGACCAAATACTCTCAAGTTTTATGGAAAATATTAATTTATGCTTCCAAGTATCTCACTGAATTCCAAATAGAATAGGCTCAAATAAATCCAAATAGAGCGGTGGCTCACGCCTGTAATCCCAGCACTTTGGGAGGCCGAGGCAGGGGAAATACGAGGTCAGGAGATTGAGACCATCCTGGCTAACACGGTGAAACCCCATCTCTACTAAAAATACAAAAAAATTACCTGGGTGTGGTGGCGGGTGCCTATAGTCCCAGCTACTCGGGAGGCTGAGGCAGGAGAATGGCGTGAACTCGGGAGGCAGAGCTTGCAGAGAGCCGAGATCGCACCACTGCACTCCAGCCTGGGCGACAGAGTGAGACTCCGTCTAAAAAAAAAAAAAATCCAAATAGAGGTACGTCAAAATCAAAGCCAAAGAAAGAATCTTGAGACTAGCAAAAGAGAAGCAGCACATTATGGACAAGGGATCCTCAAAAAAATTATCCTATAATATCTCATCGGAAAACAACATGGAGGCAGCAGGTGATGGAATGGTATATTCAAAGGATTAAAAAGAAAACAGAACAGAGCAAAACAAACGACATTATCCAAGTTTTGTATTGTATAGAAAAATTATTCCTTAAAACTGAAACAGAAAATAAAACACTTTGGAAAATAAAGTAAAAACTAGTAATAAAAAATAATAATTGGATCTTTCATGCCCCAATTTCTGTAGTAGATATAACAAATAAACAGAAAAGCGCTAGCCTGGCCAACATAGTGAAACTCCATCTCTACTAAAAATACAAAAATTAGCCTAGCGTGGTGGCGGGCGCCTGTAATCCCAGCTACTCAGGAGGCTGAGTCAGGAGAATCGCTTGAACCCGGCGCCTGAACCCAGGGGGCGGAGGCTGCAGTGAATGGAGATTGTGCCATTGCACTCCAGCCTGGGCGACAAGAGCGAGACTCCATTTCAAACAAACAAACAAACAAACGAAAAACTATAAACCAACTGAACCTAACAGTACATTCAATCCAACAACAGAAGAATATACATTTTTCTCAATTTCACATTAAACGTTCTCCGGGACAGATTATATGTTATTTCATAAAAACAAGTATCAATGAATGTAAAAAAAAAATCACATGCAGTATGTTCTCTGAATACATTGAAATTAAATTAGAAATAAGTATCAAAAAGATTTGGGAAATGCATGAATATGCAAGAATTAAACGGAACTCTCCTAAATAACAAATATTCTGAAGAATAGATAATGGGAATTAGAAAAATACTTAGAGATCAATGAAAATGAAAACACAACATATCAAAACATGTAATACAATCAAGACAGTTTTTTTAATTTTTATTTTTTATGGATACATAGTAGGTCTATATAATTATGAGGTACATGTGATGTTTTCATAAAGGCATATAAGGTGAAGACACTTTTCATAGAGAAGTATATAGCTATAAACTTCTATATTAAAAAGAAGTACAACAAATAACCTACCATTCTACCTTGAGAAACTATAAGAACATAGCAAATCCAAATCAAGCAGAAGGAAAAAAAAAAGAATAATAGCAGAAATAAATAAAATATAGAATAAAAAGAACAATGGATAAGCCAAAAGTTGATTTTTCAAAAAGTTTAACAAAATTGACAAAAATCTATTTATATTGACTAAGCAAAAAAGAGATAGAAATCCATTTACAATCAGAAAGGGTAGACAGACATTACTACCAGTCTTACTGGAAAAAAAAATTATAAGTATACTCTCAAAAATTATATGATAAAAATTAGATAAGCCCAGAACATATTTCTGGAGTGATTCTAAGTACTGGAACAGATTCAGGAAGAAATGGAAAATCTAAATAGATTCATAACAAGTAATGCGATTTAACTTGTAGCCATTTTATTTATAAGTAAAAACAAAGAACAAAATGGATTCACCGGCAAATTTAACCAAATGTCTAAAGAAGGATTAAAAGAATCCTGTGAAAATTCTTCCAAAAAAAAAAAAAAAAAAAAAGAATGGGAGGAAACACTTCTCAATTCATTCCATGCTTCTATGCAGCCAGTATTACACTGATACTAAAATGAGAAAGTCATCACAAGAAAGGAAACAAAGCAATATCCCTCATGTCCCTCATGAATATAGATAGAAAAATCTTCAACATAATGCTAGCAATCCAAATCTTATAACATATAAAATGGCTTCTCCAACATGACTAAGTGAGATTTACTCCAGGAATGCATGTTTAATTCAATATATGAAACCTGATCAAAATAATAAACCATCTTATTAGGATAACAAGGAAAAAACAAACAAAACACAATTATCCCAACAGTTACATCAAAAAAGCATTAGACAAAATCTAACACCTTTTCATAACAAAACACTCAATAACCGTGATCAGAAAAAACTTTTTCAATCAGCTAAAGGGTGTATAAGAATACCCATATCTAACATCAAACTTCAATAAAAAGAGACTGAAAGTCCTGTACTGGAGATTCCAGTCAGCACAATAGGGCAAATAAATAAATAAATAAAATGTATCCAGACAGAAATAGAAAGAGAACTCTTTCCAATTTTAAAAGCCATCTGTGTGTATAAAAACATTCAAAGAAACAAAATAAAAACAATTATTTAAGCTTGTAAACAAGTACAGCGACATTAAAGACACAAGGAAGGTTATATATGAGTAATAAAAATTTTAAAAAATCCCTTTACAGTAATGTAAAAAAAAGCATAATAATTGGGAACAAATTTAACAAACAGTGCAACCCTCATAAACTAAAACCTACAAAATACTGTTTAAAAAATATAAGAAAGCCTGAATAAATACAAAAAGATCTCCTGCTAATGGGTTGCAACTTAATATTGTTAAGATGACAATATTCTTCAACTAATCTACAGATTCAATACAATTTCTATTAAAATGTCAGGTGACCCTTTTGCACAAATTGACAAATTTATTCTAAAATTCATATGTAAATGCAAGAAACCTAGAATAACCCCATCAAAAAATCTTGAAAAATGAAATAGGCTCACATTTTCCAATTTCAAAGCCTACTACAAAGATATATTAATTAAGACTATGTAGTACTGGGATAGGGGTAGGTACAAATGAACAAGTACATGAAGAGATGCTCAATATCATTAGACATTAGGAAATTGAAAATCAAAAGAGTAAAATTTTCATACCACCCAGAATGGCTATGATTAGACATGATGGACAAGAACAAGTGTTAGCAAGGATGTGAAAGAACTGGAATCTTTATAGACTGCTAGTGGAAATATAAAATCTTACAGATGCTTCAGAAAAATGGTTTTCTACTTTCACAAAAACTTTTACATAGAATTCTTATAACCCAGCAATTTCACTTCTAGCTATAGAATCAAGAGGTCTGAAAAGATATGTCCACAGAGAAAGACCCAAATGTCCACAGCAACATTATTTGTAGTAACAAAAACAGGAAACAACCCAAGTGTAAATCTGATGAATAGACAACAAAATATGGTCTAATCTGTAAAATGGAATATTATTCAGCCTTGAAAAAAATTACTGATGCATGAAGCAAAATGGATGTGCCTTGAAAATATGCTAAGTGAAAGAAACCAGATACAAAGGACATACATTGCATGGTTTAATTCATATTAAATATTCTGAATTGGCAAGTCTATACAAACAGTAAGTTTATTAATAATGTCTTAGTCCACCTTGTGTTACTATAAAGGAATACATGTTGCTGGGTAATTTATAAAGGTGAAAAGGTTTATTTATCTTGTGGTTTGCAGACTGTACAAGAAGTATGGCACCAGCATCTTTGTGATTTCGGTGAAGGCCTCAGGTTGTTTTACTCATGGTGGAAGGTGAAGGGGAGCCTGAGTGTGCAGAGATTACATGGCCAGAAGCAGGCCAAACGGAGATGGGGAGGAGTCAGGCTCTTAGTCCATTTTGACTAAAATACAAGTTCTTGTGAGAACTAATAAAGTGAGAGCTTACTCCACCCTGCGAAAGTGCATTAATCTATTCATGAGAGATATGCCCTAATGACTAAAACATCTCCCATTAGGCTTCATCTCCAACACTGGAAATTAAATTTCAACATGAGATATGGTGGGAACAAATAAATCATACTTAAACTACAGCAAGTAGCTTCCCGGAGAATGTGGGAGGGAGGTATGAGGTATGATTGCTGATGGCTATGAGGTGATGAAAAGATTCTAGAATTAGATAGTAGCAATGGTTGTAAAATTTTGTGAAGATAAAATATTGAATTATATACATTAGGGTAAATTGTATTGTATGTTAATTATATCTCAATAAAAAGGGAGAAAATTTTGTGACTGTTTAAACAGAGTAGATTCTTAAAGTGATCTTATTCAATAAGCTATTTGAATGGAATGATAAATATTCTACACTCTGAGAGGTAATGTTCTTTGCAGGGAAAGAAATATTAGCTATAAGCATTTATAATGGATATAAGCATTTATATCCAATGATAGTGCAAGTAATTAACCATTGCTTAGTTGTCTTGCTACTGTTGTCATGAAGAAAAAAGAAATGTTTTTAAAGATTTTTCAAATCAAAAAAGACCAATAAAGTAGTAAATTACCCCCAGAAAGAATATAATTTGCTCAAACATCAAACTCTTAATATTCTTTTTGAGTTTTAAACTTAAGTTTTGTCTTTTTAAAGATGTCATCTTCTCCCCAACATCCAAAAATAATAATTCGAGCTTCCACAGGAGTATAGGACAAAATTATATTTAAGGTATTAAAATGAGCTAATTTGAACATGTAAACGTCTTTAATATGTGGTCAAATTATTTCAATGATGATGAAAAGTAAGAGTATTCCTAACATCAATATATTAATATTATGTCGTTTTAAACAGGAGGATAAATCAAAATAAAATAGGGAAGACAAATGATCCTTAAGCCTTTTCTTAAAGATAATTCTGATGTCTTATGAAAAGAGTATGCAATGCAATTAGAATTAATTATACAATCTCTTAGATAAAAACATCAATACATTCTTAGTAACATAACAAAGTGAAAAATAGCTTAAAAATAGTATATATGCACCCTGAAATAGTTAAAATCAATTTGTAAATAATTAATAAAAATAGTGATTTGAAATAAAAGCATTCCATTGATAGGGCTTAAAGGAAAAAAACAATTTTTTTCTCTCTATTCTGGTAAATTTTATATATTCTAGTTAATTTTTTTCATTTCTAACTTTTATTTTAAGTTCAGAGGTACACGTGCAGGTTTGTTACATAGGTAAATGTGTGCTATGGTGATTTGCTGCACATATCATCTCATCACCCAGGCATTAAGCCCTGCATCTGTTAGTTATTCTTTCTTATCCTCTCCCTCCTCCCACCCCCCACCCTCCAACAGGCCCCAGTGTGTATTGTTGCCCCCCATATGTCCATGTGTTCTCATCATTTAGCTCCCACTTATAAGTGAGAATGTGTGGTA
This sequence comes from Homo sapiens, assembly GCF_000001405.40. Classification (NCBI taxonomy): domain Eukaryota; kingdom Metazoa; phylum Chordata; class Mammalia; order Primates; family Hominidae; genus Homo; species Homo sapiens. The sequence continues at coordinate 56,809,852 of NC_000013.11, forward strand.
TTTGGCTTTCTGTTCCTGCATCAGGTCGCTAAGGATAATGGTTTTCAGCTCCATCTATGTCCCCACAAAGGACATGATCTGGTTCATTTTAATGGCTGCATGATATTCCATGGTACATATGTACCACATTTTCTTTATCCAGTCTATCATTGATGAGAATTTAGGTTGATTCCATGTTTTTGCTATTGTGAGTAGTGCTGCAATGAATATATGCATGCATGAGTCTCTATAATAGAGTAATTCATATTCCTTTGGCTATCTACTCAGTAATGGGATTGCTGGGTTGAACAATATTTCTGCCTCTAGATCTTTGAGGAATCACACTATCTTCCACAATGGTGGAAGATTTTTTTTAATTATTATTATTTATATTTTTATTTTGAATTCTGGAGTACATGTGCAGAATGTACAGGTTTGTTACATAGGTAAAAAAACATATTTTTAATCTATCCACAACATAGTCTCAGAGTATATTTGTCAGAAACACTCAAAAAAAAGACAAAATAGGTTTCTTTTTGTTTTGTTTTGTTTTTCCAAGATGACAGATTGGGGGCATTGCTAACATACCTCACTCGGAAGGACAAAATACTGTGTAGAGATTCACACTGTGAACTTTTTTAAGAAGTGACACAATAACTGAGCAGGAAAACCAAATGAATCTAGGGACTTTTTGAAGGAATCAGCAGGGTGCAGCCTTTACTGTAAGTCAGATAATGGGCTGAGTCCCCAGAATGTGAGAGCAGAAGAGACTGCCTCTGGGACACACCCCTCCAGAGTCGATGGCCTCAACTCTCTCCAGCCAGCACAGGAACCAACCTGGGGAAGGTCATGGAGTATAAAAGTAAGAGCAGTGGTGGGAACACCCTTGTGTACACTCCCAATCCACAGTGTGGACCAAGGGAAGCCATTCCTTATTGTTCCTCATGGGGAACCCTGCAGAGGTTAGCCAAATAGTTCAGCCAGTGGTCACAAGTTGAAAGAAGCCCTCAACTGTGTTCTACAATATAACCTCAGGTGGGGATGAACTCCCTTGGCTAGGGCCAGTGGGTGGAGGACAGGTAAAAAGTTGGCTGTAGCTGCAAGTAGAGGAGCTGGGCACCCAGCTTTGCTGGTGAACAGGGAGGGGTGTGGCATGAAAGTCACAGTTGGGATGCCCACAGGAAAAGCTTATGACCCGGGGCAGTTGCAAGTTCTGGGTATGGGCTGCCTGAAACTTAGTTTGCTGCTGCCAGTGGAACACTGCGGGAGTGGATCTGCCTAGCCAAAATTGTGGGATCTGTGTGGGGCTTGCTGCGGCCTGCTACTCTCCACTCCTTGCACAAACTCTTCTGTGAAGCAGAGGCAGCAACATTTCCCTCTGGAACATCAACCCAATGGCTAGAGAAACACCTCCATCCCCCAACATTCACAGGAGCTGCTGCTTTCCCTAAAGGCAGAGAGTCAGAGCACAAACAGGCCAATCCCCAATCCCCACCTGGTTTTGCCTTACCACCTGCCCTGGTAGCTTAACACAAAGACTAGAAACTTTTTGGAGCTATATGGCCCCACCTATCGCCTGAGATACAAGAGGACCCATCCTGGACTACATAAGGTAAGTAAAAATCCCACTGCTACTATCACAGCTGGTGTTCTTCTGCAAGCACCACCTCTTGTCTGGAGGGCGGCCAATGCAGTTCATTTCAACACTTCTTGGTGGAATAACACTACTCAGGAAGTAGAAAATGGCTGAATGACTTCAGCTATCACCTTCACCTACACCACTCTGGCTAACCAGGAGGTCCTGAGTCTCTTCATGTGACCAGTTGATGACCACTATAACCAGCACTGAAGAAAGTCAACACACTAAGACTATCTTTAACCAAGGAATCGCACAGAGACCCCATCACTCCACTGTTACCCCCATTAGAGCTGGTGCTACTACCCTCAGCTGGGAGACTTGAGGACAGGTAACATTACTGGATCCTTTGCATACATTCCCCACTTCCAGGCTGTAGTGTGGCAGCTTCACTGAGTGGCTAGACCCAGAGGAACAACAACACTCACAGCAGTCTGGCTCCCAGGGACTCCCATTCTTAGGGGACGGGGTGGGAGTGCACCACATCAAAGAATACCCTGTGTGACAAAATAATCTGGACAGCACGCCTTGAGCATTAGATCTCTCCAGTGGCGGGAAGTTTCTTTCAGCAGAGGCACAGTTGCAGTGCTGAGCTCAATAGGGAGAGTCTAGAGCTCACCCCTACAATCAGAGAGCTCTGGTGCATATGAAGCGTCTTGGAGAAGGGGGCATCTTTCTTCCCTCATCCATTACCACAGGTACAGTGGGGCTTCTCCCACAGGAGGTGGGTGTGGGTACAACTATAGATAGCCATTCTGGAACATGTCAGGGTGACTACATCCCCATAGGAATAGCATCCTCTAGGTTCAGACTTGCTCAAGAGATAGAGTCACAGTTTCTCTCTATTTGGAACATCAACATTCCTATGGAGGAAAAGAAGTGCCTGTCTCATCTGAATAGCCAGAGCACTGGGACTGGAGTATATCTGAGAGGTGGATAGCTTTCCTGCTGACCTGGCAGGAGTCACTGGGGTGACTCCAAGTCTTCTCCCTAGTAAGAACTCAGTGTGACTCACTGAGAGCTCCTCCAGCCACCTCTGTCAAGGCTGAGACTTCTGCCATCCATGGGTATTGCATTTACCCACCTGCTTTAGCCACAAACAGTTTTTATGCAGGGACACATGCCCTACTGGCCTGAAGCCCAAACCATCAAACCAGTAAATAAAATACTGGGGAAAAATAAATAAATAAGAAGTGCACACCATGGGGGAATGAGATAAGCTTCAAGAGGCCTGTATCATTCCAACCCCATAAGAGACAGTGAACTTTGCTGACACACAAAGCATATTGTTGCTAAAATAAGCATATGAGAAAGCCATCAAATAATGACTCTTTATAACCAAGCAACTCTTATAAAGTCTTCATCCCTGAAAGCATCAAGAACCAAATTAGGATATTATTAACTATAAGGATAAAAGTCATATTCTTAAGACGAATAAGGAAATTTTTAAAAAAATAGTCAAATCAAACATAAATTCAAGAATAATTAGAAGAAATAGTCTACCCAAATGAGAAGAAACCAGAAAAGTAACTCTGATAATATGACAAAACAGGGTTCTATAACTCCCTCAAAGGATTACACTAGCTCTCCAGCAATGCATCCTAAGATGAAATCTTTGAAATATTAGATAAATAATTCAAAAGATTGATTATTAAGCTATTCAAGGAGATACCAGAGAAAAGGTGAAATCCACCATGAAGAAATTTTTAAAAGCAGTTCAGCATACAAATGAAAAATTGTCTAGAGAAATAGATATTATAAAGAAAAACCAGCCTTTTGTGTTAACTCACTGGGTCACTCTGCTTCTCCTGTTTCTCTTCTGTTATTATGAATTGGTTCATCTTTACTCCTTACTAGAACTGAGACTTCAGCGTGGTTCTATGTTTTCTGAATCTTAGTTTCCTCAAATTTAAAATGGGCTGATACCTGGGGTGGCTGTGGAATTACATGGGACAAAATGTGTTGAGCACTTACCCTTCCCTGCACTGGAGCACGCAGTCTTCTCCCAGCTGGAACCAGCCTAGTCTGCAGGAGTGACACTGCAGGCTGTGTCTCCCTTCACATGTCCTACAAGAGCTGGGGCAGTGGGCACACTGGTGGCTGTCCTCATTGGCATAATAGCCCTTTGGGCAGTCCTTCACACAGGTTGTGTCTGTCATGGGAGGAGAAGAGTCTATTTGGACATCAAGCATGACACATGTCTCCCCTATGGTTTTTTCATTGTTGTTTTTCTTATGTTTTTAATTTTTTTGAGACGGATTCTTGCTCTGTCACCCAGGCTGCAGTGCAGTGGCATGATCTTGGCTCACTGCAACATCTGCCTCCTGGGTTCAAGCGATTCTCCTGCTTCAGCCTCTGGAGTAGCTAGGATTACAGGCACCCACCACCAGGCCTGGCTATTTTTTTTTTTTTTTGTATTTTTAGTAGAGATGGGGTTTCTCCATGTTGGCCAAGATGGTCTCAAACTCCTGACCTCAGGATATCTGTCTCCCTTAGCCTCTCAAAGTGCTGGGATTAAAAGCCTCAGCCACCACACCCAGCCAGCCTCCCTTGTGTTTTCCCTCCTGTGTACCATGGTGGGAGGAGAGGGGTGCGTGAGGAAAAAAAAACACTATCAGAATTTCTGGGAATACAAGACACATTTATGAAATTATGAAATGCAGTGGAAAGTATTAGCAATAGAGTCAAACTAGTAGAAATAAAAACTTTCATAGATTAAAGACAAAGTGTTTTGAATTAACTCAAACAGACAAAAATAAAAAAAAAGAATCAAAACAAATAAAGTCTCCAAGAATTACGGGGTTATGTAAAACAGCCAAATCTAAGAATAATTGGTGTTCCCGAGAGATAAGAGAAAACAAAAAGGCTGGAAAACTTATTTGAAGGAATAACTGAGAAAAACTTCCCTGGCCTGGCTAGAGACTTACATATCCAAATCTAAGAAGTTCAAAGAATTCCTGGGTTATTTGGTGCAAGAAGATTTTCACCAAGGCATATAGTCATAAGATTATCTAAAGTCAGCATGAAGGAAAGAATTCTAAGAGCAGTAAGACAAAAGCATTAGGTAATCTACAAAGGAAGACCTATCAGACTAACCATAGACTTCTCAGCAGAAACATTACAAGCCAAAAGAGATTGGGGTCCTACTGTTAGCCTCCTTAAACAGGATAAATGTCAGCCAAGAATTTTGCATCCAGCAAAACTAAGTTTTATAAATGAAGGATAAATAAACTCATTTCAGACAGATAACTGCTGAGGTAATTTGTCACTACCAAATGAGCACTACTAGAAATGCTAAAAGGAGTTCTAAACTTTGAGACAAAAGCCCAATACACACCAAAATAGAATTTCCTGAAAGCTTAAAACTCACAGGACCTATAAAACAATAACACAGCAACAAAAAACTAACTACCTAGGTAACAATTAACATGATGAAAAGAATAGTATCTCACATCTCAAAATTAATATTGAACATAATTGGCCTAAATGTTCAACTTAAAAAGATACAGAATGGAAGAATGGATTTAAAAATCACACACCAAATGTCTGTTGTCTTCAAGAAACTCACCCAACAAAAATAGATTCATATAAACTCAAGGTAAGTGGGTGGAAAAAAAAGTTCCACACAAATGGAAACCAAAAATGTGGAGTAGCTATTCTGATACCAGACAAAACAGATTTCAAAGCAAAAACAGTAAAAAAAAAAAAAAAAAAAAAAAAAAAAAAAAAAAAGAAGACAAAGGTCATTATATAATGATAAAGGATCAATTCAACAAGAAGATATTACAATCTAAATTTTTATGCATCAACACTGGAGCTCCCAGATATATAAAATAATTAAAACAATTACTACTATACATAAGAAATGAACTAGACAGAAACACAATAATAGTGGGAGACTTCAACATACCACTGACAGCACTAAACAGATCATCAGGACAAAAAGTCAAAACAGAAACAATGGACTTCAACAATGCACTAGAACAAATGGACTTCGATATTTACAGGACATTCTGCCCAAGCACTGCAGAACATACATTCTTCTCATTGGTAAATGGAACATTCTCCAAGACAGACCATAGGATAGGCCACAAAGCAAATCTCAATAAACTTAAGAAAATAGAAATCATATTAAGTATCTTCTTAGGCCACAGAGGAATGAAACTGGAAATGAACTCCAAAAGGAACCCTAAAAACTATACAAATACATGGAAGTTAAATAATTGGTTCCTGAATAACTTCTGGGTTAAAAATTAAATCAAGATGGAAATTAAAAAAGTATTTGAAGTGAATGATAATAATGACACAAGTTCTCAGAACCTCTGGGATACATAAAAAGCAGTGCTAAAATGAAAGCTTGTAGTTCTAAATGCCTACATCTAAAAGTCTGAAAGAGTGCAAATTGACAACTCAATGTTACACCTTAAGGAACTAGAGAAACAAGAACAAACTGAACCCACAGTGAGCAGAACAAAAGAAATAAAAAATGTCAGAGTAGAAGTGAATGAGATTCAAAGAAAAAAAATACAAAAGATAAATGAAACAAAAAGCAAGTTATTTGACAAGATAATAAAATTGACAGACCATTACATAGATTAACCAAGAAAAGATGAGAGAAAATCCAAATAAGCTCAATTAGAAATGAAACTGGAGACATTACAACTCACATCACAGAAACACAAAAGATCATTAGAGACTATTGTGGACACCTTTGTGTGCACTATCAAGAAAACCTAGAGGAAATCAGTAAATTCCTGGAAACACACAACCCTCCTAGATTAAGCCAGGAAGAAATAGAAACCCTGAACAGACCAATAACAAGCAGTGAGATTGAATCGGTCATTTTAAAATTGCCAAGAAAAAAAGCAATGGATTCACAGCTGAGTTCTAGCAGACATTCAAAGAAGAATTGGTACCAATTCTGCTGAAACTATTTCAAAAGATTGAGAAAGAGTGAATCCTATCTAAAACATTCTATGAAACCAGTATCATCCTGATACCAAAACCAGGAAATAACAGAGAAAAAAAATACAGATGGGTACACTTGATGAACATAGATGGAAAAATGCTCAACAAAATACTGGCTAACTGAATCCAATAGTTCATCAAAAAGATAATGCAACATGATCAAGTGAGTTCATTCACAGGGATGAAGGGATCATTTAACATAGGCAAGTCAATAGTGATACATCACATAAACAGAATTAAAAATAAAAATCATATAATCATCTCAATAGATGCGGTAAAAGCATTTGACAAAATCTAGCACTGCTTTATGGTAAAAACTCTCAACAAACTAGACATAAAAGGCACTTACCTCAAAATAATAAAAGCCATGTATGAAAAACCCACAACCAACATTACACTGAATGAGAAAGGTTGAAAGCATCTCCCCTAAGAACAGGAATAAGACAAGGATGCCCACTATCACCACTCCTATTCAACATAGTTATGGAAGTCCTAGCCAGAGCAATTAGGGTAAAGAAAGAAATAAACGGCAACCACAATGGAAAAAAGGAAGTCAAAATATCACTGTTGGCAAATGATATGATTATATTCTTAGAGTGTCCTAGACTCCTCCAAAAGACTCCTACATTTGATAAACACACTCAACAAAGTTTCAGATTACAAAATCAATATGCACAAATTAATAGCATGGCTATTTGGCAAAAACAACGCAGCTAAGAATCAAATCAAGCACCCAACCCCCTTAACATCAGCTGCAAAAAAAAAAAAAAAAAAATTGAAGTAAAAGATGTCTACAAGAAGAATTACAAAATACTTCTGAAAGAAATCATAGATGACAAAAACAAATGGAACCAGATTCCAAGCTCATTGATTGGAAGAATTAATATTGTCAAAATGACCATATTGCTCAAAGCAATCTACAAATTCAATGCAATCTACAAATTCAATGTAATTTCCATGAAAATAGCAACATCGTTTTTCACGGAATTAGAAAAAAAAATCCTAAAATTTATATGGAACCAAAGAACAGCCCAAATAGCCTAATAAATCCTAAGTAAAGAAAGAACAAATATGGAGGGATCACATTATTGGACTTCAAATTATACTACAAGGTTATAGTTAAAAAAACAGCATGGTACTAGTATAAAAACAGGCATATAGACCAATAGAACAGAATCAAGAACCCAGAAATAAAGCTAAATACTTTGACATAAAAGCCGAATACTTTGAATTAAAGCCAACTGATCCTTGACAAAGCATACAAAAACATAAGTTGGGGATGGACACCCTATTTAATGAATGGTTCTGGGAAAACTGGCAAGCCACATGTAGAAGAATAAAACTGAATCCCTATCTCTCAATTTATACAAAAAACAATTCAAGATGGATCAAAGACTTACATATAAGACCTGAAACCACAAGAAGTCTAGAAGACAACATTGGAAAAACTGTTCTAGATATCAGTCTAGACAAAGAATTCATGGCTAAGACCCCCCCACCAAAAGCAGCAAAAACAAAAGCAAATAAATGAGACCTAATTAAACTGGAAAACTTCTGCACAGCAAAAGAAATAATCATCAGAGTAAACAGACAACCCACAGAATCGGAGAACATATTTGCAAAACATGCATCCAACAAAAGACTAGCATACAGAATCTGCAAGGAACTCAAACAAATCAGCAAGAAAAAAAACACAAACAATCCCATCAAAAAGTATGCAGATGATATGAATAGACATTTCTCAAAAGAAGATATACAAACAGCCAACAAACATATGAAAAAATGCTCAATATCACTAATCATCAGGGAAATGAAAACTAAAACCACAATAAGATACCACCTTACTCCTTCAAGAATGGCAGTAATTAAAAAGTCTCACTCATAAGTGGGAGTTGAACAATGAGAATACATGGACACAGGGAGGGGAACATCACACACCAGGGCCTGTCCCAGGGTGGGGGGCTAGAGGAGGGATAGCATTAGGAGAAATACCTAATCTAGGTGATGGGTTGATGGGTGCAGCAAACTACCATGGCATGTGTATACCTATGTAACAAACCTGCACATACTGCACTTGCACCCCAGAACTTAAAGTGTAATATAAATAAATAAATAAATAAAAAATAAATAGTACTAGTAAGCTAGAGAAGAAAAAAAAAGTCAAAGAACAATAGATGTTGGTATAGCTGTGGGGAAAAGGAAACACCTATACACTGCTAGTAGGAAAGTTAATTAGTACAATCTCTATGGAAAACAATATGGAGATTCCTTAAAGAGCTAAAAGTAGATCTACATTTTGATTCAGTCCCCACTACTGGGCATCTACCCAAAAGAAAAGACATCATTGTTTGAAAAAGACACTTTCACACATATGTTTATAGCAGCACAATTAACAAAAATGTGGAGCCAACCTAAGTGCTCATGGACTAATGAGTGGATAAAGAAAATGTGGTATACATACACCATGAAATACTCCTCAGCCATAAAACAGAATGAAATAATGTATTTTGCAGAAACTTGGATGGAGTTGGGGGCCATTATTCTAAGTGAAGTAACACAGCAGTGGAAAACAAAAAAAAACAAAAACATATGGTCTGACTTGTAAGTAGGAGCTAAGCTCTCAGTATGTAAAGGCATACAGAATGATATAATGGACTTTAGAGAATCAGAAGGGGGAGAGTTGGAAGGGGAATAGGGATAAGAAACTACAATATACACTACTCAGGTGGCTGGTGTACTAAAGTCTCAGGTTTCACCACTGTATCATTCATCCATGTAACAAAAAAGGCCTGTACCCCAAAAGCTATTGAAATAAAATTTGAAAAATAATAATAAATAAAAAAGACAAAACAAATAACATATTATTCAGCAGTGTGACACATTTTTATAACTTTATCTATTTCTTTATTTCAATATGTTTTGGGGGAACAAGTGGTTTTTAGTTACATGAGTAAATTCTTTAGTGGTGATTTCTGAGATTTTGGTACACCCAATACCTGAGCAGTATACACTGTACCCAATGTGCAGTCATTTATCCCTCATCCCCTCTCACCCTTCTCCCTGAGTCCCTAAAGATTATTGTATCATTCTTATGCCTTTTTGTCCTCATAGCTTAGCTCCCACTTATGAGTGAGAACACATAATGTTTGGTTTTCCATTCATGAGTTACTTCACTCAGAATAATGGTCTCCAATGCCATCCAGATTGCTGCAAATTTCTTATTTCATTCTTTTTTAAGGCTGAGTAGTATTCTGTGATATATATATATATATATATATATATATATATATATATATATATATGACATTTAAATTATAGACAGCTTTTGCGTTGAATTTATAGACAGCTTTTGACAGTAAGGTCATTTTCACAATATTAATTATTCCAATCCATAAGCACGGGATGTGAGATACATATATATATATACACACACATACACATACACACACACACACAAATATATATCTATAGATCATACACCACATATGTATATATATGTAGTACCATATAAAATGTGATATATATCAAATTTTCTTTATCCATTTGCTAATTGATAGGCACTTGGGCTGGTTCCATATTTTTGCAATTGTAAATTGTGCAGTTGTAAACATGCATGTGTAAGAACTTTTTTGTGTAATAACTTCTTTTCCCTTGGGTATCTACCTAGGAGTGGGATTGCTGGATCCAATGATAGATCTACTTTTAGTTCTTTAAGGCATCTCCACACTGTTTTCCATAGTGGTACTAGTTTACATGCCCACCAGCAGTGTAAAAGTGTTAGATATATTATTTTTTGGTCTTTTAATTATGTCCATTCTTGCAGGAGTAAGTTGGTATCACGTTGTTTTTGATTTGGATTTATCTGATAATTAGTGATGCTGAGCATTTTTCATATGTTTGTTGGCCTTTTGTATATCTTCTTTTGAGAATTGTCTGTTCATGTTCTTAGCCAACTTTTTGATGGCATTGTTTGTTTTTTCGCTGATTTGAGTTCCTTGTACTCTGGATAGTAGTCCTTTGTCAGATTAACAGATTATGAAGATTTTCTGCCATTTTTGTGGGTTATCTATTTACTCTGCTGATTATTTCTTTTGCTGTGCAGAAGCTTTTTAGTTTAATTAAGTCCTATCTATTTATCTTTGTTTTTGTTGCATTTGCTTTTGGTTTCTTGGTCATTAAGTCTTTGCCTAAGCCAGTGTCTGGAAGGGTTTCTCCAATGTTATCTTCTAGAATTTTTATGGTTTCATGTCTTAGATTTAAGTCTTCGATCTATCTTGCATTGATTTTTGTGTAAGGTGAGAGATGAGGATCCAGTTTCATTCTTCTACATGTGGCTTGCCAATTACCCCGGCACCATTTATTGAATAGGGTGTCCTTTCTCACTTTATGTTTTTGTTTGCTTTGTCAAATATCAGTTGACTATAAGTATTCAACCTTATTTCTGGGTTCTCTATTCTGTTTCATTGGTCTATATGCCTGTTTTTATACCAGTATCATGCTGTTTTGGTGACTATGGCCTCATAGTATAGTTTGAAGTCAGGTAATGTGATGCCTTCAGATTTGTTCTTTTTGCTTACTTGGCTTTGGCTATGCAGGATATTTTTAGGCACCATATGAATTTTAAGATTGTTTTTTCTAGTTCTGTGAAGAATGATGGTAGTATTTTTATGGGAATTGCATTGAATTTATAGACAGCTTTTGACAGTAAGGTCATTTTCACAATATTAACTATCCCAATCCATAAGCATGGGATGTGTTTCCATTTGTTTGTGTCATCTATGATTTCTTTCAGCAATGTTTTTAGTTTTCCTTGTAGAGGTATTTTACTTCCTTGGTTAATTATATTTCTAAGTAATTTTTTAGCTATTGTAAAATGTATTGAGTTCTTGATTTGATTCTCAGCTTGGTCGCTCTTGGTGTGTAGCAGGGCTACTGATTTATGTACATTAATTTTTTATCCTGAAACTTTGTTGGATTCATTTACCAGTTCTGAGAGCTTTTTGGGTGAGTCTTTGGGGTTTTCTAGATATATGATCATATCACCAGAAAACAGTCATAATTTGACTCCCTCTTTACTGATTTAGATGCCCTTTATTTGTTTCTTTTGTCCGCTCTTGCTAAGACTTTCAGCACTATGTTAAATAGAAGAGGTGAAAGTCAGCATTCTTCTCTTGTTTCAGTTCTCAGGGGGGATAATTTCAACATTTCCACATTCAGTATAATGTTGGCTGTGGGTCTATCATTGATGGCTTTTATTACCTTAAGGTATATCTCTTCTATGCCAGTTTTGCTGAGGGGTTTAATCATACAGGGATGCTGAATTTTGTCAAATGCTTTTTCTGTGTCTCTTGAGATTATCATGTGATTTTCAAAAATTCTGTTTATGTGGTGTATCACATTTATTGACTTGCAAATGTTAAACCATCCCTTCATCCTTGGTATGAAATCCACATGGTCATGGTATATTATCTTTTTTGATATGCTGTTGGATTTGGTTAGCTAGTATTTTGTTGAAGATTTTTGCATCTATATTCATCAGGGGTATTGGTATGTAGTTTCCTTTAAGTTGTTATGTCCTTTCTTGGTTTTGGTATTAGGGTGATACTGGCTTCTTAGAATGATTTAGGGAGGAGTCCATCTTTCTCTAACTTTTGGAATAGTGTCAAAGGATTGGTACCAATTATTCTTTGAATGTCTGACAGAATTCAGCTGTGAATCCATCTGGCCCTGGACTTCTTTGTTGGTAACTTTTTAATTACCATTTCAATCTCACTGCTTGTCATTGGTCTGTTCAGAGTTTCTATTTCTTCCTAGTTTAATCTAGGAGGGTCAGATATTTCCAGGAATTTATCCAGATCTTCTAGATTTTCTAGTTTATGTGCATAAAGATGTTCACAGCAGGCTTGAATGATCTTTTTTTTATTTCTGTGGTATCAGTTTTATAACTTTACCTCACTAGATTATGAATTTCTCTTTTTGTAAAAAATACATAGCTATTTTTAAATAACAATAAAAATAGTAACACAGGGACATTTCTGTGCTTGCTTTTGTATTCTTAAATCTATAAAGGCTTCATATTTTTCATTTTCTATTAAACAGAAATTTTGATGTCAGACATTTATACACTGTGTATATTTAACTCTAGACTCTAATTTTTACCTGTCATTGTTTCTTAAATATGGCAAATGCTATAAATGGGGATGTAGAAGTATAGGGCAATAAAATAAATCTTTTTTATGAAACCAGGGCATTTTAATTTTGTGGTTTTTCTTATTTTTGTGTCTTTCTTTCTTTCTTTCTTTCTTTCTTTCTTTCTTTCTTTCTTTCTTTCTTTCTTCTTTTCTGCTTGAGTAATTTTTTTTCTAATTGTGGGGAAGCATTGTATGGTGATGAAATAAAACTCTGGAAATGTATTCTTATTTTATAGTTATCAGGTAGGGCTAATACTGGAGTCCAAGTTTTTCTGGAGGAAGCTATGTTGAATTATCTAACTATCTGAGCCTATTTTTGTGTGACAACAGGAGTCAGATTGAAAGGGGAGAATGTTTCTATTTGGTTCTGGATTTTATACTGGGCATTTTCACTGAAACAACTTGTATAGTTTTGTTCTGATGCCCCACTTTAAGTATGCACACACACACACACACTTTTATTTCAATGTTTAAATGTTATGTCTTTAGACATAGGAGGTCTGCAGAAAATGTACTGAATAACAGAGGTTTGTATGCTGGGTTCATAAGGGATTAAATTCACATATTTTCTATCTCCAGGGTAATTTATCTCTCAGTCACACTATTTATGAGAGAATAATTCATAGTCCTACTACTCATTTGAAAATTATATTATTGGAAAAATTTTATTATTGAAGTTATATTTTGTTTGAGAGAACATGTTAATTTGGGATAGATATGCTAATGAAAAGAAACTAAGAAGAGTAAGCATAATATAAAAAGTTTAAAAAGATATAAGGAATCACAGTCCTGACCTGTCTATCTACTCATACACACATTTAGCATTTATACTTAAGGGCCCCAGCTGTAATACAAATTCCCAGAACAGTCTGATTAATGAACTAGTAGGTTGCGTGGGACATCACGCAGTAACTTTAACAGGCAAACACTGACACATTAGCATTCAGTGATCTCTTCCCAGAAGGAAAAACCTAACAGACAAAGAAGTATGCAGAAAGAAGATAAAAGAAAGACAGCATGCATTGAAAGAAGAAAATAGTTTTTAAATCACTTGAAGATTTTTCTCTCAATTCTTGCTTTCTTTAATAAAGTGAAGGAGCTTCTGTAACTTACTGCAAAGGAGCAAGGAGCAAAAGTTACATTGTTTCAAATTTCATTTGCCTTCAGCAAGGTTTTGAAAACTATGAAAACTATTTTATGAAACATAAAAAAGTGGTTTTCCTGTCATTAATAAATGTTATTCTTACAGCCTCACCAATGAAATCTCGTCTTCTCAGGAAAAAATTCAAGTTTATCCTATTGAAATTTGACTTACACCTTTCTGATGTCAGGACATAGTACCAAAATGTATATATTAAGCATAATTATTTAATTAAACATATTTTAATTAAATCCAGACTTATTTGACAGGCATTTCAAATTGTCTTATTTTAATCATGCCTCATTTATCTGTTATCTCAAGAAATCATTAAATTTTGTGAGCCGCTTTCCCTCCTCTCATTTGATGCATGGCTAGTAAAAAAATCTTTGCACCCTTTCCTTCCTCCATCTTTTATACCTGGATTTGGTAGTTGCTTGAAGATGACTTGGACTCCATTATAAATGGAGCTTCCCTTTAAGATCCAATGTTTGTAAGAGTGTTCCTCAGATTGTTTTATTAATTTTACTACAGACAAATGGCAACTGTGACACAATCTGTGAAACCAAATGTGCTTGCATTTATATGATGTTTGATATGGCTCCTTTAAAGAAACCAGTGTAGTTTCATTCTATGGTTTGGCATTTCTGTGTTGAAGAAAACCCCATCGTCTCACCCCAAAATCTCCTTAAGCTGATAAGCAACTTCAGCAAAGTCTCAGGATACAAAGTCAATGTGCAAAAATCACAAGCATTCTTATACACCAATAACAGACAAACAGAGAGCCAAATCATGAGTGAACTCCCAATCACAACTGCTTTGAAGAGAATAAAATACCTAGGAATCCAACTTACAAGGGATGTGAAAGACCTCTTCAAGAAGAACTACAAACCACTGCTCAATGAAATAAAAGAGGACACAAACAAATGGAAGAACATTCCATGCTCATGGATAGGAAGAATCAATATTGTGAAAATGGCCATACTGCCCAAGGTAATTTATAGATTCAATGCCATCCCCATCAAGCTACCAATGACTTTCTTCACAGAATTGGAAAAAACTACTTTAAAGTTCATATTGAACCAAAAAAGAGCCCGCATTGCCAAGACAATCCTAAGCCAAAAGAACAAAGCTGGAGGCATCACGCTACCTGACTTCAAACTATACTATAAGGCTACAGTAACCAAAACAGCATGGTACTGGTACCAAAACAGAGATATAGATCAATGGAACAGAACAGAGACCTCGGAAATAATACCACACATCTACAACCATCTGATCTTTGACAAACCTGACAAAAACAAGAAATGGGGAAAGATTCCCTATTTAATAAATGGTGCTGGGAAAACTGGCTAGCCATAAGTAGAAAGCTGAAACTGGATCCCTTCCTTACACCTTATACAAAAATTAATTCAAGATGGATTAAAGACTTAAATGTTAGACCTAAAACCATAAAAACCCTAGAAGAAAACCTAGGCAATACCATTCAGGACATAGGCATGGGCAAGGACTTCATGTCTAAAACACCAAAAGCAATGGCAACAAAAGCCAGAATTGACAAATGAGATCTAATTAAACTGAAGAGCTTCTGCACAGCAAAAGAAACTACCATCAGAATGAACAGGCAACCTACAGAATGGGAGAAAATTTTTGCAATCTATTCATCTGGCAAAGGGCTAATGTCCAGAATCCACAAAGAACTGAAACAGATTTACAAGAAAAAAACAAACAACCCTATCAAAAAGTGGGCAAAGGATATGAACAGACACTTCTCAAAAAAAGACATTTATGCAGCCAAAAGACAGATGAAAAAATGTTCATCATCACTGGCCATCAGAGAAATGCAAATCAAAACCACAATGAGATACCATCTCACACCAGTTAGAATGGCGATCATTGAAAAGTCAGGAAACAACAGGTGTTGGAGAGGATGTGGAGAAATAGGAACACTTTTACACTGTTGGTGGGACTGTAAACTAGTTCAACCATTGTTGAAGTCAGTGTGGTGATTCCTGAAGGATCTAGAACTAGAAATACCATTTGACCCAGCTATCCCATTACTGGTATATATCCAAAGGATTATAAATCATTCTGCAATAAAGACACAAGCACATGTATGTTTATTGTGGCACTATTCACAATAGCAAAGACTTGGAACCAACCCAAATGTCCAACAATGATAGACTGGATTAAGAAAATGTGGCACATATACACCATGGAATACTATGCAGCTATAAAAAAGGATGAGTTCATGTCCTTTGTAGGGACATGGATGAAGCTGGAAACCATCATTCTTGGCAAACTATCGCAAGGACGAAAAACCAAACACTGCATGTTCTCACTCATAGGTGGGAATTGAACAATGAGAACACTTGGACACAGGAAGGGGAACATCACACACCGGGGCTTGTTGTGGGGTGGGGGGAGTGGGGAGGGATAGCATTAGGAGATATATCTAATGTAAGTGACGAGTTAATGGGTGCAGCACACCAACATGGCACATGTATACATATGTAATAAACCTGCACGTTGTGCACATGTACCCTAGAACTTAAAGTATAATAAAAATAAAATAAAATGAATAAAAACAAACAAACAAAAAATTTAAATTGCATTTTGTCTAAACAAAATGCACATGGTAGGCCGGATTTAGCATATGGGTTTTTGTTTGCTATTTACCTTTAAACTATGCTGAAAAACTTCTATTTTATCAAATTCTGACAATCCTTTATGATATTACATTGAAGTTCTCCTGGATGACTCTGCCAAAGGTGGCAAATTCATTTTTGCCAAGAATTTAAATATGATTTAATTACTTAATATGGTGATAAAAGTAGGGGTTAAAGTCTAATATGCTCTACTAAAGGGTCAATATTTTTGTAAATTCTCCCCTTTCACCTTAATAAATGTAATCTTTTTATTATTTTGACTTAATATGATACTCGTATTTTAATACAAAAAGAAAACATTTATATTTACATTGATAAAACTAACTTCCAGTAATATGAGTCACATTTATCCTTTGACTTCTCACTGCTTCTGGCACAGCATCAAAAGCTTAAATGTGGCATGGCTCCTGGACTGAGAGCAATGGATAACAGCTACCATATATATAGCATTCACCATTATGTATTCCATATAAATTACAAAACTGACAAATTGTATTGAAAAGACAAAGGACGAAACTTTACATTTTTGGATAATAGACAAAAATCTTTAAATCTCACTAAATGAACAGTAATTCACTCATTCTATAGAGAAACTCGCTCTGGTTCAGAATATGGAACCCTAAGGAGAATTAGCTGGCCAAAAATAGAATGGAGAATGAGTTTCAGTTCCAAACAGAAAACATAAGCAACTTTTAATTATCGACCCACTCCTTTATTTGTGGAATAGTGTTGCACTGATTATTTAATTGCATAGCATTCCATTCATTTTCACAATGCTCATTTCTCTGCAAGCAGTACAAAAATAAAATCTTCAGTTTAAATTTTTGCTTGGATTTTCTTATCCAATTACTTTAAGAATCCCTGCAATGATGACTATGGGCCAAGAATTTTAAATGACATTCTATATATGTACTTGGAAAGAATAAAAATGATGTTTCTCATTACTAAGAATTAAGCTGAATTTGTTTTGCTTTAAAATGGTTTGTTTAGAGCGAATTATATAAGAAGAGTAGTGGCTTGAGGACTCAGCTTCATGTACATGTTTCAGTACTTTCAGTGAGACTTCTTCCGAGTTTATGGCAATGACAGCTTCACCTATTCCATAGCACGTTGTCTTCAGAACTTTCAATCACAGGTCATTAATTAACTTTAGACAGAAATTTCACTAAAGTATAGTTAATTTCCTACCTATTAAATACAGATGGCTTGACTTATGATTTTTCAGCTTTTCAATGATGTTAAAGTGCCACACATGCAGTAGAAACTTAAATTTTGAATTTTGATATTTTCCTCAGCCAATAATATACAGTGTGATATGCCTTAGGCATGCAGAACAGTGGCAGTGAGCCTCAGCTCCCAGTGAGCCACGGATTCATGAGGGTAAACAACCAATACTCTACTGTGGACTGAGGTGCCCATGTTTTTCGTGTATTGGGTTTTGTGTTATTGGATTCCATCGTGTCTACAAATGCTCACTGGTGTCTCCTGCTTCTGGTGAAAAGAAGAGAAAGGCAATTACTTTGGAGATGAAACTCAAAATAATAGCCCAGCATTAAGGTGACAAGCCAGGAATGGCCATGGCATATGAATGAAGACATATGCAATCCATGATCCTGACCATCCATAAGGATATGAAGAAAATCAGTTATGCAGTAAAATCATCAAAATGGGTCAAAAGAGCTGGACTGATTGATGATATGGAAAAATTACTTGTTACATGAATGGAAAATATACAAGTTTACATTGTTTAGTCTACTCACAATCCAGGCAAAGGCAAGAAGTCTTTTTGATATGCTAAAATAGTGTGCTGATGTTCTAATGTATATAAAAATATTTATAGCATGTCTTGAGTGGTTCTAACACTTCAAAAGGTGTCTTAATTTTCATAATGTAAAGGACAATGGTGAAGCAGCAGATGATATTACTGAAGGTGCCAAAGCTTTTAAGGAATAACTGCATAGGAGAATTGTGGATGAGAAATATTTGCGAGAACAAATGTTTATTGTCAATGAAATTAGCTTGTTTTGGAAATGCATGCGGGAGCATACATACATCCATTAAGACTCCAAGACAATGCCAGGATTCAAGGCATTCAAAAACCCTGGAATTTTGTTTTTGGGTGGAAATTTAACCAAGCTCAAATTAAAGTCTTTCCTAAGCTATCACTTGAAGGGCCCTAGAACATTCAAGAACCCTAGAGTAAGCATACACTTCCCATTTATTATTATCATAACAAGGAAGTCTGGGTTATATTAGCTTTGTCTGAAGACTGGTTTATGAACTGTTTTGCTCTGCAGCCAAGAGAATATTGTAGGCAAAACAACATCTCTCTTGAGATTCTTCTGATCTTGCACAATGCTCTGGGCATCCATAGCACATCACTGGTGACATGTATCCTAATGAAGATTGTGTATTTGCCACTGAACACAATCACACTCATTTGACCAATGGACCAAGGTGCAAGAGCTGTATTCATATCATACTATGTACACCGAATATTTTTGCAGGCTGCTAAAATCACTGATTCTGGTCACATTTTGAGTTTGGGAAAGATTCTAAAGGCTATCTGGAACATTTCTGTAACATAGAATGAGGTCACACAGTAATGTTATTTGAAAGAAAATTTTGAAGACATGTAATACATTCAATGACAGTAAGAAAGATTCTGCTGTTGATAAAACGGTATCATGTTAGTAGTGCTTGGGAAAGAGCTACAAATGGACATCAATGAAAAGGATATTCATAAGCTTGTTGGTACTGAGGCTGAAGAACTGTCCAAAGAGCAGCTGATCAATTTGGAGGAGGAAAGAAATAAAGAACTTGAGGAAGAGAAAGAAGTTATATCCGAACCACCAAGAAAATTTAGAGCATAAACTTTTGCAGACTCTGATAAGGAGATATAGGATACACTTGCTTGGTATAAAGAAATATATAAAGAACAGAGGAAATATAAAATGTACAAACAAAACTTGACTATCTTCTTGAAGAACCATCAAGTGTTGATGCCTCAGCATCTTCTACCAGGTATTCTTAAGCCTCATTAGAAGAGAGAGAAATGGATGACTCTATCACTGTAGCATCCCAATCATCCAGCAACTAACTCTAATCTGTTGCTTCAAATATTCTTCAGGCCTAGTGTGCTTTCAGCTGTGTATATTAATGATGAGTACCTATACATGGTACCAGTATATTAATGGTAAGTGCCTATACATGGTGAGTATCGATATCAGTCCATTGCCTGTTAGGAACCGGGCTGCACAGAAGCAAGTGAGCAAAGCTTCATCTGTATTTATAGTTGCTTCCCATTGATCGTATTACTGCCTGAGCTCTGCCTCCTGTCTGATCAGCAGTGGCATTAGATTCTCATAGGAGTGCGAACCCTATTGTGAACTGTACATATGAGGGATCTAGGATGCATGCTCCTTAATGAAATCTAATGCTTGATGATCTGTCTCTGTCTCACATCACCCCAAGATGGGACTGCCTAGTTGCAGGAAAACAAGCTCAGGGCTGCCACTGATTCTATATTATGGCAAGTTGTAAAACTATTTCTTTATATATTACTATGTAATAATAATAGAAATAAAGTGCACAATAAATGTAATGCACATGAGTCATTCCTAAACCATTTTCTCCACCCCCCCCCACCAACCTGTCACAAAATTGTCTTCCATGAAACCGGTTCCTGGTGCCAAAATTTTGGGGACCACTGACCTATACAACTATTCTACTTTTCACTCTGAGTACAGTATTTAATAAATTATATGAAAAATTCAACACTCTATTATAAACTAGTCTTTGTATTAGGTGATTTTTCCCAACTCTAGGCTAATGCAAGTGTTCTGAGCACAGTTGAGGTAGACTAGGATATATGGTAGCTTAGATGTATTAAAGTGTATTTTCAACCTAAAATATTTTTAACTTATGACAGGCTTATCAGAATATAATCTTGTTGTAAATCAAGGTTCTATTTACTATCATAAATAACATGATCATAGCCTAGGAATTCTCATTATTTCACACTTGGTAGTACCATCTTCAAAGTTTCTTTTTTCTTTTCTTGGACATTTTTTTCTTTTGTTTGTATTTGGAAAAAAGAATAGCTCTTTTCTGTGATACCTCCTAGGCTGCGTCTTTGAAGAATACATGACTTGATTAGTTATTTAGTCGAAAGAAAACCATGAGCAAACAAAATTAACTCAAATGGCATGCGGTGCTAATGAGCTTGCTAGAATCACCATTTTATTATTTGCTGTAGGGATAGAAAAATTCTTAGGGAAGGTGTTTGGGGACAATGTGACAACTGAGATGCCCACTAGGAAATGTTCATGTGAATTTAACAAATAGAGTTTTATTTAGTGTTAAGTAAACACTATATAGAATGTGATTCCAGCTGAGGTTTTATTTTTTATTTTTAGTTCATACTGTTTCAATTTATCATCCTTGAATTCAGTAATAGGTTCAATGACATTGCTCACCAAAGATTTTAACGTTGTTGCAACTTTATGGGTTTGCTACTTTTATTTCAAACATTCTCATTCAGAAGATATAAAACGTTTAGGATTTTTAGAATTTTTTCTGCAACAAAATATTGAATTCTAATGATTTGGAATCCCCTTCTTGAGCTGGCCATCTATTTGGCCAGTTATTTTCTATTAATCAACTTAATTCTGTTGTTATTTCAGTAACTAAAATATAGAAAAGCAGATTTCTATGAACCAGTTTTAAGTGGTAGCTATTAGAGAGCTAAATTAAATTACAATAATATATTTGTGGAATTAAAAATAATTGAAAATGGGTTTTAGCATGAGCAACTCTAGGTACTCTCAATTTAGCTTCCACTTTCAAAACAGACATATGCATCAATACTTCCATGAGTACAAACTGGTACATGTGCATCAGGGAGGATACTTTGATAAATACAATGTTATAAATAGACACCAAGCACATTACAGAATGAAATAAATAAAATAATACTTTTTGGTATAATAGTCTATAAATACACCTTTTATTTGTAAGAGCCATATTAGAACTGAAATGAAATGGATAACCATATTGGTGTGAATTAAAGGCAGACATACAGCCTCCTGAATATTGAATAAATATTATTTTATATAAAAATTTTAAATGGGAACTAATATTACACACAAATAATGTAATACAAAATAAATGGAATATAGTTGTATTGAATCGTAGAAGGGCATGAGAAATTTAAGATCTTTACAAAACTCATATTTTACATGGTAGATTGTATTAAGATTCTATTTTAAAACCTTATTATTTTTCTATTTTAATGAAATGATAAACTAAGACTTATATACAGTTTGTGGTTTTTCCGAGCTATATCATTATATAGGATTAAAATCAGAACAACCCGAACACATGCATTCTTGTCCAGAAACATTTAAAAATTATGTTGGTCTAAATGTTTCTTTTTCGAGGATTATGAAATAAGTGTTCTCAATATAAATTGTATCTTAAACTAAAAATACTCTGAAACATCATCAATACTAGAATATTTCAGAATGAAGTACAATAAATTGTAGGAGATTAGCACTAGCACAAGATAACTTTAATAAAATCACTGCCAATGTCCTCATTGTGAATCTACAATTTAATAACTTTAATACGTAGTTTCCTATAGTGTTAAATACCTTAGCTATTAAAAATGCTATAAATATGCACCTTGTTTTCTTAATATGAACTTAATAATGCATCCAAACAAGTGTACATGATTATTAAGAAGGGTGCATATGTATGCAAAAATATTCAGAAAGTGCATAGGAGAAGGAAAGTAAATGCTACACCAAATTCAAATTTTAAATGGAAAATATCATGGAATATATCTATATCAATATAGCTATATATGTGTATATAGTCACATTTGTATCTATATTTATATCTACTTATGTATATATATATGTGCATAAATGCACAGCAAATCACAAACACATTTTACAGCTTTGATTCACAATATTCATAGTTTTGTTTACCTACATTATTAATTTTCTCAGTTCCCCTTTACCACCAAACACATAGCTACTACTATAAATTCACCTCTATTATCAGTTAATATGTAAACATAAATCAGTTATTTATTGATTATTATACTTCCTGTTTGTTATCTTATAAGTGAAACAACTAATGAATTATCATTTATCTTTTCTTAAAAATCTGAAAATATTTTATATTATGACTATAATGTAATTTTGATTATATTCTTTATTTCTTGCAGTTGGCTTTGTGGAGAGTCTATTCAATTAAAGTCAAAATAAATTGTTATGGACTGAATATTTGTGTCCTCTCAAATTTATATGTTGAAGGCCTAACTCATCAATGTGACTGTATTTGGATATGGGGCTTTTATGGAAATAATTAAGGTTAAATGAGGTCCACTGAAATTAGGGTTATTACAAAAAGAGACACATGAGAGCTGATTTGCTCTCTCCACAGGCACAAAGAAGAGGTCATACGAACACAAAATGAGATGACTGCTATCTATAAGCCACAAGAGTTGGCCTCAGAATGAAATCTACCTTGCCAGCACCCTAATTTTGGACTTCTTATCCTCCAGAACAAATTTTTATTGTTTAAACCACTGGGTCTGTGATATTTGTTTGGCAGCCCAAGCTGACTAATACAAAAGTAAACACACATAAAGAACATAAAGTTAGAGCACTAGGAACACTGTCCTCCCCACATGAGACTTGGTGCACAGTCAATGCATTGCAGTTTCTGAACTCAAAGAATCAGGTCCCTAAGGCCAACCATAATCTTTGCATTCTGCATTCCCAGCCTTGATACCTCCATCTGAAAACAGTATTGTCTTGGCCCTTGGCAGAGGCTTCTCACCAAGATGTCTTCATGGTGGGGAAGGGGAGGATTTTGAATACATTTTTCCCTACTCTGACTTAGTACTCAGTACTTTTTCCAGTACTAGTCATTTTACTTTCTCTCTCCCTGGCCCCCAGGTCCATAAAATGGCCGGAGTGTTTTGTCCAGAGCAGCCTCAGCAGTGAGGCGTCTCCCCATTCCACCCCACCAACGTCTGTAGTGATAAACCTGACTCTCATCTGGCACTAGTCCTGAACATTGGTGGAGCTGGCACTTTCTCATGTTGCTTCTACTATGGAAGTAAGTGATTAAAGACTTGACTGTTATTTTCATTTTGGCTTGTCATCTTAATTGACTAATCCAACACATGGTACCTCAATTTGCTCCAGCTCAACTCAGCTCTTGACAATTTATTTCTTTAAAAGTTTCCAAAACATCTTTTAAAATATATTATTGACTCTAGAATCTGTCATAACAAAGTATTTCTGTTACAAATTTATAGATTAAAAATGATATATATTCAACCACATGTTGTTATAGTGGAAATTTTTACTGATTTTTTTATTAAGGTTTTTCTTAGAAAATGATAACTATATATATATATATATATACACCCAATTATGCTTAAAGTTTAGAAAACATATATTCAATAAATAACTCAAACATGCAGATAAATGAAAGTACATTTGTCAGAGAAAGCTAATTGTTTCCCATTTTGTCATTTTACTAACTTATGAAAAATCATTAAAGGGAGAATTCATGCCTGTTTTGATTCTTCTGTCTTATTGAAAGGAATGACCATTGAATGACTGGTGGCTAAACTTGAGTCACCTATTTTAAATATAACCATGAGTGTGACACACTATGTGTAGAAATGCTGATAAAAGGAGGAGGCAGACTCTTTGAACACACAGTGAAACCACCATATCACTATTGGACTGCATACTATTCATCGCTGGACTTTTTAAATTGTAGAATTGAAAGCATTTTGAAATTATTTTTATTAGAATTTTTGGTCTAAAGATGAATCTAAATCTCTTTCATTCACACACACACACAAACACACACACACACACACACAATAAATGTATACTGTGTTCGTTCATTCTCGCACTGCTATAAAGAAATACCTGAGCCTGAGGCTGGGAAATTTATGAAGAAAAGAGGTTTAATTGGCTCATGGTTCTTCAGGTTATAAAAGAAACATGGCTGGAGAGGCCTCAGGAACTTACAATTATGGCAGAAGGCAAAGGAAAAGCAGGCACAACTTTCATGGCCGGAGCAGGAGTAAGATAGAGAATCGGGAGGTGCTATGTCCATTTAAAAAACCAGGTCTCTCATGAGAACTCATTCACTATCATGAGAACAGCAAGTAGAAAATCTGTCCCAATTATCCAACCACCTGCCACCAGGCCCCTCTTCCAACGTTGGGGATTATAATTCAACATGAGAGTTGGGCAGGGACACAAATCCAAATCATATCATTCTGCCCCCGGCCACTCCCAAATCTCATGTCCTTGTCACATGGCAAAATATAGTCATCCCTTCTCAACAGTCCCCCAAGTCTTAATTCATTACAGCATTAACTTAAAAGTCCACAGTCCAAAGTCTAATTTGAGACAAGGGAAGTCCTTTCTGCTTATGAGACTGAAAAATCAAAAACAAGTTAGTTACTTCCAAAATACAATAGGAACACAGGCATTGCATAGATACTCCTGTTTCAAAATCAGCCAAAAGAGAGGAGCTCCAGGATTCCAGCAGGGCAGTCACTAACTCTTAAAGCTCCAAAATAATCTACTTTGACTCCATGTCTCACATTCAGGCCACACTGATGCAAGGAGTGGGCTCTTAAGGCTTTGGGTAGCTCTGCCCCTGTGGCTCTGCAGAGTTCACCTCCCATGGCTGCTCTCAAGGGCTGACATTGAGTGCCTGCAGCTTTTCCAGGCACATGGTACAAATTGTTGGTGGAGCTACCACTCTGGGGTCTGGAAGACAGTGGCACTCTTCTCACAGCTCCAATAGGAAGTGCTCCAGTGGGAACCCTGTGTGGAAGCTTTAACTTCACATTTTCCCTTAAGACTGACCTAGTAGAGATTCTCAATGAAGGCTTTGTCCCTGGAGCAGGCTTCTGTCTGTACATACAGGCTTTTCCATACATCTAAAATTTAAGCGAATGATCCCAAGCCTCAACTCTTACACTCTGTGCACCTGCAAGATTAACCCCATGTGGAAACTGCCAAGGCTTACAGTTTGCACCTTCTGAAGCAATGGCCCAGTCTGTACTTTGGCCCGTTTTAGCCATGGCTGGAGCTGGAATGGCAGAGATGCAGGGAGCAGTGTCCTGAGGCTGCACAGGGCAACAGGATCCTGGGCCTAACCCAGGAAACCATTCTTCCCTCCTAGGCCTCCAGCCTGTGATGGGAGGGGCTGTCACTAAAATGCCTTCAGGGTTTTTTCCCCATTATTTTGTCTATTAGTACTTGACTTCCTTTTAGTTTTGCAAATTTCTGCAGCCTGCTTAAATCCCTCCCCTGAAAACGGGTTTTTCTTTTCTACCGCATGGCCAGCCTGCAAATTTTTCAAACTTTTATGCTCCACTTCCTTTGTAAGTATAAGTTCAAGTTTTACATCATTTCTTTGCTCACAAATATGAGAATAGGCCTCTAGAAGCAGCCAGGGCATTTCTTGAACACTTTTTGTTGTTTAAAATTTTCTCTGCCAGGTACCCTAAATCATCACTCTCAAGTTTAAATTTCCCCAGATTCCTAGGCGGGGGCACAATGCCTCCAATTTCTTTGCTAATAGATAACAAAAGTAACCTTTGCCCTACTTTCCAGTAAGTTCCCCATCTTCATCTGAGACCTCCTCAGCCTGGACTTCATTGTCCATATCACTATCAGCATTTTGGTCACAAAAACTTAACAAGTCTCTAGAAAGTTCCAAACTTTCCTTTATCTTTCTGTCTTCTTCTGAGGCCTCCACACTCTTCCAACCTCTGCTCCTTAACCAGTTCCAAATTTGCTTCCACATTTTCAGGTGTCTTTATAGCAATGCCCTACTCCTAGGTAGCTATTTTCTGAATTAGTTTGTTCTCGCACTGAAAAAAAAAAAAAAAAAACCTGACCAGGTGTGGTGGCTCACGCCTGTAATCCTAGGACTTTGGAAGGCCAAGGCAGGTGGAATGCCTTAGCTCAGGAGTTCAAGACCAGCCTGGGCAACATGGTAAAACCCCGTCTCTGCTAAAATACAAAAAAATTAGCCAGGAATGGTGGCATGTGCCTGTAATCCCAGCTACCTGGAAGGCTGAGGCAGGAGAGTTGCTTGAACCCAGGAGGCTGATGTTGCAGTGAGCCAAGATCATGCACTTCAGCTTGGTGACAGAGTGAGACTCCATCTCAAAAAAAAAAAAAAAAAAAAAAAAAAAACCAAAAAACCTGAGCCTGGATAATTTATACAGAAAATAAGCGCAATCCCTATCAAAATACCTTACCTATTTTTCACAGAATTAGAAAACAATCCTAAAATTCATATGAAGCCAAAATAAGCCTGAATAGCCAAAGCAGTCCTAAACAAAAAAAAGAATAAAGCTGGAGGTATCACATTACCTGAATTCAACTTACATTACAAGCCTATAGTAACCAAAATAACATGGTATGGATATAAAAATACAAACAAAGATCAATGAACAGAATAAAGAACCCAGAAATAAAGCTACATAGTTGTAGCCATCTAATCTTCAACGAAGCAGATAATAACATGCACTGGGAAAAGGACACTCTCTTCAATAAATGGTTTTTGGAAAATCGGACTGCCATATGCAGAAGAAGGAAATAGGATCCTTATATCTCAAACAAGAAGTAACTCAAGATGGATTAAAGATTTAAATGTAAAATGTGAAACTATAAAAATACTGCAGAAAAACATAGGGAAAACTCTTCTTGACAGCGGTCTAGGAAAAGAATTTATGACTAAAACCTCAAAAGCACAGTCAACAATAACAAATATAGACAAATGGGACTTAACTAAACTAAGCAAATTCTTCATGGCTAGAGAAATAATCAACAGAGTGAAGAGACAACCTGTTGAATGGGAGAAAATATTCGCACACTATTCATCTGACAGGAGATGAATATCCAGAATATACTAGGAACTCAAAACAGCTAAACAACAACAAAAGCATAAATAATTCCATTAAAATTGGGCACAGGATATGAATAGACATTTTTCAAAAGAAGACATGAAAATGGCCAACAGGTATATGAAAAAATGGATAACATCACTAATCATCAGAGAAAGGCAAGTCAAAACCACAATGAAATATTAACTTACCCCAGTCAGAATGACTATTATTAAAAAGTCAAAAAAATAACAGATGTTGGCGAGAATGTGGAGAAAAGGGAACTCTTATACACTGTTCATGGGAATATAAATTAGTACTTACTCAAAGGAAATGAAATTTTCTAATATAATAATTTTTTTGCTATTATCCTTGACCAGTCAGACATATTTTATATAACTATTACATTAGAAAGATACCTGCACTTATATGTTTATTGCAGCACTATTCACAATGAATCAACCTAAGTGTCCATCAACAGGTGAATGGATAAAGAAAATGTGTTATATACATGCAATGTAAGACTATTCTGCCATAAAAAAGAATGAAATCATGTTCTTTACAGCAACACAGGTGGACCTGGAGATCATCATCCTAAGTGAAACAAGTCAGGAACAGAAAGACTAATGTAACATATTCTCACTCATTAATGGGTGCTAAAAAATGTATTCTCACGGACGTAGAGAGTGGGATAATAGATAATGAAAACTTGGAAGGGTGAATGGATAGGAATGGGGAGAAGGATGTGAAATTAGTGGGTACAACATACATTATTTAGATGACGGATGCCCTGAAAGCCCTGATTTGAGCACTGCGCAACCTACGTGTGTAATAAAATTGCACATATAACTCATACATTTACACAAATTTTTGAAAAGCACTTATAATAATCAAATCTCTACCTCCCCCTTCTCCTCCTAGACCTCCCCTGTTTATGGGAAGGTGAAGTAATACTTTTCCTAATACCACATAATTTCCTAGCAAAACTTTTACATATTCCATAAGCTGGAAAGAACAAATACAAAACTTATACCTAATATAAATGCTTAAGAAAAGAATATCATTTATCAGTGAAAACTAGCAATGTTTATCATGTAAAAGGTTTTATCAGTGGATTTTTCTGTGGTTATATTGTAGTTACTATTTTTTCTTATACTGGAAATCTAAATAGTCATAATCCTAAAAAAGATGACTTTATAAAGTAGTTTATGCAGATGTCCCAATTCTAACAATGATTAAAAATATTTTTTCAAAAAATAAACTATGATTTAGCAAGCATTATTTTATTACAATCATACTCTTAAAACACTTTAATTAGACATTTTAGCTATGTGTAGACTACATCATTACAAGCATCAATAAGTAAATTTATTTAAGAGCAATGTTTTGCTTTATGTGAATTAGAGCTTCTGAGCATCAGTATAACAAATTATTTTTAATAAATGCTTAAGACTGTGTTACTTGTTTTAAATAATGATGTCAATTTATTTTATTGTCATGATGATGTAACATATACAATTTTAATGAATGCTGAGTATTATGTTTACTGTTGTTATAGTTATTACATTCTACATCTGAAAACACTATGTTGTACTTCATTGTTTGCTTGTCTTTTGAACAATAGCCTTATTCTTTTATATATATTTATTATCAAAGTCATTAACTATTACGATATGATCTTTTAATATATGGTTGCTAAAGTAGTATATATTAATTTTTTAAAATACATAGGAAAATAAAGAAATTTTTTTTAGTTTTATGAATCACACAGTGGTGAGAAAGATAGAAATTGGAAATAAAAGAGAAATAAAATATGCATAAAGGTAAATTCAATTTTAACTAGGCATCCAGAAAAAAATCACAATATAAAAAATGCACGGAGATTTTCTTTCAAAGTTTAGTTGATAAGAATTACAACATCAACTTTTTATAATTGTTTTGATCCAAACTAGATAATTTGGAGGTGGAAGTTTAGTTATATAAAATATGTCTGACTGGTCAAGGATAATAACAAAAAAAATACTAATGTAGAATTTTTATTTCATAGGATTTAAAAGGATATGTTGGCATTTTGGCATTAAAGTATAAATTAAAGGAAATATAATATTTGGAGATGCTGAAGTGGAAGGAACTGATGTGGTTATGTCACTGAAAATTAATCATGATAACTGAATGTATCAACATTTTTTTCCCTACCATCTCTTGACATACCAACTAAACTTACTGTTCTATAATTTCATCCCTACATTAGTGAGTCTTCAGCTAATATTTGTATTTTCTGAAACAGAATATGTGACTCAAATCACTAGAGAAGCAATGTAAATATGGTAATAGATGGAGATATGAAAATTTGTTAATTTTGTCTAGCTTTTATCTTAACATAAACTTCATTTTCATGAACTAAACATGCATGGATATTCTACTTTCCCCAAGGAAATACAAAACACTCTAGCCCTTTAGTCTATATCTTGACTTCAAACTTTTAGCAGTGATTAGGCATAAAAATATTTTACATATGTCTAAACTCTACTAGGACAAATTTTATCAAGTACAATGCTGACAACTGACATCCTCATGTCAGGGAGAGCACAAAGAGATGTACAAAGTTGAGACTAGAGGGAGCATGCCTTGCTTAAAAGGCAACAGTTACTCACTTCCTACCAATTTTTACCTTCAAAGAGTTTTGGGTCAGTGTTGTCAGATATTTCAGTTTTCAAGAGAAGCTGAAAATCTGGATTCTAATGAGAAATATATGAAATTTAACACTGGCAAGTGTTTCTTAATCACTGAACATAATACTTGCCAATAGCCTACCCATCACAGAAATGATTAACAGCATGCTCTTGCCTGCTTACAACAAATTTATGACCTGTTTTAGTGTTGAAAAGTATGTTAACACATATTATCTTTTAGAAAAAATCTTCACTGTAAAATATTTTATTGGTTATTCCATTCCATATCCCTTCCCCCACCACCATGTCCATGTTTTGAGGTGAAACAAAGGCTATGAGACACTAGATATATTGTCTAAGCACAAAACATGTAAACTAGTAGAGTCAGGACTTAATAAAATCAACTGTTCTGATTTCATAGTCTATATTTTCCCATTGAAATACTTGGTTTTAGACAAAATATTTTTGGCTACGTACATTCATTTGTTTAAAGGTGAATTGGACAAGGTATGCCAATTACCTCTGTTCCAGTGATCTTTCCTAACAAGTACTTCAATAAATATATCATTAATAGTTCCAAAACTACAAGACTATCTCAACTAATCACATTACAAAACTATTACAATATTTTTACAACAACCACTAATAATATTACAACTATAAAATTATTACAACAGCAAAACTACTACAATTATGTAAATAAGCATTTGCTACACTCACAAATATATATAAATAGTATATATATATATATATATATAGAGAGAGAGAGAGAGAGAGAACATATACTAAGTTATTTAGTGATATTTAGACTCTGTTGAGTCCGAATACATTCTCTTGATTTTCATTTTATAATTTAATTTATCTGTACTTATATAGGTTAATGATTGTCAGAAGAAGAGGAGAAGGAGCTGCCTTGAGGGTTAAAGAGTTGTAATGATTTTTCACTTGTCCCAAGTCTAGTAAATTAAATGAACAATATTTTTGAGTCTCTGTGACAACAAAAACTTCTACTATCTTACTTAATCCTGTGTGACTGGGTTATTCATTATTTTGTGTCAAATTTTCATGAATGGATTCAAACATTTTCCTCATTTAGACTGCAGCCTCCCATTTTGTCAAATTGGCAGACTCTTCTGACACACCCTATCAAAGATTTAAAACAACTTTTGTTTTAATCCGCTTTGTCTATTGGTGCCTTCATCACTTGGTCTTTTAATATCATTAAAATATTAATGTGTTATGTAGTTTTAACTGTTTCCAAGGGCCTTACAAAAAATTTTGTGAACGGATTCTTTACTTGTGACTGATAAAACACAACTATATGCTCTTCTCTCATATGTTCACAGCTAATTAAACTTTGTTTCATTAATACTATAATATTTCTTAATCATCTTGCTCTACATTTTTCAGAATAATGACTTTGTTGTCACCACAGTAATCTTAGGCACAGTTTGCTCTGGTGTGCATCCCAAATGTGAACCATGATCTTTATGTTGTGTCTAGCATACAGCTTTTGAAGACTTAAAAAATCAATTATTAATCATGTCCTATATTTTAAAAGTCCTATCGTGACATGGATCCTTTGGAAATTTTTCTTTCAGGCCCCCTGAATTCTAGGCCTTCTTTTCGCACTCACTGCTAATCTACATTCTATCTCTGTTATTATGAACTTACTTGCAAGACTTATAACTTTTTTTGTCTTTTTTAATATCCAGAAAAATGTCAATTATTTTTTGAAAAGTTTTATTATTTTGATATAAGAAATTATTCCCCAGGTCCCTAAATAATGACAGTTATAATTTAGCTTAATGTTTAATATACTTTTTAATAATCACTTGTTTTTACATGTTCTTCTCTCCATTACATTTTTAACTAACTTGAAGAAAGAGCCTCTCTATTTTTCATTTAAGCATCACCTGAGGCCAGAGCCCCGTAAGTTTTCAATAAGTGTTTCTGAAATTTAATTTGGGCTTTTCTCTTTAACATATTACTTCATTGGATAAAGTCACAGAGTTCACAATTAAGCTATTCTTTTATAAAAATGGAAATTACCCTTTATTTTTGCTTCATTTGAACATTAACTTACAGAAAATAATTATATGCTCTTTAAAATAATAAGGTTTGTTATGAAACAGGTATAAGTCCCTTGATAGATAATCTTCTGACTTAAAATATTAATGATAAAATGAAATATTTATATTTTTGGTACACAACCATTTTTCTCTACGTGTCACTGTATCTTCTTTAATAATCAAATATGTTTCAGCATTTAAAAATTATTTTAGAGGATTATATTCTTGTCTTTTATGTAAAACTCTTGTACCTTTTATAATAAAGTTACGTAAATCAGAAATTCTAAAGCACAGATGACATGAGGCTCACAGAAATAAATAGCTTTTCAGTTTTTTCTTAAAAAATCCCTAAAATTTGTTAAGAAATTATTACTGTCATCTTTTGTAAGTTAATAGCAAAATATTTCTTATTTCTTTTTATTTTATTTTTTTTATTATACTTTAAGTTTTAGGGTACATGTGCACAACGTGCAGGTTTCTTACATATGTATACATGTGCCATGTTGGTGTGCTGCATCCATTAACTCTTCATTTAACATTAGGTATATCTCCTAATGCTATCCCTCCCCCCTTCCCCCCACCCCACAATAGGCCCCGGTGTGTGATGTTCCCCTTCCTGTGTCCATGTGTTCTCATTGTTCAATTCCCACCTATGAGTGAGAACATGCGGTGCAGCCTATCATTGTTGGACATTCGGGTTCGTTCCAAGTCTTATTTCTTTTTTAGAAGATATATATTTATTATTGTGAGTAGAAGAGTTGAAGACTCTGCTTTTGATGTATGTAAAATAATGATACAGACAGATTAATTGTTAATAATTGTTAATCAGGTTAACAAATTGTTAATAATCAGAACAAATCACAACTATCGTGATTCTCATCCTCCAAATAATTATTTGAAAAATAATGTTAAGTATAAAACATGTAATATACTTTTTGTTTTGTAAATGCTAGTGATTTCTAAAATTAAAAATCACTTGTACAAAATAGTGCATATATAATATATATGCACTATTATAAAATAGTAATACATATATATAATCTTTTATTTTTCATTAAAACAGCAGTGATGTCAACATATTTAAATTTCTTTAAGTGATCATCTAAATACTCTTTTCTTCCATATTTCATCTTAAAAATTTGCAAATAGCTTTCATTAAAATGAAAATGAGATATATACATAAAATATAGAGGGCTAGAAAATTAAAATAACTCCTAATTTAAAATTTATTATTTTACTTTATAGGAAGGAAAAATTATACTATGTAAAGACTACTGATTTATTTTCATTCTACTATAATTTGTTTACTGTCTTTTGTGAAATTTTCACCAAGTAACTCTGCTAATAATATCCATTACTGAGGCTATGTTCCAATTAATACTGATACTTCCACCTATAATACAGAGACATATTCTAGCAAACCAAAATCTATTCTGGTAAATTTACACTTATATTCATAATCATTTAGCTTATTGTTCCTCTAGAATTTGATTTTATTTTCTGAATACAATGTAAATCATAATACAGAATTTGAAAGAAAATACAAATGACAGATACTCTTGGTAAAAATGTGTTTGTATCTCATTAGATAAATACAGGCGGTGTTATTGACTCAACTATATCTACCTAAAGGAAATAAATCTTTTAGAGATAAGTAACATTTTTCTATATACAAGTGTAGTTTCATAAGAGTTACTGTAGTTTTCCAGAACTTGCATGATCACACCATCGGAGGTTAGCCACGCTAACTCTTCACTGTTCCTACAGGATGAATATAAACAATTTAGTGCAGTTGCTCTATGGTGACATTTTGTAAGCACATATGTGCACACACACAAGTCCATATACATATATATTTATTTACTTATTTAAGGTAATACAACAAGCTGTTGAAAATCTGAGCATAAAAGTCTATGTTTTTGTTTTTTTCTCAAGAAATCAAACCATGACTGTGAAAAACTATTCTTGGAATGCTATTTTTCTTTGGGGACAAAATCAATTTTCTGACAATCTTGATTCCTCATTATAATATTAAAAGGAAAAGATAATATTAGTGGTTAAAGGTAACTCCTCACAAATGGAAATCAAGAAATAAGCTGTTTTATCCCCTGAATACTTTTTTTCTTTAAGATTAACTCACATGGCAATTGCCAAAGTTGAAACCTAATCAGCCTGAACATTGCCTATAGTTACAATCTGCCAAATACTTTCAAAACTGTAGATTTTGTATGTAGATTAAATTTGAAACACTTGTGAGGCAAGAGAAACGTGGCTATTTATAAAGAGTCAATATCTAATTTGGAAATAGAACATTTTTTCATTGTTCTCATTCATGTAGCAATAAACTTGCAGATAGTTGCAAGGAGTAGAGTAGTTCAAGAAATACAACACATTCCCTAAAAAACTTAAATTATATTATGGTTCTAACATAGAGTGGTGAAGGGAAATCCTACCAGTGTATAATCTTGATCTGTGCACTTTATTTATTTTTAGATTTTTTTAACATCTTTTACCTGAAATGAGAGATGACCTAATGGCAAATGGCTTGGGTGATCAGGGATTTGGATATCAATAGGGAAGAGTAAATATCACCCAGACACTCTGTATTATTTTCTTTATAAAAAAGGCTTTTTTTACTTTATGCTAGATAGGTGTATCTTGTGGAGATATGACATAATTATTATTTATATTTGGAGATTAAGTACTATTTTACAGATGTGTATTTAAGGAGATGTGTATGGATGCCAAATTGACAAGTGGTGAACTCTAATGGCTTTGTCAAATTGGCTAAGCTAAACTGTGTTCTTCAGAATTCATTTTCTAATGTGTCTAGATAGGTTGGGTTACAAAAGATATTCTCTTGTAAGCGTTGGTGGACAAAGGGGATTCAACAGCCTAAATTCTCCCAGTTACTCAAACACTCTAGTGTATGTGTTCTATAAAGGGATTTTTTTTTTTTTTGGTGGTGGTGTTGGAGGTGAAATTAAAGTTCCCAATCAGTTATCTTTAAATTAGAGATGCTCACCCTGGGTATACTTGATTTCATCAGTGGAAAATTCTTAAAAGTGAGTTTGGACTTTTTTTCATGAGGAGGAGATTGATTTCCACTTGTTGCAGTAAGTTTGGTCCATGCTCATGTATCCAGCCTGGCTATGATATTTCAGACTTTAAACTTGCTAAATAGCAAGTTCACATTTAGAATTACTGAGTAAACATCCACAGTTGCTTTAGCAGCAAATTCCTTTACATATGTAGTCTCCACTGTTTCTGTTATAGAATCCTAGTTGATAAAGATTTTGATACAAAAAGTGATTACAGAGCAACAGATTTTTAAGGATGTATTATTTTAAATTTTCTGGGTTTTCTGGAAGTGTTTTTCTAATCTGTTTAGATTTAATGGCACTAATGAATGTTTCCAGTGGTAAAGACAGCATTGGTTCAACGAAGTTTTAAGAGGCCCTAGAACTCCAAGATGGAAGAAGTCAAGGGGATTTGAAGCAGTCTGAGGAAGTTACACTTCTGTTGGATTTGAAGAAAAATAATTCTATATCTGGAGATGATCACATGGCAGGGAATAATGGGCAGCCTCTTAGATTTGAAGTCCTCAGTCCTCCAACCACAAAAAACAAAATTCTGCCAGAAATCTTCAAGTTTAGAGGAGAACTCCAAGCCCCAGATGAGACTGCAATTATTTCCAAAACCTTGAGTTCATCCTGGTAAGATTTAGAGCAAAAGACCCACATAGCTTATGCTTCTACTCTTGACCCAAATAAATTGTGAAATTATACATCTGTATTGCTTTTGTTTTGAATTTCTAAATTTGTGTTAATTGTTATGAAACAATAGAAAACTAATACAAAAGATGATACATAGGGTTTTGTTTGTTTGTTTGTTTGTTTTTTGAGACAGAGTTTCGCTCTTGTGTCGCCCAGGCTGGGGTGCAATGGCGCAATCTCAGCTCACTGCAACCTCCGCCTCCCATGTTGAAGGGATTCTCCTGCCTCAGCCTCCTGAGTAGCTGGGATTACAGGCGCCCGTCACCACAACTGGCTACTTTTTGTATTTTTAGTAGAAATGGGGTTTCACCATGTTGGTCAGGCTGGTCTCAGACTCCTGACCTCAGGTGATCCACCCACCTCAGCCTCCCAAAGTGCTGGGATTACATTCATGAGCCACCACGCCTGGCAAAAAGATGATATCTAGGTTTTATTAATCCAATATTATATGCATTATTAAGGCAATCATATGGTAAAATCAATATACCACATAATATGTATGTATATAATATGTGTATAGTAGCAGACAAATACTAAATATGCATTATTTACATTTTCTCCTGAACAAACGAGAAATTTTCATTCCCCTGTTTCTTGCCTTTATTCTGGGGCTGTATGACTGGGTTCTCTTTAATATAATCTAAGCAGAAGTCATATATGCAATTTCCAGCTCTGGATAGAAACATCTCTTTTGTTTACACCAAGTTCTTGCTTGCCATGCAAAAATAGCAAATTGGAAGGACACAGGTCTCTGAGTTATCACTTGTCAGA
Organism: Homo sapiens; assembly: GCF_000001405.40. Taxonomy (NCBI): domain Eukaryota; kingdom Metazoa; phylum Chordata; class Mammalia; order Primates; family Hominidae; genus Homo; species Homo sapiens. The sequence goes on from NC_000013.11 coordinate 56,846,675, forward strand.
GAACTCTCGGTAATACATTCTGTGCTTTAAAGGACTGGGTTTTAGGGCAAAGTATAGATTTTAGTCACGTTAAAGACTAATATTTGGGATTTCCTTGTAACAGCTATTACTCATTTACCCAATCTACTACAGTGTATGTATGCTTCTCTGGAATGCAATATAGTACCTTGTAAAGAATCTGACTCTGACACTTGATTGTATAAAATTTGAGTCTGAAGTTTGAAATCCTGAATGAAATACAGCTAGCCCACTTACTATATAGTGACTTTGGCAAAATATTAGGCAATTACAAAAATGTGCATGCTAGAACTTTGGATATTGTCTCACAGCTGTTAAGTGTTCAGTTTTTTTCTCCTCCTCTTCTTATTCTTCTCCTTCTCCTTCTCTTCCTCCTTACCTTCCTCTTTTTCTTTTTCTTCTTTCTCCTCCTCCTCTTCTTCCTCCTACTCCTGAATCTCTGCTCCCCTTCCTCCGCCTTCTAGTCTTTCTCCTACTTCTTTTTTATTTTGCTCTATTTGCATTTCAGACTGTGTATTTTTACTGACTTATCCTAAAGTTCACTGATTTCTTTCTCAGCCATGTCATGTTACAGACGGGCCCATAAAGACATCCTTTATCTGTTATTGTTTTGCTGTGTGTGATGGCATTATTTGTAAAATGAGCATTCAATTCGCTCTTATGATTTACATCTCTCTGCTGATATTTGTCTTGTAATCATGCTTGTAATCTACCTTTTCCATCAGAGCTTTAAACATGCTATTTATTGTTATTTCAATAACAAAAATATTCTAATTTCAAAATATTATCATCCAATAATAAATATCATATTCTTTAGCAGTCACTTCCCATTTGCTCTTTTCCCCTACCCCTGAAAATTACTATTCAACTTTTATCCTATTCATTTGCCTCTTCTGGAAATTCTGTATAACTGGATTCATATAAGATGTATCCTTTTGTGTCTGGCTTCTTTCACTCATCATATGTTTTCAAGTCTCATCCTTGTTGAAGCACCAATGAATACTTTATTCCTGTTTATAGACAAATATTTCATTGTATAGATAGACCACATTTTGCTTATCTATGGATCTATTGATAAACAATTTTTTTTCCACTGTATAGCTAATATGAAAATGCTTCCATGAAAATTTATGTAAATGATTATTTGTGGAAACATATTTTCAATTACTTTGTCAAATTTCTGGGTCTTTTGGCAACTCTATATTTGACTTTTGAGGAACTCTTTTCCAAAGCAATTATACCATTTTATATTCCTACCAGCAATATATGAGTGTTCCAATTTTTCCATATTCTTGCTAATACTTGTAATTGGCTGTATTTTCTAATTTTATTTATTCTAGTAGATGTTATGTGATATTTTGCTGTGATTTTAAATGATCTTTCCTGAATGACTAAAGATGTTGAGCATCTTTCCATGTGCTTATTGGTAATTTGTAAATCTTCTTTGGAAAAAATGTCTATTCAATTCCTATGTCTATCTTTCAATTCAGTGGCTTGTCTAGTCCTTATCGAGTTTTAAAAATTTTAAACATATTCTGGATGATATAGCCTTACCTTTACCAGATTTATCATTTTCAAATATTTTCATGCATCCTGTGAGTCATCTTTTCACTGTCTTGATAGTGTCTTTTGAAGTTTTTTTCATTTTGATAAGTCAACTTCATTTTATCTTAATTGCTGTGCCATATGTATCATAATCATATGTTAAAATGTTGCATATTCAACATCACAAAATGTGTAGTTATTTTTTTCTTCTATTCATGAGTTTAGCTCTCATTTAGATAATTAATCTTCAATTAATTGTGATATATGGTGTGTAATAGGTGGCCCATTTAAGCGTCAGAATAATACTTGTTGAAAGACAATTTTTCTCTATTGAATAGTATAGGCACCTCTGTAGAGAAATAACTGACTCTCAATAAATGGGTTATTTTCTTGACTCTCAATTCTCAAGACCTATACATCGATGTATATTTCTAACCTTATTCCATTACTACATATTCTTGATTACTGTAACTTTTTAGCAAGTTTTGAAAACAAGTTATGTTTCCCAACTTTGTATTTTTTTCTCAAGATGTTTTGTACATTCTGTATCATTTGCATTTCCAAATGACGTTTAGAAACATTTTGTCAATTTATGCAAAAAAGACAGCTTGGATTTTGTTAGAAATTGTGCTGAATCTGTAGGTCAATTTAAAGTATATTGCCATCTTACAACATTACATTTAAAAATTCAGGAACATGTGACATTTTGCCATTGATTTAAGTTTATTTTCTTTCATCAATGTTGGTAGTTTTTAGTGTACAAGAGTTGTGTTTTTGGGGTGAATTTATTCTTAGGTATTTTATTCTTTTTGAAGCCATGAAAATGTAATTGTTTTCTTAATTTCATATTCAGTGGTTCACTGTTAGTGCCTAGAAATACAATTAAGTTTTGTCCATTAATCTTACAACCTGCAACCTCATTGAACTTGTTTGAATTTTTTAGTGTTTATGTGGATTTTTTACTATTTTCTCTATACAAAATTATGTTGTCTGCAAATGAAGATGCTTTTACTTATTCCTCTTTTACTGGATTATATTTCGTTTATTTGTTTTGTTCAACTGTCCTGGGTAAAGCATCCATTAAAATATTAAAAATAAATTAAAGAGTGGACATTCTTGCCTTGTTTCTGATTTAGAGAGGAAAATTTCAGGCTTTCATCAATAAGTTAGTTAGCATTACATAGATGCCTTTTCAGTGGTTAGAACATTCTCTTCATTTCCTAGCTTCGTAGTTTCCTATTTCTTTATCATTAAAGGGTATTTGATTTGATCAAATTATCTGTATCTGAATCTATTAGGAGATCATGTCTATTTAATTCCTATGTCTGCCTTTTAATTCGAGGACTTATTTATTTCTTATTGAGTTTAAAAAAGTCAATATATTTTTAAATATTAAAAAAATTAAATATATTTTTATTTACTGTGTTTTTCATTTTTTTCAACTTTGTTTTCTGAACAAAACCATAGTACAAAAATATTTTTCAAGCTTACATGACAAATTTGTGTTTAAATTTCCAGCCATTTTGGAAATTTTATCTTGTACCTGTTTTGTGGCAGATGCTATGCATATGTTATCTACCTAGGTGTTATTTAAGCATTTAAGCAATGTCTTATTAGTGCCTCAGTAGAATTACAGTTTATAGATCACTTTGCAAGTAGATGAGATACTAAAATCCAGTGTTCTTCAGATGTGAAAATCCATACTTCCTACTTTATCATGACTTTTCTTGATCACATATTATACACATAAACACACACACATAGAAAATTTAGTGTGTGGGCAGTAGTTTCTCTATTTTTCCATTAGAGAAAATATCAGTGAGATTGGGAATCAGTGGACAGACAAGTAGGACAAAACAAAGGATGCCCTTCTGATAGAAATTTTCAACTTACAAATAAACACTTTGGACATTTTATTTAGCACTTGTCATCTGAGTGGTTATTTACATAAGTTTTTTTCCTTGCTATATGAGGTTATCTTTATGCTCAGTAATTTTACATTAAGACAATTTTGTCGGTAAACCTGGAGATCTGATGCTATTTTGTTGAAGCAAAGCTCTGTTAGACAGAGCTTTAAGTACAAAGGGCTCATAACAAACTAGTTACTTAATTTCATTATGTACTCTGTTACATTAGCAATTACAAATAGCTTTTTCAGTGTATGTGAAATCATGATTTTCATCAAAGTTTATTTGAAACACTATCAGTACATTTTATTAACTTATTATTTGAGTGTAATAACAAAACCATATGAAAGAAAAACAAGGTTGCAATCAATTTTTATCTTTCCACCAAAAGAAAATTTAACTCTTCATATTTATCATAATTTATCATTTTGAACACCACAAGTTAAAAGACTGAAAAATCCTTGTAGCTATATTCTGTAAATTGAGGATCTCCCAGGATAACACAGTAAGAAACATGAAATTCTGGAGACATTTTCCACTCCATTTTACTATTCCATCTTATATAAGAGACAATTTATGATTTTCCAAATGAGGTAATGAAAATAAGAAGCAATCATCCAGGCAGGTGTGTTTTAAAATTGCACATTTTTTTTCAAAAGGGATGTTCTAAAGACTTTCACTTGAAATAAGGTAAAATCACAAGATGATCAGAGACATAGAAGAGCTTAGCTAGAGAATACAGTTCAGAAAAATGTTGGCTCAGAAGCAATGAAACACATCTTGAGTTTTAATTTTGGATTGAGATTTAGACTTAGATCAGACTGCTACTGCAAAAATCACCCACTGAGTGAATACTACTTTGTGTGCTCCACAATCACCACCATCCCACAAAGTGCGGAAAGGCACTACTTTTTTTTAGATTATTGAACTTTCATTTTTTCACACCTCCTTCACATGCAGCTGGAGAGGCTTAAAGTCTCAGTAATAGGTTTGATTCATTGCTGCCGCTCTGAAGACTTAGTTTTCATATTTTTAGATTTTCACTAAGAGAGAAGAAACACATTAAGAGTTCATATATTTCAGAAGGCATTTTCTATTATTGAATCATTTAAATATTTTTTTAGTTAAAAATGTCCTTATCTCGAAGTAAGAATGACCAAATAATATAAATATCACACATGCACAATTAACATTTTGAGAATAATCTCAATGGTACAAATTAATAATTCATACTATCCTGAAATAATAAATATGTTCTAGATGTCCTCAAATTAATACATAAAAGAGAATAAATTTATGTGCAAAACTAAGCATATATTGTACACATTATTTAACCATGCAGATATATTTATACACACAGACAGATTGTATATATACACACAGATATATATATATACACACACATACACATATACCAGTAACCATTCTAAACTTGATATGAAGCATACACATATATAATTTGATGTTACATTGTATATATAATGCATATATACATACATATATTCAATAATGCCTTATTCATGTGTTAGAATAATTTAAATTTCCATGTTATGCAATAAATTTGAATTTAAATATAATTGTGAATTACTATTAATTTATTATATTAATTTCCACCCTAGTCAGCTACTAATCAACATCTACATAGGCAGGTAGAAACATATGATTAACACAATGTTAAACAAAAATAATATACTTTCTTTTGTATTAACACTTATCAATCCTATAACCTGTAAATATTTGTCAAAATTAAGATTGAATAGTAATACCAAGGTAAAAAAATAGTGATTGAATTTTTCTTTTTCCCCAAATGTACTTATTCTTAATATGTAGATTTTGTGTCTTCAGGAGGCATTCATAATTTATCTTCCACAAATCACTGTGGCTGCAAACTTTGCTAGCTAAAAATTTCATTTAAACACTAAATTTTCATTCCTGTTTTAATATCTACTTACAAAATTGAAAATAAAACTACTGGGAGAGTGGTGCTTTTTACTATTTCATCTAGGGAAGAACTAACTTAATGGCATATTAAAACTAAAATAAAATGTTTTATTAGATTCACATGTGTGAGCTAAATTACACAAAAATATTTTCCACAATCTATATCTTCTACCATATAAACTTTATGTAAATTATCTTACACATATATTCATCTATTGAAGTGTGTTATTGTCACCCTTCAAAGGGGAGATGAACCCCTGTTCCACCTCCCAAAATTTGATTTAAATGTCACAACTGATGACATCACATGTGCATCAAGCAGGTGTGAGTAAATTTACTTCTCGTAGATGAGGCTTTCTGGGGAGGGCAGAGCAGGCTCTCAAGCAGTCCAAAAAGAGGAGGAAAGGCAACTGGATTTGGTTTTTATTATGGTCAGAAAGTAGGGCTCACCTGAGGGTTGCCATGTGGGCAGGGTCTTACATGATTTTAATTGCTCACTAGTGCCCAAGGAGGGAACACCTGGGATCTCTTACCAGTTTACCTAAATGTTGAGGAGAAGGGAAGGAGGAATAGCAGGGCTTGCAATCTGTCAGAAATCAAATATCAAAAATAGAGTAAGACTATTACAACGTGACAGAAATAAACTACCTGCATTAAAGTACTATTTGTGAAAAACAGAACGCTTATTTTTATTTAACTAGAAACAGTATTCTTTGAAATGATTATTGATTCAAAATATGTAGCTATACTCTTTATAATGAGTAATAAAGACTAATTTATGGATCCCATGCATCACATTTTAAGCAAATTTAGTTGAAGAACTCTGTTTATCACTGTAAGGCTCTGTTTTTAACACAGACAATATGTCTGTCTTGTTTGCTGCCAGTCTGCTTGGCATTTTCCAATTTTCTTAAGCATCTCTGAGTTTTGTCTTTAAAAAAATAAAATTTCATTATTCCAGTTTCTTACAGGGTATCTCCATCAAATGGATTTTCAGTCTTATTTATCTGGCTTTCTTTCAAAGCAGATGGTAACACCATGTACATTTTCTCCTCAACTTAAAATTATTTTTCCTGTCTTTTCATGTCTTTGATAGACTTCCTAATAGGATAAAAAATTGCTTTACCTGATGGATATTCAGTGATGTTTCTGCTTCTTCAAGATATGCCAAACATATCTTCTGGGCAGTGCAAAAAAAAAGAAACAAAATGCATAAACGTTATATAGGATACTTGAGTTGTTTTTCCATGACTTAAATTTTCAAAATACACGTGATGTGATTTCTTAAAACCTCCCCCATTAATTAGGCTGTTGAAATACAGGTCACAGAATTGATATTTTCATAAAACCATGAAAAAACTATAATACTTATAAATTTAATAAATCTGAACAAATATTTCATAGTAGCCTTAACTGTTAAATAAGTTAAATCTAGCAAAAGACATATTAAAAGATAATTATACTAAACTTTTATTTTTAGGATGTTACCATTTCTAAGACACGTCTTTCAAAGCTTATATACTCATACATTTCAGGAAAAAGCCAAGGAGCTATTAATATTTTTGGATCCTTTATTATTCATAATAATAATTCTAAAATTTTCCTTATCATGTCTCCCTCTGAATTGTCTTTAATCAGCATGAGAGAACTAATAGAAACAATTTTTGAAGTGGGACAAGGTATCATTGAATGATCTTTTGTTCCTTATTTCAGGGAGTAAAATAATGTACTAGAAATAAAAGACACTAACATATGCCAGTGAATGCTTGTGATTTTATAAACAGAATGACTCCAGGACAATATTCTACTCAAATCCCTGGGGAAGGATAACACTAGAGGAAGACTCCTAAAACAATTTAGATGTGGTGGAAGTGAAGTTCTTCCACAACAAGGGCAGTTGTCTGTGGAAGATGTAACCACAATGGTGCTGTGTACACCCAAACTGTGTACCCTTAAAATCTCTGACCCTGGAAAAACTAGAGAAAATGCATCAAGCAGCATGGGATACAATTTGCCAACAAGAAATGGCAGAAAAGGAACAATGGCAAATACCCCCACTGAATGATAACTTAGCACTTTAGGGAAACAATCTGACTACAACCTGAAGGTTTGTAGAGTGTGGTTCTTCAGTAGGTTGCATGCCTACTTGAGACTGCATAGAGAAAGGTCACTGGTTCAGATTCTTAAGAAGATAGATCCTGCCAAACAACGTATTATATCAACCTACTGCACATCAAATTTTAGTAATCAGAATCACATTAGGAAAACTCTTATTATCAAATATGACAAATTGAAGGATCCACAGTCATCTTTCTTATTTCACTCCAATCCTTAGAGTGCCTCTAACACGTAGAATGTGTGAAATTGATCTGGTATTGAATTAAACCTAAATACTACTCTAATTTGGTAGATTCTATCACCATCATGAGAGAGGATAATTTTAAAAGCGTAATAATTTAGTGGAAGAAATGAAGACAGTACACATCTTATTGTTCTCTCTCTCTCTTCATTAATAGAACAAAACTTTAAATAGGAAGGTTTGGAGTATTTTAATTTTAAAACCATAGTGCCTTCTGCCTAAAAAGAGATCATTAAAAAATAGCAATTTTTTTCTTCAAGAACATTTTTCTTCCCCTTCAACTTGTCCTCTACATCCATATATTTTTCAAGGAGCTATTGGCTTCATATATGCTACCCATTCTGAAGGTTAAGTTGACCGGTCAGCGTCAAGAGAGCTAGGATATTATTTCTTTTCACTGGAATTTTTGGGATAAGAGTTTGATAGCAGCTTTTTCAGTGTCCTTCTGGGGTATAAAATTTATATAAAAGAGTGGTTGCAAACTATTTTTTCTGATATGAGATCAAAGTCTAAGGTAAAATGAATAAAAGAAGGGATGAGTTCAGAAGTGTGCAAATAATATAATAAACAAGATAGAGATATGTGTTAAGAAAAGACAACTCTTTTTGGTGGGGTGGATGTCTTGTACATTATAGAATGTTTAGCAGCATTTCTGCCTTCAGCTCACTAAATGGCAATAGCATCCTCCCTTCCTGTTGTGACAACCAAAAATGTCTGCAGACATTTCCAAATGTCTCTTCAGTAGAGGAACAAAATCATCCCTGGTTGAGAACTACTGGGCTAGAGTAACAACATAATTCATAGGCGTATGGAGAATTGCCGTCCATTGACTCTACAACAGGAAGAGAATAAAACAAAGAATGTAACTCTGAAAAGAATAATACTAAATGGTGAACAGAAAAAAAAGAATGTGAAAGGGGATTTGAAAAGAGCAAATAGACACTATAAAGAAGATTTCAGACTAAGTGAAAACACAAATACCAAAGGCAAAGAGAGTCTGACAGAGACCAAAAAGAGGATTATATAAGTGTTAAGTTAGACAAGACCTTTTAAAAAAGCCATTTTAACATAAGTGTAATTTAAAAGTGCTATGTTCATGACTCGCAGTCTCTAGACATGGTAACAGGACTTCATATGAGGAGGTAATCAGTGTTGCATGGGATCAAGTATTTTCAAGAGTAGTATGATTGTTTCTACAGCATTGTAATTCTTAATTTACAATGTTTAGCTACTCTTTGTGACATCATTAAGTCCTAAAATATGTCTTCCATATAAAAGAATAATGAAATTTAATATAATCAGACATAAGAGGAAAGAAATCACAAATATCTTCAGTGAATATTTAGGTTGTATATAAAAATGAATGAATTAAAATTTTTTATGTGTTGAATTAATTTTTAAAGGAGAAGATAATTACAATTGAATCATATAAGGTAGAAGTATTTTATGTATCCATCTTATATTTAAAAGTATGTCTTTAAATATTTATATTTCGTTTTGTAGAATTAATACAAGCAGGTCTTAGTAAAACAATTAAGTCTCAGTGTAACAAAAGCATTAAGTGATACTTAAATGTGTATTTTTATCCTATATTTCATGAGAATATTTGATTGTTATAATGACAGAAGAAAACATTTCTGGATGAGCAAACAGGGAAAAAAAAAAGACTGCTATACAACTTTAGCATCTCTGTTTATAGCAGCCAGTGAAGCAAGGTGAAAACATGAGAACTTGTGTGAACATGAGAGCTTGCCATAAAACAATTTTGGCTGATTTTTAAAAGGAATCACCAGCCGGGTGCGGTGGCTCACGCCTGTAATCCCAGCACTTTGGGAGGACGAGACGGGTGGATCATGAGGTCAGGAGATTGAGATTACCCTAGCTAACACTGTGAAACTTCATCTCTACTGAAAATACAAAAAATTAGCCCGGTGCGGTGGCGGGTGCCTGTAGTCCCAGCTATTAGGGAGGCTTAGGCATGAGAATGGCGTGAACCCGGGAGACGGAGTTTGCAGTGAGCTGAGATCACGCCACTGCACTCCAGCCTGAGCAATAGAGTGAGACTACATCTCAAAAAAAAAAAAAAAAAAAAGGAATCACCAATACCATTCAGGACATAGGCATTGGCAAAGACTTCATGACTAAAACACCAAAAGCAATTGCAACTAAAGCTAAAATTGAGAAACGAGATCTAATCAAACTAAAGAGCTTCTGCACAGCAGAAGAAACTATCATCAGAGTGAACAGGCAACCTACAGAATGGGAGAACATTTTTGCAAGATACCAATCTTCCAAGGTCTAATATCGAGAATCTAAAAGGAACTTAAACAAATTTACAAGAAAAAAACAAACACCCCCATCCAAAAGTGGGTAAAGAATAGGAACAGACACTTCTCAGAAGAAGACATTTATGCGGCTCGCTAACATATGGAAAAAAGCTCATCATCACTGGTCATTAGAGAAATGCAAATCAAAATCACAATGAGATACCATCTCACTCTAGTTAGAATAGCGATTATTAAAAAGTCAGGAAACAATAGATGCTGGCAAGGCTGTGGAGAAATAGGAATGCTTTCACACTGTGGGTAGGAATGTAAATTAGTTCAATCATTATGGAAGACAATGTGGCGATTCCTCTAGGATCCAAAACCAGAAATGCCATTTGACCCAGCAATTCCATTACTCCGTATATACGCAAAGGATTATAAATCATTCTGCTATAAGGGCACATGCACACATATGTTTATTGCAGCATTATTTACAATAGCAAAGACTTGGAACCAACCCAAATGCCCATCAATTATAGACTGGATAAAGAAAAGGTGACACATATATACCATAGAATACTATGCAGCCATAAAAAAGAATGAGTTCTTGTCCTTTGCAGGGACATGAATGAAGCTGGAAGCCATCATTCTCTGCCAACTAACACAGGAACAGAAAACCAAACACCACATGTTCTCACTCACAAGTGGGAACTGAACAATGAAAGCACATGGACCCAGGGAGTGGAACATCACACACTGGGTCCTGTGGGGGGTGGGGGACAAGGGGAGGGAGAGTATTAGGACAAATACTTAATGCACGAGGGGCTTAAAACCTAGATGACAGGTTGATGGGTGAAGCAAACCACCATGACACATGTATATCTATGTAACAAACCTGCATGTTCTGCACAAGTATCCCAGAACTTAAAGTAAAATTTTTAAAAAAGAGAAAATATTAAAAATAATTTAAAAAAAAAGGAGTGGCCAATGAAGGGCTTGAAATTTGTCTGCTTATTTGGCATCATGCAGGGTATGATTCAAAGATTTCTTCTTAGCCCCTTTAATCATACTTAGAATTTTCACTGTATATGTTAAAATGTATTTCCATTTCAAATAATCTAGTTTTCCTTAATAATTTCGATTTAACTATGTTGTTAGAAAAGAGATGAGTGGGAAAAATATATATCATGTACAACTGTATATCTATGAATAAAATATGTGATTATCTCATATGCAAATACATTTGATTTCTTAAATTTGTGGCAAGTAAGCTATAATTTTAATTATACTTTGCTTTGGGAGGAAAGAAGTTTACCCTTTTAGTTTAATTTATAAGTATTACTTATTGAATATGCTTCTACCATTATTTAAATTCCATGTAGAGAAATGAATATATAAGTTAGTTTCTGTACAAAAGAAACTAAATTATGGTATAAAATGAAAGACTAAACATGGTACAATATGAAATTTTTCCATATTTTGTCGGACATGTAATGGCCTTGAAGACCAAATGAGAATTACTGTCAAATAGTCAGCTTTCCTGTTCTAACATTATACAGATACTGCTTTTTCTTAATAGCTGAAGGAATTTCTAGGATTGTACTAATTTATTATATCATAACAGGTATAAAAAGTTTAAATCATGAAAAAGCCCAAAGAAGTCAAAATCAGGGTATTAATTAGCCTGGATAAGTACAATAAATTCAGGCACGAAAGAGATTATGACAACTTTTTAATTACTAAAGTGATGTAATGGAGAAAATGAATGTTGATGTGTGGAAATGATTATTTCACTGCAACAAATGAAATCTTAGGTATATAAAGTGATTATAGAAATAGATTTTATGTTCTTTTTAAATTTTCATATTGATTGTGGGTTCTATGGAACAATTTTACATGTCAATTAAGCATTTTATGAGTTTTCTTATGACATTTTTGCCTATTTTTTTTCCTTTGGAAATGTGGGTATTTCCATTAATTTTTCTGAAAGTAAGTAATTTAGATAGCCAAATCAGGGGAAAAATGTTTTTAAAGGAGAATAATTTATGTAAGCAAAGAAACAGCATTAGGAATGGTCATTATATATTAATTGGATAGTGAAGACATTGTCTGATTAAAGAATGTGCATTGATGCCGAAAGAAATTTGTTGGATCAGGAGGGTGAAATCTAGAATTTTAAAAATAGGAAAAAAAATTCAGGTAGTCAGTGGATATTTGAGCTATAATATATTTGAGAATAGGCAATTAACCTAAGCAAGGCAGCCTTCAGATAAACAAAGTGGTTTAAAGAAGAAGAAATTGTAGACAGCAACTTCAGTTAAATAACACTATTATAGCAATTCAAGTTCAAGGTGACTAAGAGATAGAATAATGTGTAGGCTGAATACCATAATTCCCCCTTATCTGAGAGGGATACATTTCAAAATCCCCAGTGGATGCTGGAAGCCATGGATAGTATGCAACTCTATATATACTATGTTTTTTTTCCTGTACATACATACTGATGATGCAGTTTAATTTATAAATTAGGCACAGTAAGAGATTATCAGCTACTCTTTGGCATATATTTTGATTCTCTTTGACATATATGAATTGCCAGCATCTGTAATCTTGTGCACTGGGACTACCATTAAGTACAATAAAGATTACTTAAACACAGGTACTGTGATATTGCAACAGTCAATGTGATAATTTAGATGGCGACTCAGTGGCTAATGGGCAGATGGTGTCTACAGTGTCGACATGATGGACAAAGGGGTGAATAAAGTCCCAGGCTGGACTGAGCAGATGATGTGAGATTTAATCACACTACTCAGAATGATGCTCAATTTAAAATGTATGGATTATTTCTAAAATTTTTCATTTAATATTTTTGGACGACCATAATATTCACAACATCTAATGGCATACATAGTATTAAGGTAATATTAAAACACGTAAGAGCAGACACTTTGATATAAGCCAGATATTGTCAAATCTCAACATACAACATATCTTTGAAATTTTGGTTGAGTTACTTAACTTTCTAAACATTAGTTTTCTCTCCAGTAAAACGAAAATACTGATCCTTAGCTCATAAAATTATCATGAAAAGTAAATAAGAAAGCATATGTAAAATACTTTGTAGAGAATAAAGGTCTCCAAATGTTAACATAATTATGATATTACTTTTATATCTATTTGTACTTCTAGACTCTTAATTTCATATACACAAACCTTTGTCATACTTACCTCTTTATTCCATGTACTTATCACATAGCTCATGTTCAATAGATTCTTTTTAAGTAAGCAGATGGCTAGATGGATGAAGGAATAAGGAGAATGAATAATCATAAATTAAAAAAATAATTTGGCCACTAAAATATCCAGTGGAAGGGGAATATTTAACTTTTCCCATTTGGTTTTACTTCGATATGTCATTTTCTAATGGTAATTTTTTAAAAAGCTTTAAGTAACTACACATAAATACATGTACAATTTAATTGTTGGTATTTACTTAGTTTTTGTGAATGCTGAAAATCTAAAGTGAGGGTATAATAACACCAAAGTAGGGGATCTGATACCAGATTTAAATAGACTGATTTTGTTATGTAGGAAATATAAGAAACAGTAGTAAAAACTGCATACCAAAATCAAGCTGCCTTTAGCACCACTTCAAATAATATTTTGCTGTGTTTATAAGGATGAGATTTGTTTCTGGAAAATTACCAGATGCTCACAACGTTAAGGTCAGTTCAATATTTATTCTGTGTTGAAGAGGCCATGCATCAATTTCAATGTTCTGTATTCCTTCTTTAGGCTTTTGCTTGCACTTGATAAAATGTATATCTACGGTTAGATGTTTAATTAAGAAATGTTTTGCCAACAGTGTACATAGCATGGCTTTACACAGTTAAAATTTCTTGGTGGCTCTTTTAAACAACTCCCAACATGTAATGCTGCAGGCTGCTTTAGGCTTCAAACATGTATATGTTCTCTGTTATCATGTACTTGCTTGTTCAGGTTATTTTATCTTAGATTTTTGGTAATGTTATGAAGCACTGCTTTGTATTTTTCTATCATCTGTCCACATCATACTGTGAAGTAAGTGTTATTTCATCATCTGGGTGAAAATGTTGTTAAGATAGAATGCAACAGTTTCAAACTGTGTTATAAGCAACAACCAATATCTATCAGTAGCTGAAGTGAAGTGGATGAAGAAGGTGACAGCACAGCTATCTTTCAAACAATTCAGATAGTTATTTGATAACTACCTTCATTGTTACCATATTTCTTTGCTTTACTTCCATATCTGATTTTTCACATGTATTCTAGCATGTGTCACTGCTTTGAAGGGGCCAAGCTGGATAGAAATAAATATCTAAAAAATGGAATGCTATTTTTTAAGTAGTCGCATTACACTCAAATATAACAGATTAGAATTATTTCTAAATTAGACTAGCCTTTCTGAAAAAGGACAATTACATGCAGTCCTGTAACATATGTAAGTCTATACAAAAGAATATAGTCCATATATATATTTAATTCTAAATTCTAGATTATATAAAGTTTATAATCAACAGTGTCCACAATAAGAACTCATTGCAGCCTTATTAAAACCTACTGAAATATTGTGAAAGAAACTGCAGCCAGGCATTAATACTAGGTGATTATCAGAAGAAAATAGTTTAGAGACTTGATTGCAATTATAAACTGTTTAATTCACAAAGCATGCATTACATTCTATTATTTAGAGTGTTTGTAGCCTATGTCTATTAGAGAAACTGCATACTAAACCATTTCTCTCAGCTAGTCAAAATAGGCACTTTCATAACACCAATGTAGATTTCTTTATGCGGCTTCAACTTCATTTTAAAATCTGCTTGAGTCATTTATTGGAACAGAAATAAAGTCATTTCAAAAGAATGTTGTCACAAGATCAATATCTTTGAAACTATGCTTTGGCTGTGACTGAGCATTTTTGTAGACTTAGAGCCTGTTATATGGTGATAGAATTCCAGATCAGCTGACATTCCCTTTCACTTTTTAGCATCACCATAGTATTGTCTGCTGTTGTTGCTCATTAAATAGTGACTTAATACTTTTGACATGTGAAAAATTATATATCTTCATTCAATTATCTATAGAAATGTGCATCCTCGATATGATTTTCCTGTGCTATTTCATATCATTGAATGCATTAAAATTTTTGAGCCATAGAATGAAAGAATTATTAGTATCAAATATTTCTAAGCATCAATTAAGAGTTCATAAATTGAATGGGAAGAAAAAGTATGGGGCAGTTGATCCCTTGATATCACCACCTGGACACCAAAGTGATGAATCTGATGTGCCTCTTAACTAAATATCATTATCTTCAAATCTACTTTGTGAAAGGCTTTCTTTTTATTATTACTTGACTCTCCTTAAAAGTGCTCACTCGCGTGTCAATGGGGTGTGTCTTGACACCTGTATCTCCATACTATGTATGTGCCTGCAATCCTTAGCTTAACTCTGGTCTTAGACCAAAATAATATTGATACAGGGTTGGTGAAGGAAATGGAGGCCCCTTAGGTCTTTCTTTTCTTTGCTTCTTGGTTTTTTTTCCCCTTTCCTTGGGCATATCCTTCCAAATCACATTTAGTCTTCTCACTTATACCCTCCTTCCCTCTGCATCATCTGAAACTCTCGCTCTTTAATAAACAAACATTCCACACTCATTTACTTCATAGAAAAGTTATTCTCCACTATTGCTAAATTAAAACCTAGGTATTTCCCATTGATGTTTTCCTTCAGGCTTGTCAACTAGAAGCTGTGCCTTCCCTGATACTCTACTCATTAAAGGGCTGAGAGGTAGAAGAATAATTTACAATAACTTCCAGACCACTACTTCTCAATTCACACAGAACAAAAACCCTCTGCTCCTTGTGAATTTTCTGCAGTCCCATTCCATCACTTTCCACTATGCATTGCACTTGACATCTTTTAACTTCCAAGGTCAGTTACCTATATTCAATGAGAAGACAAGTAAAAAAAAAATGGTTTTATTCCTTATCACTGAACATGTAATTGCTCAGGTCTATTTTTAAATTCATATATAATAAGAATTAAAATATAAAGAAAGATGCTCCTAGTCTTCATTAAATTTAGTCGTTTTACTATAGTCTACAGCCATGATCTTACTCAATACTTTTTCAACATAAACTACGATACCACTGTGAGCACACTCAAATCTATTATCTAAACATTAATTATAATTTCTTATCTCTTAGTGGTTTTTTCTTCACTCCTGAAAACAGCTATTTCTGTTCTTTATTTCTTTTATGTCAATATCTAACATCCTCTTCTTGTAGTTACATAAGCCTAAGTATCATAGACAGAATATTCAAACATACAGTTTTGCATAGGCATTATCAACACCATGGACTATTTGCATTTTTACTGTCATATCCCTAGCATATCATAATCACTGACTTAGTTAACAATTCAGTATTTCAACATTTCTTTGAACAAGTGAGGTATCAGCCCCAGCTGGAGAAAATACACATTAAAAATTGGTACCGTTAATAATAGAAAGGCATTAGGGGTAGTTGCAACTTTAAAATTTTTCTTTTATCTTTTGCTGTATTAGTTCAGCATATCTTGTAATTTTTCTTGATATCTATCTGAAAGGTTCTTATTCAACTCAAATTCCATCCCCCTTTCCTAAGCACATAGTTTCACTTCCAATTTGCCAAATGAGATAGGTGTTACCGGGAAGGGACTTTTCAAATCTCTAAATGTAATATTGATTATTTTTCAATTTAATCTTTATTAGTTTATTTTTCTTAATCAGGTAAGATTCTTTCACGTCATTGCTCAATCCTATTCATTCTTAGTATCTTGTGAAGCTTTCTCTATTGATAAATCCTTCTTCTCTACATTTTCAAGAAATTTCTTTCCTTGCTTCCTACTTAGCTTTTAAAATACATGCAAAACTTTGTCTCTCCCTATTTAACACACTATTCCTCAAATTGCCTTCAAAGCAAAGTTAACTATTACCACTGCATCAAAATTCATTAACATTTCATCCTACTGCAAAGTGGGTATAGAAATGCCTCCTCAGTCAATCAGGAGGAACAAAGGTACCAAAATGCTTCGAATGAGTTATATTCCTTAAAAGAGAATAAAACAACTCCTGAATATTCCTTCTTAGCTTAAATAGTTCTTTCTACCCTTTAGAGCCAACATTGAACAAGGATGCAGTCTTTACTTAGTGAAAAATGAGGCACTAGGATAAATACCATCGTCCCTATTTAGAAGACAACAGGTGGTCATAAGTTCTCTCAACCTCTTTTTTTTCTTAGTTGATGAACACCTTTTTTGTTCTGTATGACTTCTTGAATTCTACTTAAACTGGTTGGGGATAAATAGTAGTAAGGGAGAAATCTATAGATTAAACACTATTTTGTACCAAATAATCAATACAGAAAAATAGACCAGGGCCCTGGAGAGAAAAAACAGCATATTGGTAATGAGAAAGTTAAATTGAGTACGTTTTGAAGAATGGGATAATAAAATAAAGCAGCTGGTAGAAATCAACAACATTTTAGCAAGGAGGATGAGAGAAACGAAGTCAAGAAAGAAAGAAGACCCATAACACGGCCAGGAGATCATGTACAGTTTGGGGAAGAATAGTTTCTTGATAAGTAAATTGATAAAATATGTGGATATCTGTGTTAGCCTGGGTGGAGTAACAAAACAGAAAAATACTTCAGAAATAAGAAAGGAAGTCAGTTAAAAAGTTTATGAAGGGCTAAAAGAGCAAAAATACTATGGTGGATGCCAAAGGAGCAGACAAGAGGAGTGAGGAGTAATAGTATCAAATTTAGGGTAGCTTGAACATCTGGAGTCAATGTGCACTGCAGCCTACTTAACTACTTCACCAGGGACAACACCGACCGCTTAAGGAAATGTTCTTTGTTTTGGCCATTGATTTATGGCTTTCCCTTTATTCAGTTCCTTTTGTTTAAGTATAAAGACATAATTTATGATTCATACAGATGCCTAAAATACTTTGGCTTTGATTGTTTGTTTTATATATCTAAAAGTGGTTAGTGAGCCTCCTAGAACTTTGACATTCTACAGGTTTTCTTTCTGAGATCTTTAATGTCCACAACTTGGCTATCTCTATTAAAAAAATAATTTCCTCATCTCTGAAATATGGAAAAATGTCCTAATATATTCTCTGTGTAATTATTTTAGTTATCAAGTTACTACCTCATCAGTTGAAAACAAAGTGAAGTAAATGATAATCTCATACACTGGTTAAGTATCTCACTTACCCTAAGCCTAAAAATATGAAGTATTTGTCCTACATCTTTTCATGACCTACATCATTCAAATATTTATGAATAATTCAAATAAAAAAATCAAATTCATGAACTTGAATGGTATAGATTTTTAGTGTACTCATCCTATAAATCAATATAAACCAGAATATAAACACTTTTCAGAAATGTGGCACTAAGTTGAATATTCAAGTAAACTTCATGAACAGTGATGAGGAAGATTATATAGAGTGCAACTACCAGTAATTTATTTAGGAAGTGGAACATCTATGAGATATTTTCATGTGAAGAAGAAGTAACAGGGCTATCTACATGTGTTGTATAGGAAGCAGAGTCAAAAATATGCATATTTTATTTTGAAGAGGAAAGGCTGGGTATCTTTCTATTAGGATGCTCTTTTCTGCATCAAGTAGAAAGGAAATGAGTTGTGGTGCCCATGATGAAATCTGCTTATTCTTTTCCCTTTGTGTTATAAACAACGAGTTAGTGAAAATAAAACTTGGCTTCATCTATTCCTAGCTTCCCTCCCTGTCTGCTAGCAGAAATCAAGGGCAAACTTTTGAACTAACTATAAATGATAAATAAGGGTGTGGTAAGCATTCAATAGAAATACAAAAGAAGCAAATGGAAGAAGATGAATGGTTCTTTGTTTGGGAGGCTCAGGTTCTTTCTGAGAAGTACCAGGAGGTAAAATTAGATGTCAAGATTGTTAGTTCCTATATCAATGACAATAGTTGCCTTAAAACCTGGAAAGTATATCTGCTGCTTTTTTATTCCTTGTTGCTTGATGACACTTTCTAGAATAATGAGAATGTCTGCTTTATTACAGAACAGTTTCTCTCATCACCAGTAAATATTTCAAACAGAATATTGAGTAGTTTTATCAAATATCTGATTGGTTGTAGATATTAGGTACACTTAAATAAATTAAATATTTTTATTGTATATTTTGAGCATCTACCCAGTGATAAAAAGTTTCTAAGTTCTGGGATTATTGTCACAGATAAATCAGAACAAAATAACCAAAAAAATAAATAAATATACTGTAATATAAAAACAAGGAATGATAAATGTTATAAAGAGAACTAAAGTATATTAGGGAAGAGCAAGTACTGTGAGTAGGTTAGATATTAAGATCAAGTGATCAAAGAAATTTCTGAAAACATTAAATTTGTACATGATTTTAAATGAAAATAGTTGAATATCCTTAATGAGAAGATTAAATAAAATTGCTCACTAAGATTTTCCTGTCTTTATTAGTTTACAATAAGAAAAAACATATTGAAAATGACAAAAAGGACCAATTTCTTGTCATGCTCCATGATGGTACTTAGCTAATCCAACTGCCAACCTCCCATTGATTTCAAAGAATTGCTATGCTCAAATCAGCTCTGCAAAGATGCAGAGCAAATGAGAAATCGACTTAGAGATGCTTGACATCCAATATGCTTGCTTCAGCTTTTCTAACATAGATGAATATAACATTTTCTCAGGTTAAAAAAAAAAGCCCATTCTGCATGGCTTTATTGAAATTAAAGTTATTTTTTGCAAATATTTTTTCTAATAATTTTTTTAATAAATAATTAAGTCATTCTTATTTGTATTCTAACAAAGTATTAGTGAAAACTTTCATGGAAAATATGACTCAACATTCCATATTTTAAGAAAAAATTTTCATCTGCTAAGAAAATAAATTATTGACTTAACTAGTCTAAGGTATAAAATTGTGGTAATTTTATATTACTATGCAGTACAAAAAAACTATGTAGATAGATATATTTTGGAAATTATTTTTTGTGTATGTATATATATAAAATACATAAATATTATACAAAAACTCAACTTTATCCCAAACACTATCAAAATATCAGTGTACGCCCTACATTAAAAGAAACTAAATTTCAGTTTTCATCTTTAGATATTCTTTGCAACACTGCCAAGACCTTCCTTAAAAAAAGTAACAGTGTTCATACATATATAAATATCATGTTTCAATGTCTTCTCTGAGAGGTATACAATCCTCATAGATGGAGAGATTCAGAAGATGACAAAGCAGGTGCTGCTTCTTCTTTTCACTCATAATTATTGTCATATACTATATTTGTTTCCATAAATTATCCTGGTATTAATATAATTCAGAGTTTTAAAATGGATTTGTGACTTCATAGGCTCATTGCCTTATTCTGTTAGTAAATGGGCCATGATAAAACTTTTCACAATAAGGATTCTCACAGTTTTGGACATGAACTATCAGAAACATGTTATCAGCCACCATTTACTCACCATATTAATAGAGGAATAAATTTTAATTTTTAGTAATTCAGAGTTAAGTCCAAGATATATAACTGGTGATAAATAAAAAATACAAAAAGAATCAGTACCATATTTTGCCATTATGAAAATATAAATATGATTTTATTGATAGATACTTATAGTATAATAGACACACACACACTTAATGTATATTTATATGATAGGTATATTAGTTGTTAAGCATTCTTCCAATCACACCTTTCATATGACTTATTACAACCTTTTCATTTCAAGTTAGGTACTATCCCAATATAATAGTTCATATTTTTAAAAATTAGTAGATTGTTGTGTATTAGAATAAAATTTATTCTTCTCAAAAATGAAGAAGATGTTTTCTGTCTTGTTCTAACTTGTGAACACAGAAATCCTACAGATTTTATGATGAGCTTCAAGGAACACAGAGCAAGATAAAACAAGCCTAGTGCTACTGAGATCTGCCAGTCAGCAGGCATGATTTTGTATATCACTGTGGTCTCTTAAAAGATAGCAAAAATATATAGTGTTTGGGAAACTAATACTACGTGTTTCTCTCTGTTTATGGTCACAGTAATATATTTCATGAATTTTCATTAAGTAGAAGATTTTTTTTCTGAAATAAAATTGATCATAGTTTGCAAAATTTTTAAAATAAAACTCCCTTTGTGAGTTAGTATAAGGAAGAAAACAAACCAAGAGTTATCTGTTGATTAAATATTTATTGAATTATTTAGGGTAATTATTTTTCTGGCATGGAATTGTGTTTTCATTCATTCACCCCAAAATCTATTCATTCAACAACGTTTTCTGTAAAATCTTATAGGTTTTCTATAATAGAATAAAAATTTATCATATGAAGATGATTAGGACAGATTTTACTCTCCATGGAAGTTCAAAACCTAATAGAAAACAAAAAGAATAAATATATAAAACAAGGCTGGTTGATAGAACTTTCTGCAATAATGAAGTTATTCAATATTGGTGCTTTCCAGTATGGTAGCCACTAGGCCTGTGTGGCTATTGACCACTTGAAATGTGGCTAGTATAACTGAGAAACTGATATTTAAAAATATTTACTATTAACTAATTTAAAAAAAATTGTCGTATATAGCTGGTGACTACTATTACACAGTGCAGATCTATATGACACTGTGTTAGAATATACTTGGGAATAAATATACCTTTTTAGTTTAAAAAAAGCCTAATTTTTGAACACCTTTCTTCTTTGGGCTTAGCACATTTTTAGAAGGTGGAGCTATATCTGAGAATAAGACAGAGAATACCTGTATTAAAAGAGTTTAAATCTAGAGGGGTGAAACAAAATAAATATGATCTCTAGCTAGTAATAATAACTACCACAAAAAAAGAAAAAAGGCAGAAATCAAAGTAAGTTACCAAAAGCTGCCTGCGGAGTACTCTTCATATGCAGGGATTAGTATGCCTTTTCTGATAAATTGACATTTGAATACAAACTTCAACAAAATGTGAGGAGAAAGCCTGGTTGATATCTGAAGAAACATCTTTCAGGGCAAATAGAAAACTAACAGGTGGGAAGACCCCATTACATACACACTCTAAAGAGGATCTCATGATACCCAGCTCCTGAAATTTACGTTCTCCTGTGATTTTGTGTGTGGGCAAAACAGTAACTTGCTTTATGAATAGAATAATGCAAAGATAATTGGATGTCACTTATCCAATTAGGCTGCAAAAAGTTCTAATACCTGTCCTGCTAGAAGATGCTCTCCCTGGCTGGCTTTGATGAAATAAGTAGCCATTTTGGAAAGGCCCATGTCACAAGAAACTGAGAGCAGCCTCCAGGAAACAACCAGCTAGGAATTGAGGGAAACCTCTGGGTTGTAGCTGGGAAGAAATTTGTCCACTGGCCAATGGTATGCAAGGGGCTAATTTCTGCCAACAACAACTTGAGTTTAAAGGGGATCCTTTCAAAATCAAGCCTCAGAAAAAACTGCAATCCCAGCTGATGCCTTTTTGCAGCCTTGTGAGGCCCTGAAGAAGAGGACCCTGTAGATCAAGCTTGGGATCCTGAACTACAGAGACTGTGAAGTATTAGATGGGTGTGCTTTAAAATACTCTCTGTGTTAAAATGCTGCAAAAGATAATTAATACGGTCCTTAGGGAGGAGCACATTTTGCATGTTCTAAAGCAAAATGATAGTGAATGGGTTCAGAGAAGAAGAGAAAAGTCATTTAGAGAATAAGAATTAAATCAAAATTTAAAAAACTTTCATTAAGAGTAAGGCATAGACATTTGGAGTGTTTTATTTACAAGATAATCATGCTGTGCATTTAGAAATTCTGCATAGATACTGGATGAAGAAAGGACCACAGGGAGCCATGTACAGTAGGAAGGAGGCCTGTTAGGTGGCTATTGGGATAAAATGAATACAAAATGAAGATGTCCTTGACCAGAGTGATAGCACTGAAAGTTCTGGGAAAGGGTAGAGTTCTAGATATGTTTGGAAACTGGCACAAATAATTTGTTGTCACTAATGAATTGGGATATGGATTATGAAAGAAAAAAAGAGATTATAATAAGCATAACAGTTTTGGCATTCTAGATTCGTGTAATAATTTTCTCCCTTCCCTACCCTTCCCTACCCTTCCCTTCTGCTTCCCTTCCCCTCCCCTCCCCTTCCCTTCTGTTTTGACGGAGTCTTGCTCTTGTAGCCCAGGCTGGAGTGCAATGGCACGATATCAGCTCACTGCAACATCTGCCTCCCAGGTTCCAGCGATTCTCCTGCCTCGGCCTCCCGAGTAGCTGGGATTACAGGAATCCTCTCGGTTAATTTTTTGTATTTTTAGCAGAGACGGGATTTCACCATGTTGGCCAAGCTGTTCTCCAACCCCTGACCTCAGGTGATCCATCCGCCTCGGCATCCCAAAGTGCTGGGATTACAGGCGTGAGCCATCGCGCGTGGCCCGTGTAATGATTTTCATTGAACACATCTGTTTGTTTTTTTAATGATATAATTAGCGAAAAGTATATTTTGATTTTTTTAATTCAATTGAATCAATATTTAACTGCCTGCTGTATGTCTGAGTAAGGTAAATGACTCCTGTATATAAAAATGAACACAGATTGGGCAGGTCTACTAAAATCTATTATCAACCTGTATGTTTATATGTTTTGCTTTTCATTGTTTTAATGAAGTTTACGACCATGAATTCAATGGATTTAAGCCATAAATAAAATAAATGTGAACATTCCATGTAGCTCATCGCTGAGAAAGAAAAATACAACAACATTGGGTTTTATTTGGTTAATTCATTATATTTTCCAGAGAAATTACAAAATTTATTTATTTTATGTTAATATGTAAATTTCTCTTTACACTTTATATTTTAAAACCAAATAAATGCAAAATCTAAAATGAAATAATTGGCCTCATGATTCACTTTTTGGGGAAAAATAAAATACTGATTATGTACATACATATTCAAATACATGAAAATAAAGTATTTTTAAAGTGTATACCACCAAAATATTTAATGGATTATATTTTTGGCTTGATTTACATGATCTTCTGTGTTATTATTTTTCATCTTTCCATTTTCTTCCAAACACAGAACATGTACAAAATTTTCAGTAATACAAAATTAGATAACTAGAGAATTTAAAAAATACTTAAAATAGTTTTAACATAAATAAAATCATGTCCTTCTAAATAGGAATATTTGAAACCAATCTTTCAATTCTCATTTCAGTCCAATGACCTCAAAAAGATAAATTATAATGCTACCTTAATGATAACTTATAAATAGCATTGGCAAGGACTAGTCTTTTCATCATATGAGACACATTTCTTTTATGAATTTCTACCTGGACCACTTTGCTTTAGTATTTCTTCTTGAGAAATTTTCAGTAAAATACAACTCTCCAATTACAGTAGCTATAAAATAATTATAGTTCTATATGGAATATGTTTTCATACATTTTTTTCTTGAATTAATATATAATACCCTTCCATGTTAAATATCTTGAACACAATAAATGCTTTAAATAAATCACAAATGATTGTCACAGAACTTTTTTTATTTATTTAGTAATTATTAAGTACATTGAAAACCAAACGCAAAATTGTTTGTAGTACATACTTTTGAAGATTAGTTACTTTTTTTTTTTTTTTTTTTTTGACGCAGAATCTCACTCTGTCTCCTGGCTGGAGTGCAGTGGTGCGATCTCAGCTCACTGCAACCTCGGCCTCCGTGTTACAAGAGATTCTCCTGCCTCAGCCTCCCAAGTGGCTGGGATTACAGGCACGCGCCACCACACCCAGCTAACTTTTGTATTTTTAGTAGAGAGGGGGTTTGGCCATGTTGGTCAGGCTGGTCTTGAACTCCTGACCTCAGGGGTTCCGCCCCCTCACCCTCCCAAAGTGCTGGGATTACAGTTGTGAGCCACTGCACCCGGGCGAAGATTAGTTACTCTTAAATAAGCTAAGATATTGAGAAAATTAGAGTAACTTTTCTATCAATAGTATCTAAAGACGAGTGTATTAATTTGTCTAGAAACGTTATGGCTGTGTGTGGTGGCTCACGCCTGTAATCCCAGCACTTTGGGAGGCCGAGGTGGGCAGATCACTTGAGGTTAGGAGTTCAAGACCAGCCTGGCCAACATGGTGAAACCTCGTCTCTACTAAAAATCCAAAAAAAAAAAAAAAAAAAAAAATTCCAGGCATGATGGCAGGCGCCTGGAGTCCCAGCTACTTGGGAGGCTGAGTTGAGGGAATAGCTTGAACCTGGGAGGAGATTGCAGTGAACCGGATTGTGCCACTGCACTCCAGCCTGAGTAACAGAACTAGATTCTGTCTCAAAATAAAAAAAGAAGAATTAAAAAAAAGAAATGTTGTGTTCATAGATTTCTTCCTAAATCAGTTGACTATGGACATAAATATATTATTGATTATTCTGAAGGCTTTATACAATGAGAGGGAAGATATTAGTGTAATATGCTGTATGAGGCTGTGATGGGAGGGATGAATTAGCCAAGATCAGAAATGTGCATGTTTTCTTTTTGGATTAAAAAAGTAATAGACTAAATAACTTTAAAAACATATTTTGTGGTAATATAAAGTCATTTCAAAAATAATTATTTTAGTTTCACGGAAATAATTCAAATGACATCCTTCTGGGTGGGGCACGGTAGCTCGCCCCTTGGCAACATACTGAGAACAAGTCTCTACAAAAAAAAAAAAAGTTAGTTGGGTATAGCATGATAAACTCCTGTAGTCTCAACTATTTAGGAAGCTCAGGTGGGAGCACTAATTGAGCCTTGGAGGTCAAGGCTACGGTGAGCCATAATGGAGCCACTGCACTCCAGCCTGGGCAACAGAGCAAGACCCTGTCTCAAAAAATAATAATTTAAAAATTTCTTCTAAAATTAATTTTTAAGGGGTAACATGCTGTGCCTGTTTTTATATTTTGAGATCTCCTAAATAAATGTTCCAGTGTAAATTATCATATGTCCTTTCTCTAGCAACATATGGAATAATTCCCAATCATTATTTGTACGTAGTGTTTTTTCTTTAAATCTATTTTGTTTTTATTTTGAAATGTTATCGTACATGTTGCTAACAATAATCAGGAATTATAGATAATTAATCTAGAATACTAGCCCCATTACTATTTCTTCTTCCGTCATGACCTGCAGGGAAACAATATAGGAACACCCACTGGGGATATGACTGCCACATGTTAGACTATAAATTCAGTACATTGCATTGCATTCTCACTTGCAGTTTATAAAACAAAGTGAAAGTGTGAGTTGGGAAAAAAAGACAGTTGACAGAAAAGTATGACAATGAAGAAATGATGATGACTTTAATCAGTCTTTCTCTAAATGTGTCTATGAAACTTCTAATGTAGAACCATCTGTGATGGTTGTTAAAAATGCAGATCCAGAGTACCTACGAAATTATTATTTCTGGGCATGAAGTTTGGGCATCTGCATTTTAAATAAAAATACACCCTTGTCATGCACAATTACATTTAAGATGCACTGAGCTGTGCTGTCTAGGAATAGAGAATATTTGTAAATCTGATTTTATGGTCTTATAATAGTACCTTCCTAGACTTCTTTGTTGCTTATTGTTTTATGATTAGCTAGAAATATGAAGTCTCATAAATGGGAAATGAGGGAACTAATGGGGATTTTAGAAATGTACTAGCTTCTACCAAAATCTCATGAATCTGAAATACTTTTAACAATCATCTTGTTTTGTTATGTAAATATCATGTAATTATAGATAACATGCAAACAATGATCATCTTTATCTGTTAAAATCAAGAACAAGACAAAAAAGTGTGCTATTCAGAGCAGCTGACTTCTTGGAAGAAAAGGTTTGCTCTGACTGTCTTTCCTTTCAAATAAGATTTGTCCCTATCAGATAGAAGAAAAAAAAAAACCTAAAGTGTTCTATGTAAAAAGAGGTTATCAAATATTTATTTAGCAGTTAAAATCAGGCCAACCAAGGTGGCTCTTGCCTGTAATCCCAGCACTTTGGGAGTCCAAGGTGGGAGGATACCTTAAGGCCAGAAGTTTGAGACCAGCCTGTACTAAATATAATGAGACCTTACCTCTACTAAAAACAGAAAAATTAGCCGGGCATGGTGGCATGCACCTGTAGTCCCAGTTATTCAGGAGGTTGAGTGGGGAGGATCCCTGAAATTCAGGGTTTGAAGCTGCAGTGAGCTGACTGTGCCACTGCACTCTAAGCCTGGGTGACAGAACAAGAAACTGTATCACATACACACACACAAAAGTTAAAATATTTCTTCAAGTAAACTTACACTTTTTTTAAAGCCTAGTATAGAACGCAGATAAAACCAAGCAGCCATTCTCCCCTTTTCCTGTACCTTTTCCTATAGCCTCCCTTAAATCACTTTGTGGAAATCCCCAGGCCTTACAGAAAATAGTTATAAACCATTCCTCTAACCACGTAAGTAAACTAAAATTCCTTCAGTATACACACACACACACACACACACACACACAAATTACTGAAAACATGTTATATGGGAAAGGTATAAGAAGTGTAATGTTGCTTATAGTGCCTTTAAACTACTGTACCAGAAGCCAAAAAGTGTGCATCTCGGGGAATTAATGGCTTTTGCTACCAGTTTTTTCTATATTCTAGAGGGTGTATAATATCCGAAATTTCAATATATTCAACTGTTATATAATAATGATTGCTATTG
The DNA here is from genome assembly GCF_000001405.40 of Homo sapiens. Taxonomy (NCBI): domain Eukaryota; kingdom Metazoa; phylum Chordata; class Mammalia; order Primates; family Hominidae; genus Homo; species Homo sapiens. The sequence continues at coordinate 56,874,530 of NC_000013.11, forward strand.
GTAAATTTCTCACAAGTGTTTAATCTAAAACTTATATTAACTTTGCTTCTCCAAAATATTATGACCTGGAAATATTATTTGAAATATCATTTATTTATTCACACTCAATTACAAATAATTTTATTTATCTAAGAGTCTGCAGAAAAATTGTCTTCAGGGTGAAATTAAAGTATAAATATCAGCTAATTATGTGATTTCAAAACATTGTAGATATTTTCATGATGTCACTATTATGTAGTAACTAAACTATCATTATTCAATCTTTTCCATTTGCAGAAAATATCTCTCAATTCTGTTGGTTACACCCAAGGCAAGTTGAGACACCAATAGCACATTTATATATTTGCTTGGAAACGTTTTCAGAAAAACATATTCTCTTATGTATTCTGAGTGAAATTATAGATCTCTTTGAGGAATGATTTTTCCTCAAAGCACAGCTTCAGGAGAAAGTAAGGATGCAGGTATTTTTTGAAAAATATATCTTGAAAGGTTGTCAACTGGGTATACAGACACTGTAGCCTGATTACTATCTTGCTGAAATATTTTTTAAAAACAGAGTTATAATCATCATAGGTAAAAACCTCCACATTATTGAATAAAAGAGTAATAATTAATATAACCTTTTAAAAATAGGCTTTCCAAACAAAATTGTGATCTATGTTATAGGTGAATGTATATAAGGATTTTTTAATATATCATAGAGTATCAAATATTGATTTTATTTTTTAATACATGTGACTACATTTTTGCAGATTTATAATCTTTATAAATAAAAGTAATATAAAAGCTTAATTAGAAAATAGTCTAATGTAATCTCTTAGACCAAGTAATTACTATTGGATGCAACATCTTTTAAAGACAGAAGTATTGTTTAATAATCACAAATGTACCTTATCTGATACCAAAAATGAAAACAGAATTATATACTCAGTAAGATGCCGGAAGACAGGATATGCATTTGCCAATCAGTATTATAATGGACTTAAATTATACTTACAATAGCCACTGAAAGAAGAAAGCATTGACTGCCACCTACCACTCTAACTCTGAAAAAATACGGACACTATGATTAACAGCTACCAATGTCCCCCCTGCAAAACAAGGGTGTTAAAAAAAAATCATCACTTACAGGACAATAGAGCTGACTTATTTGTAATGACTGTGATTGTCAGGTATCAAAAATATATAAAGAACAAACAACAAAAACAGCACTGTCTCTTTAGTGACTTTATGGCCATTGTCACTGTTTTTAAAAAACTGCCTTCTTTGCTGAGTCTAACCAGGGCAGTCATTTTCCAACTGGTGTATAAACTTCTTTCCCCAAATGTGATTATAAGGCTTCCTCTCTGGGTAAAAGAGAGCTAATCTCGCCATTTCTCTTGTTTGATTGTTGAAGCCTGTTTTAAAACCCAAAATAGGAGACAAAAACTAAGTATTATTTGATAGTTCCATTTGTAGATGCAGGTATAGTAAGGGAATAAATTAGGATTAGGTCATTATCACAGAGAATAACAGAGAGTCTCCACACTGGACTTAGAAGCTGAGAGTCACATTTTAATACAAAACAGTACAGCATTTTGAACAACTGCACTAAGGGACTTAGAATAGCATAGTTGTAGGATATTAATAATTGCAATTGTATTCACAAAAGAAAAGATGGTTTTATCACTGTGAGTTGAAAAATAAAGTTGTTCTAACTTGTTCAGCTAGCCATAAATAATCTCTTTAGATGATGGTGTGATATATTAAGGTGCTTCTCTTAGCATAATAAAGAAAATAGTGCAGAAAAGAAATTATCATAAAGAAACCATATTTCTATAAAGGAGGATCTACATTAGACTTATATTTTCCAGATCCCTGAATATTTCATGCTTTAAGGATAACTCATTTTTAAAAATCTTGTTTCAGGAAATGAGGCTAGCTTGGGTAATTTTTCCCTTTATCCATACAATGTTTAATAATCTGAAAATTAGTTTCATACTACATATAATATCACATTTCATATAGTTATATGGTTGAAGACAGAGTATTCTTCTATCTTGTATATTTTGTCTACAAAATAAACAAGAGATGTATGAATAACAAGCTTGATGAATATGACCTTTTATAAAGACAGCTCTGATGGGTTTCCTGCATTTACCCAATTTCTATCTGAGGAATGAAGTTTATCATATTAGTTTCCTTTTCAATTTGAATTCATTCTTTCCCGTTAAAAGTAAATTAATCTTAAAAAACAACAAAAACTCTAGCATATTCTTTTGTTTTAAAGTATTTTACAGGATTTTACTCTACATAAAACATGTTTTAAAATAATAAAATTGTTCTGCTTCTCTCACTCTAGTTATTTTGAAACACTATATAATGTCAAATCTACTGACAGGCCAAAAACTATAAACATTGAATTTTATGAGATTTCATTGCTATCTGTTTCTCTGCTTGTTCTTTATTGTATTACATCGTTTAATTCTGGAAAAGCAGATCATAGACCAATCCCGTGCACTAAACCAAGTATCTGGGGTTTAGTCCTTATTATACCCATGACTCTCTTCTGCAGTAGTCTAAAATGTATCGCCTGCAGATATTTTTGTTTTCTTTGTTGCTGTTGTTATCTACTTTTTATTTAGAAATAATATTAGATTAACTGAAAGTTGCAAAGATAGTACGGAAGAGTCCCATGTACCCTTCACCCAGTTTTCCCCAATAGTTATATCTTATATAAATAGAATATAAAAATCAGGAAATTGACATCAGTAAAATATGTGTGCTGAATTCTATATAGCTAATGATGTGCACAGATTGTCATCGGCACTACCACAAGCAAGATGTGTAACTACTCCTTCACCACAAAGATTTCTCTCTTACTTCTACTTTATATACGTCCCCTCTTACCATCCCCAATGTCTTTTATTTATTATCCCCAACATATTAACTTATTCTCCTTCTCTATAATTGTGCCATTTTGAGAACGTCATATAAATGGAATCATACAGGGTGTGATCTTTTTAGATTGGCTTTTTGCACTCAGCATAATGCTCTTCAGATCCATCTAAGTTGCTATGTACAATAATAGTTCATTTCTATTTTGGGCTTATGGAATGAACATAGCACAGATTGTACAATCATTCACCTATTGTAGGGCATTTGGGTTGTTTCCTGTGTTCAGCTATTATGAACAAGGCTGCTGTAAAGATAAGCATATAGGATTTTGTGAGAATATAAGATGTCTTTGCTTCAGGATAATTGTCAAGAGTATAATTGTTGGGTTGAATGTAAATGTAACTTTTTCAGACTGCCAAACTGTTTTCCGTAGTGCTGTACCTATTTTATGTTCCCGTCAGTAATGTATGAAATGTATAGTTACTCTGTTTCTTGACAGCGTTTGGTGTTATTATATTTTTTTGGCTGTTCTAATCGGTGTGTAGTGATACCTCATTGTGGTCTTAGTTTGCATTTCTCTATTGGCAAATTATGTTCAACATCTCTTCAGGTATGTTTCAACTTATCCTTTTAGTGAATTGGTGAATTGTTCCTTCTTTTGCCAGTTTTTTCATTGGATTTTTTTAAGAGTTCTTTATATTTATAGATATTAGTCATCTGTCAGCTCTGTGGCTTAAAAATGGTTTTGCTGTCTGTAGCTTGTATTTTTATCCTAACAGATAAAAACTTAGCAGAGCAAAAATGTTTTATTTTGATAAAACAGAATTTATCAATTTACTTTTTGTGATTATTCTTCTAGTGTCATGCCTAAGAATTCATCAGCCTCTGAATTCCACAGATTTTCTCCTATCCTGTGTTTCAAAGTTTTACTTCTTTTGTTTTATAGTAAATTCTGTGCTCTATTTAAATTTTTGTGTAAGATGTGAGGTTTAGGTTGAAGTTCACTTTGTCTACCAATATCCAATTTTTCTAGCATTTTGCATTCAATTGCTTTTGAACCATTTCAAAATCATCTTGGTGTACTTGTGTATTCCCTTGACCTATGTGTCTATTTTTCTACCAATATCACATAGACTTGATTATTGTAGCTATATAATAAGTCTTGAAGACAAAGAAAATGGTTCTTTCCACTGTATTCTTCTTTTATAGAATTGGTTTTGCTATCTTTTCTTTGTCATTCATATTAAATTTTAGAATGAATTTGTGTATCTACAAAAATATTGCAATTTGGTAAGGATTTTGATAAAACTGTATAACAGTTTGAAGACACTTGACATCTTTATTATGTTCAGATTTCCAATTCATAAGCTTAGTATATGTCACACATATTCAGATATTATTTTAAATATATTTCATTAGTATTTTATAGTTTTCAGTGTATATTTTGTATATGTTGTATATATTTATTCTTAAATATCTTAATTATTGAGTGATCATAAATGGTATTGCTTTTAACTTCAGTTTCCTGTGTCTGTTGTTAATATATGGAAATTCAATTGATTTTTACTTGTTGACCTTACAACATGTGAATCTGCTGAACTCACTTGTTAGGTATATGAAATATTTTGGTAGAGTCCTTAGTATTTTCTATATAGACTACATGTTGCCTATGAATATGGACATTTTTATTTACTCCTTTACAATCTGTATGGTTTTTGTCTTATTTTATTTTTCTAATAGTCTTCTGGCTAGAATTTCTAGAACTACGTTAAATAGTAGTGGAGCCATTGCATATATTTAACTTATTCTTTATTTTGTCTTAATCACTATTTCAATGGTGAAAATAGCCATTTTAAAAATCATTAAATATGATTTTAATTGCAAGTTTTTGTAGATGGGCTCATCAGTTAGAATAATTTCCCCTCTATTCCTAATTTCCTAAAAGTTTTAACAAAACTGGGTTTTAGATTTTGTCAAATGCTTTTTTTCTCCATTAAATGAAAGTATCATGTGATTTTTCTTCTTTTGTCTGTTAATACGGGAACACTAATAGATTTTCAAATGTTGAACCAGATTTGCATTTGTTGAATAGATCCCAATGGTAAAGGTATGCAATTCTTTTTATGTATGGCTAAACTTATTTGCTAATATTTTGTTAAGATTTTTTGTCTCTCTATGAGATACATTTGTACACAGTTTTCTTTTTTGTACTTTTGTGTCTGATTTTGCTATAAGGATAATTCTGGGCTCATAAACCACATGATTTGTCAGAGCATAATTTTTGAATGAAATAGTTTACAAAATAACACACAATTTTCAGATGTTATTATCTTTCCCTTTTATTTTTGCAAATTTGTGTAAATTAAATGTTTTTAAAAATAATTTTATTGTAGCCATCCAAATTATTAAAAAAAAACTTAGCAAACAAGAGTATGTAACATTTATAACTGAATATACAATATATTTTAAAATTTTAAGTAAAAATATATTTTAAAGTATGACATAAATTTATATATAGATGAGGAGTTCTCTTATATGTCACCCAGAGTATATAATCATATGGAAGAATAATTACTTATACATGTATCCACATATAGCTGGAAATCATTTATTAAATACTTTAAATTAAAATACTTATTGTGTTGTTTTAAATTACTGTCAGTGTAGAAAAATCCAATGCTATATGTAGAGAGGTAAACTTTTTGTGCTTATAGCAAAAAATAATCATATTTAGCATTGGCATACAATGATAGCTAAAATTAAAGCACTGAGTATACTTAAAGAACTTTGCTTCTAAAATTATTTTCACTTTCTCCTGTCACAAAATTGTCGAATGATGAGTTATTACTATTAATATAAAGTTATACTCTACAGTCCCCTACATTACTATGGAACAATCCCCCATGAAGAAAATCTTACACCCGCATTTCTTCTGAAACCTCATACCTCTTAAAACCTATGGACCTCATTCTTCATAGCAACAATTCTGAAGAGTTGTCCATAGTTTTTCTCTTTACTCTTCTGCCTTTATTTATTTATCTACTTTTTGTCAAATATTGCTATGATTTGAATATAGTTGAAAATTAATCACCAATTGGATAGTATTAAAGAGGTAGGGCCTTCAGAAGACTACTCTCATAAGTGGGATTAGCATCTTTATAAAAGGAGTGGAAGGAATTAACCAGGTCATTTTGCCCTTCCTTCATCCTTTATACCATGTGAAGACACTTAGATGGTAACAGCTATGAGGAAGGCACCTTCATCAGATAATGAATTTGCCAGTGCCTTGATCTTGGACTTTGCACCCTCCAGAATAATTTCTGTTGTTATAAATTATCCAGTCTGAAGTATTTTGTTATAGCATCACAAATGACTAAAAATAAATACTGTAAAAGCACTCCAGTTCTCTCTCCTCCACTGAATTGTGTTTATCAGGTTGATTAACAGCCCATTGCTCAGTCCAATGTCTATTCTTATTTTCTTCTTATATTTAATTTCTCATATGCCAAATTAGTTTGATACATTTGCCCAGCTATTCCTTCGTGAAACATTATTTTTCTCTTGTCGTTCTTGATCATACATTTTTCTTGCTTGCCTTCCTTTATTTTACCACTGTATGTGCTTTAACAGTATTTGATAGCTCTTTTGCTAAGATTCTAATAGTTGAAGGTCCAAGAATTTTTCTTTGGTCTATTTTACCTGCACATTAATGCTTATAGAAGTTTTATTCATAATTGCCACAAAACTGGAGGGAACCAAGATGTCCTTAGGTGGGTCAAGGGAAAAATAAATGGTGGTATATATGTACAATGAAATATTATTCAGTGACTTTAAAATGAGCTATTAAGCCACAAAAAAAGAGAAATAGATGAATCTTAAATGCACACTGCTAAATGAAAGAAAGGAATCTGTATTACTCTATTGACCCAAATGGAAAGCATTTATGAAGAAGATTAGTGATAAGGTTTGACTGTGTCCCCACCCAAATCTCATCTTGAAATATCACAAGTTGTGGGAAATACCAAGTGGGAGGTAACTGAATCATGGGGATAGGTCTTTCCTGTGCTGTTCTTGTAATAGTGAATAAGTCTCACAAGATCTGATGGTTTTGTAAAGAGGAGTTGCCCTGCACAAATTCTCTCTCTCTTTGCCTGCTGCAATCCATGTAAGATGTGACTTGCTCCTCCTTGCCTCCCTCCATGATAATGAGACCTCCCCAGCCACGTGGAACTGTAAGTCCATTTAACCACTTTCTTTTATAAATTTCCCAGTCTTGGGTATGTCTTTATCAGTAGCATAAAAAAAGACTAATACAGTAAATTGGTACCAGTTGAGTGTGGCACTGCTGTAAAGATACCAGAAAATCTGGAAGCGACTTTGGAACTGAGTAACACGCAGAGGTTAGAACAGTTTGGAGAGTTCAGAAGAAGACAGGAGAATGTGAAAAACTGTGGAACTTCCTAGAGACTTGTTGAATGGCTTTGCCGAAAATGCCGGTAGTGACATGGACAATAAAGTCCAGGCTGAGGTGGTCTCAGATGGAAATGAGGAACTTTTTGTGGGAACTGGGGCAAAGGTGATTCTTGTTATGTTTTAGTAGGAGACTAGCAGCATTTTGCCCCTGGCCTAGAGATTTGTGGAACTTGGAAATTGAGAGAGATGATTTAGGGGATCTGGTGGAAAAAATTTATAACCAGCAAAGCATTCAAGCAGTGACTTGGGTGCTCTTAAAGGCATTCAATTTTATAAAGGAAACAGAGCATAAAAATTCAGAAAATTTGCAGCCTGACAATGTGATAGAAAGGAAAATCCTATTTTCTAAAGAGAAGTTCAAGCTGGCTGCAGAAATTTGCATAATTAATGAAGACCTGAATGTTAATTCCCAAGACAATGAGGAAAATGTCTCCAGGGCATGTCAGAGATCTTCACAACAGCCCCTCCCATCACAGGCCCAGAAGCCTAGGAGAAAAAAATGGTTTCATGGGCTGGGCCCAGGGTCCTCGTGCTGTGTGCAGCCTGGGGACTTGGTGCTCTACATCCCAGCTGCTCCAGCCATGGCTGAAAGGCACCAATGCAGAGCTTAGGCCGTGGCTTCAGAAGGTGCAAACCCCAAGCTTTGGCAGCTTCCATGTGGTGTTGAGCCTGCCAGTGCACAGAAGTCAAAACTGGGGTTTGAGAACCTCTGCCTGATTTCAGAGGTTGTATGGAAATGCCTGGATGCCCAGGCAGAAGTTTGCTACAGGAGAGGGCGCTTCATGGAGAGCTCCTGCTAGGGTAGTGCAGAAGGAAAATGTTGGATCAGAGCCCCAACACAGAGTCTCTACTGGGGTACTGCCTAGTGGAGCTGTGAGAAGAGGGCCACTGTCCTCCAGACCCCAGAATGATGGATCAACCAACAGCTTGTACTGTGTGCCTGGAAAAGCTGCAGACACTCAACACCAGCCCATGAAAGCAGCCATGAGGGAGGCTGTATCCTGCAAAGCCACAGGGGTGGAGATGCCCAAGACCATGGGAACCCACCACTTGTATCAGCGTGACCTAGATGTAAGACATAGAGTCAAAGGAGGTAATTTTGGAGCTTTAGGATTTGACTGCCCCACTGGATTTTGGATTTGCATAGAGCCTGTAGCCCCTTTGTTTCAGCCATTTATCCCATTTGAACAGTTGTATTTACCAAATACCTTTACTCCATTTTATCTAGGAAGTAACTAACTTGCTTAAATATTTCTTAAATCCTCTCTAGTTTTCATGTTCTACATCTAATCCAATTGCAAATTATTTTTGACTACCTTCAAAATATATGAATCCAGATTCTCATCTTCACCACATATGCTAATACGGGGATAATCTTTCACTCCAATTACTTCAACAGCATCCCTAACTCTCACTGGGCTTCCTAACTCTATTATGCATTCCCCCAAACTCTATTTTTCAGAAAAAAAGCCAGCTCTACCCATCTAAGTTATATCACTTCTTTGTTCATAGCTCTATAATGGTATCCAATCACACTCAAAGTGGAAGACAAAATTTTTATATTGCCTCTCATCACTGATCTCATCTCCTGTCTCTGAATCCCTTGGTTATTCTTCTCAAGGTACTTAATCAGGCTTTCTTGTTTTTCTTTGATCCTGCTTTGCACCAATTCTTCCTTCAATTCATGTGCTCTAAATGTTTGGCTTGCATCTCAAATTCTAACATGGCACTCTTTCTAGACTCTCTGATTGCTTTACATAAAAGAGCACTGCCCCAATCTCTGACACTTTCTAGCTCTCTTAATCATAAGTTCTTCACTACAAAACTTCTCATCAATTTATGTATAATACACATATTTGCTTATATCCTTGTCTATGTCCACAAAAATATATGCTCTAACAAGGAAGGGACTGTAATGGTTCCTTGCTATATCCTCAAGACCTAAAATAGCACATGGCATGTAGTAGGAACTCATTAAATATCTGTTGGTTTGAATAAGTTAATTCCTTTGGCTATAATATGAAATTAAGAATTCTAAATTACAGGTTGTCAATGAAATTTAAATTACACTCTTGTTGAATGAAAGATGATAAGTGGATATTAATTTCTTTAACTCTTTTTGAATTGCTTTACATTCATGTTTTATGAATAATGTTCACACACACATATCTATAGCAGTATTTACCACTATTACAAATTGTTAGCACAAGAATTCAGAAAATGTTGAATTACAGGGAAACTCTGTCTTGAATATTCTGAAAAATGTCTACTCCCTTTGCCTATTCCTTTCATTTGGCATCTTTCTGATTCATCTTGGCAGTGGCCATAATGAGGTTTTGCTCTCAATTTACTCTCTTTTTTGGGGGAGGGGAGGTGCAGGACAGTGTTGCCCAGGCTGGAGTATAGTGGAACAATCTTGGCCCACTGCAACTTCTGTTATCTGGGCTCAAGCCATCCTCCCACCTCAGCCTCCCGAATAGCTGGGACTACAAGGGTGCAGCACCACACCCGGTTAATTTTTGTATTTTTAGTAGAGATGAGGTTTTACCATGTTGGCCAAGCTGGTCTCAAACTTCTGGCCTCAAGTGATCCACCCACCTTGGCCTACCAAAGTGCAGGGATTACAGGCATAAGCCACCACGCCTGGCCAGATTTTACTCAAATATTGACTCAATTTTACCAGGAGAAAAAAAAATTAAAAGTTTTAAAATTTTTTAAAAATATATTTACCTGTGGTTGGCTTATTGTTGTTATTTGTTTTCAGTGATCAGCTGTCAAACATTTTCTATGGTGATTGAAATCTGGAGATTGTTGAAATATGTTACACATACTGTAGAGTAAACTAATCTGTTAGCAGTTCTCAAGTCCCACATATAACTGTTTTGAACATAGACTGAGACTGCATGCCTAAGTGGGCAAATTTGCTATTTTAAATATCTGTGTATGGCCTATTCTGCCCTTTGTCATGGGTGATGAGCCCAGTCTTTTTTCCTCATTTATTTGCCCTATAAATAGTTTTATTAATGCAAATATCACAATTACTTTTGCACCAACCTAATACCTATTGGAAATGTGAAAAATGTCTTCATTTTAAAAGCAATAACATTAAGTTCGTATATTCATTTAACAGCAGAGACTTACACTGGGGTGTCGAAAAGAACCATCTATTGAGTTTTGATAAGAAAACATTATAAATTATATATATATATATATATATATATATATATATATATATATATATACTTTCATATATTCCCTAATAATTTTCTGTTGAGGCTAACATATTAATATGAAATTTATAGAAATAATATACCTGTCTCTGATCTCTATCATGATCATTTAAAATATTATTTATTATTTATTTGTTTGTATGCTATTGCTAAGAGTACAAGATGAATACATTTGAAGACCACTATTTCAAATGAGCTATCTAAAACAGTGCCTGACATACACAAAACATCCAATAAATGTTTGTTGAACTAAATTGAGAGCTTGTTTGGAGGTTCTAGCAGGAGAGTGCAGCTACTTGTATACCCTTGACTGAAGACCAGTCCTCCTCTATCAGTGATGGTCATCCTCCTTGACTGAACACACAGCTTCGGGAGGGATGCACATGGAACAGAGAGGGAGGAAGGGGACACCTGCCTAGCCAGCCAGATCAGCCAAATCAACCCTGGCGATCAATGGGGTGACAGATGTTGCAGCCAAATAGCCCTCATATTTGTGTTGGACTAAATTGAAATCCAATATTCTTGCTTTTTTTTCTTCCGTTTTATACTCTAAAACACTGTGGTTATTCAGCTAAGTAATAACTTATCATAGTCTCTTGTATTTATGTATTATCCTTTAATTGATTAGACAAATATTTGTTTTCTGATCCCACCCTATGCTAGAAATTTAGAGTGCTAAACTGAATAAACATTGTCTTGCCTTTAAACACTATGTTCTATTGGAAAGAAAAGAAAATTAGTCAATTACTATAACACAAAAGAATGACTTGCAACAACTTGCACAATACCATATTCATATGGAAAACTGAGTAAGACTAGAATTCTTTAATATAACCAGAGTTGTATTAAAATGGGATTTGTTTTCTTTCATCGAATGGGTGACATTTGTGTTCAGCAGATCTAAATTTCAAAGGAATCAACAATAGTTAATGATACGGACATACTGGGTAGAAGATGGTGGAGGCCCCCGCAAGGGCTTCACCCTCGAGCCTGGGCCTATGGCCCTAAGGGAGAACTTCACTTCTCTGTTTTCCATATCGTTTTTGGTTCACCCCTTTCCTTTCCTGTGCCCATATAAACCCCAGACCTCAGCTGGAAGAGAGACAACTGGCTGAGTGTTGTGAGAAGAAGCTACTGAGCATCAGAGACTATGGATAGATGCGGCTTAGCTTCAGACAGCATGATTGATTTTGAAGAGGAGCCCGGCTGGAAAGGCCCTGGCTTCAGGAAAAGATGACTTTCTCCCCTTTCTCCCCACTCCCTCCGTTTCCAGCTCCCCTTCCGCTGAAAGCCACTTCCACTTCTTAATAAAATCCTCCACATTCATCACCTTTCAAACTGTTCATGTAACCTGATTCTTCCTGGACACTGGACAAGAATTCGGGATGCACTGGGTGCGGGACACCAATAAGGCTCTCACAATGACTCTTCACCGAACTGTTTAACACTTAAGCCATCTGCAGACGGCAAAGCTAAAAGAGCATTAATTGTAGCACACCCCTAGATGCCACCATGGGGCCGGAACCCAAAAGCACTTACCCTGGCCCCAGCACCCACTCACCTGCGTGCTCTGCTCCCGCAAACGGTTTGAACGTGCCAAGTGGGAGTAAATGAGCCACATTCCTGTCGCAAGTTTCACAAGGGGGTCAAGGGTACTCTTCCATCTCATTAATAGATAAACATGTCTGGGGAGAGGATTACTCCATCTAAAAGAACCAGCATATGTGCATATGTGCACACACACACAAACACATATACTTACACACTCACAGGTACACAGAAATGGGAGATCTTTTTGCAGGGTCAGACTAAGGCTATTCTATTTTGGCTAGCGTGTTTAAAATAATATAGTAACAGTTAGTTGTGGTGTCCTTAAATGCTCTGTTTCCCATTCATTCCTGTAAGACTGCCAATTCTATTTGTTTGCTTAGAGTCATTATCATAAGTGATAACTACCTTTATTATAGCATTTTAAAAAATTATTCCTATAACTCTTAAGAATAAAGGTCACATTTGTCACCTTATCCCTAAACAGAAATGGATGGTGTATGAATATTGAAAAACATTTTTAAATTCAGCCCAAATCTTTGAAAGAGTGTTAACAATAGAGCTATGATTTCAGGCTGTGGGAACTTTTTTTAAGTTTAGATTTATTAGCGGAATTAGGGATTTCAATATACATGAATTAGGATTATTTTACTTGTGTTTAAACAAGAAAAAAAGAAAGTTAATTTAGTGCAATTAAAAAAATTACATCAATTGAATTAAGCTGATGAGCAATTTTGTTTAGACTGGCTTCTCTTTGTTCAGTGACCCTAGGCAACTCTGTGAAGCATGCCCATTGTGCTTTGACTTGATTCTTGCTATTTTCACTTCTGGATTCCATTATCAGGGATTTGTGTTACTAAAAAAAGTATAACCTGATAATATTTATGCATTAAGTTAACAAACATTTCTTGAACAAATGTGCCAGACACATGTTTTTTTGTACTTAGTGGTTAACAAAACAGACTACAGTGTGAAATATTATTATTATTATTATTTTATTTGATATGCAGTCTCACTCTGTCACCCATGCTGGAGTGCAGTGGCATGATTTTGACTTACTGCAACCTCAGCCTCTTGAGCTCAATCAATTTTTATGCCTCAGCCTCCCTAGTAGCTGGGACCACAGATCCATGCTAACACACCTGGCTAATTTTTGTATTTTTAATGGAGATGGGGTTTCACCATCTCCATTAAATAAATACAGTTAGCCTAAGCTCAATGATCCACCTGCTTCGGCCTCCCAAAGTGCTGGGATTACAGGCAGGAGCCACTGTGCCCAGCTTGAAGTATTAATTTTAAACTTAAACACTTTTAAGACTCAAAGAAAGGCATCTCTGGTGAGGAGTCTGTAGGTTTTGAGAGAATAGAAGAAATATTTTGAAACTATTCTCTTCCTTTACTGTTCCAATAATGTTTTGTAGGTAATTGGCATTCTTATGATCTATTAGAATTGATTAAGTAACAATCTAATAATTACCAACAAGATATTAACTGCTAGTGATATCTTGGTACAGTTCTTGTTTTCAGAGATATTACATTTATTTTATTAATATATCTGTGTGAAGGAATAATTTTATAGACATAGGCTCTATTAAAAAATAAAATTAGTATAATTCATAAAATTTTTGAAGTACTAAGTGAGGCAATAAAACTCATTCTAATGTCAACAATGTATTTATCTCAACGAATAAAATACCTCTGTTTATCATAATAAATGTAATGACCATAGCTAGCTGAAATTTTAATTCTTATTTAATTGAAAATCCATGAAAAATGAAACTACTCCATGTTATGCACTATTCCTATTTGTAAGGTGATTATATCTCACACGCAAAGTTCCTTCTTTGATTTCAATTTGATAGTTATGCCTTCTGTGATATTTATAAGCAATTAACATCTTGAATATATGGTTAAATATTTTAAAATAATAAAAATAACTGATCTTGAAATAAATTTAGAAATGTTTCCCTGATCAATATTGCTGAGTCTTCAAATATATTATTGGGTTGTCCTTTAATGGCTTCAGAAACTACTAGACTTTTTCCTCATTAGAATTTAGGATTGCAGAAGTTGTGTAAATAAACACTTTTCAGTTACCCAAAACAGTGAGGCATAAATATGAACAAAGGGATGGCGTATTAAGTCTCATGAATACTAGAACCTAAATATCTGATTTGCCCCCTAAATAACCATATGACCATGATACAATGAAAACATTAGGGAAAGATTTAATTTGTTATTACATTTGTGAACTATTGTTGATTAGTTCTATTTAACACATGATTTAGTGATTTTTGTGTCTATTAAATGTAAAACTTTATTGTTTATTTAAGCACTGGTAACCTTTTTATAAACAAATTCACCCTATTTTTCTTAGACATATACAGAAAATATTGTTGTTTCTTGTGTCTTCTGTAAGACAATAATTTTAATTGTCTATGATAGTATTTTCTCTTCTCTGTTTATTATCCCATTCCTCCCTGTGATTTTAGCTAAAAATCTCTCTAAGTGGAAGTGTGTCATAAGTGTACCTAGGTGAAATTCCTCCTATGATTCTATACCTAATTTCCAACGGGATATTTGCACCTAAATGCTGCACTTATACTTCAAACTCAGGAAGTCTAAAACCAATTATCTCAGGGGTAAATTTAATAGTGGTGAAGTGTGCAGACTCAGGAGACAGGAAGCTGTTTTTAAGTTCTTATGCTGACATTTACTAAAATCAAGATCATAAGCATACTCTCCTCATAAGATTAAAGACTAAATGACTTATTGTGTATATAAAGCACTTGAAATGGTGTTTCTACAGAATAAGCACTCAATTATTTCAGGCAAAATGGTAAAAGAGTGTTGTGATTAAGAATTTAGGAATTAGTCTGACAGTCTGGGTTAATTTCTGTTTCTGACAGTAGCTTTGGGACAATGCACAAAATATTTGAACTGATTTTGCCTCAGTTTCTTTTTTGTTAAAATTAAAATAATATTAGTTCATAGCCCATATTTTGCTGTGAAGATTAAAAGATTTAGCACATTTATAAACATTAAAGATTTCTGATATATAATGTATCCTTAGAATCTCTGATTATTATTCCAATACATATTACATTCTTTTCCTGATTTTCCCCTTTTCCATCAATGACCCAGACATCTTTTTTGCCTTTATTTATTTGCATTACAGTAAATATTTATCTTTATGCTCTTTCACGCTGGTTAGCCATATCGGTTGCCATGTTTAATGCATTCTACTTTTCCTTCTTTTTTTCTTAATTATTTCATTGTATTCCCATTCTATCTAATAAAGTTTAGGTTATGATTACCTTTCGAATGGAAGTAGTTTCTTCACATCTTCATTCAGTTAGTTCATCTGTAGTCACTTCTACTTGTAACTGCCTGATTATCCTCTGAAGAGAACAACATATATTTTGGTTCTTATCTGTTCAAAGCTTAAGAATAGTTCCCTAATGCCCAGTTGACTCTCATATAAAGTCCAAATTTTGTAGGCTGAAACAAAAGGTTTTTTATGTAGCCCTATTACCTATTTCTCTTAAAATATTACTTTTTTTTGAGATTAAAGAAATAAGATATTCCTGGGACTCAATATCCTTCCATATTTCCTCTCAGTCACTCTACTTCTCACTTCGTGAAGTTAACTCTTAATGTGATTTAAGGAACTGTTCATTAATTGTGCTTGTTTTTAAATTTCTAATAATGAGATTATGCAGTATGTATCATTTTCTGGCTGAGGTTTTTTTGTTTTTGTTTTTTTTTGATACAGAGTCTTACTGTCACCCAAGCTGGAGTGCAGTAGCATGATCTCGGCTCACTGCAACCTCCGCCTCCCGGGTTCAAGAAATTCTCCTGCCTCAACCTCCCAAGTAGCTGGGATAATAGGCATGCACCACCACACTTGGCTAATTTTTCTATTTTTAGGAGAGACAGGGTTTCACCATGTTGGCCAGGCTGGTCTCAAACTCCTGACCTCAAGTGATCCACCCGCCTCGGCCTCCCAAAGTGCTGGGATTACAGGTATGAGCCACCACGCCAAGGCAAAAGATGACGTTTTTTTAAAAAGTATTTTCCACTCACTTTAGAGTGTTTAATTTTTCTCTTAATCAAGCAAATTTAGCCATTTTTGTGTACTATTTAAGCCTTAGCTAAAATATCAACTTCCTCCTGAAGTTTTCTATCATGTTCTCTTATATAAAATACATTTTCCTCATTTGTATTGTATTTGCTTTATTTGTACCCAATCCATATGTAACAACTTACAATGTATATGTTCTATTTCCTTAAGTATTACATGTCTCAAAATGCTTATACTGTGCATGTCCAGTACATCTTTATCATGAGCATACATGAATGAAATAAATAGATTTATTCAGATTTATTTCTTAAGAACTTTTAGCTCAAGGGTAAGTAAAGTATCACATTTTTCAGCTCAAATTTTATTTAGGTTACCTGTACCTAGATCGAATATTGCAAATACATTCAAATTTAAATAGTTAAAACTATAAGAGTTGATAGCAGATATCACCTACTATTTTTATGGCAGGTTTTATCAATATATGACAACCAAAAGTTATGAAAATATGCCCACTAACTGTAACAAATTGCTGTGGCTGCAATGTGACTACATTTTCTGTTTGCATTGTGGGATACCTGGTGTTCTAATATTATAAGCTTGTTATATGAAATTTTCAAGGTGAGATAATACTTACGCTTAAGGTACAAGGTATGCCTAGGCTATAGATTTTTAAGCTTGTTCTGTAAAAGATTTATAAGTAGCCAATAACTGACCATAATCATTTTTTTATTTGTCCAACTGGTTTCACCATCACACCAACTTTAACTTAATTAGGCTTTCTACATACTTATTTATGTCATCATATTTCTTTTTATTGAGGTCATAATTTAAATGAATCTTTGAACATTTGACATCTATCATCAGTATCTAAGAAAAAAGATTTGTTGTCACATTGTGACTCAATAGAGTTGTTTAAATAAAATTTATAAATTAAGGAAAGAATTACAAATTCATTTCTATAAACATATCGAAATGTGAGGTTTCTCAAAACATCTGAATGACATAAGGGAATCTACTATTTCCCAATTCAGTTTCTTTACTCTCTCTCTGTGTATATTTACACAAGAAGATTTGTTTCATTGGGTCATTATTTCAACAATTATTTATTTAGCACCCTCTTCCTCAAGAAAATTTGGCACCCTAAATGGTGCCAAAAGAGACATGTAAATTTTTATATTTATAATACAATTGAAAACAACCTTGAAGAAGATTGCCCAGGACACAGGAAGCCCCCAAGAAAGTAGACTCATTTGATGTGCCTCAGATTTGGAAATGGGGTTAAGAGAGGTTTTGGAAAGGATGAAAGAATATTAACTAGAAATCAAAAAATGTCATTTGGCTTATCAGAGTAAGAATAGTAACAATTTAGGAGAATGAAAGATATAGGCTTAGAAATCTGTAGCATTGTTTATTGCCCTATATATTTCTAGCAAATTTCTAAGCTGGTGGAGGAAAATTAAAAAAAAAAAAAACGAGAAAGAAAATAACATTAATATAGTCAGACAAAGCACATCTCCTGGTCCTGTTATGTTTTCTAAAGGACTTGAAGTATCAAGGTCTTGTAGACTATCCTTAAATCTCTTATTCCTCAAATCTCAATATACCATGACCTCATACACAGAATTGCCAAGGTTTCTGCTATTTTCAGCATCCTTCTACATTTATTGTTCCACCTCTACTCTCCATAGAGGATGATTATAAAAGATTAAATTGTTTCATTTGAGTTTTTTCTTTTGTTGTTTTTCCCCACAGAGAACTGCATTTCCCCCAAATCTGTGTGAAATTAAGTTACACTGACGCTGAAGCAGCATATACATTGACACCCCTGTCCTACCAAGATATAACACCTTTAATTAAAAAATGTATAAGGACACACAGAAAGTTAAATATAATGTATCAGAACAAATAGCAGTTGGAAAAATGCATAAGGTGGAAAGTTCACTAAGATTAGAGGGAACTAATACACAATAATGCCTTTATTGTCCATCATGTGAAAGACCAACCTAGAAGGAACTCAAAGATTGGAGAGTGTTGAGCTAAGAGGAAAAAAACAAGGGAAAGAATTTTCAAAAAACTACTCAAATTGGTCTGGTTGATAACAAAGAGGTATAAAATGAAGGCTAAGGAAACAGGATTTCCATCTATTTAAAATAGTTTAAAAACAGGATATTAAGAAATGAGATTTACAAAATTGGGCAGATTAGCAGAGTGCATTTGATTAAATTCAGCCAAGGGAAAGAAAACTGTAGAGAAGAGTCAGAAAATGACCTCTTTCAATGATGGTGTTACTTGAAATTTACTTAATTAGGAAACAGTATACAATATAATGATATAAATATGAGTTTTAGAGTCAGGTAAGCTCTGACCCTTTTATAAAATGTTTTTATAAGCAAATTTTTTTAACAATGTGTAACCCCTAGTTCCTTCATCAATGAAGCATAGATAATCACACTGGGCTACTGGGAATATTAAAAGAAGTAATGAATGCAACTATTAACATAATGAGAAGTCCAGCACCTGGTTAAAAACCTATGTGTAACTTTTCAGGCCAGACCTCAGGCAATGACAAAGCCTTTACCTGACAGGCCTCAGAGGGGTGAACTACCCTCCAAACACACCAGACTTGGTGCATAGCCAGTCCATTATAGTCTTCAAGGGAAGTTACATCCAAGGACTCCAGCTGGTCATGCCGGTCATGCATATATGCTGTCACGCCTATTTACATTATTTGCTGCTAGCTCCAACACCTTTATTCCTTTAGTCCTAGGCCTCTTATATGAGGCCTTGCACCTCGGATCACTTCAGACATCTCTACAGAGGCCTTTTTGTGGGAGAAGAAGAGGGAAACCTTGATCCTTCTCTCAATCTGACTCAGTAGTTAGTACTTTTCCACCCGTAGCCCTCCCTTCCTGGTACCTCCCGAAACCTCAGGGGCCATAACGCTGCCAGAGTCTTTTATCTGGACTTCCTGAACAGCAAGATGACCTCCAGGTCTTCGCTGATCTACCTGGCCCCCACCTGTGTGTCATTGCATGGGGTAAAGACAACAGGGAGAGTTGCCCTTTACTCTAATGTTAGCCTCTTGATACTATCAATTCAACAATTGACTAAAGGCTTAACTCTCTCATTTTGGGCTTATTGCTTTAACTGACAACATCTTGTTAGGGGTGATAGTTACCCGTATGGGTCTACAGCAACCTCAGTTCTTGCCTTCTCAGAAGAAAGGATTCAACTGAGGGGCATAAGGCAGAAAGAGAGACCGAAGCAAGTTTTAAAGCAGAAGTGAAAGTTTATTAAAAAGCTTTAGAGCAGTAAGAAAAGGAAGGTACACTTGGAAGAGGGCCAAGCAGGCAACTTGAACTTGAGACACCAAGTGCACAGCTTTACCTCTTTACTTGGGGTTTTTTACGTTGGCTTACTTCTGGGATCTTGCATTACTTCTCCCACTCCTGCAATCTTATTGGGAAGCTGCTGATCCATTTCAGTTATTTTCTATCTATTAGGAGACCGCCCTTCCCTGGCGCCAGCTGTGACCAATTATTACTTTAGAGAAACAGTTAATGACAGCCTGACCATCACCTGATGGTCGCCTGACACTCCTGATGTGTGTTGGGGGAAGCGCTCTCCTGCCCTGCTCATGGCTTACTAGCTACCTACTGTAACAACCTGGCAGATCAGCCTGTTCTCCCCCAAGCTGACCTGAGCAGAAACATAATGTCTTATCCAGAGTAAATATTTCTCAGTGGTTAAATTGAAACCCAGAAAAAAATTACAGAGGGTGAGACCCACAGAAATAGATTTGAGATGTAAGAAATATTGGTATCTATTACCTGACCATTATATCTACTGTGGAAATATGTTGAAAACTTATTGCCTACCTCAGAGTAGAAACTTAGTAGGAGATTCAGTAATGAACATGGATTTGAAATTCTGTGAGATTGAGCACTTCCTCACAATTGAAATTGAAGCTCCTATATAATCTTTATTGTCAGTGTTCTATTTGCAGTGATCTAATTGCCAAGGCCTGTCCCAGGCAATCTGGCATTGAATCAAAAGACAGTGTATGTGCCTTTAAATCAATGGTTAATGCTAAAGTGGATATGGGATGTTATATTACTATTAGAAATATAATGCAAGTACTTCACAGATTCATTAGAATTTTGTGTTTTTCTCCTGAGAAAACACAACATTCTGCTTCTATTCAGAATTAGATAACTATGATTAAAATATTTTGTTTTGTTTTCATCCAACCAGTAATTTCTCCCAAAATGTTATTCAGAAATAGTAACCTTCTTTAGTCTGAGACCCACTTATGCATACAAATACAAAAGACAATTAACAAACAAAATAATGTGTTAACATATAATATGTATTGCATATAACCATAGACATACACTTAGGCATCTGTGAATATGAGTATACATGTATTAAAATATGTAAGATGCCCATTCTCACATATAAATCTAAATATATTATATAGTAAGGCATATATTATGTTTTTGATACTATAAAATAGTTCTTATTATAAAATATTTCTTTTCTGATCGTATATTTAGCAACATGTTTCTCTATACTAGAGCAGTAACCCAATTGTGCTGTTGATTTGCAAGTTACATATGTAATTAAATCACACATACCATGTTGAACATACAATGCAGTTAAGAAGTACAGGTTCAGTTTTGGAGGAGGAAGCTGTTCTTGGAGAATTTCAATTCAAATCTTCAGGGAAATGAATACAATCAGAAGGAAGCAAACTACTTACCACATTATAAATGTAAACACAAATGTACATGTATATGTAGTTCACAAAGGAGTATATTTCCTTAAACTATTGAAGAGCAAACATTCTTCATATATTATCCACATCACACTATATTTATTTCAAACCACAAAATACTATTATATACAGTACTGTGTCATCTAATCTTAATAAATATAATATATTCAGGAACAATTTCCAATTCTGCCACGTACAAATGCCACTACCATAGGCAACATGTTCAATTATGTAAATTAATTGAGCAAATTGACCTACCGCTGAGACTTAGTAAAGGTGGTTATTCAAAGCCATAAACATTTTAATCAATCAAACCCATTTATCTACAGTAGGAAAAAAAAGACATAAAAATTTTAGGTTACTCTGTAGCTCCTAAAATGTGATTATATGATAGTGTCCATTATAACTTCTAGTACTATTACACATGAAAAGGTATGTCTCTTTCAAGCTAAGTAATCAGTGTGAAAAGGAAAAATATACTGAACCTAACAACGAAAGTTCAAATACTAATAATGGATATTCAACAATCAACAAATTTCAACAATTCAGTAAAATTAACATTTTTCTTCTATTATAACAGCTATTGAAATAACTTCAGTGCTCCTAGTAAAAATTAAAAGTATGACATAGTAGGTTTCACAAACTTGTATAGATTTGTACTCGAGAATGCACCTAATACTTCTTAGCATCTTCATGGAAGATTAAAGTTTTTGAAACAAAGGATTTGTTCTTTTAAAAACAGCAGTCCACGATGTCTTAAAGTAGAGACAGAGAGTAGAATTACAACTGTTATCAAAGATTATTCTCTAAGGTAGGTTATGTCACGAGACTGGAGTTATTCATTCTTTAGAGGAACTTCCAAAAATTATATAGTATTTTAATCATTTAAATGTTGCTAAACACCATAGTAGAAAAAAGACCATATATTCAGTATATATATTTTTTATCAAATTTAATTTGGCATTGCATATAGGCCAGGAAGAAAATTACAAATTGTCTGCAAATGAAAATGTAATAAGGACAAACTTCTCGAGATGTTTCAAAAGAACTCTCTCTCTTTCTCCCCCCCCATATATATCTCCCCCCCTCTCTCTATATATATACATATACACACACACATAATATATATAGCTCTATATATACATTTTTCATATATATACACAATATCTTGATGCTTTAGCAAAAGCTTGCTTTTCTTTTCATTGACATAAAGTAATATGACATTTTTACTTAGCTCTGGTTATATTTTACCTTTAGTATCTTAAAGTGAACCTAAATCTACCTGAATAAAAAACTAAAGCATAGTATATGGCCAGGCAACCAATTAATAAGAGCTTATCGAGGGTATTTTAGTTAATTTCTTTTTAAATTTCTATATTCATTACTTCAGGAGAAGGTAAAATAAAACCTGGTTTATATTCATATAAATTTCAAACTATTTGAATAGGATAAAAATCTAAGAAGTTCTAATAATTTATCAAATATAAGCATTACATAATTACATGTTATAATATAGAACAAAAAATATTGAAGTAGAAAGAAATTACTTTGTATTCAAGTAATTGAGGAAGTACCAATACAAGCCCTTAATTAATGAATGCCATTGGCTTTAGAAATAAAAAATTATAAATAAGAGAAGGAAGATGGAAGTGTGGTTAAGAAGGGAGTGAAAGATACAAAATGTTTTAGCCACATTTTAAGAATTAATCAGTTTACAACATAAATAAAATTTGAAAAATTTTAACTAAAACACTCAAAGAATGAGAAGTCAGTATGATATGCTGCTGAAATATGTGGAGACCGGTTTCTCTGAACACTGGGGCAGGAGGAAATAAAAAACACAAGTTGGATATATAAAATGGTGGCCAGAACCATATCTGTAATAATTATTTTAAACCAATAGAAAAACTCGATCAAAGTGGGCTCTTATGATGTATTGGTGTACAATATAATTTTTTTAAAAAACATTAAACAGATTCCTATTGTGTTTTAATATAAAGATCATTAATATATAAGTTGTAATAACATTCTTGGCCAGGACTAAAAAATGATACACTATAGTATAATTTTAAAAAATGGAATGAAATCAGAAAGCTTGATTGTGCTTTTTACTTAGACCCTCATTTAATAACTCTTTATGTCCAAAATCTGCTACTCAAAAAGTTTTACTTTATCTAGTTAGTTAATATCTTTGTGTTCCGGTTCTCCATCTGCAAGAGGTTTTATAAAGCTACATACTTCCTAAGGTTAGTCTGTGGAGTACATTAAATAATGCCTGTAAAGCATTCAGAATTCAGAACACGACATGTAGAAAGTACTTAATAAATATGAAGCTAATGTTATTGCTATTCACATCAACTCCTTAATTTTTATTGGACTTTAAACTTTACCACTGAATATTATCCCATTTACTTGCCTCTTCACAGAAGTTATTCCTCCATACCCCTTGTAAGTAAACTTCAAAGAAAAACAAACTTGCACTTGTTGACAAAGTTATGGGAAAATTGGTAGCTGTGAAAATTGGTAAAAGTGTTAGGGAAAAAATTCACAGCAGTATATATCACATGCCATAAGAAAGTATGTATGTGTTGACTTTATATTACTATTTCAAAATGTAATTGAGAGCGATATATTCACAATGACACATAAATACAGTACATTACTATTGGGAGCAATTGAAATGTCCATGCAGAGGAAGGGTTAATTAAATTATAAATTATGGTAACCTACTCCTAATGACAAACTATATGCCTATTAGGGATGATAATCAGTCAAAATTTTATGGTATTTTTTGAGAAAAATAAAAAGGGTATGTTAAATGAAAAAGGCATTATAATAGAATAAAAATGCGCATTGTGATAATTTAGCAATGAATGTATACGCATAAAAATACTAAGCAAATGCACACAAAATAAAATATTAGCTTTAGACAGGTGGAATAAATTATTTTTTTCTGTTTTCTAACATTCTGTAATGTCTACATTTTTTTCAAATAGAAAATTATAATTCTATTTGACCTTGGTTGTTTAAAGACTCAATACTAACTCAATATTACCCTAAAAATATTAAACTTCTTATTACGTCAGTCAAGTTATTTCGCCAGTTTGCCATAATCAACTCTCTAGGCTTACAATCTATCATACTAGTTCATGTGTATTATTTTTCTGTTACATAAAATTTCTCATTATTTTCCTAAATGTCATACATAGAAAGTTCTGCTGTTAGAATTTCAAACATGACGTTATTTAATATCTCTGCCTCATTTTGCATAGCTGTAAAATAGGGATGGGTAAAATTATGTACATAATATGTTATGGGATTACAAAACGTAATTATGGACTGGGCACGGTGGCTCACGCCTATAATCCCAGCACTTTAGGAGGCCAAGGCAGGTGGATCTCTTTGGGTCAGGAGTTCCAAGCCAGCCTGGCCAACATGGCAAAATCCCGTCTCTACTAAAATACAAAAATTAGCCAGGCATGTTGGTGCATGCCTGTAATCCCAGCTATTCAGAAGCCTGAGACAGGAGACTCGCTTGAACCCTAGAGGCAGAAGTTGCAGTGAGCCGATATCATGTCATTGCACTCCACCCTGGGCAACAGAGCAAGACTCCGTCTCAGAAAAAAAAAAAAGAAAGAAAAAAAAAGAGAGAGAGAGAGAAAAGAAAGAAAGAAAGAAAAAGAAAAATATATGTACAACATATATTTGTTGTTAGGATTGAAAGAGTTAATATAAACAAGTAATTAAAGCTATAATTACCATAAGGATCTAGGTTTCATCATAATAGCTAAACTCCTTGAGCTCTTACTCTATTGAGAGTTTGTTCATTTTTATTCTTTTTAAGCATCTCCAGTATGCTTTTATTAATCTTCTCAAAGATCCCATGATATAGATGCTATTTTTCTACTAATTTATATATCACGGAATCTAGTCCCTGGTAATTTGAATAATTTACCTGTGGTTAAATAGCTAGGAAACAGAGCAAGACAAGTGACTTTTGCCTTAATGCTAGGCATTTTTGTCCTTATTTTTTGTTGTTATCCAATTAGATATCAAGGTAAGAACGTAGTCAAATTTTCTGACTTACAGTTCAGTTTCTTTTCTATTATGACATACTGTATTATTTAGTGGTACTGAGCAAAAATATCACTACAATATATTTAGAAATAATGTTTATATTAAAACAGATTTATACTCAACTTTTTAAGTTTACCTGTAATAAAATTATAAGTAATTAATTTCTCCTTTCAGATGATTTCTTTTTAAATTAGTGGAAGCTTCTGGTTTCCTGGGTAATGCATGAATTTCCGTTCCACAAAAAAGATAATATTATTTGTGCAAGGATAGATGAAAGAGATGTAGCACTTTTCCATATTAATTGTTTTCAAGTGTACAATTAAATGGTATTAAGTACATTCATATTGTTGAGCAATCATCAATATCAGATATCTCCAGAACTCTCTTCATCTTACAAAAGTAAAACTCTATATCCATCAAACAATAACTCTCCATTTCTCCCTCCCCGTAGCACTTGGCAACCACAATTCCATTTCCTGTCTCTATGAACTCGACCACTCTACATACCTTATATAAATAAAATCAGATAGTGTTTGAGTTTTTGTTACCGTCTTGTTTCACTTAGCATAATGTCCTCAGCATAATGCCCTCAAGGTTCCTCCATGCTTGTGGCATATGATAGGCTATCATTTCTTTTTAAAGCTGAATAATATTCTGTTGTGCTTATTTTGTTTATTCATCTGCTGATGGACACTTGAGTTGCTTTTACCTTTTGGCTATTGCGGATAATGCTGCTATCAATATGGGTATAAAAATATCTCTCTGTAACCTTGTGTATATACCTAGAAGTGGAATTACTGAACCATATGTTAATGCTATTTTTAATTTATTGAGGAATTGCTATACTGTTTTCCACAGTGGCTGCACATTTTACATTACCACCAACAGTGCACAGGTGTTTTGATTTCTTCACATCCCTGCTATTGAGAGGTGACAGCATGCTGGCAGCCCTTGCAGCCCTCGCTTGCTGTCCGTGCCTCCTCGGCCTCAGCACCCATTCTGGCCGCACTTGAGGAGCCCTTCAGCCTGCCGCTGCACTATGGGAGCCCTTCTCTGGGCTGGCCGAGGCCGGAGCCGGCTCCCTCGGCTTGTGGGGACGTGTGGAGGGAGAGGCACGGGCAGGAACTGGGGCTGCCCGTGGCGCTTGGGAGGCAGCTAGAGTTCTGGGTGGGCGTCGGCTTGGCGGGCCCCGCACTCCGGGCGGGCCCCGCACTCTGAGCGGCCAGCCAGCCCTGCTGGCCCCAGGCAGTGAGGGGCTTAGCACCCAGGCCAGCAGCCTGGGGCGCCCGGGAGGGTGCGCCCGGTTCCCCAGCAGTGCTGGCCCAGCCATGCTGTGCTCAATTTCTCCCCGGGCCTTAGCTGCCTCCCCGTGGGGCAGGGCTCAGGACCTGCAGCTCGCCATGCCTGAGTCTCCCCTACCCCACTGTGGGCTCCTGCATGGCCTGAGCCTCCCAGAACAGCACTGCCCCTGCTCCACGGTGCCCGGTCCCATCCACCACCCAAGGGCTGAGGAGTGTGGGCACACAGTGCAGGACTGGCAGGCAGCTCCACCTGCAGCCCCAGTGCCAGAACCACTGGGTGAGGCCAGCTGGGCTCCTGAGTCTAGTGGAGACTTGGAGAACCTTTATGTCTAGCTAAGGGATTATAAATACACCAATCAGCACTCTATATCTAGCTCAAGGTTTGTAAACACACCAATCAGCACCCTGTGTCTAGCTCAGGGTTTGTGGATGCACCAATCAGCACTCTGTATCTAGCTAATCTGGTGGGGGCTTGGAGAATCTTTATGTCTAGCTAAGGGATTGTGAATACACCAATCAGTACTCTGTATCTAGCTCAAGGTTTGTAAATGCACCAATCAGCACTCTGTGTCTAGCTAATCTAGTGGGGACATGGAGAACTTTTGTGCCTAGCTCAGGGATTGTAAACGCACCAATCAGCACCCTGTCAAAATGGACCAATCAGCTCTCGGTAAAACAGACCAATCAGCTCTCTGTAAAATGGACCAATCAGCAGGATGTAGGTGGGGCCAGATAAGACAATAAGATCAGGCTGCCTGAGTCAGCAGTAGCAGGTGGTTGCAGTGGCTTTCTATCTTGTGGAAGCTCTGTTCTTTTGTTGTTTGCAATAAGTCTTGCTACTGGTCACTGATTGGGTCCACACTGCCTTTGTGAGCTGTAACACCGCCAGAGTCTGCAGCTTTGCTCCTGAAGCTAGTGAGACCAGGAACCCACCGAAAGGAACGAGAAATTCCAGATGCGCCACTTTAAGAGTTGTAACACTCACTGTGAAGGTCTGCAGCTTCACTCCTGAGCCAGCCAGACCACCTACCCACCAGAAGGAGAAAACTGCGAACACATGTGAACATCAGAAGGAACAAACTCTGCACATGATGCCTTTACTGTAACACTCACCATGAGGGTCTGCAGCTTCGTTCTTGAAGTCAGTGAGACCAGGAACCCACCAATTCTGGACACTATCGCTTGTTTTCTGTTTCTTGAAATAGCCATGCTAACGAGTGTGAGGTTGTATATTATGGTGGTTTTGACTCACCTTTTCTAAATAGAGATGTTGGGTATCTTTTCATGTGTTTTTGTCTATGTGTATATTTTCTGTGGAAAAATGTCTCTTCAAGTTCCTGCCCAATTTTTTTTTTTTTTTTTTTTGAGACGGAGTCTCACTATGTTTCCCAGACTGGAGTGCACTGGCGCAATCTTGGCTCTCTGCAAGCTCTGCCTCCTGGGTTCACTCCATTCTCCCTGTCTCAGCCTCCCAAGTAGCTGGGGCTACAGGTGCCCACCACCGTGCCCGGCTAATTTGTGTGTGTGTGTGTGCTTTTAGTAGAGACAGGGTTTCACTGTGGTCTGGATCTCCTGACCCCGTGATGCGCCCGCCTTGGCCTCCCAAACTGGGGGAATTACAGGCGTGAGCCACTGCGCCCGGTTGTTCTTGCCCAGTTTTTGAATGGGGTCATTTGGTTTTTGTTGAGTTTTGGGAATTCTCTATATATTCTGAAAATTAATTCCTCATTAGACATGTAATTTGCAGGGTTTTCTTTTCATTTTGGGGGATGTCTTTTTACTTGTTGATAGTATATTTTGATGTACATTTTTAATTTTTATAAAGTCCAGTTAGTCTTTATTGTTCCTTTGTTGCCTATGCCTTCGGTGTCACATCCAATACATTTTCTGTTCTTTCTTTTTCAATCTAAGTATGTCTTTGGAACTGAAGAGAGCCTCTTAATAAACAGCATATAGTTCAATCATGCCTTTCTTTTTAATCTGTTGTGCCCAGTTATATTTCTTATACATGAAGTATAAACTTACACAAACTCGTTGTTTTTAATATTTTCTATTCTATACATACAACAGTGAAAATGTTTGCAAGTCCAATGATTTATTTAGGACTCAGGTAGTTCTTCATATGCTGCAATTCACTTCTTTAGTTTCTTGAGAACATTCAAGGAAGTCCCTGTACTGAATCAGCACAATGGTTGGACTAGAAATTTTCAGCAATCTCCTGCACTTTTGACATTCTCCAAATTAATAAATTGACGTGGAGGAATATTTACAAAATTTCTTGCTCTAAAAGTGCATATACCTGATGTGGAAGTTGAAAGAAACATACTATAGACAAAGATAACCACCATGGTAGGTCCCAACTAAATAGCAAAGAGTTATTCAGACTCAGGAAAATGGATTCAGTTAACAATAAAATTAAAATAAAAAATTAATGAATAAAACCAAAAAGTGAAAATCTCCACCAATAGAACATTTCAGACAGACCCAATAGGATTGCCAGCCTGACCGGTTCACTCTATTACCATTGATAAGCTACATAAGGAGCAAAAGCCTCTTGAGATTGTTCGGTGAAGATAAAATGTGAAAAAAAAATGTTAGTAATGCAAGTCAAAGGTATATTGTCAGGCTCTGAAAACCGATGCCTTAGGTCCTAAGGTACATAGCTCCACCATAGGGTTATACTTGGCAGAAAAATCAGATGGTAGCATTAGTCTGGTAAGGCATTCTTTCTCCTATACAGGGTTTCATTAGATAAAACCCTTCTGACTAATTTAATATTTCTGCATAGACTCTGTCCTTGAACATTACATTAACTTATAATTGTATTCTCTCTTTTTTTTAGACAGACTTGAGTTATTAAGGGACAGTCCTTAATGTACCTTATACTCAAATAATATGAACTTAAATTCTCCAACCTATTTGAGTATTTTTAGATTTCTGATAGGATGTGGTGAATTGTGTCACTTATCCTGTCTGCACTTCTATGATATATTTCTAAAACAACCTGCACCTTGGGATGCTGTCGTAAGTTACAAATGTCATTTGTCTCACATAAGAAGACAGCAACAATATTGATCATTACTCAGGATAAATAAGTGTTTGAAATGTAACCCTTCCCCTGTGTGACAATATGTAATGTGGGTTCTACAAAGGTGGGGCAGAAAGAGCAATTGTTCAACCTATGGAAGGATAATTACTGGAATACAGGAGAAGTCCATTGTAAGGCTGCAGGGACACCCACATCTTGGCTGCTGAGGGCGCCTAAAGCTTTGAGAATATCTCTGCTTTACAGAGTAGAGAATATATTATTCAGGTCAGTCGGTCTAATATGATGGACCAAATTGAGCACTTTCAATTTCAGACTTATTTACACTGACAAGACATTTTAAAGTAAGGGATTACTAGTGTTTGAAGCTGGGAAAATTGGTCCCCATTTTAAAACCAGATAGCTTATCCTTGCTATTACAGGCCTCATCCTCAAGTTGGTTTTATTTAAGCAGTTTAACATTAATAGACTTATTTGAGCAAAGGACGTATTTGAGGTTGATGTATGCTCAGAAAAAGTCATTTCAATATCACATGGTCATGCCTACTTTGAGCATTTATTTTAATGGCTCAGAAATGAAAAAGCTACAAAATCTATCAGTAATCAAAATCTACAAAATTTATTGAGAAGTTACAGATTAATGGTCAGTCCTAATTAAAGGATGATAGGTAGGTAGATAGATACTAAACATGCATATAACTATACATATATATATACCACTGATATTTGTTTCCTATATCTGATTGGTAAGATACTATTACTTGTATTACCTTATGTTAGATAATACTCTTATACTGCCCCTTCATTTTTGAAATAATTCAGTTTATAACATGGTAATACGTTGTAGAAGTGGTTGCTGTTAAAATTGTTATTGGAAGTTGTAGTTCTATGAACTGGTTGACAATTTAGGTTTCTATAGAGCATAGCTACTAAAACCAATACAAAAAATAAAAATTCTGGATAAAAAGCATAAAATTTTGTTGGTATAAATTTTAGAGCTGAGTTTATTTTTTTTTTAATTTTTCTTCTCTTATAGAATTTTCTAAGACATTATTTTATTTCATTGTAGATTTCTCCATTATATTTCTCAATCATTTCTTATGTTTTCTGGCACAGGTACATTTGTCCACAGTGCTGTATTTGCTTTCACAGACTTTAAGAAAAAAATTCATTTTTGAGAAAGGATGGTAGGGATTATCACCTCAATCAACACATAATTTATCTTATTATGCATGATTTGGATATGAAAATATTTAAAATGATTATAGAACTGTGAAGCAGTATGCCCTGAATAAGTTTCTTCCTCTGTGTTAAAACTCCAGAATATTTTTGATCATTCTCCAATCATGATGATAAACACCATTAATTTTTGAACACTTATTTCCCAGAAACCTTAAATATATTGTCCTTTACATTTCTCACATCAGCTTTGTAAACTTGATATTATTGTCCTCACAGTACAGATGAGGAAACAGAGATTCAAATCAATTTTCCTAAAATTATAATTTTTAAGAGACAGTAGCAGGAATCAATCTTAATAAAAATGTGATTTTTTCACCCTTGCTTTCTGGTTATTTTGTCTCAGTAGAAATTACACTGTTGAACATAATGGAAGTGGAAACTACAGAACAAAGTCCACGTAATAAACAACTACATTCTTTCTGCTCCACACATAGCATATACTTGGTAAATACATGCCAGTTTTTTCTGTCTCACAGATACTGTGTGTCAATGTTCACTCTCACAGTCACTCTCAGGGCTGGTTGTCTCTGATTATTAGCAAACTTAGGTCAAGAGACAGTCATTAAGAACACGTTTCTTGGATTCAAATAGTAGAGCAGTGCTTCTCAAAGAGGGCAGTTGTGTACATTGGAGGCATCAGACAATGTCCCAAGGTATTTTTTGTTGTTGTTCCAGTGTCAGAGTGTGCTACTAGCATCTAGTGGGTAGAGGCAAAGGATGCTGCTAAACATGCCACATTTCACGTAACAGTCTCTGACAACAAAAAGTTATCAGGTCTAACATATCAATAGTGCTCAGGTTGAGAAACCCTGGTGGATTGCAATATTGGGTCTGCCTTTCCTAACCTAGATTATTAGCCTGCTTCAAAGGTTTTCTGATCCTTGCTTTTATGCATTTTCAAAAAGGGGTATTTTCCATTATTATAAGGTAGTTGGGAAGATTATGTGGGGTATTGTGTGCTATCCATTTAATACCATGCCAGAAACAAAGTTTAGAAAATGATTATTATTGATATGGGCCACTAATCAATCCCTGACATATTTAATGTAAATTATTTTACTATCTCAATGAAATTGATGGTATATTAAATATTTTCAAAATCAGTTATATTTTAATTAGCTTTATACATAATATCCTTATTCGTGCAAATAATCAATAACTTGTGAATTATTTTTATTTTTCAAAATATTTGCTAAATATATTTTAATATTTAAAAATTTAATAAATGTATAGGGGCTCTATTTGATGATCAGAACCAATAACAGGAAAATTAAAATTATGCTTATGTTTATAATTTTTCTATGCATCAGTACACACAAGCATATTTGTGTGCATGTTTATGTGTATATAAATATATGTGCATATATAATAACTATATTAATCTCTTCATCTGAGACAATATATCGTTTTTATTCCATGTGTTATTTAATAAAAATAAAATTTTCTACCTTGTCTTTAATATGCAAAAATTAATTATCTCTGAAGTTATCTGTGCCTCCTACACTATCCCCAGAAATTTAGATGTTTTCTTTTAAAAGGGAAATAAGTTGAAATTGTAAATTGAAAAATCTATACTGTTTCTATATATGTGGCTGGGTATGTTTGCATGGGTGTGTGTGTGTCTGGATATATATATATATATATGTAGGGCTGAGAATATTTTAATTCTGACAGTAGAAATAAAGCAATAGATATAGTAGGTGTTTAAAGGCCTGATTTCAATAAGGTGTTTTAACTTTATACACACTGCTAGGCATGGAAATAGACATTCAGTTTTTCTTTCTCTCTTCTTTCCTGCCTTTTTGTGATCAATTCCACAGAATTATATTAATTGCCTAAAGGCAAGTTTGGCCTCTGATGGCACAATTACACAGAGCTTAGTAATGTACTGTTTCTACTCTCTAAGAGGATACGATGTGGCATGCACCCTGACAGATCAGGCAAATGCAGCACATGAACTGAGAAAATAGCCAGTGGATGATGTGACAAGTAATGTCCAAATGCTACCAGAGCATCACAAAGCTACTGATTCTGCCTGTGAGGGTACAGAAAAGCTTCCAGGAAACTGGAGAGCTGAGGAATGTAGCCTAGAAGTGTTTTAATTTAATTATACATTTAAAAATAACTAAAAGAATTTAATTTCCCACTGTTCAATTTTGGTAACTGAATTTCTAGAAAAGACCAATGTAGCCATTTTCTGAAATAGAAATCTGACTCTCACAGAAACATATTTTGGTTTGTTAATAAAAGATCTATGTATTATCAGTAGGGTAGGTGCCATACCAACCCTCCCCCACAAAAACTGAGCTTCTGTCAAATATAGGGACTCTCCTACTATTAAAAAGAAAACAAAGAAACAAACTCTGCTAGAGCAAAAATCCAAGACTACACAAACTGAATTAATTACTGCTTTAGATTTACTGTTTAATAATTGAAGTTGGTGCAAGCAAATAGGACAAAATTGAGCACAAGCATATTCAAGAAGAAAAGAGTGCACTTAGAGGGAAATACAATCTCTCAGAGAGCACTCTATAGCAGTATCTGACTTCAGGAACCGAATACAGGTGAGTGCCTTAAGGTTATTGCCCTGCTCCTAAGGCAGATCTGAGCCGGTTGACTAGACTTAGGTATATTTTGTCACAAAGGAAAGAAAGTGAAAGGAAAAATTTTTTTAAAAGCCAGAAACCCTCTATTGTTAAAGCATTCTTTTCCTATGACCACGTATTTCTCCTAATTTGTAGTAGTTCCTGGCTTTTAAGGGTTCTAAACTATGCTTTTTGCCTCTGCATCACTTTCCAATGAAATCATCTAATTTAATTTCCTCTCAGGGCATTCTGACAAGACTGGGGTCTATTATGAAAGACATAAAGTAGAAATATTTGTCATGTGACTTGTTCTCTTTTCCTGTTAAACCTGCTCTAATGGGCTAACTGAAACTAATACCTGTACAAGCATCCCCTGGGCACAATTGCACCTTTTCTTTCTTCAAACCCACTAGTTTCTTGTTAGCTTCATGCATTTCTTTGTCTGGGTTCTCTTTTTATTTTTCTGTGACTTACTCATTGTTATAGTACTTCTTTGCCTCCTTTCTCTATTTTTTTCTTATATGCTCACCATGTTTTGCCTTTCATGGCTATTGTTTCCTTCAAAAACAAAACAAAAACTTCTTTAATGTCTTTATTTTCTTTTTCCCTTCTAACCCATTTTTGTCTTTTAAAATTGTTTCTGTAACTCTCTTTCCATTCTGTGACTTAATCCTGTTTTCATATTCTATAATTCATTCTTTTTAACACCCCTACTTTATTTTCACTTATAGTGTGGGCACTAAACAATGGGTACACACTGATATTAAGATGGAAACAGTAGATACTGGGGACTCCAAAAGCAGGGAGGAAAGGGGAAGACAAGGGTTGAAAATCTACCTGTTAGGTACTATGTTCATCATTTGAGTGATGGGTTCACTAGAAGCCCAAACCTAGGCATTAGATAATATATCCATGCAACATATCTGCACATATACCCCCTGAATCTAAAATTAAAAAAATAAATACTTTATAATATTCTCCACCTTCGATGTTTCCATTACTTTATGTTTGTTATTACATTGCTTTACCTATACTGCTCTTTTATTTTGTGTAGCCCTGTCCATTGTTTATTGCTATCAATAAAGAAGGCAAAATGAATTATAAATAATTTGTTGACTGATATTTATTTGCTTCCGCTACCCTATCATCTTGACCACTGCTCGCCTATATTTTGAATGGAATGATCATAAGCTGCTAAGGTTTCTTGGACTCAGATAATGTGAGTGATAATTTAATCCAATGATCATAATAAATATAATAAATTCCCTTTGTTGCTAAAAAAGAAAATATTCCACATAATAGTTAAGTTGTTAAATCAAACATGTTTAACACTCATATATGGATCAGAACATTTTAGTTACAGTATAGATACAAAAAATTGAAATCTGGATTAAGCCTATTAAAATATATACTATTGCCTCTTGCAATAGTATAAGACTTTCTCTTGAGGTCTAGAGTTATGATTACTACTTTTATTTTAAATAATTGCTTGATAATGTTAAGGCTTCATTTTGTAACATGCCATTGTGCTGTCAGATTTACAAGTACATAGAAATGTAAATATTTATGTATATGTATGATAACAGCAGGAGGCAGACAAATTCATAGGCAGATAGAGGCGGGTCCCCAGTGAAACCTGACCTTCAAGCCTAACACAGCTTGAAGCCTGAAAACAGGGCTTCCAGTTCCAGGTAGAATTCACAATCCAGAATAAGAACTTCCTGATGCCTTTCAGTCAATCAAATGCTGCTATTTCCAGGCCCACCCATGGACCAATCAGCATGCACTTTCTCCATTCTGAGCCCATAAAAACCCTGATGGACTCAGCCACACCTCAGGACTATTGCCCCAGGGTAGGAGCTACCCACTTTGGGTCTCCTCTCTACTGAGAGCTGTTCTGTCATTTAATAAAACTGTTTCTGCCTTGCTCACCCTCCAGTTGTCCCTGTAACCTCGTTCTTTCTGGATGTGGGACAAGAACTCAGGACTCGCCAAGTTGTGGGCACAAAAAGGGTTGTAACCCTTTCCTGGCTGGATTGCCACACTGTAGATGGGGGCAAAAGGGTTGTAACATATTCCTGGCCAGCTCACCAAGCTGCAGGCAGTGACGTGAAGAGCACTGACCCTTCTGGGATCCCAGATCTTGGGATATCCAGAGTCAAAGATGTAACATTATACCCTTCTACCGTTTGCCCGCCATGGGCAGCCACTCCACGTGATAGGAAGTGGGGGCGGGGCTGGGCCAGCCCAGGAGCCATGAGCCTGAGTGAGGCAGCAGAACTGAAGGAGCTAAAGCAGGCACCCCCGCCCCCGCCTACCTGGCAAAGTTGCGAGCAGCCGGAAGGAAAGAGCTGTAGTATATACCACCACCCCCCTAGTATACCACCACCCCTCAACCCGGCCCCCACCGCTAACAAAGCTGCCGGCTGCAGGAATGAGAGAGTGGTAGAACGACACCCCCGTCTCACTCCTTGGGACTCCTCAGTTGCTGGCGGCTCCAAGTTTTCAGGAGCCACGGTGTTCCCCTCTTCCAGATGCTAGTGCCAACAGTGGAAGCAGCTTGCGATATGCCTAGTCCACCTACAGCCTCTTACCGAGCTGGCACCTGTATCAGCGCCTGGAGCTGCCGGCTCCGCCGGAGGCAGCCGGTGCACTGGGCTGTGCGCAGTGGCTGGACTTTGCACTCACCCACTCACACACCCCTCACTGCTCCACGCCTGGCTCAGCCTCCACCGAAACGGGATCCCGGCCAGAAGCACGAGCCTAGTGCATCCTGATGAGCTGAGTGGGCGAAATTAGCACAACGAGTGCAAGCAAAACTCAAGCAGAGGTGCTGCCAGCCACAGAGTTTTCCAGCTAGCTAAGTGACACCCAAGGGATCCTGTGACATATATATATATATATATATATATATATATATATATATATGATATGTACATATAGAGATATATAGGTTAAATACATATATGTGTATATATACATATATCATACAATATATATTATATATACATATATACTATATACTATATATTGTGTGTGTGTATATATATGTATATCAAAGCAAATAGCTTTATGCAGATAGGTGGTACAAGATCTTATTCAGTAACAAGAGGTTGAGACATAATACGAGGAAAATATCATGGGATATGGAAAATTAAGACTTGTGTTTGACACACAAAATCAACTATTCATTAGTTACTGGGCAAAAGTATGTATTTTCTAAGTGGAAGTTTATAAAAATTGTACAATATTTTAAAAATTTAAATGAAAGTAAATAATGTAAAGCATTATACCTTTTAAAATGTAATGCATGATGTAAATTATTATCACTAATAACAGAAGAAGAAAACAAACATTTAAGAATGTTTACTTAAGATACAGGCCAGGCGTGGTGGCTCACAACTGTAATCCCAGCACTTAGGGAGGCCCAGGAGGGTGGATCACTTGAGGTCAGGAGTTTGCGACCAACCTGGCCAACATGGGGAAACCCTGTCTCTACTAAAAAGATAAAAATTAGCCTGGTGTAGTGGCACACACCTGTAATCCCAGCTACTCGGGAGGCTGAGGCAGGAGAATCACTTGAACCTGGAGGTGGAGGTTGCAGTGAGTTGAGATTGCACCACTGCACTCCAGCCTAGGTGAAAAAACAAGACTCTGTCTCAAAAAAAAAAAAAAAAAGATATAATCATATGTTATAATCATATTATAGAATTAAAGACCTGTCATTATTGTGTGGGTTTTTACCATGGAATGATTGAAAGAATTATGAAAAGGCTATGTGTGCTCTGGAAAAGCGTGTATTTGGTTTATTTGTATTACGTTAATAATACTCATCTGCTAAAAAGAATGTCGGAAAAATCAAATTGCTTGAGGGACTTTAGCCAGATTGGTGAAAAAATTTAGATTATTGTTGCTCATGAGTACTAGAAAGCATTATGCAAATATGGAACAGGTTATAAAAGCACTTATTTTTCAAACTATCAAAGGTTTTTAAAATTAATGTCTTAGCAGAAACCAAACTATCATATCATGTTGACAAAGTTTATATAATATGACTTTTCTGAAACTCAATCTTTAA
The DNA here is from genome assembly GCF_000001405.40 of Homo sapiens. NCBI lineage: Eukaryota > Metazoa > Chordata > Mammalia > Primates > Hominidae > Homo > Homo sapiens. The sequence continues at coordinate 56,911,848 of NC_000013.11, forward strand.
ATTACTGTTACATTTTGGAAACTCTTTAACAGTGCATGAAATGTTTGAAATAACCTAAATGCATTTTTACTCGCTTTCACATTGTCTTATTGGATATAATTTGCATCATTTTCCACAATAACTAATGTATTATTATTTACCCATAGGGAAAATGTTTACTAGGCCCTGAATAGTGCCTTGAGCTCCACAGAGCAAATGAAAAATTAGACTATGTAATAACTTCATGGTAATTGAATCTTGGTCTTTACCTCAAGTGTACAAAAACTTTCAACTGCCCTGAAATTTTGTAAGTTAGTTGTTGAAACTTCTTCTGGTTGTTTTGGGAAATTTCTTGTCATTTGTTACCCAAAGCACTGCAAAGATCTGAAGTCTACATATTGCTAAGGCATTAGATGGGATCTTTAATAATTTCATCACTCCGCATTGGCTTATTGCCAAAATAACCATTACTTTTGTCTACACGGTGTCTTCAACCCTCTGATTCTGTGTCTTCCATATCATCCTTGGAACCTGTGATTTATTAATGAGGCTTGAAATTCCTCTTTATGGGATTGACTTTTTCGTCACATGAAACAAACCCAGTGGACACTTCCTCTCAGTAAGTGATATCCCAGAGGTTTTATTTAAATCGTTTGCACAAACATCTTCTGAGGGAAGGAAGGCAGAGCTAATTATCCCTTCTGATGATGGATAAAGAGAGAATCACAAAGTAATAGCTGAAACTTGATGCCCTCACATATCCTTTTATTTTGAAAACAGAGATCAAGCATGCTGCACTGAGTAGTAACATAATATTGGCAAAAGAGCTATATCTCCATTCTATTCACTTCCATAAACATCTTTTCAAGTTAGAATTTCTGCTGTAATATTTGTGAGGACATCTGGGAGCAGAAAGAGAGATGAAACAGTATGCTGGGACAAGAGGGTATGGCCGTTGACTCAGAGCTTATATTTAGTAAACTAGCTGTGGATTAATGATGATATAGCTAATGACTAGTAATCACAAGTACTAATCTATGTTCAATATCCATAGCATTTTGGTATGTAATGTAAATATAAGCTAGCTGTGATTTTAGAGACAAAAGTTTAATAATAAAATAATAAAATATTGCTCAGTTGCTGTCCTAATACTGTAACTTCTACATTCACGAGAATCTTATTGATTCTAGTTGAGCTCCTATGCTGAGTTATATTGTGGTATACCTGACCTTATTCACTGTACTTTGGAAGCAGCCATCTTGGAAGGGTGGAATGGAAGGAGCTGTAAACTCTCTGCTAGAGATCCCTATATTTGCACAGTAGCTCTAGTTCCCCAAGAGACCACTGTTTTGGGGATAGTTATATGGTGATGTACCTTAAAAGAATGCTTGCTTTTTTGTTTATTCCCTAAGAAAAGTCTTTTTTTTTCATGTTCTCAGAAACCACCTTGTATTTTCCAGCATTTGAAGTATGTAGGCAAAATGAGTTACCAAAAAATGTACTGATAAATTTTGGGCAAGAAATTAAATTTCTGCACTTCTTTTCTAACAGATTTTGAGAGTATTTTTAAAGTTATTTTGTTGCAAAATCATACTGTGTTGATGTAAATATAGTATAGGTTATGATAAAATCCTGTAGTAAAGCATAAGTTTGTTATAACCATTAATATTATACTAGCACTGAAAAAATAAGGCTACATAGTCAGAAATAATACATTTATTTGTATACTGGTAAATACTAGGCTACAAAACTCTGTATAAGCAAATACTGTAATTTATTTGAGTAATGATGGTAAGTAGAAAGCAGGACATAATGTACAACAAATTTGAATGAATTCCTATGTAGCACATGCGGACAAGGTAAATATGAGTAAAATTTCATACAAAGCAGGCAAGAAAGCAGAATAAATTTCAACAAATTCTTGTATAGTTAACCTCAGTACATGTAGACAAACAAATATTTCAGTAAAAAGTGTTCTAATGCGGGGCCGGGTGCAATAACTCATGCCTGTAATCTCAGCACTTTGGGAGGCCGAGGCGGGCAGATCACAAGGTCAGGAGATTGAGACCATCCTGGCCAACATGGTGAAACCCTGTCTCTACTAAAAATACAAAAATTAGCTGGCCGTGGTGGCTCACACATGTAGTCCTAGCTAGTAGGGAGGCTGAGGCAGGATAATCGCTTGAACCAGGAAGTTGGAGGTTGCAGTGAGCCAAGATCATACCACTGCACTCCAGCCTGGTGACAGAGTGAGACTCCGTCTCAAAGAAAAAAAAATATTCTAATGCATTAAAAATAGTGTATTGAAAGGAATTCTAATGACATAACTAAGTATTCAGTAAAAGTAAATAATATGAATTATTAGTTTACTAGCAGAAATAAAAATATATGCATTAATGTTTATTAATGACAGGTATTAAGGAAGGTCATAGCTTTACAATAATCAGCTATAAGATCCATTCCAAAACTATTTCAAAGATTTCAGTCTTCACTTTAAAATCAAATAAATAATTTCAGCAAAGCCAACTCACCATACAATTAAAGTCAAAAACCAAAGTTGTACAGCAGCCTTTCTAGTCAATTAATTTTATAGCAGAAGGGGATTCTGCCCACTCTTAGAAAGGTCTCACAGAATGACCTGCAGTCCAGCTTTCTCAGAACTACTACTCCACCTTAAACTCCTTCTTTCAGCATCCAGGACTGTGGAACTAGTTAGTAGGGAGAGAGTATGCATGATTGATCAGACTCAGCATAGATGTTTGCATTCATAACAAAAAGCCATTTGATGTGACATACTTTGTGCCTTTTTTCTCCTAAGTAGGAAGTTTTCTTAGTCTGTTTTTTGTTGCTACGAAGGAACATCTGAGACTGGATAATTTATAAAGATAAAAGGTTTATTTGGCTCATGATTCTAGTGGCTGAAACATTGAAGATTGGGACTCTGTATCTTATGGTAGAAGGCAAATGGGAGTTGGTGTATACAAAGCTCACATGGGAGAGAGGAAGTAAGAGAGAATGGGGAGGTGCCAGGCTCTTTTTAACAATCTTCTTTCGTGGGAACTAGTAGAGTGAGAACTCATCACTGAGAAAAGGCATTAATCTATTCATAAGGGATCCAATCCCATGATCCATACACCTCCCATTAGGCCTCATCTCCAACATTGGGGATCAACTTTCAATATGAGTTTTGGAGGAGACAAACATGCAAATCATAGTAGAGGTAATTCCATTTTTTATGATTGCAAATTGTGTACTTAAATTGACATTCACAATTTGACTTTTTTGACACATTTCCTGTCTCAGATTTTAAAAATCTTCAAACATCTGGGTTAAATATGTAATGACCCAGTGCTTAGAGGAAATTATACATTATTTTCTTCTCCACAAGAAATAGCAAATTATGAACATACACTGGGGAAAGGACAGTCTTTTCAATAAATGGTACCAGAAAAACTGAATATCCACATGCAGAAAAATAAAACTAGATCCCTATATCTCACCATGTATAAAAGTCAATTCAAAATAGGTTAAAGTTTTAAATATAAGACCTGAAACTATGAAACTACTAGAAGAAAACATTGCGGAAATGCTTGAGGATATTGGTTTGGGCAAAGATTTTTGGAGTAAAACCTCAAAAGCACAGACAACAAAAGCAAAAATAGTCAAATGAGATTACATCAACTTAAAAAGCTTCTGCTCAGCAAAGGAAACAATCAGTGTACGTAAGCTTGCAATTCTGTGTTACTTATATTCTAATAAAATGGAGGATTTAGTAATGTACATATGACTGCCGCTGCTGTCATATTCCTGTTGCTAGAAACACAGAGAATGGAGTTAAGGAGCCACTAACCCAGGGATTCTACAAAGGATTCGAGTGATGTTTATTCCATCAATTTACATGAATTATTTGTCTTATCCTTCTTTATTTTTCTATAATACTTGCCTAAGATAGATGATCCGTGAGTGGCAGTCACTTCATTGCTAACATTATCTTTCAATTTGCACAAGCACATATTCATTTTCTTCCCTTTTCACAACTCTGTGCACTTTACAATAAACATCTTTTAATTTTTTGCATCTTCATTGCTCAAAGTCAAGGTTAGAAGAGACCCTAAACTGTTCTGTATCAACAGCCTCCACCAAATAAACTAAATGGCATTTTCATTCACTGTGATTGTTAGTACTGACACTCAGTAAATACGTTCTAAATAAATAAAATAAGCTCTTCCATTTTAAAACAGCTCCCATGCTGGGCATTCTACCTGAGCATCCTGCTAGTTGCAGAGAGCCCAGCTGTTACTACTACTAATCTGTTACCTACAGGCATAGAGAATTAGCTCTGCTGAATTCTTACATCTGACCAGGCCCTAAACCATGGTTATATTCATGAGCAGTAGCTGTGTAAATATTTATATTGAGAAAAATTTAACTGTCCTGCCCTGCAACATTAGAGAAAATGGAGTCATATTTCATTATCCTTCTCATTGTAAGGCTTGGGCTTTCACTAAATGTGTGCCAAAAGAGTGGAAGAATCTTACAGTATTTGTATAATTGTTAATTCTAAAATGTGTGTTATATAATAAGAATATTAAACTACTTTCCGCTTGTTTATTTCAAATATTAGCAGCTGGTTAAACTTATTTCACTTGACATGTCAGGTAATTGATAATAGAACACATCTTCTACTGTGAAAAAAATAATACCACCTCACATGTTTGTTATTCATTGAGTTCTGGGCAGAATTGAGCAGATTGTTATGGGTGATCTATAGGAGGTAAGGTTGGAGTAATCGGAGACTGCCAAGCTTTTTTGGCAGAATGGTTTTTTTTTTTTTTTTAAATAAAGTACTATTCCACAAGTATTTCATGAGAATTCACTAAGTGCAGCAAACTGGGTTAAATATTTTAGGGGTATAGACAGAATAATGGCACTCATATTGCAATAATTATAACTAAGCTAGAGTTATAAAGATTAAAAATCACCTATGAATAGATAAGAAAAGATGAGATGAACAAGTTGGTTGGAGAACCTTCACAGGAAAGCAAGTTTTGAATTAATTTCTGTTGGAAAGGATGGGAAAGAATTGTCAGAGACGTGGAAAAAGACATTTTGTCTGGAGCAATAGCATGAAGGGCATTCCAGGACATAAAAAGTTTTAGAAGACCGATTTACACAGAAGCATATTTTCTGGTAGATATGCTTTGATAAAATATTCACTAAAAAGTTTATATGTTCCCTAAATTTAGCTATCTCTTATTTTGCAGCAAATTATTTGTCAATATGTCTTGTTCTATTCTTACCAAATCACATTAATATTTTACTGATCACTTCAAAGAATGAAAGTAGCACCTCCTTTACTGGAAATAAGAGCAAATTTTACCCATTAAATAGCATAATACTAGCTAAAAGAAGCAATAAATTTTGTGGGTACATTTGTGTGTAAAGGAAGCTGTTGGGGCTCAGAAAACAATACTCCAAATATGGCACCTTGACATGCTTAGTACTTTGAACTTAAAGAGATCAGTGTCAGATGCAAGGTCTCTCTAATCTTTCATCCTCCTGTTTCCTGTCCCCCTTTCTTCTCCGGAAGAAAGTGCAAGTCATAGAAACCAGCATTGCTCTTCTCCAAGGCGGGTCATGGAAACTAGAACTCCTTTCCCCCAACGCAAGCCACATATAACCTAGAAAGGTCATTTTTTCCCTTTCTTTTCTCCCTTGAAAACCTTCATTCCAGAGGAGTCCTGCTGCTTGCCTGGGAATAAGGAATGCTACACAGAGAGGCCAAGAGTCTGAACAATTAGGACTTGACGAGTTTCTCTGCTCAGTCTATTACCATTAGATGACACTCTTTGTCCAGTTACATTTCTACATGGCTGTTCATTCTTCATTGAATCTAAGCATAAAAATCCTTTTCCCTGTGTCTTTGGGTCTTCATTTCTAAAGACTCTCATGTTACGTAAAACTTTGATTAAATTAATTTGCTATGCTTTTCTCATTAACCTGTTTTTTGTTATAGGACTGTTGGCTGCGACAGTTTGGACACTTAGGTAAGAAAAGGTGTCACACTTTTCTGCCTCTGCAAAGCCGACTGAATATAGGAGAGTTATAAGAGAAACCAAAATCCCATAATTTGGGTGAGTGAAAACTAAATTATCAATATAGCTTTTAAGCACCTTAGTATCTGTTATTGAATGTGTCTAGCAAAATAAACTTAATCAACAGGTAATACTTAAAATAAGTAAACATCAAATATTAATATCAAGTTTTGGTTTTTATTAACATTAATATTTGATGTTTATTAATTAATATTGATTAATATTAATATAATATTAATATTAATAGTTGATGTTTAGTAATTAAAATTAATATTTTATCATATCAAACACATGTTGCAATTAATGATAATATGAATATTCTAAGACATAAACAGGTAAAGATTACACAACAAAAATTCCAAAAGAAAACCGTGTAATGACGAATAAGCGTATAAGACATTTGCAATACCAAGAGTAATCTAAAATATCCAAGTAAAATTAAAATGAGAATTTTCACTTACCAAATAGCTGGATATTTTTTAAAATGATGATACTCAGAAGTAAATAAATTATGAACGGAATGCCTATATGAAGCGGGTGGGAAGGTTTAATCTGCAGGTTCTTTCAGCTGATGCTAATAGAAAACAACTAACAAAGTCTAACAGATAAGTATTGTTGTGTATCATGAAACAGCCTTGGCCAGGCGCGGTGGCTCATGCCTGTAATCCCAGGACTTTGGGAGGCCGAGGCGGTGGATCACCAGAGGTCAGGAGTTCAAGACCAGCCTGGCCAACATGGTGAAACCTCGTCTCTACTAAAAATACAAAAATTAGCCAGGCATGGTGGCTGGCGCCTGTAATCCTAGCTACTTGGGAGGCTGAGGCAGGAGTATCGCTTGAACCTGGGAGGCAGAAGTTGCAGTGAGCCAAGATTGCGCCATTGCACTCCAGCCTGGGCAACAGAGTGAGACTCTGTCTCAAAACAAAACAAAACCAGAAAAAAAAGAAAAGAAATAGACAGGATAGGCAGTTCTGAACTGGTATGAAAGCTTGAAGATATCACCCACTAGGAACTTCAGTCTGTCTACTTTTTTTTCACTAGACATATCTTTTAGCTTCATTTTTGGCTTCAAGATCGCAAACGGATATAGCAGAATTTTGTAGCTGTATAGTTCGTTTTCTTATCACTAAGTAATAGCTAATTTGTTTTTATGATGTTTAATTTACAAAAACAGAATTCTATTTGTCTTCCAGTCTTGCTATTTTTACTCAATATTGTGTTAAATTTTACTTCAGATACATCTAGTTGTAGAGTATAGTAATTCATTCATTTTACTATGTGTTTCACTACCGACCTTCTCATTTAGATGTCCATTTATCCTTATCTCTCTTTTACACATTTTAATCCCTTTATTTATCTGTACTTTCTTCTTAATAATATTCTTAGCCCCTTCTTTTAGATTATTAATTCTCTCTTTACCTTAGTCCAAATATGTGGTTGAATCCATCACATGAGACTTCAATTTTATTTATTTTACTTTTATTGCTAAAGATCTTGTTTTTATAACATTGCTTACTATTTACTCACATTTTCAATTCTTCTTTATCATTTTCAGTATATTAAATGTTTAATTTATATTCTGAGACTGATCATCACAGTGTTTGATGTTTTACTGTCCCAATTTTCCTCACTATTATTTACAATTTTTATGTCTGACTTTTGATAGGGAAATTCTTTTTTATCTTGAAATTGTGCCTAATGGATTTCAGGTCTTAGAATGGAGGTATTTATCACATAGGGTTTGCTTGTGTTTTTATTAGCTGCCTAGTGGACCACTTCTTCTGGAGTCCCGATAAAATAAATTCTGATATTGAGACTGTTAAACCACAGTAATAGTGTTTATTTATGCTACAAACCCACAGGAGAATGAAATTATGGATATAACTTCTTAGAATAGATGATTTGATTAACTTTCTATTTCTACCTTTTGAGAATAGTAATTTTCATTCCAGTTCTCAATTAGTTAGTTAGGAGAACATTTTATTTCTCTTCCACTTTTGTAGGAGGGTCAGTTTCATGGGAGAATAGCTTAGTAACCTATTCCCTGAATAATTTACTTAGATATTGGCATTTCTTTTGTAAGAGCTGCAATTTGGAATTCTATGAAGGCACCATAAACAAAAAGCAGTAGACAGATGATGTTAGGGTGCTGAGTGAACACTTACTCCCTACTTCTATTTTCAGGAAGAGAAACTCCACTAAACTTAATACCTCTGGTCCCTCTCCATGCACCTCACCCACATTTCCCTTTTCTTACTGTAATTCTACATAAATCTGTTATGCTGCTTGTTTCATAAGAGTAGATTCTGTCCCTGTGAAGGGAAGTTTCCAGTTGCTTCATAATATCTGTGATTCTGTTGAAAGCCCAATCTTTGTGTTCAGTATATAGGAAGCTTGCATACCCAGTATTGTCCTTCAACCTATACTTCATCAACAGTAGCATTCATATTTTATACCTATTATTCTCATCTTCTATTTGTCTCTTAACTACTCCTTAATTTGAGTAGGAAATATAGTAAATATTTATTTGGTCCTGCTAAAGCCCAATATGGTATTAACATATAGAATTTTGGGACTTAGTAAAATGTTAGAAGTTTTACTAAGTAATAAACCTCTTATTGAAATGACATCAATTTCATTAGAGAAGAAACGGACAAGTATAATTTGCTAGCATGTCTTTTATATGTCGGAGTTACCAGAAAATCGGGAACTGTATACATTTTTTCCATGTTATTTCCAGTTTTTTTCTATACTTGTGGTATTTTATTTTTCTTTAAATTATAGAGGATAGTATCTGTTTTGGGGGAAAGTTGAATTTGGGGGAAGTGCAAAAAAAAACTTTAAAACTATAAAAATGCCCCCCAAATACTCATAAAAAGAAAGTTTCCTGCTAGAAAATAAAACAAGCAACATGACTGAGGGATATGGAATAATAGCTGACTGGAAATAAGACATATGGTATTAATTTGATTTTAACCTCATCTAATATTGTAGAGAGATATATCTGATATTATACAGGGATCATTGTTTCTAGAAATACAAACTTTGCAGAAATACAAATAAATTGTTTTTAAGTATATTTCTTTACATTTTTCAGCTTTATTGAAATATAATTGACAGATAAAAATTGTATATATTTAAGGTTGTGATATAATATTTTGATATACATATACATTATAAAATTGATTTTCACAGCCAAGTTAATTAACGTACACATTGCCTCACATAGTTACCTTTTTGGCTCTCTTCCTTTGTGTGGTAAATGTATTTAAGCTGTAAAATATTTTAGTGGATTTTGAATATACAATATATTATCATTAAATACAGTTATCATTCTGTGCATTGTATCTCCAGAAATTATTCACTTAATATTGCAAGTTTTTACCCTTTGATCCTTTTCATGTATTTTTTCCTTTGTATCTTTTCCATATATTTATCACAAAACCTATATTTTTCTGACTATATCACTATTTAAAAAATGGTAATTGAGGATGAACAATACCTGTTGACTACTAACATGAATACCTAAAGGGAAATTTCTCCCATAGCCAAGATTCATGGGCCCAGGAATCGACAGGTAGAATGGGAGTGGTACTCAATATTACCCATAGTTAATGTTACCCACTAGTGGATTTTTTTCTTTCTTTCCTTGTGATCCTAGCTATGCTAGTATAGAAGTCTTAATTTCAAAGGGAGGAATGCTTGCACTGGGAGATACAATAGTGATTTCATTGAAATAAACTTAAGACTGCCCCCTAGCCACTTTGGGCTCCTTATGCCTCTGAGTCAACAGATAAGTAAAGGTGTCACCTTACTGACTGGGGTGATTGATCCAAATTATATAGTGATAAATGGATTCCTACTGCACAATGGAGATATGCAATAGTATGTCTAAAATAAAGAACATCCCTTAGGGTAGCTGTCTTAGCTTCGGCTGCAATAACAAAATATCACAGACTGAGTGACTTAAACAACAGACATTTATTTCTCACAGTTTTAGAAGCTAGCAAGTCCAAATTCATGGTGCTAGCAAATTCAGTTCCTGGTGAAGGCCTTCTTCCTGGCTTGCAGATGGCTGCCTTTTCACTGTATCTTCACGCGGTGGAGAGAGAGAGAGAGAGAGCACATGCTCACTCTGGTCTCTCGTCTTTCTTCTTTCTTCTTTTTTTTTAATTCTTTCCTCTTTCTGCCTTCTTCTCATTCTGCTTCTCCTACTTTTTTCTTTTTTTGAGAGAGGGTTTTGCTCTGTCACACAGCTGGAGTATAGTGGCGTGATTCTGACTCACTGCAACCTGTGCCTGCCATGCTCAAGTAATTCTCCCACCTCAGCCTCCCCAGTAGCTGGGACTACAGGCATGCTCCATCATGCCCAGCTTTTTGTATTTTTTATAGAGACGAGGTTCACCATGTTGCTGAGACTGGTCTCGAACTCCTAGGCTCAAGCAATCCACCCACCTTGGCCTCCCAAAATGCTGGGATTATAAGCGTGAGCCACCACACTGTCCTTTCTTCTATTTATAAGGACTCTAATACCAAGAAGGCCAGCCTTCATGAACTCATCTAAACCTAATTACCTCTTAAAGGCTCACCTCCAAATACCATCACATTAGGGGTTAGGGCTTCAACATATGAATTTTGAGAGACACAAACTTTCAGCCCATAACAGCATCTATTAGTACAACCATGCCCTGTAAGTAACATCGATGGAAAACTACAAAAAATCAATTTATATTTGACTACTAATGGCCCAAACTCTTCAGGAATGGAGAAACGCAACCAGCTGAGGTCCTTACTAAGGACAATGAGAATGGGTAGTAGAAGAAAGTAGCTATAAATAACAGCTACAACCACATAATTAGTTACAGGGAGGGCTGTAATTATTATGAATATGTGTGTGTATACGTATACAGCAATTATCTTTATTATCTTCCTTCTCTTATCTCTTTATTATATATCATAAGATGTATTAACATTATATCATAATATTTAAGTTACAGGACATCAAGGAGAAGAGCAAATATCACCCAGAGACTTAGCATTAACTTCTGGAAAAATGGTGTATTAGTCCGTTCTCCCACAGCTATAACGAAATACCTGAGGCTGGGTAATTTATAAATAAAAGAGGTTTAATTGGCTCATGGTTCCACAGGCTGTACAGGAAGCATGGCAGCATCTGCTTCTAGGAGGTCTCGGGAAGCTTACAATCATGGTGGGAGGCAAAGGAGGAGCCAGGCACTCCACAGGGCCAGTGCAGGAGGAAGAGAGAGCGGGGAGGTGCCACATACTTTTAAACAACCAGAACTCACTCACTATTATGAAAGCAGCACCAATGGGGATTGTGTTCTACCATTCATGAGAACTCTGCCCCCATGATCAGATCACCTCCCACCAGGCCTCACCTCCAACATTGGGGATTACAATTCAACATGAGATTTGGGTGGGGATACAGGTCCAAACCATAAATGGTTAGTGTTCTTTCAGTTGCAAGCAAGATAGTTCTACCATTTTGGTCAAAAGTATTCTTTTGTTAATGTCTTTATTTAGAGATTAGATATGGCTCAAGAAAATATATATAGTGCCATGTTCACATGGGATGGACTGTGAATATTAACTTTATTTGTCAACTTTGCTAGGTCATGGTGCTCAGTTATTTAGTCAAGCACCAGTCTAGATGTTGCTATGAAAGCATTTTTTACATGTGATTAGGATTCAAGTCAGTAGGCTTTGAGTAAAGCGAATTACCCTCCATAATGTGGGTGGACCTCATCCCATCAGTTACAGTTTTTAAGAGAAAAAACCAGGTTACTAAAAAGGAAAGAATTATTCCATTCAACTCTCTTCTGACTTAAGACTACATCATCAACTTTTGCCAGAATTTTCAGCCTGCTATCTTATCCTTCCTTGAAAACTATAGAAGCCAACTCTCACTATCACATGAGCCAATTTCTTAAAATAAGTCTCTCTTTCTCTTTCTCTCTCTCTCTGACACACACGCACACACACACACAGACACACACACACACACACACACTCTATTGATGATGTTTCTCTGGATAACCCTGATTAGTACATAAGGAAATCATTAAGTACAGCTTGAGTGTTCCAAATCTCAAAATTTGAATTCTGAAATGCCTCCAAATCCAAAACTTTTGAGCATCAACATGAGGCTCAAAAGAAATACTCATTGGAGCATTTCTGATTTAAGATTTTTGAATTTGGAATGGTCAACTACTTCAATGAAAATATTTCAAAACCTGAAAAAGATAAAAAATCTGAAACACTTTTGCTACTAAGCATTCTGGATAAGGGATACTAAACCTGTAGTATATTTTAGATAATAGTATCTTTAATCGGTTAATTCAACTGCTTAAAATGACATAGAATAAGCCCTATATTTCTGCAGGGTATTCAACTGGTGTCTATTAAAAAAATCTAAATTTTTAGAGAGCATTGGGATACTTCATCTAAATTCTATGAAGTTTACCAATAGAGGATCAATAGGAACACAGATTAAAATTGATGTTTTCAAAGATAACACAATTGTCACAGATTTGAAATACAAGATTTAAAGACTTTTAATTTCTTTCTTTCTTGTTTTGTTGTTTCTCATGCCAGGACAAGTTTTTAAAAAGCATTAAGTCATCTTTGGTCAGGCAAGTACTCTTTTCAATAGCCGTCTTAAGTGTTCTGTTTGAGCTTGTAGTAATGAGAAAATCCCTACATTACCTCACAAAGCATACATGATTTTTAAATAAGAACCTTCTGACAGTTCAGGAATTTTAAGCTTAAATTTAAACAAAGATTTAAAAAAAAAAAAAAACTTTTTCACGATTTTGGGAAAGAAAAGCCAGAGTGACCTGATTAAGAGATAAATAGATAAATGATTTGCTGCTTTAGTTAAGCCTGTTGAATAGGTATAATTTGAAGAAAAAATAGCATCTTAAAGTCCTTAATATTAGGCACTATGTGTCTGTTCAGTGTGGTATGATTTATGTGAGGGTTGTTCTTTTGAAAATTTTGTATATTTACAGTCTTTCATTTAGTTTAGGGTGTGCTTTGGTTTGAATGTATCTCCAAAACTTCATGTATTGGAAACATCCTCAAATTTACATGTTGACTGGGGGTGGAACATTTGCGAGTTAATTAGGATTAGATAAGGCAATCAGAGTGGACCCCCATGCTGGGACTAGCGGCTTTATAAGAAGAGGAAGAGAGACCTGAGTTGACATGTACTCTCTTGCCTTCTACATTTTGACGTCCTCTGCCATGTTGTAATAGAGGAAGAAGGCCTCACCAGATGCTGGTGCCATTCTCTTGGCCTTTTCAACCTCCAGAGCTATTAGAAATAAATGTCTTTTCTTTATAAATTACCATTCTCAGATATTCAGTTATAGCAACAAAAAATGCACCAAGACAGGGTCTATGTAAGAAACTCCAATTTAAAAAAGAAAAAGCAAAACTAGAGGCATATTAGCAGTATTTTTTTAAACAGGTAGACCAGCTCAATATCATACAAGTTATGCAAATTATTAATTGGTTCACACTTAAAATTTGTCACACAAATACTACATAATTAAAATTTTTATCACATGACCTTTTCTTTTATAAAATTATTAATAATTTGACATAGATTTACGTGCAGCTGTAATAAATAATATAGATAAATATTTTGTAGAGTCTATACAGGTTTCTCTAAGGATAATATCTTGCAAACTATAGTGCTGTGAAAGGAAAATATCTTGGGACCCCAAAATCACTAAGCTAAAGGGAAAATTCAAGCTGAGAACTGCTTAGGGCAAATCTGCCTTCCATTCTATTCAAAGTTATTCCTCTGCTCATGGAGATAAATGTGTATCTGATTGCCTTCTTTGGAAAGGTGAATCAGAAACTCAAAAGAGTGCAACCGTTTGTCTGTCACCTGTCTGCGACCTGGAAGCCCCCTCCCTGCTTTGAGTCTTCCCGCGTACCAAACCAGCGTAATTCTTACATATATTGATTAATGTCTTCTGTTTCCCTAAAATGTATACAACCAAGCTGTGCCCCGACTACCTTGGGCACATGTCCATCAGGACTTCCTGAGGCTGTGCCATGGGCACACATCCTCAACCTTGGCAAAATAAACTTTCTAAATTAACTGAGACCTGTCAAATTTTCCGGGTCCACAGTATAATATCACAGCCAGAATACTAACATTAAGTCAAGATAAAGAACATTTATATCTCATCATAGACTATTGCCTTTTTATAACTACACTCACTTTACAACAGCCCTTATCTCCAGGCAACCACTAATCTGTTCTCTATTTCTATAATTTTGTCATTTGAAGAATGCTACATAAATAAAATCAAATAATATGTAAATTGTAGGGATTGCCTTTGTCTCACTCACCATGATTATCTGGCAATTCATACATGTGGCTGTGGGAGTGAAAGTCCATAGTATGATGTATTGATTATTGTTTAACCCTTCTCCTCTAGAAGTACATCTGAGTTGTTTTCAGTGTTTGGCTGTTATAAGTAAAGTTGCTGTAGTCCCATCACTTTGGGAGGCCAGGGCCAGGAGTTCAAGACCAGCTTGGGCAACATGACCAAACTTGTCTCTACAAAAAAATACCAATATTACATGGATGTGGTGACCCACTCCTGTAGTCCCAGCTACTCAAGAGGCTGAGGTGGGAGAAACACTTGAGCCCAGGAGGTTAATTTATACTTGAATTTTTGTCCTAAATTTGTAGTTGTGTTCACGTTATCTTTTATGAGTATAATATGGAATGCTTACTCAATACTAAATTGTGTTTTCTCTATCTTCCATATTGGAATGGAGCATATTTTTGGCAGGATTGTTTAATATCTCCCAACAACATTTTGATACGAATGGTAGTCTAGCAGTTTCTGAATACAGTGGACCAGTTAAAGGTTTTTGTGGTCACTCAATAGTCCAATAGAGACCTTCAATTATAAAAACTTTCCTTCTAATACTGTGCCCTTTTGGAAATACTAACCAGATGTATAGCCCTTTCCAAACTTGAAATTTATTATTTGAGTAAGCATGTTTATCCTGGTTTATCAGGATCACAATTACTTTTAGTGGTGAACAAATGGAGAAAAGGTGTTTTATTAAATGGCTGGTATCTCTCTGCTGTCATGTTAGAAACAGGTAAGTGAAAATTCAGCTTCACTGTGCCCCAAAGAAAGTTCACTTCATTTGTATAAATTAGTTTATTATTAAGGAAACTTAGAACAATTCCATTATAAGCAAAAGAGAGACAGGTGTGTATGGGATGAATATCATTATAGGGAGAAAGTTTAAAAGGAGCTGTAAAGCCCAAAGGAAATGTTGAAAAATGTGAATAAGTGGGAGAACTGAAAGTACTTTCCTTCTCTGAAAGCTAGAACCCTGCTTATTTCTCTATCTCCACCCTGTTTTGTTTCTATGTCTCTCTTTTTTTTTTCTCTCTGCCTGAGGCTGAACCCTGGGGACTGGAAAGCAAGGGTCTTTTAATGGGAAAATTCTTTCCTTGGAAAATTTCCCTGCAGGGAAGAATGAGAGTTTAATTTCTTTAACAAATGATGAATTACTAACTCAGTTTGAGGACATTAGGTTACGTGTTCCATGTCCTAGATTAGATTCCACCTACAAGATTCCTTTCACATATCACACAGCTAGGAAAGCAGAGATAACAAAATTGCTGGAGCAAGGGATAATTAAAAACCTGTTCAAAGGCAATATTCACTTATAAGTATGTCAGGATGGTAAGTCATTGCATTATACTTTTAAAAAATGATAACCAAAAGAGGAGATAGATGGATATATTAAACAGGAGAAACACACACACACACACAGACACACACACACAGTGTCATATAATTCTGTATTTTTCCTACCAAAATGCAAGGAAGTAAGCTTTTTCAATTTGGATTACCAGTGAATCTGATGCAATTGAGAAGTTATCAGGGACCACCTAGAGTACCTGAAATCTTAAGAGGGAATATGCCTTGTTCCTCACCTGATGTCATCAATTTAAGGCTCTTTTCCATGTTTCAAGCAGCACTGCATGAGTTTGCAGAAGTACTCCAGAGTGTTTTCAGTGTACAGGCCTACACCTGGTTATACACACCACCTACTGCATGCAATCCTGCTCAACACCTTTCTCATTTATTGAAGCAAACACCTTGAAAGCCAACAAAAGAAATCTACCCCATTAGGAGGCCCCATGACCATGAAAGTTTAATTATCCATCAACCGTGACAAGGAAGGTAGGGTTGAGTGCAAAAAGCCCACCAAGAAAGATTGCCATGGTCAAGCTTTTACTCAACATGTGAACTGGGAAGAGTATGTCGTTGTACCGAGAAATCAAATGAGTTCCCCACTACTTTCCAATAGTGGCTTGTTGAACCTTTCTCAAATTTTACAGGAATGAATCTAGCAGTAAATCCAAATCCTTCTGCCAGGGCTAGGCACTGTGGCTCACACTTGTAATCTCAGCACTTTGGGAGGCCAATACAGGAGGATCACTTGAGTGTAGGAGTTCAAGACCAGCTGGGGAAACATGAAAAAAACAAAAAAACAAAAAACAAAAACAAAAAAAAACATTGCTACAAAACTTAGCCAGGCACAGTGGCACAAGCTTGTAGTCCCAGCTACTCAGGTAGCTGAGGCAGGAGGATTGCTCGAGCCCAGGAAGTTGAGGCTGCAGTGAGCCATGATCATGCCACTGCACCACAGTCAGGGTGACAGAGTGAGACACTGTCTCCAAAATAATACAACTTTAAAAACCTTCTTGGCAGTTTCTACATAGAGTGGAGCAGGTGAAGGTTTTTGTGGTCACTCAATAGTCAACTAGAGACCCTAAATTATAAAAATTGTCTTGTTAGCTCTCTTCTCTTTTGGAAATACTAACCACATGGATAGCCTTTCCAGACTCAAAACTTATTATTGATTAAGCCTGTTAATCCTGGTTTAACCACTTTCTTTTCAGATCTTTTGCCTACTCTCCTAGCTCAAGTTAGCGAATAAGTGAAAGGTTGGCAAAAACAAAAGTTATTACTGAACAAAATAACTTCTAGTCTGGCCAACCTATGAAGAAAAAACAAGGAAAATCAACGTGTCAATTTGTAGAAAGCCGGCATTTTGGAAAAGGAATTATAGAAAGAAGATGCAGATGTTTCAGGAAAAAGGGAATCAGGAAATCCCAGAAAGACAGAACCATACAGTAGGTAATAATTGGGAAATGGGTCAAAATTAACAGTTTGGGGAATATTGGAGGCAACAACTGCTAAACCATATGTTTGGATAACTTTTCTCAGGTAATCTTACTTTACCATTCTTGATAGATATTGATACTCCTTATTTTGCCATCCACAGGAAGTTCTTGCTTTTCCATTTGATGACAAATCAATACAGGCTATTTGTATTTCTGGTTAGTCTTCTACTTATTCCTTCTTCACCATGGTTCCCATAGAGATAGATAGGTCCTCTGAGAAAGAGACATGCTTTCTAATTTCTGCTGAAGCTTCTGTAAATCCACTGAGGAGAGAACTGCTGTACAAATTAAAAGCTACCATATTCAATACTCAGCAAAAAGCATCTATGATGCACCAGGTATGTAAGGCTTGATTTGGTTCCTGTGTGCTTTCTTTGAGAAAAGGAGATTAGAAGAAAGGGGAAATCTCACTCCTTTCTGGGATGCACTCTGAGCTGAAACAAATTGATGCATTATTTTTGGCCCTAGGGCATAATAATATAGGTTTAATCACAGATGTTGAGCCAATAAAATAGCTTATCAAAAGGATAAGCTGTGGCCATGTGTAAATAATATCCTTTAACAAGAGCTCAATTAGAGGAAAAAAACAGTTATAAAAGAATTTGATGTACAAGGGATACAAAAAAGTAAATAAATTTGCAAGTCATTTAAATCGTTTCTTTAATCCATATAAATTTGTGCTTTTCAATTCTTCTTTGAATACCTTATACCATCTGTCTGGCTCATTCACATCATATTAATTAAATAAAATCTTTAACTTGTTCACTTTCTTGATTTTACCCTTTTCTGAAAGTTATCTTTTAAGAATTTTGGAGGTTTTCAACTGAGATGCCCCATGGATTCACCTACCAGAGCCTGATAAATTTTGTCATCAGAGAAGTACACCTTCTGTTAGGTGCAAACCTAGGTGTATCCTTGCTTGGTTTCCAGAGGGGAATTCGAAGTAGCAATAGGATTGTGCTGCTTCACTGTTTTTCACATTTAAAATTTTCAGTCCACTAATTTTGTTTCTGTTTTGAAAAAATTCAGTAAATTATTTCCCATTGACAAGTTCTGTGGTTTAATGATTTCTGAAGATAGATTGTATCGGTTGTTTAGAGAGGTCAATTCTCTATTGGGTGACAGATGATGGAAAAACTTTTGTTGTTGTTGTTGTTGTTGTTGCTGTTGCTGTTAATTTTTCTATTTGTCTCTTTTTAACTCAAATCAATTAAAAATGTCATACCCGTAGAGAAGCGACATTTGGACTTAAATACAAGAGAAGTGGTTTAAACACAACAATAGACACTTATTGTCTCTTGTAGTTTATAAATAGATGTTAACTATGACTTGAAGAACTGGACAATAAATTGATGAACACCAAAGTTTCACAGAGGTAGAAATTCTATGAAGTTACTCTCACCCATAGAACTTGAGGAACCCCCAAAAAGGCAAGGATTGTTACAAATATAGGAGAAGGGAGGAGGGGTTAAGTGGAGAAACATAGCTTTAGGAGAAGAGAGTGTTGCTAGGCTGAAGTTAGTGACTGTAAGCTTGAAAGAGGGCTCTGCAGAGATGAGACTCAAACTCTGAGTTTGACTACTAATTTTCTGACACTGGTGTTCCTTGGGGACATGACAATGCTGGTTTGGCTATTGTTAAAAAAAAATTGCAAAAAGCATTCAACAGCTGATACTGGAACTAACTGCCATTTTCACAATGAAAAAATAAGTATTTCTGAGAGATGCTGACAGAAACTTGCAGTAGAGAACCAACAGAATGAAACAACCTCTTCTTCCTTCAGCCTTTTAATCTCTTTCTAGGGAATCTTATTGCAGAACCTAGCACAGAACCTACTTACGAAGCTTAAAGTTTTTGCAGTTGTTCTAGCCAAACATCATAAAAGAGGGTACAGTTAAAATGAATTCGTAGCTGAGAGACACTACATCAATAACTGGCACAGTTGTATTCATGAAAATATTGAACATAGACTGAAATTGTGTCAGGTACAAGTTGCCTGAGCTTGACATTGATCCCCTTCTTATATAGAACCCGCTGAAATCTCCCTTTGCCCTGTCCCATCCAAAGGGATTTCTTTTTATGAAAAATCCCTGATTTTCACCTTGTGAAATTGCCAAGGTGAAAATTTCATTGTCAAGGCCCTGAAATTCTGTATTGACAAGTCACTCCACCTCATCTTGCAATACTGTTTAAAAAAATCTTTTTACTTACTCTAGAGATGGCATATATGTATTTCAATGTATTTGTTTTTTCAAACAGAAGCCATAAATCCATTCGAGTGGCTTTTGCTTTCTCTCCTATTACAGCTGTCTTCTGAACAATGAAACACTGCTTTTACCCTATCCAGCTGTGTAAACTTGGGAAGATAGCCTAGCTCTATTTGTACCCCATTTTAGCACATTATACTGGGAATAATATTTCTAACTCATAGGATTTTCAGGTGGATTAAATAAATCAATGTGAACATATTAAGAGAGTATCTGGCATAGACTAACCATAATATATCATTATCATTATTGACTTTATTACTATAATAAAACTGTTATTATCACGAATGGGAGTAGTATGAAACAAATTTAGCAAAATTTATCCAAATTCCATAATTTATTTGCAAAATATACAACCACAAATTAATATGGCTGACATATGTAGGGAAACTAAAGTTGAAAAACTATACTGTGACAATTATAGAAAAGCAGTCAAGGTATTTTACACCAAATAAAGCTTTGTAACTGAATTATCCATATAATTGTGTCAATTCTCCAATTTATTTTCTCAGTTTAGTCCTTATCTCAAGTAATAACTTCATTGACTCAATAATTTGATTTAATAATAAAATAAAAATATCACTAGGATTTAACATAGATAGCCGTCTTTACAATGCTTCAGAAAACCATTTAGTCTTCAGTGAACAGAAAACATGATGCCATGTTACATTTAAATCTATATTTTAAAATATTCACATGAAAATCACTTTTGGCAATTGGATTTTGAATTGAGCAGAGTACATCATTTATATCACACATGCATGTAATCATTCATTGACTTAATATGCATTATAGGAGAGCCATCAAGGAAAATAGTACATTGCTATTAGAACATGAAATCACATAAAAGATGAATGACAAGAAAATAACCATAATTGTATTGATTCTCCACACGGGAGGGAGCTTGGCTCAAACAGGAAACTCTATAAGCACATTTCAAATGCATCATATTATTAACAAGTTATATGACATATATTTTTAATTTAAAATGTTCAGTTATGAGAAACAAGCCATTTAAGAACACTGAAGTGCCTTACAGTGCTTTTCAAATGTGAAATTTCTATATATTATAAAACTGGGTTGTTGAAAATAAATGCATTTATATGTGGATAATGGAGTTTATAAAAATGCCGATGATATTTGCATTTCAATCCCTAACCCCACTCCTACCCCAACAAGCAGGCACATACTTACAAATTAGTAAGTGTGTGCGTGGAGGAATGGAAGTAAGAGAAAGCTTTCCCTTCTCATCAAATTTGGCAGTTAACACTCAACCAGATACCTTTTATTTTTGAAAATGGTTTGGTCGTTTTTATTATTTCTGTACTGGAGGATTCTAAGGTGAAGTATTGGAGTGGCCAGTAGAAATAACTTACAATGAAACAAGATTAGGAATAACAAAGGAAGAAAAAAGTTTGTAGTACACCCATGAAGTATTCTTGAGCTTGTTCAGAGGCGAGAAAGATGGCTTGCTTGAGAGAGAAACTATTATTAAGATCCATGCCAGAATTCCAAAATGGAATGCAATTTATACTCCCAGAATTTTATAATATGATAGAAGTCAGAGATAAGAAGATATGGAGCCTATTTTCTTATGATGCTATTGAGAAATGTGAAGTTGAGATTTGCCTTAAAATCATCCAGCTAGTGTTAGCAAAAGAACTTGAACTCAGACATCCTCACACCAGAATAAGTATTCACTTTCCTCTTGAAAGTCAGAGAATATCTTATTGAGGACTGAAAATTATTAGTAATTTATACATCGTATTTCTTACTAGGAGAAATCTGTCTCATTAGGAATGGGCATGAACCAGAGAGTTAATTAAAACTGAAGAGCATATGATGGAGATTAGATAAGAAAACAAGGAGCACATTCATCCTAAATAGCCCAAAGACAGCTGACTCACTGATGCCACTGCTACTTCTTTTCAGGATACTGTAGGATCACCAATATCTGAGAGAGGAATTACTCATTAACACTCATAGCACACTGTGCACTTTACATATATCTATACTAAATATATAATACTATAATTATTTATATTTATATATAGTCATTTTTACATATAATAGTACTAAATATAGTACTATAATTCAAACATTTTAAGATAATGCTACTAAACATATATATAAAGAGAGTACTATATATATATTTAGTATAGATATATAATTTGCACAGTGTACTGTGATTATTGATGAGTAATTTCTCTTTCAGATATTGGTGATCCTACTGTATCCTGAAAAGAAGTAGCAGTGGCATCAGTGAGTCAACTGTCTTTGGGCTATTAGGGATAAATATGCTCCTTGGGTAGTATAGTATAGTATAGTATAGTATAGTATAGTATAGTATATAGTATAGTATATACTATAGTATATACTATAGTATATACTATAGTATATAGTATAGTATATACTATAGTATATAGTATAGTATATACTATAGTATATAGTATAGTATAGTGTGGTATATATATATATATATATATATATATACCACACACACGTATATATGTGAAATGTGTATATATAGTTCTCTACTTTTTTAATGCCATTTTCTCTGAGACACTTTCATTCCTCCTTACTTCAACTAATTCTTCAAAATAAACATCAATAACTGACTCTTTTTGGAAACCTTTTCTAAATGCCTCCTTTTTTCTCAGCCTCAATTGAAGGATCATGCCTTTCTTCTTTATGCTATCATAGATTCTTATGCATACATCTAACCTCTGTTTTATGGCTATATATTACTTGTGACATTTTATTTTGGCTTCTCAGTGAAATCAGAAGTATTCTGCACAAAGACTCAGTCTTGTTTACCACTGGGCCAAGAACAGAAATTGTTTAGAAATTAGAGGTACTTGCTGTTAAAAGTAATGTTAGCAGCTATTGGCATGAATTCCAACATTTGAATGACTTTTGAGAAAGTGATTTATTACTCATTTATGCAACATACAATTGATGGTAGAAGTTCTCTACTATTTATAGTCATTTAGGACCTGGCTGACCAACAAAATATCATGACTGTGTGTCCTAGAGTTGACATCTCACCACCAGACAGCAAAAGACTATAGAGGAGACTATGTGGTAGTTTTTTTTTTATTGACAAGCCAGAACTGGCGTTACATCTGCCAAGATTTCATTGGCCATAACATAGTCACATGGCCATAACTAACCGTATGAAAAGTTGGAAAATAAACTCTAGCTATGTATCCAAGGAGAGAGGGAAAACAAGTTTTGGTAAATACCTAGACAGGCTTTACCACAAAAGCATTTTGTAATTATTGATTGAATGAATGAATAAACAAAAGCATGAATAACTGAATGAATATATGAGTAAATAATCAACATGGTCAAGATCCTTTGGAATTGCTGCCATTTCCTATTATTTCTTCAAACTTAAAGGCTTTGTGATACTTGAGTTGTACTGTTCCCTGCCGTAAAGCTGGACATAGCAAAGCTTAGAACAGAGAGAGCGAAAAAGACATCTCCCACTTTTTAAGTCTTATTTTATAATATTTATTTATGTATTGTCTTTTTTAAATTTTACTTTAAGTTCTAGGATACATGTGCACAACATGCAGGTTTGTTACGTATGTATACACGTGCCATGTTGGTTTGCTGCACCCATTAACTCGTCACTTACATTAGGCATGATACTGGTACCAAAACAGAGATATAGACCAATGGAACAGAACAGAGCCCTCAGAAATAACACCACACCATCTGATCTTTGACAAACCTGACAAAAACAAGAAATGGGGAAAGAATTCCCTATTTAATAAATGGTGCTGGGAAAACTAGCTAGCCATATGTAGAAAGCTGAAACTGGATCCCTTCCTTACACCTTATACAAAAATTAATTTAAGGTGGACTAAAGACTTAAATGTTAGACCTAAAACCATAAAAACCCTAGAAGAAAACCTAGGCTATACTATTCAGGACATAGGCATCGGCAAGTACTTCATGACTAAAATAGCAAAAGCAACGGCAACAAAAGCCAAAATAGACAAATGGGATCTAATTAAACTAAAGAGCTTCTGCACAGCAAAAGAAACTACCATCAGAGTGAACAGGCAACCTGCAGAATGGGAGAAAATTTTTGCAATCTATCCATCTGACAAAGGGCTAATATCCAGAATCTACAATGAACTCAAGCACATTTACAAGAAAAAATCAAACAACCCCACCAAAACGTGGGCAAAGGATATGAACAGACACTTTTCAAAAGAAGACATTTATGCAGCCAACACATGAAAAAATGCTCATCATCACTGGTCATCAGAGAAATGCAAATCAAAACCACAATGAAACACCATCTCACACCAGTTAGAATGGTGATCATTAAAAAGTTAGGAAACAACAGGTGCTGGAGAGGATATGGAGAAATAGGAACGCTTTTACACTGTTGGTGGAAGTGTAAACTAGTTCAACCATTGTGGAAGACAGTGTGGCAATTCCTCAGGGATCTAGAACTAGAAATACCATTTGATCCAGCCATCCCATTACTGGGTATATACCCAAAGGATTATAAATCATGCTACTATAAAGACACATGCACACATATGTTTATTGTGGCACCATTCACAATAGCAAAGACTTGGAACCAACCCATATGTCTGCCAATGATAGACTGGATTAAGAAAATGTGGCACATATACACCATGGAATACTATGCAGCCATAAAAAAGGATGAGTTCATGTCCTTTGTAGCAACATGGATGAGGCTGGAAACTGTCATTCTGAGCAAACTATCACAAGGACAGAATACCAAACACCACATGTTCTCACTCATAGGTGGGAATTGAACAATGAGAACACTTGGACACAGGGCAGGGAACATCACACACCAGGGCCTGTCATGGGATGAGGGGATGGAGGAGGAATAGCATTAGGAGAAATACCTAACATAATATTTAAAATCATAATATTTAAATGATACATTAAGCACTTCACATAAATCATCAGTTCTCAAAAAATGCTAAGTAAACATTATCATTATTTTTCAGATAAGAATATAGAATATGTAGGGTATCGAGGTTGTTTTTCCCAGACTACTTCGCTAAAATCAGGGGTCTATTTGAACTCAAAACCTGTCTGGTCTCAAAACCAATGTGTTCCCCTTTAAGATACAATAGGATTACATCTTCTGCCATCTAACGTTCCCAAGAGTACAGCGACTAGCTTTCAGTGTTATATTCTAAATAATATTCATAAAGAAGTAAAGTTGTTCTCTGATTTTTTAAGCTATTCTGAAAACCATCATGGATTATAAATTAAGCTATCCTGATAAACGTCATAAAATATCAGAAAAGAAGCAAGATGATCACAACTTCACAATATGTTGTAGTGTATTTAGAAATTATAATAATATTTGACATTGATATTTTACAACTGAGTGTCAGTTTTAATAAGAGCTGGGGAAACAGATGTACTGTGATGTCTGTGTTTCTTTTGTAGTTCTAAGCATTTTGGAGCTTTCTTTGGAAAAATAAAACATCAAAATCTTGACGTGTTACCTCCTTAATCCACTATCTTTTGCATCTGTCCCTATGGGAGATTAGAAAATAACACCTTGCCAGATACACGTGTCAATTTTCAGAGGAATTCTACATCTTCCTGCACACATGACTCTATTAACACTGGCAAGGGATGAAGTGGAACAAAGACAAATAAATAATTAAGACATTTCTATCTTAATGTGATGTCATAAATTGATTCTTACTTAGAATAAAGAGGATTTTGTCACAGAAGTAAAGACTATGTTCCACGAAGTATGTATTAAACATTATATACACGTGGAAGGTGTATTAAATTAAAGTTACAATGCCATTAGATGGAATTTCTAAACTACCAATGCATTATCATGCCAAGAATTGAAAATAATTTGAGATTATTCAGGCATTTGGAGAAATTGGCCAATCACTGATCTTAAGTATTTGATATTAAAGCATTTTTCAAGACATAGCAGAGGATACAAGAACATGTATGCTATATACTGTATATCAGAAAGCAGAAACTTATTTGAAAATATAACCACTCATAATCAATATTAAAAAAGAAATTTATTATAAAACATTATTATAGTTAAAACACTTAGGAATAAACACTATGTAGAAATGTTATTTTGTAAATAACACAAAAATTATTGAGATGGTTCCTCTCCTCCACAGATGAATTGGTATTAAGCCTACTAACTACAAAAACTGAGTAAGAAAAATTTCATGGAGAATGAGGACAATAATTTATTTATTCTATAATACTTAGTGAGTACCTATGATGTATAAAACATTTATTAGATATATTGATGCAGACATCTCAGTGCTTGAAACATATTGATGAACACAAGTGAAACAAAATAATAAAAATACAAAAAACCAAACACCGCATGTTCTCACTCACACGTGGGAATTGAACAATGAGAACACATGGACACAGGAAGGGGAACGTCACACACCGGGGTCTGTTGTGGGGTGGGGGGAGAGGGGAGGGATAGCATTAGGAGATATACCTAATGTAAATGACGGGTTAATGGGTGCAGCACACCAACATGGCACATGTACACATATGCAACATACCTGCATGTTGTGCACATGTACCCTAAAACTTAAAGTATAATAAAAAATATATAAAAAGACAAGTGTAATTATCAAAGTTTATATTTTGTAGATGGTGGAAGAGATAATTGAAGCAACCCCGGCTCTTTGAAAATGTCCTTAAATAGCTGAACGGTGAATGTCCAAGACCTTCTGTAGAATTTTGTTAAATTCTCAGGAGCCTAGTTTTCTCAAGGTACTCCCTTCTATTTGACTTGTTACTTTGAGGAGTCGGGCAGGGGGAGAGATTGAGACAGAGAGGAGTTTGCTTACAAAAAGCATGCAGAATCATTGATTGACTAATAACATGAACGAATTCTATATATTTTAGTATTTCAACACAATGTTAATTCTGGAAATCTCAGTCACTTCTGAATGTAAAAAACTCAAATTAAAGATTTAAAAAATAAGTTTACAGACAGGCATTATTTTATTGAAAAACAGATACTGTAGTACTTGAGTACTTTCTGGCATTTCCCTATATTATTCTTTAACAGAACCCTGGTTTAGATTGAAGTGCAAAGTTAATATGCTTGGGAATAAATAATAACTGATCGAATTTGAATTTTACCAGTGATTGATCTAAGGATGGAATTCGGCTGGCTGTTTGCTACATGATAGCTAGAGCTAAAGCCTCCCCATTGCATAATAGGCGATACGCTTCACAATCAAAGCCAATATCTAGGGGAGATTGAAGCAAGTCTGTAACTTTTAGAAACTGAAGAAAACTCTAGTCTGTCTGCTTCCTGGTATCACAAAAAATAAAAAATACGTTTCTATCGTTAGACCCATTCATAGTCTGACTAAAAACATCACATCCTCATCTGTATTGCGGCAAGGAATTGTATTAAATCCAAGAGGCTCTAGTTTCCTTAGAGGCAAGATGAAGCTAAAACAACATGTTAAATTAACTCATAGGAAGAATATAAAATAAAGCACTTAATTTAATTATTCATTCATGTGTTCATCTTTACTCATTACAAAGAATAAAGCAGAGGATAAGACTTGTTTAAGATATTTACTAAACAGAGAGAACACTCTAAATATTTGTGAATTATAACAAATTATTATTAACAATAAGTGAAATTAGGAATATGGACTTCTTATATAAATTATTAGCTTCTTTCTTTTAGGAAAGTGAAACAATTTCTTTTCACAACCTCAAACATAAAATCCTGTTCTCTTCAGATTTACACAGATCAGTGGGCTTCAAATTTTGACTTCCATAATACCTTTACAATCTTAAAAGTTATTGAAGGCCTCAAATAGTTGTATTTGTGTTATATTTGTTATATAGTAATAAAATAGAGATATTTAATTTTTCATTTGTCATTTAAAATGTCAACAATAATAAATGTATTGACCTAAATAATGCATTTTATGATATTTTCCAAATTTTAAAAAAAGTTATTGCAAACAACATCACTGTTTTGCATTTTTTGCAAGTATCTTTAGTTTCTGGCTTAATAAAGGAAAGCAGTTCTCTCATATCAGTTTCTACGCTATGTTGAGATATGCTGTTTACGGAATAGTATATAAATATAATCCATCCTTACATACATTTGTATTTGAAAAAGGTTGGTCTTTTCAGATAATTGTAAAAATTCTTCTTTGATACCATACCAAAACTCAACAAGTGATAGTTTCTTAAAATTTAGTTGAAACTTGAAACCTGAAATCGTCTGAACTTGCTGAAATTTGTTACATTTAAATGCATTATTCTATATTACCCTTTGACTGGTATTTTACCCACACATGAATGTGTAATATTACACATTGGTCATTGGGAAACTATGTGCTTACATACTCACACATAATGTCTGAATTTTGACATATTCCCTTACAGTATGTTAAAACTGATATCAGCGTTCAACTCCTCAGAGGTTTCTTTAAGTCGAGAAGCTGTCAAGATCATGCATACAGATATAACTTTTCACAGACTCTAAAGTTTACATAAAAGCTTGAATTTTATCATTAGAAAAAAAAATACTGTGAATTGTTTTTCTTGAAATGGAAGACTCACTTAGTTTATTTGAAAGAAAATTCTGCTAAATACCTAGATGTAAATAACCATAGTCTTTCTATCAGTTGTTGTTACAAGTAAAAATGGTGTTTCATGAGAATACTAACTAGTTTGTCTTTCAACCCAAAGAAAAATCACAAGCGCTTTTCCTGAAGGCAACCATTATACTTTGCAGGAAAAGTACATCATGTATTTCTTCCATTTCATCACTCAGTATATGAAAATATTACATACATAAAGGCTGTGATTTAATAACATTGATTATATTTACATTTAATTAAGGACATTATTCAATAAAACTCTTTTGTTGTTTTTAGTATGTCTTTCCCATGCTCCCTTCCTTCAAAGTATGGAGTGAATAATTCAATGACTACTAGTGCAGTTTAATGCCACTACCTTTATAATCAGTCATCAGGAGTTTTACCCCACCACTATTTTACACCATCATTGGAAATAACAACAGAGCAAAGCAAAAGGGAAATCACATTTTAGCATTAGTATGAATGTACTTTGATCTCAGGAAACTGAATGGTCCCTAGGTCCATTTACAGGTTCACAAACTGTCCTCAAAACATTCCCGATATAAAGCAGCACATAAATGTAATGGTATATAATAGATTTATTTGATCACTTAATAGATAGCCTTATTCATAGTAACCAACTTAAAATATTCAATTTAATTGACATGAATTACAAATTAAATAATGGAACAATTACATTTTCTAAAGGGTGAATAAACTTCTTTGAGAAAAGAAAATGAAAGATTTGTTTCACATTATTTTGATTTTGATTCCAGATCAGCAATTTCTAGAACAAAAATTGTTTCATGGTTAAAGCTTCAATTTACCTGCAATTCAATATACCAAACAACAAATTCCAAGTTTCAATTTCACTGCTATTACATATGTGCAATTGAGTGTCTTGAAATACAACACATATTTATTCTTTAGCTTATAAGAAATCAGAACAATGCAAAATATACTTCTCATAAAATGGAAGGTCTATACCAATGAAGCATACTTCTGGATGTAATCAAAATTAGTTTACATAACTTTAGGTACTGCAAAACAAAAACCTCAACATATGTTATAAATGTTGATACACAAACTATAGATTTGTTTAAAGGCTTCTATATGCTTCTTTGAAGTTGAGAATTCTAACATGTACAGTGCATTCTTTAGTATAATTGCAAATGATGGTTTACAATATGAATTTGATAATCAATTATAGACACCAAATCCATAAGCCATATTATGTAATCAGTGGTCAAAGATAAATACTTTGAAGAATATGCTTTACATTTCAGATTCTAATTAATGTAGCATATTGATCCTAACTATATGCATGTTCAAGAGCTGTTAAGGATTCACTTTTAAAAAGATGATTCTCTAAAATGATTTAGAGGAATATTTGCAAGTGAAATTTTTATTTATTTTTATCTACAATAAAACCAATTAAAGCAGTATTTCCTTTTAAATATTCATAAGTAATGCATCTCTGAGTAATAATGAGAAATAGAACAGATGACAGCCTGATTTTATGCAACTATGCAATTAAAATAATTTGCTCTGGCTGTTTTCATAGGATAGAAATCACATAACCTTACTTCTTTACAATTTCAATTAGACCTCTAATTAATTGATGCCAAATTCCTTTGCTATCTTATGTAGAAATAATATGAATATAATAAAGATGTATTTTACATGGAATTATAAAATACAATAGTCATTTCGATATACACACAATTCTAAGAAATAATAGGTAGCAGAAAAATTAGTACTCTACCATATTATTCTTACTACCTTTACTTTTCAATCTGTGTGTTGCTATACCCTGTGAAATAGTTTACATTTGCTGTTTCTCTAGGGGGTGAAATCCAGAATTCTGTGACAGTGGATTGTAAGAAACATTACCAATAATAAAGTTATTTTACCATTATGTTTATTTTGTCTCATAACCTCTGAAAATTTGATATCATTTGTCTTGTCAAATGTTGATCCAATTGCTACTATTATATCTATTTTTCCTACATTAATTATTGATTCATAAGTAGCAGAAAGAAAATGATGCTTTGTCTAAATTCTTCCACTTAAAAGCCAAATCACATGGAAATTTTATGTAAAACATATGACTTATTCATTATATTTTCATCATTTTTATGAATGAGTAGTGGAGTGTATGAAAAAATAAAGAATCTTTATGGTCAATATGTTTGGATTAATGTTTATTGAACACCTACTTAATCTTCAATGCATTGGATACTGAAGAACAGATTGAAGCCCTGCACCAAGATAATTACAGCCTAATGGAGAAGACAAGCATTTATCAAATATTCACACAATTTAATATCAAGATACACCCACAATATGTATTTCTGGCCGTACATGGTTTTATTAGAAACTGTAATTGGAGATTACTTTAGGAAGATACAATTAAACTAAAACCAAAACTATGGAAACAAGTTTATTGTCTAGCTAATTTAAAGGAGTTTTACACCCAGATGGAACGGCATGGACAAACACACTTTGGCAGGAGAAACTGAAAGGTAGCCAGAGAGACTGCAGTGGAGAGGTAAGAGATGACAATTCATGGGGGAGGGAGTATTGAAGACAGACAAAGGAAGTTTTTAGAACTTGGTGACAAATTAGATTTGGAATCCAATAAGGCTCCTAAGTTTCTGGCTTACACAATTATCCAAATTCACTGAGATATGAGCTATTGGAAGAGAATCAAGTTTTCTCTTCTGGAGCGAAGAGGAGGAAAGGCAGTATGGAAGGGAGAATGAAAGTCAGCAATTTGTTTGTATAATTGAAGTTTCATTTGCCCTTAAAATATCTAAAAAGTACTATGAATTGGAATTAATATAAGTTTGGAATTCAGTGGAGAGATTTTGGTTTCATAGGTAAATTTGTGTCATCTTTATAGAAATAAATGTTGTAACTCTGGGCTTCAAGGATTAATAGTGACAGGGGAAGAGGTCCTAAGACTAAGACTTGGGGAACTCTAGGAGATTGAGTCTGAAAAGGAAGACAGGCAGGTTAAGAGTGAAGGAGTAGCCCCAGGAGAGTGTTGTGTTACAGAAGCCACTTTCTTCTGTTTTCAGAAGGAGAGAAATCAGTAGTGTGAATTCCACAGAGAGATGAATTAAATGAGGTTTAAAGACACAGAAGCCAGATAAAACATTTATGTGAGGGTTATTAAAAATGTGGTAGACTGAAAGCCATTTCAGAGTGGTTTCTTCAAGAGATGGAAGGTGATACAACACACAGAATAACCCTAGAAAGATTGAATTAAAGGATAGTTTAAAAGGAAGAGCTTTAATCCAAGAGATCATTATGGGTAACATATTTTTCAATAATGCAAGTAGTGCTGGTTAATTATTTGTGTCTACTTGGCTAGGTTAAGGGATGCCCAGAAAGCTGGTCAAACATTATTTCTGGGTGTATTTATCAAGTTATTTTGAAAAATATTAGCATTTGAATCAGTAAACTAAATAAAAAAATTGCCATCACCAGTGTGGACTGACATCATCCAGCCCCACCAAGGCCTAGCTAGAACAAAATGTCAGAGGGAGGGTGAATTCTCTGTCTCTCCTTGAGCTAAAACTTTCATCTTCTTTTGCTCTTGGATGTCAGAGCTCCTGGTTCTTGGGCCTTCAGACTCTGAGACTTCCACCAGAAGCCCCCTTAGTTCTCAGGTCTTTGGACTTGGCCTGAATCACACTATAGATTTACTGTTTCTTCAGCTTGAAGATGTCATATCAAGGGACTTCTTGGCTTACATAACTGCAATATCCAATTGCCATAATAAATTTTCTCTTTTATATGTATCTATGTATAGCCCATCCTACATATATCCAATGTCTCAGTAGAATTGTAATACATCAGCTTTATGTTCTAAGATTGGGTAAAAATATAAATAGTTCTCAATGATTAGACAGCTAGCATACATTAACAATAATATATAGAAAAAGCTAGACGATAAATGTTTAGGGTTTGGAAAATTAGGACTTCTGACTTGGCAGAGTATTTTGTTTTTTGTTTAATCACACTTTTTTTAAATATAATATTTTGCCAGTATGATATACATTAAGCCATTTGATTTAGCAACTTACATTAAAGTTAATGTAATAGCATTTGTATCACTTTTAATACAGATATAATATAATTAGTATATCCTGCAAAAAATATTACTTCCAAGAATAACTTAGCATTTCATGAAAGCCTCAGAATACTGATCCATTGCTGGAACTCTAGTATTGCATGTAACTAGATTTCGTTTAGAATTTTGATTATTAATCATATACTTTAAACTATTAATCTTCCTGTAGTATAGAAGTTTAGATGACTTTTGCATATCTGATACACATATTTATATAAATGTACGTATATAGGCATACACAGTTTTATAATATCTGTTGGATAAACATACCTTTATTACCTTTTTGTCAGGTATGATATAGGAGATAGGCTACATTTAATCATTTGTGGACATTTTATTTTTAATAAGTTTTTTTATGTCAAGCATGTGACATTTTACTTTTCATAAAGGTGAATATCATTTCACCTTTACTTAGATTTATCTCATTATTTTCTGCTTTGGAATTAAAATTTGAAATTTATTTTTCGAGGAGAAAATCAACAGTGCACTCTGCATACTAAAATATACTAAAACAGAGATTTGAAAAGTGTACTATAATTTATAACACAATGAGGCAAGGAAAGGTGAATCTAGACAGTCAGGACACAAAACAAGGAGATAGGGAATGAGAGTTCCTACTGGGACAAACTAATCTGGACTGACTGCCACACTGCATACACTTCAACTGATCATTAAATTTGAAGATTAATTGTTTTGAATTACAGGAAACTCTAACTACATAGCAGAAAACAGTACCTGAAAGTTAAAAAAAAAAACAGACAAAATGTAGTTTATGTAGAACAATATTTGGCATTTGAAAAATCCAGTAGAAAAATGGGGTAGAGTTGGACCTTGACAGAATAGTGATAACGACTGGGTGGACAGTTGCTGCTTCTCAGCAACCAAGATAGGTTTCAAGAACAAAACTCAAGTTTCTGGACACTGGGAATTTTCAAGACATATGAGGGCCTACAACTATGGAATAACATGAATTATTAATATGGAGCATTGGCCCAGGTGTATAAGACAGGAATTTAATACCATGGCTGGAACAAAATGGCTCCAATTTGGAGAAACTAACAGACCTAAATGCATATCTCGATTATCAAAATTAAACTAAAGTTCTTATTTAAAGATAAAAACTTTTTAGAAGCCTAATGTGTTCTATTTGGTAGTCTCACTGGCCCAAAATCCTTGAGGCTTTTTCCTAGGAGGCCCATGTAAGGATGTTACAGCAAGATTGTAAGGATTTTACATGAGGCTTTCCTAGGAGGAGGTACAGGTTATAAGGAATTGCGACAGCACAGACTGAGGAATGGGATGTTCTTAGTCAAGTTTCTGAGGTTAAAACCTGCTTGACATTTCATAATTTTCGTTGTGGAAACCTTAGTATAATGGATGACTCCCATTTATACCGGATGGTGAAGATTAATGAAATGTTGTCTTGGAAACAGAAAGTCAGTGAATATCTTTTACAACTCTGTGCACACTTCATCTCCCCAACCTATAGAAATAATAAAAACCTTCTGTTTATTGCATTGCAAAAACAAAAGTTACAATAAGCAAATTAGGGATATATTATCTAAAGAGATACAAACAATATTCTAGTCTACCATTAGTATGATGTATAAAAAGTATAAGTTATGATTTAGTATTTTTCAGACATGTGATGAGAATAACACCAAAAGTAGGGGTATAGCTCTCTTCTGTCAAGTTATGTGTGATCGTGAGTATTTCTTAAAAACAAAAAGAAAAAAGAAAGTAACCCCTTAAGGTGCCTAATTTGCTAATAAGTTGTCACCTATTAAAAAAAACAGTTCTCACCATCTAGAAAGTTTTCAATTAAACAAAAATGTAGAATTATTTGAGTATACACATATCTACTTATTATTTTTCAAGGATGCACCTTGTAGTAAGCACAGATCTCTCAGTTATGCTTTTCTTTTCCTGAAAATTCCAACTCAAAATATATCCTAAACAATATGGCTATCAATGGTCTTATTCATTAAAAATTTCAAAAAATATATGTTTCTCTGTTTAATTCATCAAAGCCAAAGCTTTTTTCACCTTTATATTCAATCAAAGTTATGATGGGCTTTTATTTTCATTCTACTTGATTTACAATTGGTATAGGGGTACAACAAAGCAAAACATTGTTGAATCTTCATCCCATCTATAAGGATAGTCCAATATGTGTCCTCTGAAACCTCACTGATGGAAATTGTGTCACATAATTATTGTCTGGCTTAAGCTAGTCAAAATCCAACCACTCATCTTGGAAGGAGGGAGCCAACATCCTCTGTAGCGTCTAGCCTTCAAATTACAACAAAGTCAGAGAGCAGTGCACAAGGAATAAGGTAAAGTACATGTTGCCTGCCATGCCAGTTTAACCTTTAAGCTGAGTCTGTAATTTTGCATTATTTATTCCTTCTTTCTTCCAAATTCTTGTCTTCGACCAGATCAGTCACAAGATAATAAGACTGACAAGGCCCCTGTGAAGTAAAGTTACTCAATAATGACAGACAACTGCTCCATTCTTGTTTTGCCACCATTCTCTTATGTAAAAACTAAGGTGATTAAGCCATTAAATTGCAATCATGAAAATTAAAATTGCTTTGAAGACAAAAGCAGTTATTGGCCATCATATTTTTACACAGTGATTCGTATTAAGAGAGAGAATATAGATCATTACTACTTTACAAAAAGCACAGAAAAGTAAAAAATATTAAAAACAATGCAGAAAAAATCCATATATCTAATTGCACATAAAAATTGCAAACATTTAATTGCACTATTAACTGAATCTCATTCTGTGTTCATCTTCTAAAAATTTTAATCTATTAGATACAAGAGATTGCGTTATTACCCATGAATGCCAAAACATTTCTCATCAATAAAAAATTTAGCTCCTTGACTGCATTGAGAATGGAATAATCTATAAAATGATTCTTTCTGATTATTTCCATCACCTTTTCTTCAAATTTTGAGGTTCAAATTTGAAAACTAGGGCTTGAGGAAAACTGTAACAATAGCTTGCCTTAGTGGTATAATTCCTGACTTTCACTTACTATATGTCACCAAAGAGGAAAGCCCCAATCATGTCTACTTGGTTTCCAGATAAGAGATAAGAGTTAGGATTTAGCACATTTTTTCAAAAGAGTATTTTCTTAAACTGCTATTGCTCTTGTAATAAATGGACACAAACTTAGTAATTTGAAAGAAAGTAAATTTATTACTGTGCAGTTCTAGAGTTTGGAAGTCCAAAATGGGTTTCTTGGGACTAAATCTCAGCAACTACATGGCTGCACTCTTTCTGAAGGCTTTAGGAGAAAATCTATGTCCTTACCTTTTCCACTTTCTATAGCCTACCTGCATATGGCCACTTTCCTCCATCTTCAAAGCCAGCAAGGTAAAATCTTCAAATTTCTCTGTGATTCTTTTTCCATCATCACATCCCTTTCTCTGACTCTTTTAAGTATTCTTGTCATTATATTGGCCTTACAGAGATAATCTAGGATAAACTTCCTATCCAAAAATCTTTAACTAGATCACATTTATAAAGTCCTTTTTGCTACATAAAGTAACATATTCACAAGTTCCAGAAAGTAGAATGTGGACATCTTGGGGGAGAAATTATTCTCCCTGCCATAAGTATTATATTCCTTTGCCATTCAAAAATACACATTTTTCTATTGTATTAAATAAAATCAATAAAGAAAAAAGGCTTATGAGCTCCAACACCTATTTAATGAAGCCTCAGTAGCAAGTTCCTCATTACCACTTTTCCTGAAATACCTAGATCCTCTCTTTGCCTGAGCTCCTTCTTAGCACCCAATTGACACCTCCTTAGAATATTTCCATTAGCACTTTGCAGCTGCATATATGTATATGTATATGCACATATATACACACACATACAGCTGTGTATGTGTGTATATATACACACACATACAGCTGTGTATGTGTGTATATATACAGCTGTGTCATGTGTATATACACACACATATATACACATACAGGTGTGTGTGTATACATATATGAAAACCAATGTTTTCATCAATTTCAGATTTATTAATTTTTTTTTAGAAAAGAAAAATATTTCAAAAATGAAAATATGTAATCCAATGAGCAAACAACTTCCTCTCCTCATCATAATCTTATTCTGGTTTACATTTATTTTCTTTCAAACCATCAGAGGTGCTGAATGCTCATAATAAATTTTCTAATGGAAGATATCTGGGAATATTAATTTAAAAATCAAACACAAGAATTAAATGTCAGGTGAATGAGTTACTCCAGAATATTTGGCTGTATCAGAAAGCATCAAGTATCATAATTGGCCTCTCTCATTTCTATATTGTTATTTTTATTTATGTATGTATGTATGTTTTTGAGATAGGATCTCACTCTGTCATCCAGGCTGGAGTGCAGTGGCATGATCATAGCTTACTGGAGGCTTGAAATCCTGATATTAAGTGATCCTTCTATCCCAGCCTCACAAGTAGCTAGGGCCACAGGTGCATGCCACCATACTTGGCTAATTTAAAAAAAAAGTTTTGTAGAGATAAGGTCTTGATATGTTGACCAAGCTGGCATTGAACTCCTAGCTTCAAGCCATCCTCCCAGATTGGCCTTCTAAATTGACCGTATTACTGTCGTGAGCCACAACACCCAGCTCATTTTAATATTATTTATAAGCAAAAGTTATGTTATGGAACTTTGGAGTGGAAACAAATTTAAACAAAAAAGATCATAAAGGAAAGATAAAAGGTTTTAATAAAGAGAAAGTAAATAATTTCTAAACAAATATTGGGTCAAGTCTCTTCAGTTATTTTAACTAAGTTAGACCTGTGTGCCCAAAATACAATTATTCAATGCAGTTTTGAATGTTAGAATTGTCCAATAAAAATTTGATATCAGAAGTTTGATAATTTATGTAAAATTAAAAGAGAGAAAAATACTTTGAAATATTATCTGTGACATTACTATTTTGTAGATACAGATATGTATGTTTTCTTCCTAAATTCAGATGCAAAATAGTGTGTTTTGCTTATTTTTTTTCTTTTAAAGTGGTGTTGAGGCTTCCATAAGTACAGACAAACAGAGTTTTGTTTTTCTCCCATGTCCATAACTTCTTAAACAAATTTTTTCTTATTAAGAGACCTGGAAAAGAACCAAATGGCTAAACATGGCTGCCTAACAAGAGATGTAAGGGACTATAATGAAGCATTCAGGAATGATAAATAATAATAAGCTGTTTGAACCAAAAATAAAATATATTGTTTCCTCATCATTTGGGGATACAAGCCTAGATATTAGACATTCTGAAGCTTGAAGAAGAAACGTTTGCTTTGCACATATTTACTATTCAGAATTTCGTCCTATTCCATTTTTCCAAACCACACCTCAACGAACCTACTTTTTAAAAAGCTAATCTTGTACTTCTTGTGGTTTCTGCTGTACGGCTTAACTTCTCACTAGCTTCTTGCTGTGCTCAAGAACAGTGTTCGCTGCTTATCTTCTCACTTCTCATTTTAGTGGTTATCTCTTCACCATCTGATTCAGAGTCTCAAAATTGTGATGTAGTTTTTAATCCTTTGACAGAATATTCCTATCGTTTTCATTGATGTTGTCTTGGATACATCCTTTTATTTACTAATGTTAGTAGAAAAGTTAAAAGAGACAAAGAGAAGAAGGAAAATGCCATTGGTTCTAATACTTTATTAAATTATGAATATTCCTAAAAATTTTAATACGTATATCTTTCTCCAACTTAGGAAAATGTTATACTCATACAGCCTTTAATATTGTTTTTGTTCCAATTCTTCTAGTTTGTGCATCAGAAAATATCATTGATATTGTAAGTTTATTCTTATTGTGCCTTTCATATGTATTTCAAATGTCTTCAATAGACATTTATTTTTTAATAATTTCCTTTAAGGTATCAACGAGCTTCATTTTTTTCCAGATCGAGTAATCTGCTTACAACATTAATTTTGTTAGAATATACTCTACAAAAGTTCAGACAATTTATTATGTTGGTGTTGCTAAATAATTTCTGTAAAATACCTAGAAGAGTGCATGGATGATATGTAGCAGTTGTTGACTCAATAAATGATTGGTGTACAAATAAAATTATTATTATTCTTTAACTCATTTTATTTACAAAATCTGAGCTTTTCTTTTTTGTTTCTCTGAGGTCTTTTTAATAGATATTATTTTTACCTCTTACTAAAAGAAACAATATTTTCAGTTGCATTATTTTTTAAATTATTCTTTTACTATTTATATACTAGATACGTTTACTTTTCAATTGGAACTCCTTTCAAAATAGTGATTATGTGTTCTGTTTTGCAAAATGGGAAATTATTTTGTTCCACTGAAAATTTTAAAGTGAAAGAAATAACAAATCCAAGAATCATTTAAGAAATATGTTTCCATTTATTTGGATGATGATTATGGAATTATTTTAAACCTTCCAATTTCAAATTCTATAAACACTTCTAGTAGTGTTTTAATATGCAATGACCTATACAACTTTAATTATAGTCATATAAAATAAGTATGAATAAGCTCCAAATACAAATTTACCAAAATAAAATTGGAAATCATAAATATGACACTACTAATTTTGTTTACTTGAAAATTATTGATGAAAAAACACATTTAAAGAAGATTGATTTAGAATTCTTACATATCAACCAGTAATAAAATCTATTCAAATTCATTCAAATTATGGTCTCAATAGTGTTTTTGACAGATCAAAATTTGTTATCATTTATTGCAAATTAATTTTTTAAGGGTCAGATTACTGCAAAATCAGCCTGGCACTATTTTCTATTTTCTAGTGCAAAAAGTTTTTCTGTATATCATATAAACAATACAAAATATTTGAATAGGCCACAGGGAAACTGCCTTATTTCTTTATTCTTCATTATTAATCTCAAGAACTGTAGGTAAAGAAATAAAGAAATATCACCAAAGTAAATGAATTGGCTCCAAAATAATGTATTTATGAAAGCATGTTGAGAAGGCTCTTGCTTATGGCTCATTTTTAGAATACAAAAAATGATAGAATATTTACATTTTAACAACAACAGTGCTGTCATAACAACACAATTTTGACTGCAGTGAACATGTATGTGAAAAATGCCCTGGATCAAAAACTAAATCCAAAACAGAAACAAACAACTCAACTTTTAAGATCTTTGCCTCAATTTAATTGTAATGTTTGACTAAATATATCTTTAACATATAAAAATGAGTTCTCCATAAGGGATTTACTGACAGTAGCATGCATCTGGCATCAATATATAGTTATGATTAAATTCAAAGTTTTGAATTACAGTTAAGTATAAGAGAATATTTTAATCATCCAAAACTTTGAATTAAGAGCCTCCAATGAACCAATAGTGTGCCTAGCAAAGGAATGTATGAAACTAAATTCTTAATAAAA
The DNA here is from genome assembly GCF_000001405.40 of Homo sapiens. Lineage (NCBI taxonomy): Eukaryota > Metazoa > Chordata > Mammalia > Primates > Hominidae > Homo > Homo sapiens. The sequence continues at coordinate 56,951,664 of NC_000013.11, forward strand.
TCAATCATTTGCCCCTGATGTCAATTGATTCCTGAATTGATATTTCTGTTAATAAAGTCAAAGTTTGTTTTTATAAATCTGAAGTGTTGATTGTATGAACACTTAGTATAACCTGGACTACTGTGAAATAAAAAGAAAACATGAAACTGTACCTTAATATATTGACCCATTTGCCATTATAAAACGGTATTGATTTTTTTGTATCAATTATTTTCTGAATAATTATATTTTCCGACATCAGCAGAGCCTCTACAGATTTCTTTTGATTATATTTTTAAGGATAAGTCTTCAATCCTTTATATTTCAAGCTATTTGTATATTTGAATATAAACTCTATCTTTTGTAGCCAGTATATAGTTGGATTGTGTTTTCTTTCTACCATTCTAATCCATTCTACCAATGTAATGTCAATTAATGTAATTTGTTTAATCCATTTATATTTAATGTAATTATTAATAAAGTTGGGTTTATGCCTACCATTTTGTTATGTTTTCCATATGTTTAATGTATATTTTTCTTTTTTCCTATATTACTGTTTTCTTTTTTGTTGAGTAGTTACTTTTTGCACACCATTTTAATTCACTTTATTATTTTATTATATTTTAATTATTTTCTTAGCATTTTCCATGGAGATTAGAACAATCCTTTTAATTTGTAAGAAACTAGATTATAATAATAAGCAATATTAATAACACACAAAACTTTTCTCTGTAAAGCTCCATTTCTCTTCCCTCACATTGTTTTGCCATAAAAATACATCAGTTTACATCATGTGCTCATCAATGAAGATTTATAATTATTGAATTAAACATTGCATTTTTAGCTACATAGGAGAGGAAAAAAGTTATAACCAAAAATATATTTCTACTGCATTTTATATTAATCTATGTGTTGGCCATTATTGGTGGTCTTTATTTCTTTATGTAAATTCAACTTACTGTCTAATGTTCTTTTCTTCTTTCCTGAAGAACAAAGTAGAATGATTGGCACTACATAATTTCAAGACCTACTATACGATTACAGTAATTAAGATAATGTGGTATTGGCAAAAGGATGGGCACATAGATCAAAGGAACAGAATACATAGTTCACAAATAGACTCATACAAATACAGTCAACTGATCTTTGGCAAAGAAGAAAAGACAATTTAATAAAGAGTAGCCTTATCAACAAATTGTGCTGAAACAATTGAATTGTATATGTTAAAAAAGAAAGAATTATATATACAGATCATGCAACATATACAAAAATTCAAAATTGATTTTAAGCTAAATTTAAATTGCAAAATTATAAATTTTCTAGAAAAATTTATGTGATTATAGTTTTGGGGATGAGTTTGTAGACAAAACACCAAAAGCATGACACATATAAAAGAAAAATAAGGTAAAATTTATAAATCATATTTATATATGTACATATATATGTGTATATATGTACATATATGTGTATATATGCATATGTGTGTATCTATATATATATATTTCTGTGCTGAAGATTAAAATATGTCTTGGACTGATAGAAAGTATTTGCAAAGTATATATCCAATAAAAGACTTTATCTAAAATATACAAAGAACAGTTAAAACTGAATGATAAGAGATAAAAAACAACTCAAATGAAAAAGTAAGTAAAATTTCTAAACAGACACTTCATCAAACAAGATATATGGATTGCAAATTAACTTACATATAAACAGAAGCTCAAATTCGTCATTAGAGAAATGTAAATTAAGACAACAATGAGATTTTACTTCATACCTACTAGAATGACTAAAGCTGTCATTCATTGCTGGTGAGAATATTTAAGCTATAGAAAGTTTGGAAGACACTTTGGCAGTTTCTTATCAAGCTGGACATAGTTATACCATACAATCCAACTATCATGCTCCCAGTTATTTATCCAACTGATTGCCACTCAAAGACAAACATGCAAATTTTCATGGCAACTTTATTCATAATTGCCAAAAATGATACAACTAAGGTGAATAGATAAACATATTGTGGATCATTCAAACAATGGAATGCTATTTAGCTATGTAAAATCATAGATGAGCTGTTAATACATATTGCTAAGTGAAATAAGCCAGTCTGAAAAGGCTATATACCGTATAATTCTATTTATACAATATTCTAGAAAAGGCAAACCTATAGAGAAGTTAAACTTACCAATGCATACCAAGGTATGAGGGTGAAGTGAAGTTTAAATAGGTAAAGCACAGGATATTAATAGGGCTGGTAAAGTTATTCAGTATAGTACTTCAATGATTGATATCTGACACTATGCATTTGTTAAAACCCATTAAAATTGTGATCATTAGACATGGCTACCCTATGTAATTAATTAATACTATAGTCCTGATTGATAAACATCTGGTCAACCAACAAAACCCTGTAGATAGGGTGAACAGACATTTATGGAGGACTATATGCTAATTTTGTGTATCAATAAATGAGCAAGGAAAGAAAAGAGGCAGGGATGACTAAGCAATTAGTCATTTTTATAAAGGTTTTACAAAGCCTTTGCCAAATTGCCAGGTACTTCTGGAGTTAACAGGTTTTTATACTGAGCTGAGAAGACCAAGCATTTACAGCTCCTACCAGCTCAAGAAATGACTTCAACTGAGATAGTCTCTGAAACTGAATTAGAGCCTGGAGGGGCTGAAAATGGGATCTGAGCACTGATCATTCTCCCAAATAGCAAGTCCTTTTTTGGGCAGAATATCTCTGTGTCTACTACACTGATGCAATAAATTGCAATGTAGAGAAAGTTTAATTAAGACATGCTTCTAGAAATTGGGCTTGAAATATTGCATTGCTTATATTCCTAATGTATACTACATCATCAATTTAATAAAATATTACATATTTTCTCAGCAAAAGTAGTTTCTATTGGCACCAATTATTGTGGTGTCCAAAGAAGACTGAAGGTTAGTTAGGACAGTGTAAAGAAAGGTACATTAAAGTTGGGGGATAAGAGAAAAATGAAATCAATTTTCTGAAGTGAATTATTTCTGTTCTGAATTTTCAAGGCTTTTTAAAATTATTATTTTAAAAAGTAGATTAGAGAGAACAAGTTACCAAGTAAGAGAAATGGAGTTGACAAGGTAAAAATGCATAACAATTGGCAGAAACTATGCATACTGGTAGTGAAATATCTATTTAGGTACAGAGATTAAATTAGGGGCAACTTAACCCCTTGATAGAACACCAAGTGAAAATTGTCAAGAAATTAGCCAAGAAACACTAGGGAATTTATTCATGTTGAATTGTCAGATAATTTGTTAAGCAGTGCTTTAAATACGGTGATGAAGACTTTTAAGTTAGCTGAATAATGTATATGCCGTTGCTTAAGTAACATTGAAAATTAAGACGACATAGTATCTTCAGAGGTACATGATTGGGTCTGATCTTGCTAGGGTTTACATTATATTTTCAGGGAATAGAAAGATATAAAAAGCATGATTGCTTATGGTATTTTGTAGATAAAATGTGACTGGGATAAATAAAGTTTTATCTTTATTTTGAATTAAATTTGAGTTGCTGAGCATACAAAAAAATTGTACATTTAAAAATTACAAAGAAATTACAAACTATCAGGGAAGTAAACATCTTAGAAAATCCAAAAATTGATGTTTCTTAAAAATGCATACATTTGCTAATGAAAATACCATATTGGAGCTTTCTACACAGGATCTTACTCATTTTGCTGTTTCTGTTTCTGAAAGGTATAAATTTGTCTATGTTAACTTTGCAAATTAATATAGCCAACATGAAAGAAAAAAAATCAATGCCACATATTAGCATGCGTATATTATAGCTGAGCTTAAAAAAAGATATCTTGTATTTGTGTAATTTTTGCAGTTGTTATTGTAATGCTGTATAATTTAAGCAGCCTTTCTGATAAGAAATATTTATTCTTTATTTAACCTTCATTTACATTTTGAAACCAACTAAAATGACAATGCCCTTTTAAGATCTTATAAACACGTTAAACTTTTTTATTTTACCTCACTATCTAAAGAATATAAATTCAAGATTGCCTTATAGTAATAACAGTTACAACTGATAGAGTGTCTCTTACAAAAAATTATTTTAGTTTATTTCTCAAGGTTTATTATTATTGTTATTATTATTATTACTTAGTTGCTCCATATATTCAAGTGGGAAAATAGAATAAGGAAAAACTCGTTTACTGAGTGATGTTTTGTTCCTTGTGCTGTGCTAAATCTTTCACAAAAATTATCATATTTAATCTTAACAATGTACCCTGTGAGTTCAGTATTTTTATCCTTTATGGAAAGGAAGAATAGTGTGTCACAGAAAACCTCTCTCATGCATCACCAATTGCTCCTTTCTTCCTCCTTCCTCCATCCTTTTATGAGAGAGGGAGGTGTTTTTACATCCAAGAGGATGAGTAGACTTTCACAGATTCCAGATAAATGCATCTGAAAAAGAAAAACTGTTAGATTATATTCATTTCGAGATCATCATTGCTGGAAGTCAATTATCTATGATTCTCTTGCAAACAAGAGCAAAGTCTTTAAAATTGTTGTTGTTTGGGACTCTTTTCAAAGACATTTTATCATAAACAGCATTGTATAGCATATTACGAGAGCTTCTGTTACACCACACTGTCACTAATGCTGACAGTTTTTATTTTTGTGCTGCAATTTCTGGTTGGAATGTAGAGATACGGTGCTGCAGTTTTAATATTCATTCCCACAATGTTAATTATTTTTAACATGTTCCCATGTGCTTACTGGTAATTAGGCTCTCCTTTTTTATAATATACCTTTTACTTTTTTGACAATTTTTAAATTGATTGCCTGTATTTTTTAATTAAACATATTTTACCCATTTTGTACAGTATAAGAATCTTTTATTCAATAGGTGCACAGTAAATATATTATCCCACTCTTTGATTTGTCTTTTCATAATTTTAATAGTAGAATTTAATATGTAGAATATCATAAAATATTAAAATCAATTTTATGAATCTTTGATATTTTAGTTTGTATTATTTTTTGTCCTGGATTAAAAGAAAATGCTTTGACTCCCCCAACATCATAAAGATATCCTACTCTATTATCTTCTAGAAATGTATGGTTTTATCTTGCAACAAGCTCAACTTGCTGATATTTTATTTTTTAATGTATAATAATATTTGTTTAAATTATGTTTGGTTTTGGTGTTTGTATTTATTTTCATGAGACTGGTTAGATTATACTTTTCCTATTTGAAATATTCTCAGCAGATTTATATAAGAATGCCATATTCTCTTTAAATATGTTGTGGTAAGTGTTTTCTATTTTTTCCTTTTAATATGGATGAGTTTTTGCAACGTTATCATTATTTTATTTTGTATGCATGAAGAATTCAAAGTGAAGTGAAGCCATCTTGGCCTGGAATTTTCTCTTTGTAAAGATTTTTGACATTTGGTTTTGATTTTTTTTTCTTTTTTAATTATACTTCAAGTTTTAGGGTACATATGCACAATGTGCAGGTTTGTTACGTATGTATACATGTGCCATGTCGGTTTGCTGCACCCATTAACTTGTCGTTTACATTAGGTATTTCTCCTAATGCTATGCCTCCCCCAGTCCTCCATACCACGACAGGCCCTGGTGTGTGATGTTCTCCGCCCTGTGTCCAAGTGTTCTCATTGTTCAATTCCCACCTATGAGTGCGAACATGCGGTGTTTGGTTTTCTGTCCTTGCGATTTCTTAATAAATATAACAATATTTATACATTCTTCTATAAAGTTTTACTTGTTCTGCTTTTCAAGAAAACCTCATTAAAACTACATTCTCAAAAATGTATTGACAATTCTTTTTATGTTATACTCTTCAGTCTTTTTAAATATTACAGCATCTATAGCAATGGCCCCTTTTTAATTGATTTGTCAATTGTTGCCTATCCCATTTTTTCCTTGAAAATATTAGCAGAGTTTTATTAATTTTGTTACTTTGTTGAACATTGTTATGTGCCACACATAGGCTTCTTCAGAAAGTTCAGACAATCCCCCCAGCTACTGAGATTACTGCTGAAGATGGTGCTAGTCTATCAGCCATCTTTGGCGATTGCCTTAGAAATGGAATACCAATTCTTCCAAGGCCGTCAGTCTTTCCAAAAATAGTCTGATTCAATAAATGAACAATATAAAAGTAAAAATTCACAGCCTTTCAAGACATCTGGGGACAACTTTAAAGGCTATCCCAACTCCAGACATCCCCATGTATTCAGCTGCAGCCTTCATCGGGTCATATAGGTCTATAGTCTGACTGCATGGTATCAAGGGGGTTAAAACATAAATTTAGCTATTAAAGAGATTATCAGTGTTGAAGACTCTCTGAGTATACATAATTTAACAGGAAAAATTATATAAACATGCTATATGAATAAATCATAGAAACATGAAAAAAACAATGGCATAAACTAAGTGAGATAAAAATAACACAATGGCTGTGGTGGATGGTAGAAGGAATTGAATGTTTCAGAAAAATAAACAGGCTAAGTGGATTCTCTAAGGCCAGCAAAAGAAGAGTTGGCCTTAGGAGGGCTCAGATATAGCAATCATTTACCAAAGCAACAAGAAATGTGCCAGTGAAAGGGGCACCAGCATCACTGAGTTCCCAGGGTGCTTCAGTTCTGTAGGAAAGAGTTGATGGTAATAGAAGCCATTAAAGATTAGGTCCCTTTAATAGTAATGGAGTAATTATAATAGAGCAACTGTAATCATATTAGTAATCGTGATAGAACCTCTACTCTATAGAGCAAACTTGTCCAACCTACAGCCCACATGCCACATGTTACCTGGGACAACTTTGAATGCTGCCCAACACAAGTTCCTAAACTTTCTTAAAACATTATGAGATTTTTTTTTTTGCAATTTTTTTAAAGCTCATCAGCTATCGTTAGTGTTAGTGTATTCTATGTGTGGCCCAAGACAGTTCTTCCTCTTCCAATGTGTCCCAGGGAAGCATAAAGGTTGGACACCCTTGAGAGGAGAAGGTTGTACCATTTAACTGCAAAAGCCAAATGGACTTAATTATCTTAAGTGGCACAGTGGAGCTTTTCTAAGTCACTTACCCACTTTTCTGTATTTTCCTTTATTTCTCAAACTAGATATTTTTTACTGGCCATTGTCCAGTTCACTTATCCCCTTTCTTATGTTTCTAATATGCTTTCAAATATAAATACTAATTTATGAATTTTAATCTTGCATTTTTTCAGTTGTAAAATTTTCAGTTGATCCTGATTTTCTGGTCAAATCTCTACCTTTCCACTGATTTTCTTCAATATTTTAATAATTGCTATCTTATTTATTTTAAATTTTTTTATTTTTAATTTTAATTGCTATTTTAATGTGTGTCTTAAAACTACATTTTGTGGATGCCTCTAGATATCTTTTTTATAGCTTCTTTTTTTTCCTATTTTTAGTCATATGATTCTGTCCCTGGTGTGATTTGAATCATTCAATTTTGGCTTTGTTACATGAAAACAATGTAAATTTGGGGGGATATTAGATTTCTCCTTTAATTTTGCTCCATCAGTTACAATACAGACATATTAGATTGATCCAATTAGAGCTAGATTTCAGAATTTGGAAAGGCTGTACTATTTCTAGTTTGCCCTAATTTTTGGACTCAGAACTTATGTAGAGATACCATCTGAATCTTTGTATATTCACTGCAGCCCCACTCCTCAGGATGTCCCTCATTCTATGGCTTGACTTCCCTGACTGTAAGATTGACAAAATTTTCACTTACTTTCAGAATTTTATCAGTTATTTCTATATTGCATCTCCACCTCTGACTAAATAAGTGATAGTTTAGGACTCAGCAAATATTTTTAAAACCAATCACATTATAATGTTTGTGCATTATTGTGCGATCTTTTTTTCTCCCAGATTTGGCCTCTTAGGTCCTGAATTAATCCGTAGCCTTTAATTGAGTATTCTCCCTTTTTTGTCTACTGATAAGGCTACAATAATGTTTAGGTTGTTTCTTTCTGTCAGACCTCTATAGCCCACGCTGTAAGTGGATAAGTGCCTCTAAGTGGGGAAAATGCTAATGTAGGTGTCACTTCAATGAATTCTTTTTATCTTTAGGACCTTTATTGTTAAAAACCACACAGCCTTGAGATATCTACAGTCCCATTCCAGGTTTTGTTTTGTTTTGTTTTGTGGAAGAACTCCATCACAGTAGGAAGAGATAACCTCAAAAATCAAGTTCTTTTTGAAATGTGATCTTTCTTCATAGTTGTTTATTTCAGGAATATTTAATTTCTCACTCCCCTCTACTGTTAATTAGTGCAGTGAAAGCATTTCCCACATTTCTTCAAAATAGTCATATATCTTTCCCCAGTTTACCTCTTCCCCACAATTCCTATTTACTGTAACATTCTTGTGGAAAGGCTATATATCATATACATCCCAATGCCAAACATACCTCTTGTCTTATACTTGGAATGAATGATTACTGGTATCACTGGGAGGAAGATGCTCTTTTTTATGGATCATATTAACTCCTGTGATATTCATTTATTTTTTACACTGTATTGTCTATGACAAGATGAAAGTGTCAACAGCTGTTTCAATTGTCCAGACTAGTTATTCTCTTAGTATTACAACAAACCCATTTACCGTTTGTGCTACTTGCTTTACTCATAAAAACATTCAATTCAACCCAGCAAGCGTAAAGATCAAACAAAAGTGTACCCCTCAAGCTTTAGTATTTTCTGTTTTATGACTTCCTTAAAATTCTTGTTTTATGAAAGAAAAGTTTGTGTTATTTGCTGCGTAAGGAGATGAGTATTTTCATTGTTGGAAAATAATGTCAGTGAATTTGAGATTCAAAATTATCTCCACAAGTAATTCCTTTTTGCATGATCAAATTTGCATTTTAAAATATAGGAATATATATTTATGTATGAATATTTGCATCTTTACTGTTTAAACAGTTGACAGAAAGGTACTTTCTTGAGAATAAGAACAGTTTCTTCTCTTATACAGATGCCACATAATGAAGATGTTAAGAAAAGTGAGAATACATTTGTATTCCTGTTCTTGGTAATTCTTCCCTAGGACATACTCCAGATACATGAATGAGTATTATTTCTTTTGAAGAAAGAAGGTAAACAACTGTCATTCCTGTTTCTTTGCTATATATGCTATCTTTGATACAAAGAATTTCCAATTTGCTAGACTTCTGCAACTTCAGTACAGGCTTCAGACTTCTAAAGTGACATCCCATATAATGTTAGAATAGTTAGTAATCATGTTAACTTCTTAATGTCCCCTATACTGTGTGTCATCAGTAAATGCATAGGCAATTGAAATACATGTCTACAAAATGTCCGTCCAATCATTGTACATGTTTACCATCAGATTAATCATTCTGAAATATCAGACTCCTATCTTGAATAAAATCTATATTCCTACCTTGGCTGTACCACTCCTCTATAATTTGGCTGCAATCAATCCTTTAAAAATTATTCTCATACTTTATCTCAAATTCAGACTGACACAGCTAATATTGATTCCTTAAACGTCTTCATTCACTCATTTCAAGTCTAATTTGTACCAGGAAGGTTTTCTTCTAAATCTATTTACATTTATTCCACTGTCAAAATTTAGGTCTTCACTTTTCCTAATGTTCTTTTTAAAACTGCAAAACTTGGTAATTTTCCATACCATACTATCCCAAAGACGCTTAAATATGATAAAATTGAATAAATGTTTAGCAAACCAATCCTTCTCTCAATTAAATAATTTACAATACTTTTTGTATCTAGGGGTTATATAACTTTTCACTTGGGTTTATGATTTCTACCAAGAATTGGAGAAGAGAAATTACATCTTAATGTATTCCATTATGCCTATACAAATTACATACTAAGTAAATTTGTTTTAAAAATGAGATAAAAAAATTAAATTGGTTTTTTGCACTCTTTAAGTCTAAATTGAAGAAAGGACAAATCTGTTTATATTTAACCCTTTAGAATAAAAGGTTTTATTATCAGTATGCATATGTAGATGGTAAGCCATTAAAGCAAACTAAAAATATGTAATAAAATTTAAAATCTGTGGATTCCTACATGCCATTCAATTATTTTTCTATAATTTTAGAAAAATATTATGAAATTTTAGATACTTGTGAATTACAGCAAATTGTTGGCATCTTTTCTCTTTGAATACAGTTGAACACCACCTGAACAATTTTATTCTTAGAAAGACTTGTTGCTTGCTTGGTAAAACAGACACAGGTTAAATTTTAATGCATTGACTAAAATGCTGTTATCTTATTTTCAATAAGCATTGTTTACAGATTTCAAAGCTGGCTATAAAAATCAACTTCTGATTCTTGTAAGAACTTTACTAACACAATTTATTATTGACAAATGTAAAAATTAGTAAACTATACTTTGCAAAATTTAATATCTTTTCATAATCTACTTTCTTATTTAAGAAGAAATTAAATACACCAAATACCTCTTAGAATGTCAATGATTGAATAATACCAATATATATTTCTTAATAAAGAAATGGTAACCTCGCATATTTCATATCTGTTGTAGTAGGTCATGACAAAAAAAATCAACAAAAAGAAATTATCTAAAAAACGTTATCTGAAGTGAAATAAAGTTTTGAGTATTTTGGTAGGAAAACTTGAAGTATCTAATCGCCTATTTCAAGGTCTGTGAAAGTTACTAGTTATTTATGAATATTTGAAGTTATTTTCTTCATTCCTTGTTAATTGCTTGTGACAGCCAAGAGTTAAAATATGGGTATTCCATTATATAACATAGGAGAACAGCTGCAACACAGTCTGCTTCTGCTGATGCTCTTGACAATGTGTCTCCTAATGCCCTAAAAACAGCTTCTCCCTGCATGGCTGTTACTTCACACTTTCTGGTTGGAACAATTGGACTACTGAAATATTCAAGTTTCACACTGGGGAAAATCCATTTCCACCCATTGCAAAGAGGTAGCAAGATAAATTTGCAGTGAGGACAGTAAAACAAAACAAATTATTGACAGCCACAATTGCTCTGGTTGGTTAAGAACACAACCAAAAAGTTTAACACTTTGCAGAAATTTGTATCAACTCTATTCATATGTAAACTTGTTCTATGAAGTTATTCGATATATTAAAAGACAGAAAAAATACAGAAAAATTATGTATATATATACATATGTAAAAGATCAAACATGGTAAAAGTAAATGTAGCTCTAATAAGTAATGTCCCTGCTCAAATTATGAACCTCACTGACAGAAAAGTCCTCTGAAGACATCTCGCTTATTCCTTGGGAGCTTTCAGTTTACTCCTAAAATAGATTACAGGTTCCTTTTAGACAGGTTTCGCATTACTTGAGCCAGAGATCTTTTCTCGCTTTCCCAGGAGAAATCCTTCCACAGATAAACACCAGAATCAGTATTTGTAATGTGCTTCCTGCTAGTAACAACTAGTAGTATATGAAATAATTTATCTGGGGAAATGCCTGTAGCCGCTATTTTTAGTCATTTAAACCTAGCCTAGACAAAACAAACTAACCTAGGAAAATACACTGCCTGAAAAGGTGCGAGCTTTAAGACCCAAAGTGTGTATCCACTTAAAAGGACATATAGTTCTACAAAAGTAAAACTAGATAAAGGATTCTTGGACCTCCAGTGGAAGTAAATAAAAATGAAGGCTTAAAGAAAATAAATGTTTAAAATGTATCTGATTTATGCACATCTTTCTATGTTTCCTATCACATTAGGCAATAGTAAAAATAATCAAAACATTTTTGGCTATATAGAATTCTTCTATATGAGTACTTTCACTCATAATTAAGAAATGTGTTAAAATCTGCTACCAATGTATCTGATTGATATGCTTATATACGTGGGTCTCAGGAAAGAGAGAAAAACTGCTCAATTACTTGGAACTCGTATCTCAGTTCAGAAGAGAAAATAGAAAGTGCACAGCACCTAAGTAAATATTTTTAAAAATTTTAAACCAAAGAAATTAAATGAGGTAGGAAAGCTGTGAGCAAAAAAGTTAATTCTCAGCAGGGGCCCTCAAAGGCATAAATGTGCAGGGGAGAGTCCCGGAGTTTTAACGAAACTTAAATATTTATTAAATTTTTTATTTTTGTAGAAAGTAACTGGAAAGTAATGTCAGAAAGTATCTACAACTAAGCAGTTTAGAATTTTGTAGAGAAACTTCATTGCACAAACAAAATGGCTAATGAATCTTAAAAGATTATGTGGCTGAATTGTGAAGAGAGAAGAATTTGCTTACTCATGAGACAATGAATTGATGAGAGAAACCTGATACACACAACAAAATGACCCGACTTTCCCTAAATCTGACTCTCCCTTAGATTTGTGGCTATTTTAATAAGAACTACACTGATTTCCAGATTATCGAATCAAGAAATCAAAAGTTATTCATTCTATCAAACCACGTAAAGGACTGACATTTTTTAAATGATGAAAATGACAGTAAAGAAATACGTTATTACTTTTTTGCGGCGAAAATCCGTTTAAGTTAGACAATGAAAATATTCCAAGTTTATTCTTTTTTAATAACTTTTTTCATGTTAAGTTAGAAGTATTTCATGGTTAAAAAATTGAAAAATAAGAGGATAGCTTGAACAAACAACAAATTATAAAGTAGTTTCCACCTCTTAGGCAATTATTGCTAATGTTTATATCATCTCTTCTTGATGTGAATTTATTATGCATCTGTATTATATTAACATTGCATATGTTGTTGAATATAAAATTTTCACAAATTCCTTTTTCATTTAACAATATATAATGCAAATTTCCCTAAATATTTATTATTGAAAAAATATTTTTAATGATGGCATATCTCAGTCATCATTTACTATTTTCCCTATGTTCCATGCCCACATAATTATATGTGGCTATGAATATCAATGGACATACAATTTTTATATATAATACTAGGTTTTTCCTTAAATCTGTTTCTAGTGATAACATTAGCTCACAGGTTAAAGGACATCAATAATTGATTGTCTGTGAAAATAATTGTGAAACATAAAAATATTTATTCACAATTTATACTCTTCCAAAATGTTGAAAATATTCAAGTCCTTTATCCTACTTAGCATAGATGAATTTATCAGTGTTCTTTAATAAGATAAGCCAAAATTGGAACATACCTTTGGCTACTAGTAAAGTTCACTATTGTGTCAATATATTTATTGGCCATCTATTCATTAATTAACTCATTCTTTATTTTACATTTTACTTTATATATATATATATATTTATAGTCTCTCAGATTCTAATCTGCTGCTGATCCATGAGGTAGCCTGTTTCTGATGTGAGTGAACCATATCTATGTAGCTTCTAAAAGCAGAAAATGATATTTCTAATTAATAAAGTAAGAAAAATAATACAAATGTACACTCAATTTTTAGATCAGAAGGCAGCCAGAAGAAGATTTGGCAATGCTTTCCTTGTAGGAAAGTTACTGTCACTGATATATTACTGCTATTACTGTTGTATACGTATGTGTGTATGTGACAAGTGTGAATGATTTTTATTTGATTAGAGACAAGAGCAGTTTCAAAATATACACAAGTGAAGAATTACTTGCAATTTATTTCACTTGCATTAATTATTGTTGGCATATGCCAACAAATTAGTTTTACTTCTCACTGCATGAGGATTGTGGATGTTGAATGGAAGAATTGAAAAAATATTCCTACATAGCCTTTTTATCAGTTATATATTTGAAAAAAGAGACTTGATATTTTATGTTTAAGCAGTTTGTTTAAACAAAGTGACAGTAACACAAATAACACTTTGGAGCAATATGATGATCAATAAGATTTTTTTAAATTAGCGTGGTGTTTTAAAATAATTCTCTTAAAGTATATTCAGATCACATGTGAAAAACAATCTTTATCATTGAAGATACTTGCTGCACTGTGACAAGCAAAATGAAAGAGAAGGACTCAGCTTTTAACGGAGCAGTTGGTAATAGGCTCTGGTCTTTATTTGTCCTTGGTCAAGACCAGAATACTAACTATGTGAAAGATGGATCCTTTTGTACTTGAGTGTTTCTGAAGGGTTGTTTAAGGAATTCTTCCATTGTAATCACTATTTCAGCAGCATGAGATTTCCTGTTCCCTTGTATTGTTTGTATTTAAATGTATTTTCATTCTTGAAGGATATTGGAGTCAATATTTTGTTATTTCTTCTTTGAATTGGGCAATATCTTCTCAGGTTAGGTGGGAAACCTGAAATACAGAAAATATAAAGTGGGCGAACATTTATGTTTGGCATATAAATTATTTGCACATAGCTTTAATGTTCTCTTTGAAATGCTGTATTTCTTAGAAAATGAATCCCTGAGGTTTGAGATATATAACCTAATGGGACTATAGTTTTTCAACTCATTACAAAGTCAATAATTATTATTAAATGCTTATTGTTTCACAGCCCTGCAATATGTTAGGAAGATAATATAACATAGGTAATTTAACAATAGTGAATTAATTACTTGCAAAATGTAAGGCGCACTATAATCAATACTATGTATATGTGAGTTCCTTTAAGAACACCATTTAGGAAAGCATTGCCCACTGGCCCGAGGAAATTCTTGTCCATTTTCTATTTGATAAGAGAGAACCAACACCAACTGTAACCCAATGGAACTCTGCATTATAATTGAACAATACAGATATATTATTCTCATCCAATCTTGATAAAAAGATTATTTAATTCTGAAAGTTATATGAACTGTTGGGGAAGTCCAATTCTGTAAGATTTAGAATTGTTGAAAATTTAATCCAAGAATTTCTGAAATTTATCTCTAATTTATTCCACAAATGTTCTTTTTCTCCTTAACCAATTTTTTTACAAATTTCCTAATTAAAATTAAAAAGAAAAAATATACATATGAATATTTTAAATAGCAGTGATACATGAGTATTAATTAAGCCCTGTGAATGAACAGCAATGTATTCAAACTTTGAGTCAAGGCCCATGTTTCCAGGCTTGATGTCGGAGCACAAGGCAATCTGACACAAGATGTCTGCTCTACGTCATCCTTCTTAATTTTCCTGATATTCTCCAATTTAACCAACCTAAAAAAATGATGGAATTGTCCAAAATAAAGGTAGCTGTAGAATTACTGAGTTATACAGTATTTAATTTAATGTTCAACATTAATAAGGAATGCTAGAATGATTTTTCATATAGCCTTCAGTAGCTATCATTTCCAACTCAGGGAAAAATACCTCAATATTTTGTTATTGCATGTTAGATTTACTGGAGATTTTGGTTAATGTATTATCGGAATAAAAAAAATTCTTCCTATTCCTAGTATTCTGAGTTATTTTTTTAGTTTGTGCATGAGAGTGGCCTTTTTTTTCAAATGGATTTTTGCATCTATCAAGATGACTACATGTTTATTTTTTCTTTTGCTAATAGGATGAAGTACATTGATTGATCCACAAATTGTGTATTTTCACTATTATTTTGCTTTTCATATTTTCTCACTTGTGTACACCTTTTTCTTTGACTTATGTGTTATTCAAAAATATGTTTATATTTATGATCATGTATCCTTTCTCTGTATGGATTTGTCTCTATGATCTTATTAATGTTCCTCCTCATCCCTTCCATTCCATATATATTTTCTCTCTTTTCTTGCTGTATCCATTTTTTTGTATGCATATATTTTATATTACTTTTCTCCTCAGACCATTTAAAAGTTGAACACTGTAAAAATATTTTTAAGAGTACCTACTCTAGACATTTTAATATTTTTTTATATTTAAAGTTAACCACCATCTGTACTCTAATTTCAAACAATACAAAGTGTTTTAACATTTTGATTGTCATAACCTCCCTCCTATATATTTACTTCTTTGGTTTTTAGTTTAAAAATTATTGAAACTTAAAAAAGATTATTATTTTTTCCATTCTCTGTCATTTTTTGTTGGATTTTATAGTTATCATCTTATTTGTTCATTCATTGCTTCTTGCAATACAAGCTTTCCACTTGAATTTTCTTTTTCTTTTAATAATCTTTGTAATTTCTATTAATGAGAGGAAATGTAGTAAATACAATATTTGTTTGTTTAAAAATAATTCTTTTTGCCCTTTTAACAAATTCTACTGAGATAATGTTCCATCATATTTAAGATATGTGTCCAATGTCTTCTAACATCCATTATTAGTTTTGAGAAACTGTAGTAGACAGACTGTACAGTGAGCTGCAATTATTCTCACCTCCTAGTCTCCTTGTGCAATCTACAACTATTAAATGTGGGCAAAATCCATGACTTGCTTCTAATAGAATTTGATAAAAGTTGCCACATCCATGTTGATGTTACATACTACTTTAATCTCAAACTTGGGAGCTGACTCTGGCTTTGAAAAAACAAACTGTGATGCTGCTGTACATTGCTCTATAGCAAAGGACTTAAGGCAGCCTTTGGCTGATATGCAGTCAGATACAGAGGCCCTGAGTATGAGAGCCTTCATGGAACAGAATGCTGTCAACCATCCATATGAGCTCTGAAGTTCAGGAAACTGGATATTCTTCCCCAGTTGTATTTTCAGATAAGTACACAGGCCTGGATGGCACTTTCACTGAAGCCTTGAAAAGGACAAGGCTAAGTCGTATCTGGACTTCTGGCTCACAGAAACTATGTGATCATAAATGCACATTGTGTTTTGTTGCTAAGTTTGTGGTATTATAGTTGTGGTAACAATATATGATACACATATTTGTAATACCTGAAAGCAGAGTTTTGTGATAATTTTGTGGCAGTGGCTTTCTAATTATGCAACGTACTGAGGATGAAGGAATGTTGATGATATGATATTGAAAGTCTAATTTGCCTTTTACAGGCTAGTATTATTAGAAATCTAGATTTGAAGGATGCAAAAGGAAGTGAGAAATGTATTATTGAAAACTGGGAAAAGGAAATTCTGTTTATATGGTGACAGAAAAGTTAGGAAAGGTGCTGCTTATAGTTAAGTGGAAGGTAGAAGAAATAAGAGATAAATTTAGTTTATACCCAAGGAGATGTTTAGGCAAAGTGTTGAAGTTGCTGCTTGGTTTCTTCATGCTGTTTATAAAAGTAATAGAAGAGAGATAATCTGAGGAATTAGTTGTCAAACAAAAATAAAGTGTGTCTTGATTCTTAACCTCTTCACTTGTACAGGAGATCCAAAAATTGTTTGAGAAAATAATTTCAGCAAAGATTCTACCAACTTGGCTGAAAAAGACAGAGAAAGTACACAATGATAGGAGGCCATTTGATGCCCAACATTCTGTTGTCAGTCAACAGGCTGTTAAAAAAATGATTTAGCTGCACACATGTGATACATTTCATTAATGTATCACTATAACTCACTAATAGTGTATTAGTGAGTTCTCATGCTGCTAATAAAGACATACCTAAGGCTGGGTAATTCATAAAGAAAGGAGGTTTAATTGACTCACAGTTCCACATGGCTGGAGAGGCCTCACAATTATGGCGGAAGGTGAAGGAAGAGCACAGTCACGTTTTATATGGCAGCAGGCAAAGAGAGCATGTGCAGAACTCCCCTCTATAAAACTCATGAGACTTATTCACTATCATGAGAACAGCACAGGAAAAGACCACATCCATGGTTCAATTACCTCCCACTGTGTCCCTCCCACAATATGTGGGAATTACAGGAGCTGCAATTTAAGATGTGATTTGTGTGGGAACACAGCCAAACCACATCATTCCACCCCAGCCCCTCCCAAGTCTCATGTCTTCAAATTTCAAAACCAATCATGACTTCCCAAGAGTCCCCCAAAGTCTTAACTCATTTTGGCATTAACTTGAAAGTCCACAGTCCAAAGTCTCATCTGAGACAAGGCAAGTCTCTTCCACCTAGGAGTCTGTAAAATACAAAGCAAGTTAAGTACTTCCTGGATATAATGGGAGTACAGGCATTGGGTAAATATACCCATTCCAAATAGGAGAAATTGGCCAAAGCAAAGGGGCTACAGATCCATGAAAGTTTGAAATCCCATACGGCAACCATTAAAACTTAAAATTCCAAAGTGATCTCCTTTGACTCCATGTCTATCATCCAAGTCTTCCTCATGCAAGAGCTGTGCTCCTATGGTTTTGGGCGGCTCCACCCCTGTGGCTTTGCAGAGTACAGTGAGACAGACAGGTGGGAGGGGGTCCCTGGAGAAACTCCAACCAGCCTGCCCACTGAGGTGGAGCCTCGGGAAGTTCACTATGTTTGTAGCAGAGAGGAGCCTGACCCCTCCTCTTCTGTGTGGAACCTTGGATTCAATCAGCCCGGTGGGAGGCGCTCTAGCAGGACTCTGGCCTAGGGAGAGTCCCTGTTTCCTCTTTTTCTTCCTTTTCACCCAACAAAACCCTGCTTCACTTACCCTCCAAGCTGTTTGCGAGCCTAAATTTTCATGGCGGGATGGACAAGGACCCCATCTTTAGCTGAACTGAGGAAAGTCTTGTAACATTTTTGGTGTGCAACGTAGGGGCTCAAGAAGTGGCAAGTGAAATGGGGACTCAAAATCTTTCACTGTTGCTCCTAAGCCTTTCCATCCTCGGATTTCTGAGGGTGAGGAAACCATGGCCCCAACCCCCGTTGCTCTCGGGCCTTTTCAAGGCCTTTTCCTTTCTTTTTCTTGACTGACCAGTGAGCAGTAGCTCCTCGCTTCTCTCCCCTGTCTGCTGGGAATTGGACACATGGCCCAAGGTGGCCAGGATGGCTGACTGGTGTTTTCCCAGCAGCTGGAGCCTTTCCCTTCCCCGGTTAGCGGGTTGAACTTCTATCGGACAGTAATTAATCCATTTATGCTGGAAGTTGCAAATTTTTTTGTGTGAAAAATCAGACCTTGGTGATGACCTTGAGCAGCAGGATATAAATGACTCCCACAACCTTAGCATTCCAATAATGGAACGCTAGGTATAAATGGATTAAGCTTAAACTTTTCTCCCTGCTGGAGGAACCAGTTGCATAAGAATAAGAGATTCTTCTTCAGGCATTTTTAAACTGTTTCTTTTCTTTACCCTTCTCCACCCCATCAGCAGTTAACTTTGGAAGTTTTTTTTTTTTTTTTTTTTTTTTTTTGAGTCAGAGTCTCGCTCTGTCACCCAGGCTGGAGTGCAGTGGCGAGATCTCGGCTCACTGCAACCTCCGCCTCCCAGGTTCACACCATTCTCCTGCCTCAGCCTCCCAACTAGCTGGGACTACAGGCGCCCGCCACCACGCCGGCGAAATTTTTATGTTTTTAGTAGAGACGGGGTTTCACCGTGTTAGCCAGGATGGTCTCGATCTCCTGACCTCGTGATCCACCCGCCTCAGCCTTCCAAAGTGCTGAGATTACAGGCATGAGCCACCGCGCCTGGCCGGAAGTTTTTTTCCCCCTCTTTTAGAAGATGTTTTTACTAGGCCAGGCCCCCCTAATTATCACTGTTAGTACTCTCTGTAAACTTTTGATTGTGAAAAAGGATCTTGTGGGGACTGGGTTTTCTTCTGCCTGCGTGTGTATTGTGTGTAATGTCTGTAAAAATAACTCTAATTAATTTGGCCTAAAGAAAAACAAGTGCTTGGATCAAGTATTTTTTTTTAAGGGAAGTTAAAAGCTGTAGTAACTTTCAGTTTGTGACTTTAATCTTTGAGAAATAAAAACAACCTTAAAGATTATTGGTAAAATGCAGGTGTCATTAAAATGTAAATAGGTGAACTAACCTATGCAGGTAAGATGCAAGGTTTGCTAAGTGTTTTGAGGTTACTAACTGCTTTTTGGGTTTTGAGAACTATTTGACTTGCTAGCTTCACAACTGGTAAGGCCTGGGGAAATATGGAATTAATCATGCCCTTTACTAAGAAGGCAAACCTTGGCCGCAGTGAGCACACAGTTAAAGCAACTTACCAAGTTTTACCTTAAAGTTAAAAATTGCTAGGGGTTAATCGAAACTACTGGGAATAGATTTATATGCAAGGTGTGTAAGAACAGTAAAATGTGTTTTTTAGTAAAAGGTTATAAGGAGGCATAGAAATGTAAATTTTGCCTAGGGTTAAAGAATAGTTTTGAGTTAGACAGGGAAACTGAAGGTTCAAAGAGGTGGAGGAAGAATTGTGGAAATTTATCTCACAGAAGAGGTTCTCTGTGTGAATATATTGACTAAATTAAAAGAAATAAGGTATTATGTGTTTTTTCTGTAAATTGAGCATTGAAATAAAAGCATAACAAGGTTTTCCTAAGGTGCTAATCTGCTCTTTGGCAAAATTTGTGAAGGGTTATAAAAGGCTTTTGCTTCTTTAGAATTTCTGAGTCATCATTTTGGCAAAATACATAACTTACGGTAATCTGGAATTCTATTTTATAATATCAAGTCTTTTTAAAACTTAACATATTTAGTAGCCTTCCCAAAATCAAACTTAAGTTTCAAAATTGTCTTCTCTGGCACCTGACTTTCAGATAGTCCAGAGGGACTTGGAATGTCCAGAAAAAGGAAGTAAGCAGGGTTATTTGACATGGTTAGGTATACGGAATTGCCAAAATGATGCTCAGTCTTCTTTAGGTTATATTTTGGTGAATAATGCTAATATATGTTCCAAAACGGTATGAGATTTTATAAAATTCAAATGTCTGAGTATATGCTATCATTCATAATTAAGATTTTTATGTTAAGTTACTGTAAGCCATGAAGATAACCAAACTTCTTTATCATTGTGTTTTTAACTGTAACTACCCTGGACATTTTGCTATTCACAGATAATTGTTGTCTTGTTTAATCCTTTTCAAAAGATGGTTTATAATAAGCTGTAGGACTCTGATAGGTGCTCTTAAATACAATTTCTGATTGTATTTGAGGCAATCAGGTTTCTGTTAACTTTAGAGATTGTAACATTGGAACAAAGAAAAATGTACAGGACTCATGAAGAGCTGAAATAGTCACAAATATAAAGCAAAACAAGAGTTAACTAAAGGGACTGAACTCAGAAAGCTGAAGCAACCTTTTTGACTTTTGCTTAGAATATTGCTGATCCTTGTTTGTTCTGCAGAGTCAAGGAAATTTATTTTGAACTATTTATAGCCTTTAATAATTAAGTAAGGTATACATCCTGTGATCAAAATTTGGAGCATGTTTGTTTCTCTCTGCCTGGTTCCTCTAGAATTTAGAAACTATCTGTGGATATTCTTAACTTATGGCAGTATAGTTGCTTGTATCAGTGCAATAAGAATCCATTTTTCTTTTGCAACAGGACACGACTGGAGAAAGTGATTATTTTACCAAGTCTTTGACTGGTAGGATATGCTTCCCTTTAAGGAGTCAGTCTCAACTTGTAGAACCAATTAAAGCCCAGTGGGGAAACTGGCCTCATACCCCTGTCTACACAGTCCCTGTATAGGGTTCCTGACCTGTGGTCAGTAAAGAATGTCACTTTCTAACAGGCCTAGGAGTTCCAAGTTTATCTTGGGACCTTATGAGGAGAGGATCACCCAACTCACAGGTATTTCAGGATACAAACCCCTGGCTAGACTGGGCTTTAAAAGGTCTTATCTGGGATTCCTTCAAAAGGTCCTGTCTGTGATTGGGTGCAACCACCGTGCACACAAAGTGTGGAATACGCTTCCATCAAAGCCAATCCAAAAGGCCTAGATAGAAATAATTATTCTTGCTGCACTTTATGAAAATAATCAGGCAAAGTATAAGACTAAAGTATTTTGCAAACCACTCAGCCCTATGATGATTTGTTTTTTTAACAAAAATGAGTCTAGAGAGAGAGAAGTTATGTTTCAAAACTTATCATACATTTGTCATTAAATTCTAAACTCATTAGATGTTTTTAAGTTTTTGCCTACATTTTAGACTAATTCTGCTTGTTCCTGTGAAACAACCAGTAAACTCCAGCTGCAGATCAGAAAGAACAAGAGGGATGAGTAATGTAAAAGTCTGGATCAATATTCTAGTTCTGAGCAATTATCTGGCAAATCCTGCCAGGTGATGGAATAAATAGGGTGCCCATCACCAGAGGTTTCCTTTTTGGGAAAGTAAAACCAAAGGAACTAACTAAGCCATCCACCATGCACCCAAATCCTAGCAAGCTTAACTGTAGCTACCAGTTATCTGGATGTGTCACAAGACATCCTTTCCTCTCCCTTGTTGGAGGAGGACTCAGTTCCACAGTTTCCCTTAGCATTCAGCTTATGATAAGGAGTCCAGGTACCCCACTGAGACACATTTTTATCCCAAACTCAATTTAAAGCTTTGAGTCAAAGCCCTAGGAAGGAAAACTGGATCTGAGAGATCCAAAGGAAGACAATAATGGAAGTTAAAAGGCACAGCACAGGTTAGTGTGGCTGATTCCTGCCAATTAAGCCACCCCCAAGCTTCCTGTTTCATGGATAAATGCCACATTAATATCCATGGCATAAATGAGCTCTAGGGAACTCCAAGGCTACTGACAATAAGGGAGATAGAGGCATAGGTGAGAGCTCATGATAATTCCTATTCTCTAGGCCCTCCCTGCTTCATAGGTACAAACCACTTTGGCACTCATGGCAGGATCTGCCAAGGTCATCGGGACTTGGGGATGCAAAGATGGAAGAAAGAAAGAGGATGCTCTGTCTTCACTACCTCGTGTACCTTGGGTATCTGCTAGGAAGAGGAGACCACGGATGCCTGCTTCCCTCTTTCTAAATGGGTAGCCATTCATTTTCAGTCTCTACCACTTTCCAATGCATCCTGAAGCCCTGGGACTCCAAAAAAAAAAAAACCCTTTTTTGTTTTCTCTCTTCTTCTGTCCTCTCTTCACTGATAGGTAATTGTGTCTTCATACTATTAGACACTCCCCTCAAATGTATCCTCCAAACTAGAGTTACTTTCTCAATCATTAAACTGGTTGGCTTAGTTTAGGATCAGGGGAAGGGAACTCAGAAGCCCAACATATTGGCAATAGGGTAAAGTTTTTTTGCCAGTCGACGTTTTGGCCTCCCTCTCCCTGTGCAAACTGGCAAAAGGTCTTGGGATTTTTGAGCTGTCCTTACCCCTCCCTTTGTTTCGTTTTGATACATGTGTTCTAATAATCTGATTTGTCTGTTCTTGCCTTCAGGCCATCAAACTCCAAACAGTCATACAACCAGAGTTTCTGACGATGGCTTCTTCTGCTGGGAACCCTTAGATAGGTCGCTGAGAGAGCTCTAACTGCCATTTCCCCCAAAACAGCACCCCATGCCAGTAGGAAACAGTTAAAATTGGTCTTCATCCTTATCCTTAATGTAATGGCAGTTAGATATACTTCATTAGAATGGGGAATGAGACAGCCAGATGGGAGGGGGATACTTGGAGAAACTCCAACCAGCCTGCCCACTGAGGTGGAGCCTCTAGAAGTTCACGAAGTATGCAGCAGGGAGGATCCTGGCCCCTCCTCATCCTGTGTGGAAGCTGGGATTCAAACTGCTGGGCAGGAAGTGCTCTAGCAGGCACTCTGGCCTAGCAAGAGTCCCTGTTTCCCCATTTTCTTTCTTTTCATCCAATAAAACCCTGCTTCCGTCACCCTTCAAACCATCTGTGAGCCTAAATTTTTGTGGCTGTGGAATGGACAAGGACCTCGTTTTAGATAATGTAAAAAAAGTTCTGCACAACACCTCCCCTCCTGGCCAATGTCATAGGCTGTTGTTGAGTATCTGTGGCTTTTCCAGGAACACAGAGCAAGCTGTCAGTGGATCTACCATTCTGGGTTCTGGAGGATGGTGGCCCTCTTCTCACAGCTCCACTAGGCAGGGCCCCAGTGGGAACCCTGTGTGGGCGCTCCAACCCCACCTCTCCCTTTCACACTACCCTAGCAGAGGTTCTCCATGAGGGCCTCCCGTCTGTAGCAAACTTCTGCCTGAACATCTAGGGATTTCCATACATCCTCTGAAATCTAGGCAGAGGTTCCCAAACTTCAGTTCTTGATTGCTGTGCACTCATAGGCCCAACATCATGTGCAAGTTGCCAACAGTTGGGGCTTGCACACTCTGAAGCAATGGCCTGAACTGTATGTTGACCCCTTTTAGCCACAGCTAGAGCTGAAACAGCTGGGATGCAGGGCACCACACCATGTTCAGTGGCTGCATAGAGCAAGGAGGCCTTGGGCCCAGCTCATGAAACTTTTTCCCTCCTAGGCCTCCAGACCTGTAATGGGAGGGGTTGCCATGAAGATCTCTGACATGCCCTCGAGACATTTTTCCCATTGTCTTGGTGATTAACATTGGGTTCCTCCTTAGTTATGCAAATTTATGCAGGCTGCCTGATTTTTTTCTTCCCAAAAAATGAGTTTTTCTTTTATACTGCATTGCCAGGTTGCAAATTTTCCAAACTCATTCTCTCACCTCTTGAACGCTTTGCCACTTAGAAATTTCTTCCACCAAATACTCCAAATACTCTCTCTCAAGTTCAAAGTTCCATAGTTCTCTAGGGCAGGGATTAAATGCCACCCGTCTCTTTGTTAAAACCTAGCAAGAGTCACCTTTATTCCAGTTTCCAACAGGTTCCTCATTTCCATCTGAGACCATTTCAACCTGGACTTTATTGTTCATATCACTATCGACATTTTGGTCAAAGCCATTCAACAGGTCTCTAGGAAGTTCCAAGCTTTCTCACATTTTCTTATCTTCCTCTGAGACATCCAAAATGTTCCAACCTCTGCCTGTTACCCAGTCCCAAAGTCACTTCCACATTTTTGGGTATCTTTAGAGCAGCACCCCATTCTACTGGCACCAATTTATTGTATTAGTTTGTTCTCACACTGCTAGTAAAGACATAACCCAAAACTGGGTAATTTATAAAGGGAAGAAGTTTAACTGATTCACAGTTACAGATATTGGGGGGGCCTCACAATCATGGTGGAAAGTGAAGGAGAAGCAAATTACATCTTATATGATGGCAGGCTAAGAGTGTGTGCAGGGGAACTTCCCTTTATAAAACCATCAGATCTCATGAGACTTATTCGCTATCAGAAGAACAGCATGGGGGAAAAAAACACCCTCATGATTCAGTTACCTCCAGCTGGGTCTCTCCCACAACATGGGGAATTATGGGAGCTACAATTCAATATGAGATTTGGGTGAGGACACAACCAAACCATATCGAATAGGAAGGATGTCCTGGAGGGCAGAAACCAGGGTAAAGAAGCAGAGCTGAAAGGTAACGAGAACTACTGCTAGGCTTTAAAACCTAATCAAGGAATTTCCAGTATTCTGCAAGCTAACAACTGCTCTAGACCAGTGGCTACTTTTTTATCTCCAAATTTCCCCTTATTTAAATAATAATTTTAATAGCTGCCATCCTTCATCTATTCTACCACTGTATGATGGAGTGTGTGTGGGTGTGGTGGTAGGGCTTGATGGTGGGCTGCAGCAAATACACGCTAAGATGGGCCCCAATTACCCCTACTTCCTTACATAAGATTCTTCTCTTGATTGTGCGCAAGACCTATGACTTGTTACTAACCAATGTAATATTGATCTTTTTAGTTTAGTTTTGTTTTGCTTTTCCAAATCATAATTTCTCACTTGAGTTGAGTCACTTCTGTTGCTAAGTCTAACTAATGGTTTCTGGTTTAATGTGTTTGGAGAATTATTGTTTATTTTACAATCTACTTGATTATTTTTGAAGTCTTATGATTATTATTTGCTTATTCAGCCTAATGTTTTGTATTGCCAAATGCATTAAATATAATTATTTCCATTCTTGACTTCCAATGTCTTGTTGTAGCACTAATGGTTAGTCTGTTTATTGTCTATTCTTGTTCTTGTTTATGTTGCCTTATTGCTTTATATTTGTGAGCTCCTACCTCTTGGAACATTACGTGTAGGTTTTATTGAGGCCTAAGTTGTAATTGTGTTCCTACACAGGAGATGTGTGATTGCTGCTGGCAGATGCTTGCAGACAATATAATTTCCTTTATTACATTGCAATATATTCATAATTTAAAAATGTAATGACAAGCAAGGAGCATGTATTAGGGCTGAAAACTTGCCTAGAGGCTTGCTTGTGTTTACTAAATCTCTTGGGAGACTTTCCTGTCCATTTAGCAATTTTTTCCAAGCAGTATTTTTTCCTGGAAATCTCCTCAGCAGTGGGCAAGATTATTTATAATTTATACTCAAATTAATGCTCTGGACCATAGGATACCAACTTCTTGCAGGAGGAAGAGAAAAGCTGGAGTCTTGTAACATAGGTAGATGGACCTGCACCAGTTTTCCCTGAGGCCATGAAAAAGAAACTTGAATTTATTCACTTTATCAAATGCCTTCCAGGTAAATGCAAGTCTCTGTCTATGCTTCTTTCTCTGGGTTTTATTTTCGCTTGATGTCTGGCCTCAAAGTATTAATATAAACGTTTAAATAAGTGTCTCAAAACATTTAAGCAACTGTTTTACATGTTTTCAGAGATGGGTTGACCAGGATACCTAATCAAATACTCTCTTGAAATCAGAATTTCTTAATGTTCTATAATCAGCTTTCAAACTTCACATCCTTCATAACTTAAGTCCCAGGTTCTTTCAAACTTAAACAAAATGTATAGTACTTAAAGTTTAGAACAGTGTTATAGACTGAATTGTGTCTCCTAAAATTTATAACCCTAAATGTCACTCTATTTTGAGATAGATAATAAGATTGAATAAGATCACAAAAGTGGAACTTATGATATCCATAATAGCATTAGTATATGTTATGGACTACATATTTGTGTCTCCCCAAAATTTATGTGTAAAAATCTTAATGTTAACACTGCATGAGAAGATCTGAGGAGGTGAGGCCTTTGGGAAAAGATTAAGTCATGAGTATAATTAATACCCTTATAAAAGAGATCTGACCGAGCTCTCTTCCTTTTTAACCATGTGAGGACACAGCCAGAGGTTGGCAGTCTGCAACTAAAAGTCTATCACCATAACCTGACTATATTGGCACCTTGATCTTAAATGTCCAGCCTCCAGAACTGTGAGAAATAAACACTGGTTATTTATATGCCACCTAGTCTATAGTACTTTGTCATAGCAGCCCAAGTTGAATAAGATGGTGTTTTTATAAGAAGAGAGACTAGAAAGCTTGTTCTTATTTCTCTTGCTACTAAGACACAGTGAGAATGTATCCTTCTACAAGCCAGTAAAAGAACCCTTACCTGAAACAGAATCAGCTGGCACCTCAATCTTAAGACTTTCCAGCCTCCAAAACTGTAAGAAATAAATTCCTGTTGTTTAGGCCACCCAGTCTATGATATTTTATCAAGACTACTGGAACAGACTAATACAGATTTTAGCACCAAGAAATGGATTGCTGCTGTAACAAATATCTAAACATATGGAGGTTACTTTGAATCTGGACTGAAGCTAGAAAGGTTTTGAGGTGCAATTTTGAAATGTGAATGTTAAGGATAATTCTGCTGAGGGCTGAGATGTAAATGAGGAACATGGTATTGGGAACTGGAGGAAAGTTAATCCTTGTTATAGAGTAGCAAATAACTTGGCTGAACAATGGTCTAATGCACTGTAGTGTTAAAGTGCACTAAATATGGTAGGAGAAGAACTCCACACTTCTGTATGTGAGTCCTTGTGGATAAGTCATACCCTAACTTAATAGGTAGACAAGATTGAAAATCTAACTTAGGAGTATGTGTCTGTAACAATAACTGAGTCTTGGCCAATCCCAGCAGCCATACTTCAACCACTCATACACTGCTGAGTGTTCAAACTGTATTCACATAAGGCAAATGCCAACCTGTAACCAACCCAGCTGTTTCTGTACCTCACTTCTGATTTATGTACGTCACTTTACATTTTTGTCTATAAATTTGTTCTGACTATGAGGTGCCCCTGGAGTCTCTCTGAATCTGCTGTGCTTCTTGGGGCTGCCTGATTCAGAAATCATTCATTGCTCAATTAAACTCTATTAAATTTAATATGGCTGAAGTTTTCTTTTAACAGATGGTGTCAGGAGTGTGTTCTGAAGCTGAGCTCCTAACGACCCCCAGGAGCACTGAGTGAACAAGCAAGTTACCTGCAAGGACCCACCTGTGCTCTTTAATCTCTCAGAATGGCTGGGAATCATGGTAAGTTCTTTCTTGGATTTCAGAGCTCCATGGATTTGTGTTTTGAGCTCTCTGAGTTTCTTTGAACAAATTTCTGTTCCAAACTGGTTTTGGAAGTCACAACAGAAACTGGACTGGATCTAGAATCAGATTTGATCCAGTAATTAACTGGCTTGGATCTAGTTAGAGGCCTCTTAAATTTGACTGGATCAGAAAGAAACTGGTAGTAAATGGTAATGTTGTAGGGGTTGTACAAGTTGGCTTTTGAAAATTCACAGGAATTTTTGTGTTCTACTCCTTAGTTTCATTTTTCTTGTGTGATCAGGTAGGAAAAAAAATTATTGACTAAGTTAATCAAGGTAACTTGAGAATAAAGCCAACATTTTAGGTTAAAATGGGATTCTTAATTTCTGCAAAACTAAGTTCCTTCCAGCTTATGTATTAGGCCAGGAAAGCAGCAAAGTCTTACATAAATGGCAAAATCTTACTGAAGATAACTTACACTGGAATGTTCAGAATGAACAATGCACTGAAGTGCATTAGAAAATTGAGGGTTCCAAAATTAGTCTCATCTAAGGATGTCTATTAATATGAAGAAGATTCTAAAACAATTTAGAGATAATGGGGCCCATCTAGGAGCAAGTTTGAGCCTTGCCTGTTTAATATTGGGTACTAAGCGGAGTGGCTAACCTCTATGTTTTGTCACACATATTTTGCTCTGGCTAGAATGAAAAATGTTAACTTGGTTACCCCATGCAACCTCTTTGGCACTACAGTTAAAAGTCAGTTTAATTAAAAGTGGATATTCAAGCTCTAACAGCCTGGGGCTGCTTGGTAAAAAGAGAGGAGGGGCCATAGACCTAGTTTTGGGAAAAACCTGTTTTCCTCATGAAACCCTTGAAACTGGAAGTGGATAGATTCTTCTCAAAATGTAAGACTTTGTTTTGTTTTGCATTGCATTATGTGACATTTTTGACTTTTGGGAGTGTCAGAAATTACTTCATATTATAAGAGAGTTTTGGCATGTAATAACTAGGTATGAATTATATTTTTAGGGATGTTTAATGGCAATTATGTGACTATTCGGCTCTTTGCTTTTGGATCAGAGAAGCACGCTCTTGGCTGCCTAGGAATATGGAGTTTTCCCCACCCCCACTGAGAGATAAGACTCCCATGGGAGATGGGCTGATTCCATCTTTTTGGGACCCAGAATATGGCATAAAAATAGGGATGGGACCATTAATTGCTGATCTGTTTTGCCTTTCAGCTGTGCCTGCTTATTATATTATTCCCTAGAAACTGTATGCTTTCCTGGACATGTTCCTCCAAGGACTCTACCCCTAGAGCCAGAATTCCACTTAAAAAACATAAAAACTGGCAAACGAAAAATGTTACAACTACTGGAGCTTCTTCTGTCTGTCTGTGTAGTTATATGTGTGTTGTGTGTGTGATGTTTATATAAAAGAGGTCTAATTAATTGGCTTAAAAAATAAGCATTTAAATCAAATACTTTCAAAGAAAACTAAAAACTGTAATGTCTTTTAGTTTATGTAACTTTAGTAATCTTTGGGAAATAAAAACAGCTTTAGAGATTATTGATAAAGACATTTGGTCTAAATTGGGTGGATCAGATATTATGTCTGCTAAATTATGCTTTAAGGTCATAAACTGCTTCTTTGGCTTCTGAAAGTTTTTTGACTTGCCTGCTTTACAGTTTGGTAAGGCCTGGGGAGCTGTGGATTTCGCCACACCCCTAGCTATGTTGGAGAGAGTTGGGCCTTAACTGCACCTAGTACATAACTAAAATAGCTTACCAGGATTTCCACCAACATTAAAAATTGCTAAAAGCTACCATTAGCACATGTAAGGGAGACTACTGAAAAAAAAATTTTTTTTATTATACTTTAAGTTTTAGGGTACATGTGCACAACGTGCAGGTTAGTTACATATGTATACATGTGCCATGTTGGTGTGCTGCACCCATTAACTCATCATTTACATTAGGTATATCTCCAAATGCTATCCCTCCCCCTCCCCCCACCCCACAACAGGCCCCAGTGTGTGATGTTCCCCTTCCTGTGTCCCTGTGTTCTCATTGTTCAGTTCCCACCTATGAGTGAGAACATGCGGTGTTTTGTTTTTTGTCCTTGTGATAGTTTGCTGAGAATGATGGTTTCCAGTTTCATCCATGTCCCTACAAAGGACATGAACTCATCCTTTTTTATGGCTGCATAGTCTTCCATGGTGTATATGTGCCACATTTTCTTAATCCAGTCTATCATTGTTGGACATTTAGGTTGGTTCCAAGTCTTTCCTATTGTGAATAGTGCTGCTATAAACATACATGTGCATGTGTCTTTATAGCAGCATGATTTATTATCCTTTGTTATATACCCAGTAATGGGATGGCTGGGTCAAATGGTATTTCTAGTTCTAGATCCCTGAGGAATCATCACACTGACTTCCACAGTGGTTGAACTAGTTTACAGTCCCACCAACAGTGTAAAAAGTGTTCCTATTTCTCCACATCCTCTCCAACACCTGTTGTTTCCTGACTTTTTTAATGATTGTCATTCTAACTGGTGTGAGATGGTATCCCATTGTGGTTTTGATTTGCATTTCTCTGATGGCCAGTGATGATGAGCATTTTTTCATGTGTCTTTTGGCTGCATAAATGTCTTCTTTTTAGAAGTGTCTGTTCATATCCTTTGCCCACTTTTTGATAGGGTTGTTTGTTTTTTCCTGTAAATTTGTTTGAGTTTATTGTAGATTCTGTATATTAGCCCTTTGTCAAATGAGTAGATTGCAAAAATTTTCTCCCATTCTGTAGGTTGCCCGTTCACTCTGATGGTAGTTTCTTTTGCTGTGCAGAAGCTCTTCAGTTTAATTAGATCCCATTTGTCAATTTTGGCTTTTGTTGCCATTGCTTTTGGTGTTTTAGACATGAAGTCCTTGCCCATGCCTATGTCCTGAATGGTATTGCCTAGGTTTTCTTCTAGGGTTTTTATGGTTTTAGGTCTAACATTTAAGTCTTTAATCCATCTTGAATTAATTTTTGTGTAAGGCGTAAGGAAGGGATCCAGTTTCAGCTTTCTACATATGGCTAGCCAGTTTTCCCAGCACCATTTATTAAATAGGGAATCCTTTCCCCGTTTCTTGTTTTTGTCGGGCTTGTCAAAGATCAGATAGTTGTAGATATGTGGCATTATTTCTGAGGGCTCTGTTCTGTTCCATTGATCTATATCTCTGTTTTGGTACCAGTACCATGCTGTTTTGGTTACTGTAGCCTTGTAGTATAGTTTGAAGTCAGGTAGCGTGATGCCTCCAGCTTTGTTCTTTTGGCTTAGGATTGACTTGGCAATGCAGGCTCTTTTTTGGTTCCATATGAACTTGAAAGTAGTTTTTTCCAATTCTGTGAAGAAAGTCATTGGTAGCTTGATGGGGATGGCATTCAATCTATAAATTACCTTGGGCAGTATGGCCATTTTTGCGATATTGATTCTTCCTACCCATGAGCATGGAATGTTATTCTTCCATTTGTTTTATGAGGCCAGCATCATCCTGATACCAAAGCCTGGCAGAGACACAACAAACAAAGAGAATTTTAGACCAATATCCCTGATGAACATCGATGCAAAAATCCTCAATACAATACTGGAAAACCGAATCCAGCAGCACATCAAAAAGCTTATCCACCATGATCAAGTGGGCTTTATCCCTGGGATGCAAGGCTGGTTCAGCATACTCAAATCAATAGACATAATCCAGCATATAAACAGAAACAAAGACAAAAACCACATGATTATCTCAATAGATGCAGAAAAGGCTTTCGACAAAATTCAACAACGCTTCATGCTAAAAACTCTCAATAAATTAGGTATTGATGGGACGTATCTCAAAATAATAAGAGCTATTTATGGCAAACCCACAGCCAATATCATACCGAATGGCAAAAACTGGAAGCATTCCCTTTGAAAACTGGCACAAGACAGGGATGCCCTCTCTCACCACTCCTATTCAACATAGTGTTGGAAGTTCTGGCCAGGGCAATCAGGCAGCAGCAGGAAATAAAGGGTGTTCAATTAGGAAAAGAGGAAGTCAAATTGTCCCTGTTTGCAGATGACATGATTGTATATCTAGAAAACCCCATCGTCTCAGCCCAAAATCTCCTTAAGCTGATAAGCAACTTCAGCAAAGTCTCTGGATACAAAATCAATGTGCAAAAATCACAAGCATTCATATACACCAATAATAGACAAACAGGGAACCAAATCATGAGTGAACTCCCATTCACAATTGCTTCAAAGAGAATAAAATACGTAGGAATCCAACTTACGAGGGATGTGAAGGACCCCTTCAAGGAGAACTACAAACCACTGCTCAATGAAATATATCTTCTTTAGTGGAGTGTCTGTTCAGGTCTTTTGCCCATTTTTAAATTAGCTTGTTCAATTTATTATTGTTAAATTTTAAGGGTTCTTTTCATATTTGGGTTAACAGTCCTTTATCAGATGTGCCTTGTGCAAATATATTCTGTCTCTGGCTTATATTCTCATACTTTCGTCATTATGTTGCACGGATAAAAAGTTTTTCATTTTAATATAGTCAAACATCAACTTTTTAAAATAAATCATGTCTCTTGCGTTATATCTAAAAACACGTCACCATACCAAGGTTATGTAGGTTTTCTCCTATATTATCTCTTAGGAGTTTTATGGTTTTGTCCTTTACATTTAGGTCTATGATCAATTACAATTAATTTTTTGAATTGTGTAAGGTCTATCCAATGTTTAATTTTATGTGTCAATTTGACTGGGTTATATGATGCCCAAGTAGCTGGCAAAGCATTATTTCTGGATGTGTCTGTGAGGGTGTTTCTGGAATAGATTAGCATTTGAATTGGTAGACTGCATCCACCAATGCAGGTGGGAATCATTGAATCTGTTGAGTTCCTAAATGGAACAAAAAAGCAGAAGGCGGCAAATGTGTACTATATGTGACATGGGACATCCATATTCACCCTCAAAAACCTGTGCTAATTGTTCTTGTGACTGTAGGCTGGGACTTTCAGCCTTCCATAATAAGTCAATTCCTGTCCATAAATATCTACCCATTTTTATCCCATTGGTTCTGTTTCTCTGAAGAACCCTGAGTATACAGTATGAATTGAAATTCTTTGTGTGTGTATGCATGTGTGTGTGTGTGTGTGCATGTGTGTTTGCGTATGTGATATCCAGTTGTCCCGGCACCATTTGTTGGAAAGACTATCTGCTCAATTGTATTATTTTTGCTCCTTTGTCAAAGATCAATTGACATGTTTATGTGGATCTATTTCTGGGCTTTCTATTGTGTTCCATTGATCCATATTTTCCAGTTCCACAAAGCGTTGGTTAATGTGACTTTATAGTAGTCTTTAAGTCAGGCAGTGTCTGTCCCCAACTTTGCTATTCTAGTTCAATATTGAGTTGGCTATTCTAGATATTTTGACTCTCCTTTTGAATCAGTTTGTCATGAACTTTTGAATCAGTTTGTCAATATCTACAAAAACTTATTGAGAATTTGATTGCAATTGGGTTCAATCTATAGATCATATTGGGAAGACCTAATATTCTGACAAAATTGAATCTGTCTATCCAGAACCTGGGACATTTCATTATTTAGTTAGGTCTTCTTTGATATCTTTCAGAGTTTCAGAGATTTCCTTACATGGATTTTGTACTTATTTTGTGAGATTTATATCTCAGCATTTCATTTTTGGGCTACTAATGTAAATAATAATGTGTTTTTAATTTCACATTTCACTTGTGCATTGCTGATGTAAAGGAAAGTGATTGACTTTTGTACATTAGCCTTTATCTTGCAATCTTGCTATAATCACTTATTAGTTCCAGAAGTTCAGAAGGATTTTGAATGAAAAATTGCATGTGATACTGAAAAGTAGAGTAGTATAAAAGTAAAAAGTTAAATTCTAGCTTGGATTCATAATTTTGCTTTCTTTCTTTATTAAATATAGGAATACCTTGTTCTTAAGTAGTTGTCAATTTAGTATTTTAAAATTAATGGTACACTGCAAATACTTAGGAACTTGGAAGACAATCACACAGTGAGTCCAAGATTCTATTGGATTCACTAAGAAATAAACTTGGATAGAAACACTTTGTATTTGGTGATTGCTTCAGAGCATTATGTACAATCAGAGATGACTTATAATATTCAATGGTGTAGGCTATGGAATAAAATTGTCTGTATCCATTTCTATGCTACGTCATTTGCTAGATGTATAACTTCGCAATAAATTCTCTGTGCCATTGTATTCGTATCTGTGAAATGAGGAAACAATGTCTACTGCATAATGTTGTGACGACAATTAGATAAAATAATGCAAAGCATTAATAATAGTTTCTGGTTCTGTTAGCACATGCTAGTACTTGTCTCAGTGGGTCTAGCATTTCAGTAGTTAGTCTCTATTGTTCCTGTTATATCTCCATATTGTGTTGTTAGTAACGTACGCCTATTTCTCAATATTTGCATTTTATTGAGACAGAGTGTTACTCTTTCACCCAGGCTAAAGTGCAGTGGCATGATCACAACTCACTGCAGCCTTGACCTCCAGGGCTCAAGTGATCCTCCCACTTCACACTATCAAAGTGTTGGGATTACAAGAGAGAGCCATCCTTCCCAGCCAATATTTGCATTTTAAAATCTACTGGTGAAAATAACTTTTACTGACTCTCTCTGTTTCTACTCTTGGATGACAAAAATTCATTCTTTAAGTAGTAGGTAAATTGCATGTAAAAATATAAATCAATGTAGTCTACATCTCTGCTAAAAATAACAACAACATCAAGTTCTTCTGTTTTTAGAATAAAATCCATAAATTTTCTGTGTCTTATGAAACATGGTCCCAGTTAACTTTCACTTTTTCATAGTGCTCTTTTTCAACCACTGTAAGAATGAACCAGTCTCACCACCAACATTCTACCACCACTTTCAACACATACACACTCCCACTACACACACGCATTTCACACTATACACACACATGCACACAAATGCAGGCTCATCAGCAAGACCACCACTACTTTTTGTTAGTCCTAGTAACCTGCTAAAGAGCATGTCTCAGTTTGCTATTTTGTGGTTTATTTATGTGTTTGCTGAAGTATTATTTTCATCCCCCTTTAGAAAATAAGTTCCAGCTGGGCTCGGTGGCTCACGCCTATAATCCCAGCACTTTGGGAGGCTGAGGTGGGCGGATCACTTGAGGTCAGGAGTTGGAGACCAGCCTGGCCAACATGGTGAAACCCCATCTCTACTAAAAATACAGAAATTAGCCACAGGTAGTGGTGCACGCCTGTAATCCCAGCTACTTGGGAGGCTGAAGCAGGAGAATTGCTTGAACCCAGGAGGCAAAAGTTGCAGTGAGCCAAGATCACGCCACTGCAGTCCAGCCTAGGTGACAAGAATGAAACTCCATCTCAAAATAAAATAAAATAAAATAAGCTCCATAAAATTAGGAATTCTGATTTTCTTGTTCATCAATCTATTATCTAAGACAAAGCCTGACACATGACATGTAATATATAAATATACATTAAACAAAAGAATATAAATAACAATAGCTTTTTTGTGGGTTGCCTAATAATTTTGTTATAGGAGACTCCATATAATAGTACAATTATGGCCATGAACTGAGATAGCCATTAAGCTTGATCCATCCGAAGGTGGACTGGTTTTAACTTTTCAAACCTTTCTGTAGTGAGGAACATGAGATAGAGCAAGAGAATCATACAGATACAAATCAGACAATATAAAATTATTTTCTACTAAGTTTATATTTATTTCTTACATTGCAACTACCTAAAAAGTTGTATTTAGAAATAATTGGTAAGTATATCCAGATCTCCAAAATCAAATTTTTAATAAGTTTAGTGAAAAACCTATGTTTTCACAAATTTGCACAGATTATCATGCTTTGTATTATGCCTATAAATGGGGCAATGTTGAGTCCAAATAATAGCTGGCACTGAAAACGAGATTGAACAACACAACCTGATACTTATGTTAATCCGTTGAATATGAAATATCTGCTGAGACTCCCCAAAGCAATCAATTCAGAATAATCTATACTTCCCAATGGACGTATCAAATCAGAGTGAATTAGATGAGTTGGAAGTGCTATGCAAAAGCCATTATTTATCTCCAAATGAGTGAAGCAGGGCTACAACTAGTGCATGCCTTATCCTATCTATCATATGCACTATTTTGAAGCAATTATTAAAAAGTTGTGGATTAATAATAGATTTTTTTTCTTTCAGACTTTTGGTAAACTTTTTAAATTATCAAATCACAAATATCAAGAAACATTTGTTATGTTTAAAACCTAGAAACAAGTTGGCATAAAAGCATTCTCATAGTTATGCCTTTATTATTATCAATTATATACACATTCAAAGAAAATTAAAATCACTTTCAAAAGTACATTTAAAAAGTTACAATGAGAATAGCATTATTATGAGAGAACCACTGGAAAGTAGACTTGAGAGTGCACTGCCCCAATACCATCATAAACATAGGCATTGGTAACTGCATGGAAAGACGAGTGGGATCTTACATGTCATGCATTTGGTAAATTTGGCTAAAGGTGGTCTCAATGTGGCATCTGATTACCCAGTTTAGTTTTATTTGAAAAGACAGTTGAAGGGAATGTTTCAAACTCTAATGCAATGAAGTATATATGCATTTAATCAATACTTATTGCGTACTTACTAGGCTCTAGGTATTATCTGGTTATATATCAGAGAACAACAATAATAACAAAATTATCTCTTCTCAGTAGAGGCAGACAAGCAAAACTAACTAAATAAGTCATGTAGTAGGTTATCCAGTAAGTGCAGTGAGAAAAAATAAAGTAAGGAAGATAGGATTGTGTTGGAGAGAGCACTACAAGTAATATATGTGGTCAGGTGATGTCTCAATAAGAGGATGATAGCTAAATAAATGCTGGAGAGCTTGAGGAAGTGAGTCACCCTGAAAGTATAAGAATGCAGTGGTAGAGAAGATGATGGTGACAGATTTGAAATTTATTTGGAAGAATCTCCTGAATGATTGAGTATATGTTTTAAGAAAAAAATATTTGATCTCAAAGATAATAACTGAGTTTAAGAGACTGATAGAAACAGGTTTGAATCAGAAGAATTGTGGTTTGGCTATGTTACTTTGAGATGCCTTAGGAAATGCTACTTTGAGGATGCAGAAAAAAATGAACTACTATACACTGATGTTGGGAATGTAAATTGTACAATCTCCATAGAAATCAGAATGGAGACTCCTCAAATAACTAGGCATTTGACTTGATTTGTAAAGACAAGAAGGGACATGCATATAATTTTTTTTGACAAGCTGTGGAATAGAGCTTTCTAAATATATTGAAAATTAAAAAAAATTTTCAGCTATTAAAAACAAATATTTAATGGGATTTATTAATAAAATATTTAGCTTTTTTCTAATATTAAATTATGTGATTTTAACTCATTTGTGAAGTTAAAAAGTATGCTAGTACGAATATTTTGTAGCTTTTGACATAATCCCCTTAAATACAATTGATTCATTTTGTACCCACCTTAAATATCAAACAAATATGTAATATATTTTACTCACTTCTTACAAAACAAAAACACTTTCAAATTAATAAATTACATATTAATGTACACCTTGAATGCTCATTAACAACTTAGGAGAAGTTCTGACTAAGGCATATTTGTTATTGCTTTTTCAAAGTAAATGTGTAAATTTCAGAAAGTGTTGGACAATATTTTATATAAAAATTGGCTTAGGATAAGTTTCAACTTGCTAATCTCTCAATCTTGGTAAAATGACTAGTAAAGCTCCCTTAAAAGTTTATTGTTGGCTGGTCACGGTGGCTCACGCCTGTAATCTCAGAACTTTGGGAGGCTGAGGCGGGTGGATCATGAGGTCAGGAAATCGAGACCATCCTGGCTAACATGGTGAAACCCTGTCTCTACTAAAGTACAAAAAATTAGCCAGGCATGGTGGCCGGCACCTGTAGTCCCAGCTACTCAGGAGGCTGAGGCAGGAGAATGTCGTGAACCCGGGAGGTGGAGGTTGCAGTGAGCCAAGATCAGGCCACTGCACTCCAGCCTGGGCGACAGAGTGAGACTCCTTCTCAAAAATAAATAAATAAATAAATAAATAAATAAATAAAAATAAAAAATAAAAAAAGTTTATTGTTATGCCTATTACTTGTGTTAAATAAAACAAATTTTAAAGGGCAAATGAAAATTTTAACAAAATTATGTTGAAATATTTCTACAAAATCTACTAAAATATTCACAAGTGACTCAGTACTAAAAATAAATTACTGTATTAAGTAAATAGTAATATATTTTATTGATCCCAGAATATCTATAACATTAGGCTATATCTTACAATTTGAATTGGCAGTGCTTTTCTTATTCAGTGATACTAAAACCAAAGGTGTTTTAATCATTAAAATGTTAGAATGCATCAATATGACATACTAGCAGTTATTTATCAAAATGTATCACATAGCTAACACTGTGCTGGATTTTTAAATAGGCATTATTATCTGTCGTAAATGAAGTTACTAACATGTCTTAGTCTGTTCCTGCTGTGATAACAAAATATTTTATGCTGAGTAGTTGATAAACAAAACCAAAAGAAATAACAGAGTGAAAAGACAACTTGCAAAATGTAAGAAAATATTTGCAAACTATTCATCCAACAGGGGAATAGTATCTAGAATTTACAAGAAATTCAAGCAACTCAACAAAAATGCAAATGAACACAATATAAAGTGAGCAAATGAAATGAATAGATATTTTTTGAAAGAAGACATACAGATGGCCAGCAAGCATATAAAAACATGTTCAATATCACTAATCACAAGAGAAATGCAAATTAAAACGACAATGAAACATCATCTTGCACCAGCCTAAATGACTATTACTAAAATGTCAGAAAATAACACATATTGGTGAGGATGTGAAAAAAGGGAACTCTTATACACTGATGGTGGTAATATAAATTGTACACTGTCCATAGAAATTAATATAGAGATTTCTCAAATAACTAAAAATAGAGCTACCATTCAATACAGCAACTTCACTACTTGATATCTATTCAAAAGAAAAGAAATCATTATATAAAAAACACTTGCATTCCTATGTTTATCACAGCACTGTTCACAATAGCACAGATATGGAATTAACCTAAATATCTATGAACAAATTATTGAATTAATAAAGTATGGTGTATATATATACAATGGAATGCTGTCCAGCTCTCTGAACAAAAAATGAAGTCATGTCTTTTGCAGCAACAATGCAGAACTGGAGGCCATTATCTTAACTGAAACAATAAAGAAAATGAAAGTCAAACACCACATGTTCTCACTTATACATTGGAGCTAAATAATGTGGACATAAAATATGGAATAATAGACTTTCAAGCTAGGATAGAGAAGGAGAAAGGAGGTGGTGGTGAGAAACCAGTTAATGGGTACAAAGTACATGGTTTGGGTGATGGATAAACTAAAAGTCAAGACTTCACCACTATGCGATATATGCCTGAAACAAAATTGCACTCACTTTACCCCTTAAATTCCTAAGAATAAATAAAAAGAGAAATAAATTGATTTTTCGCAATTCTGGAGACTGGGAAGTCCAGGATTAAGGAAGTAGCAGATTTGATATCTGGACAGAGGTCTCTGCTTCATAGATGGCATCTTCTAGCTGTGTCTTCACAGGGTGGAAGAGACCAGTTATCTCACTAGGGTCTCTTCTATAAGGGCATTAATTCCATTCTTGAGACCTCCACCCTCATTACCTAGTCACCTCCCCACATTTCCACCTTAGTATCATCATCTTGGAGGTTAGGTTTCAGTATTTAAATTTTGGAGCCACCCCTACATTCAGAATATAACATAAGGCTAAGAGAAGCATAGTCAATGCTCCAAATCACCAAGGTATTAAGCAACAGAATCAGACTTGAATCCAGGTCATATTGTGTCCAAGCTTGATCTTACTCATCACACTGTATTTACTTAAATAACGTTTCTATG
Source organism: Homo sapiens (assembly GCF_000001405.40). Lineage (NCBI taxonomy): Eukaryota > Metazoa > Chordata > Mammalia > Primates > Hominidae > Homo > Homo sapiens. The sequence continues at coordinate 56,991,838 of NC_000013.11, forward strand.
AATGTATTATCACATTAGATTGAAAGTTGATGAAGCTGATCCTCTAGCTGTTTACAACCAACTAAAAGTGTGGCGCTGAGGGGAAGCAAATAGAGAAAAAAGAACATTTGTGGCAGTTTATATCTTCAGTCTCCTCAAAACCTAATCTACCATACTTAAAGCCTGATTACTGTGCCTTGACGGTGTTTTAATATTTTTCCCAATCAGCCATAATGCCTGGTCCAATCTTTCCTGTGCTACCTCTGGCACAAGTACCTTGGGTATCCTTCCCAAGTGGTGCATCTCAATAATTATAATAAGGAGATTTTATTCCTTGAATTTTAACCCTAGGTCTTTGGGTTTCTGTGATATCAAAGATATTTGTTACACACGTTACATAAGTTTAGGCTTATGTCAGTTTCCCACAACAGATCAAGAACTTGGGAAATAAAAGAAAATTTTAATATTTATACTTGTCCTGTCCTTGACCGATATGAACAACATCTATTCATGATTGAAACTATACCTCCAGTGGACATAAATGGACCATAAAATACTATAACTGGGCATGTATCTCCAAAGAGACATTTGGTATGTAAGGCAAGAATAGCTCCTGGTGATGGTAGGTGTATTTAAATCTCAGTGTTTCCAACTGAAAGGAGCCTATTTTTCTGAGAGAATGTGGCCAGGTCCCAGAATCTCAAAAGACCATACACCACCACTAAGAGAAAGCAGAATGATGTATAATTGCATATCGCTTTCAGCATTTTATTCAAAATTAATGTATATTCTTTTTTTTTGTTTTGTTTTCTAAGTAGGCTTTTATCCTTTATTTTATTTTATTTTATTATTATTATACTTTAAGTTTTAGGGTACATGTGCACAACGTGCAGGTTTGTTACATATGTATACATGTGACATGTTGGTGTGCTGCACCCATTAACTCGTCACAGCATTAGCTATATCTCCTAATGCTATCCCTCCCCCCCTCCCCCCACCCACAACAGTCCCTGGTGTGTGATGTTCCCCTTCCTGTGTCCATGTGTTCTCATTGTTCAATTCCCACCTATGAGTGAGAACATGCAGTGTTTGGTTTTTTGTCCTTCTGATAGTTTGCTGAGAATGATGGTTTCCAGTTTCATTCATGTCCCTACAAAGGACATGAACGCATCCTTTTTCATGGCTGCATAGTATTCCATGGTGTATATGTGCCACATTTTCTTAATCCAGTCTATCATTGTTGGACATTTAGGTTGGTTCCAAGTCTTTCCTATTGTGAATAGTGCTGCTATAAACATACATGTGCATGTGTCTTTATAGCAGCATGATTTATAATCCTTTGGGTATATACCCAGTAATGGGATGGCTGGGTCAAATGGTATTTCTAGTTCTAGATCCCTGAGGAATCACCACACTGACTTCCTCAATGGTTGAACTAGTTTACAGTCCCACCAACAGTGTAAAAGTGTTCCTATTTCTCCACATCCTCTCCAGCACCTGTTGTTTCCTGACTTTTTAATGATTGCCATTCTAACTGGTGTGAGATGGTATCTCATTGTGGTTTTGATTTGCATTTCTCTGATGGCCAGTGATGGTGAGCATTTTTTCATGTGTTTTTTTGGCTGCATAAATGTCTTCTTTTGAGAAGTGTCTGTTGATATCCTTCGCCCACTTTTTGATGGGGTTGTTTGATTTTTTCTTGTCAATTTGTTTAAATTCTTTGTAGATTCTGGATATTAGCCCTTTGTCAGATGAGTAGGTTGCAAAAATTTTCTCCCATTCTGTAGGTTGCCCATTCACTCTGATGGTAGTTTCTTTTGCTGTGCAGAAGCTCTTCAGTTTAATTAGATTCCATTTGTCAATTTTGGCTTTTGTTGCCATTGCTTTTGGTGTTTTAGACATGAAGTCCTTGCCCATGCCTATGTCCTGAATGGTATTGCCTAGGTTTTCTTCTAGGGTTTTTATGGTTTTAGGTCTAACATTTAAGTCTTTAATCCATCTTGAGTTAATTTTTGTATAAGGTGTAAGGGAGGGATCCAGTTTCAGCTTTCTACATATGGCTAGGCAGTTTTCCCAGCACCATTTATTAAATAGGGAATCCCTTCCCCATTGCTTGTTTTTGTCAGGTTTGTCAAAGATCAGATAGTTGTAGATAAGTGGCATTATTTCTGAGGACTCCGTTCTGTTCCATTGGTCTATATCTGTGTTTTGGTACCAGTACCATGCTGTTTTCATTACTGTAGCCTTGTAGTATAGTTTGAAGTCAGGTAGCGTGATGCCTCCAGCTTTGTTCTTTTGGCTTAGGATTGACTTGGCGATGTGGACTCTTTTTTGGTTCCATATGAACTTGAAAGTAGTTTTTTCCAATTCTGTGAAGAAAGTCATTGGCAGCTTGATGGGGATGGCATTGAATCTATAAATTACCTTGGGCAGTATGGCCATTTTCACAATATTGATTCTTCCTACCCATGAGCATGGAATGTTCTTCCATTTGTTTGTATCCTCTTTTATTTCATTGAGCAGTGGTTTGTAGTTCTCCTTGAAGAGGTCCTTCACATCCCTTGTAAGTTGGATTCCTACATATTTTATTCTCTTTGAAGCAAATGTGAATGGGAGTCCTCTCATGATTTGGCTCTCTGTTTGTTATTGGTGTATAAGAATGCTTGTGATTTTTGCACATTGGTTTTGTATCCTGAGACTTTGCTGAAGTTGCTTATCAGCTTGAGGAGATTTTGGGCTGAGATGACGGGGTTTTCTAGATATACAATCATGTCATCTGCAAACAGGGACAATTTGACTTCCTCTTTTCCCACAAAGGGAAGCCCATCAGACTAACAGCTGATCTCTCAGCTGAAACTCTACAAGCCAGAAGAGAGTGGGGACCAATATTCAACATTCTTAAAGAAAAGAATTTTCAAACCAGAACTTCATATCCAGCCAAACTAAGCTTCATAAGTGAAGAAGAACTAAAATACTTTACAGACAAGCAAATGCTGAGAGATTTTGTCACCACCAGGCCTGCCCTAAAAGAGCTCCTGAAGGAAGCACTAAACATGGAAAGGAACAACTGGTACCAGCCACTGCAAAAACATGCCAAATTGTAAAGACCATCAAGGCTAGGAAGAAACTGCATCAACTGAGGAGAAAAATAACCCGCTAACATCATAATGACAGGATCAAATTCACACATAACAATATTAACTTTAAATGTAAATGGGCTAAATGCTCCAACTAAAAGACACAGACTGGCAAATTGGATAAACAGTCAAGACCCATCAGTGTGCTGTATTCAGGAAACCCATCTCAAGTGCAGAGACACACAGAGGCTCAAAATAAAGGGATGGAGGAAGATCTACCAAGCAAATGGAAAACAAAAAAAGGCAGGGGTTGCAATCCTAGTCTCTGATAAAACAGACTTTAAGCCAACAAAGATCAAAAGAGACAAAGAAGGCCATTACATAATGGTAAAGGGATCAATTCAACAAGAAGAGCTAACTACCCTAAATATATATGCACCCAGTACAGGAGCACCCAGATTCATAAAGCAAGTCCTTAGTGACCTACAAAGAGACTTAGACTCCCACACAATAATAATGGGAGACTTTAACACCCCAATGTCAACATTAGACAGATCAACGAGACGGAAAGTTAACAAGGATACCCAGGAATTGAACTCAGCTCTGCACCAAGCGGACCTAATAGACATCTACAGAACTCTCCACCCCAAACCAACAGAATATACATTATTTTCAGCACCACACCACACCTACTCCAAAATTGACCACGTAGTTGGAAGTAAAGCACTCCTCAGCAAATGTAAAAGAACAGAAATTATAACAAACTGTCTCTCAGACCACAGTGTAATCAAACTAGAACTCAGGATTAAGAAACTCACTCAAAACCACTCAACTACATGGAAACTGAACAACCTGTTCCTGAATGACTACTGGGTAAATAATGAAATGAAGGCAGAAATAAAGATGTTCTTTGAAACCAACGAGAACAAAGACACAACACACCAGAATCTCTGGGACACATTTAAAGCAATGTGTAGAGGGAAATTTATAGCACTAAATGCCCACAGGAAAAAGCAGGAAATATCTAAAATTGACACCCTAACAACACAATTAAGAGAACTAGAAAAGCAAGATCAAACACATTCAAAAGCTAGCAGAAGACAAGAAATAACTAAGATCAGAGAAGAACTGAAGGAAATAGAGACACAAAGAACCCTTCAAAAAATTAATGAATCCAGGAGCTGGTTTTTTGAAAAGATCAACAAAATTGATAGACTGCTAGCAAGACTAATAAAGAAGAAAAGAGAGAAGAATCAAATAGACACAATAAAAAATGATAAAGAGGATATCACCACCGATCCCACAGAAATACAAACTACTGTCAGAGAATACTATAAACACCTCTACGCAAATAAACTAGAACATCTAGAAGAAGTGGATAAATTCCTCGACACATACATCCTCCCAAGACTAAACCAGGAAGAAGTTGAATCTCTGAATAGACCAATAACAGGCTCTGAAATTGGGGCAATAAACAATAGCTTACCAACCAAAAAAAGTCCAGGACCAGATGGATTCACAGCCGAATTCTACCAGAGGTACAAAAAGGAGCTAGTACCAATCCTTCTGAAACTATTCCAATCAATAGAAAAAGAAGGAATCCTCCCTAACTCATTATATGAGACCAGCATCATCCTGATACCAAAGCCTGGCAGAGATACAACCAAAAAAGAGAATTTTAGACCAATAACCTTGATGAACATCAATGCAAAAATCCTCAATAAAATACTGGCAAACCGAATCCAGCAGCACATCAAAAAGCTTATCCACCAGGATCAAGCGGGCTTCATCCCTGGGATGCAAGGCTGGTTCAATATATGCAAATCAATAAATGTAATCCAGCATATAAACAGAACCAAAGACGAAAACCACATGATTATCTCAATAGATGCAGAAAAGGCCTTTGACAAAATTCAACAACACTTCATGCTAAAAACTCTCAATAAATTAGGTATTGATGGGACGTATCTCAAAATAATAAGAGCTATCTATGACAAACCCACAGCCAATATCATACTGAATGGGCAAAAACTGGAAGCACTCCCTTTGAAAACGGGCACAAGACAGGGATGCCCTCTCTCACCACTCCTATTCAACATAGTGTTGGAAATTCTGGCTAGGGCAATCAGGCAGGAGAAGGAAATAAAGGGTATTCAATTAGGAAAAATGTATATTCTTTGAAACGGAAACTGTCAGGACAATTTCCTCTCTGGATGGTATGAAATTCAAATACCAAGAGGCCTAATACCGATTCCTACTTAGGAAGTTATTTGACCCAAGAATTTTGCTTAAAGATGATCCTGACTTCAAGAGCTAAAAATGTATAGATAATGTAGTCTATTCCAAATAACTAAGGCAAGAAAGAAGTATAAAATATTATTTTGAAAACTGAAAGAATTGGAGGAAAAGGTAAGTGAAAATGGCAAAGGAGAAAGAGGATCACTCTAACAAAAGTGGCGGGAGGAAAGGAGCTGATTGAAATGGAACAAGAATTGATTACACAACAGACTATCCTGAATGAAAGGTTGCAAATCTGATATCCTAGCAATTAAATGATTTTTAAGTGGCTTTCATTCTTCAACATCATTGTAGACAGGTCTTTATAGTTTCTACCTCCCACCCAGCAATGAAGATCAGACTTAGAAAATAAACTAGATTTAATCATATTTTACTGACAAGAGAAATAGAGATATGATAAATAAATTTGGTGCGATTTGTGAAAGAATCGCATTTACTTAATGCGATTGATGTTTTCCATTTTTACTCAGTCACTTATTAAAGTGTTAAAATGTGCTCTAAAATCTTAAGTATACAGTTCTATAGGTATCACCCTATAATAAACAAAATATCTGATTAGTAAAACAAAAGAAATTAGGCAATTTGTTTTCATTTCTATTATAATGAAAATTCTTTATATTCCATAAATTACACATTATGCATATTTTTCATAAAAAATTTATTTAAAAGCATCTGAAAGCATATAAAACATATTTTCCCCATTAGTTAACATTTAACTTAAATTCATATAGCACATTTTCTTACATATTTTTCTGACATATGATCTTGGTATAATTGAATTCATATCAGTCATAATTATATCATGCTAATGCCAATTTGATTTCAACATGGTCTAGCTTTTTAAATTGCATTTTTTAAAACATAATTCTTAGTTATTAATGTTTCTTTTATGACCATTCTGCATTGCAAGTTATGGAGCAATAATTCTGTTATGTATTGTTTTTTTATTCATGTATCTATTTGGCAAAAATTCATCCAACTCAAAATAATTTTCCTATGTTCTAGTTGTGGAGATTCAAATACGATTGAGTCACAATCCTAGAACTCAAATCATTCCACCTAGTAGGAGAAAACAAGACAACAAGTAATTAATTTGTGAAGATGTGATAGATACTGTAAAATACATCTGTGCTAAGTGCTAAAGAACCACAAACAAAAAAAGAGAGTGATTCTTACTGGATGGGGTGTAAAATATTCTGGATAGCACATACTCAATCTGGTCATAAAAGAATATTTTATAACTTCAAAAAAAATAGCATCGCTATTATATTTTCTAATTGTGTTGCTCTATTTTCATGCTTGCAAAGCCCTCAGTAAAATTTTGTTTAAAAGGCATGTGCTGATAAAGTAGTATAAATAGGTTTTTCTTATCATCACAGAATTCCGACTGAGAGATTATTTTTTCTTAGTTAAAATAGATTTACCATATGGGGAATATTCATTTCATTATACGTATGCTTCTTGTCCATCATGTCTAAATTAAATTATAGTAATTATTCTGCTTATATACAGCATATATATTCAAACAAACGAGCTTTAAAAAATAACTAAGTAAAGCATGCTCTATATTTTTGTTATGTTAAAGTGAATTTTTTTATATAAAGAGAAAACTTCCCTTTTCAGATTTGAATAAAAACACTTGTACTTATTTTCAACTAATTAAATTAAAATGGCTAACATCTTTCGGTTTATAAAGTCTCAGCCTCTTTGACCAAAGAATTTTTATTTACTATTTAATTTGATGTATTCTCACTCTCTTTCAGTTTACAACTATATATTCATTTCCTCTACCAAGGGCAAAACAAACATTGCTAATCAAGTTGCCCCACTAATGTTTTCTATATCATTCAAATTTTATTTATATGGTACATTTAGCTAGTTAGATGGCTTAATAGTGATTTTTTATTATTATTATTATTATTATTATTATTATTATTATTTTGAGACGGAATCTCGCTCTGTCGCCCAGGCTGGAGTGCAGTGGCGCGAACTTGGCTCACTGCAAGCTCCGCCTCCCGGGTTCATGCCATTCTCCTGCCTCGGCCTCCCAAATAGCTGGGACTACAGGCCCCCCGCCACAACGCCCGGCTAATTTTTGTATTTTTAGTAGAGACGGGGTTTCACCATGTTAAAGAGGATGGTCTCAATCTCCTGACCTCGTGATCCTCCCGCCTTGGCCTCCCAAAGTGCTGGGATTACCGGCGTGAGCCACCCCATCCGGCTGATTAATGTATTTTTACAAGATAATTCAGAAGGATAGTGAAAGTAGTTTCTTAATGTGTTACTACTTTTTTTCCCACAAAGAGCAAAGATGTAAAGAAAGATGTGCTTAACGTCATAAGTTTGGTCTATGGTTTTCCTATTAAAGTAATATTACAATAAAGTAATATTGCTTTTATTCCCATGAGATTAACCATCTACAAATTATTTATCCATATTTTTAGATATGGATGTGGATCTACACTATCCATATGTTTTACAGTTTTATAAATAAACAGGAAATGATACACATAGACAAATACAATTTCTCTTTTCTTAATGTATTGCTTTTTCTTTAGGGCCTTAAAATTCTGTGTATCTTACATAGTGTTTTCATAAACATTCTGTGTGTGTGTGTTTTTGTGTGTGTGTGTGTGTATGTGTGTTTGTGTGTGTGTAAAGAACAATATAATTAATGAAGTAATACATATTTGTGACTAATTCCATTATTTAATTAGTGATATTCCAGAAATGCAATTTTATTTGAAGTTGCATTAGCTGAGGGATACCTTTATGATACCTTAATTTTTGGCCCGATCCATCATTACTTTGCAAGTTCAATGTTAGATATTTGAAATGTTCTGATCTTTTTAAACAATTTGAATAGAAAGCAGACAATGTAGGTTAAAATTTTAATATAAATTGAAGGATCTAATGTAAGAAATTAAAATACTTTAAGCACCTAACTCCTCCATGCCTGATATATAGAAGATGATAATTAAATGTTTGCTAAATGAATGCATTGACAACACAGTTTCTCTTTTATTCCTAAAAGCATTTCTTTGGATAAGTACTACTACCATCAGAGCTCAGGTCATAAAATTACATCCAGGAAGAAATTCTCAGAATGTTAAACTTGTCAGAATATACTGTATACTGCTGTCAAAGTTGATTCTCAGGAAAATGCTGTGCCATTCCTTCTTTAACATCATGTTTCTTATGGCATATTACACCCAGAACTAGGCAGTCATATCAAATTAGACCTTTACCTCTTCTTTGGAATTTACACATTGTTTTATTTATGCAAGTTTTTTTTCTTCTTATTTTCAATTTTTAAGTTCACGGGTACATATGCAGGATGTGCAGGTTTGTTGCGTAGGTAAACATGCGCCATGGTGGCTTGCTACACAAATTATCCCATCACCTAGGTATTAAGCCTAGCATCTGTTAGCTATTCTTCCTGACGCTCTTCTTCCTCCCAACCACCACCGTCTGACAGGCCCCAATGTGTGTTGATCCCCCACTCCCCAAAGTATTCATGTGTTCTCATCATTCAGCTCCCACTTGTAAGTAAGAACACACGGTATTTGGTTTTCTGTTCCTGCATGAGTTTGCTGAGGATAATGGCTTCCAGCTCCATCCATGTCCCTGCAAAGGACACAATCTCATTCCTTTTTATGGCAGCATAGAATTACATGGTGTATATGTACAGTTTGCTATTGTGAGTAGCGCTGCAATGAATATACGCATGCATGTTTCTTTATAATAGAATGATTTATAATCCTTTGGGCATATACCCAGTAATGGGATTGCTGAGTCCAGTGGTATTTCTGCCTCCAGGTCTTTGAGGAATCGCCACACTGTCTTCCACAATGGTTGAACTTATTTACACTCCCACTAACAATATAGAAGTGTTCCTTTTTCTCCACAACATCGCCAGCATCTGTTGTTTCTTTGACTTTTTAATAATAGCCATTCTGACTGGTGTGAGATGGTATCTCATTGTGGTTTTGATTTGCATTTCTCTAATAATTAGTGATGCAGAGCTTTCATTCATCTGTTTATTGGCCTCAAGTAACATCTAATGGGAGACAGGATAAGGTAAATATCAACTGCACAACAGATTCCTGCTGTCTCAGATTAGTTATATGCCTCTACATCCAAACCCTGCGGGCACACATCTTTTCAGGCCATAATTATTATATTCATGGTGGTTAGCTTCCTAAGAGCTATGTAATGGTTGAAAATAATTCTCAGAATAGCCATTCAAATTTGCTTTTTCATCAACTTATGAGAGAACTTCAATGCCTATAGGATTAGTATTTATCTATAAAGACAGATGTTTTAATAATAATACATCAGGAATTAGCAGAAGTTCTGAATAGATTTCTTTATTTAAATAGTATTTACTGACTGCCTACTATGGTTCAGACACAGTTTTTAAACTTGTCCCTGTTTTTTAGAACTAGAAGTTTGAGTTAGCTGTCTTCTACTGACATCAAATATTAGAATTATCTGTGCAGATATATCTCCTGTGTTAAAATCCCTCCTCAGCTCTTATTTCTTATGAAGACTCACAGTGTCACATAGTCTTGCAATCTTGTACCTACAGGAAAATCACAATTAAGTATTTCAATTTCACTCCAATTGAACTATAACAGACTCACAGTTCAACTCATTATTCAGATAGCCATCAACTTTCACTACTGTGATTATCACAATAAAATTTCTAACTAAACAATAATGACTCATGCAATCATTAATTTGAAAATTGTTAATTGCAATCCACATCACAGCTGTCCAGCTGAATGAGATTAGACTTTTTCTACTTTTACCCCAGAATGCCAGTTGTTGAATTGTATAATTTCTTTTAATAAGTATTTGTTGAGTAACTGCCAAGTAATTTACTAGACTTGGGATATCCATAAGCATATTATTATGCATTATGACATCATAGAGTGTACAACCTTGAGGGGAAGAGAAATATCTCACAGCTAATTTCCCTACCATCTATTAATTGTTTAAAAAGATGCAGAGGATTTATATGTATGTATATATGCACAAGATCTCCTAAACTACAATGGTGTTGATTGGATACTAGAATAGAAGCAGTGTTTTGCAATAGTAAATAAATAAATATATATATTTATTCTGAAGTTCACAGTATTTTTATATTAATCCTGTATATGTATATCATTTTCATTTTATAAATAAAATGTAGAAAAAATATGAGGGTTAATTTTGTAAGGTTATTTTGACAATTAAAAATTATATGAAAGAAAAGCCTTGTGAGGCATCAAAAGATTGTAGAAGGAATTCCAGTCTTCCTGCCACATGTACTTTAATTTGATAGCTGTGTGTCAACTTTGCAAACTTATGAAGGCCCTCAAAGCCTCCATATTTCCATCTTAATATTTGAATATTTAAATATGTGTGTGTAACCGTGTATACACACATACATAAAATAAACATGTATTAGAAATATGTTTAATATTAGAAGTATTATAAATGTATTAAATTGTATAAAATGTATATTATATATAAGTGCCTAAACAAATAAACAAATATGAGTTGCTTTTCATTTATAAACTGTGAAATTTTTGCACAATTTCTTTCCACTTTTTACCACAAAGATGACATGTCTAACTGCTACTCTATGTTACTTCTATATGTTCAATCACTCTAAATTCATTAGTGACATTTGTTTTCTTAAACACTCAAAAGAAACCAAAAACAAATAAATGGCATCTAATTCACATTTGAGAAAAAAACTTCCAAAAAAATGCTACTTTCCTTTCCAGCTTCTTCATCCAATAATTTCTTATATTGAAACTAAGTAACTGGGAATAGTTTCTGGAATCATACAAAAGCCTGTGTTATCATTCTGGCTGGCTTTAACAAATGTGTTTCCTCAGATAAGTATTTTAGGTATATAAATGGTCAGTATGTGATTATGTAGCTGTAAAGCATTAACAGTCAGATTAGAAAGGTGTTATTGGATTATTTACTCTGCATCATTTTAATTTGGATCTTATGTCTGGATATGTTTTTGTTTGGTTTCTGTACTTTTTTCCCCCTGATCAGCTCACCAGATTGATTGAGTTTGCTTGATTTCTCAAACATCTTTTCAATGATAGAAGAAAAATCCCTGTGACTAAATATCATATCGGAATGATCTACATTGTTATACATTGTGCTTCTGATATTACAATCTAACAAAATGCCACAGAAAATTCAATTTATTTGTGTTATATATGTGTGTGTATATATTATATATATATACATACTATTATCATCACACTTTGTAAATATATCATATATTCATTATTAATAAATATGTGTTGATAAGGCTTAATTTTAAATGAATAAATCTTTATAATAATATTTTATACATTATATGTTGTATATTATAGATTACATATTATGTTATCTTTTAATGATGGAAATGTGAGTATTTTATAGGCACTGTAATTCTGTCATTAAAGATATTTCCATAACTTTGACAAGGAAAAGTGGAGACAACATCCAAGTGATATCTGGGCCTTGCTTTTAAAAAGAGGTAACTCACAATTTGATTCTCCACACAATTCAGTTGTTAGCTTCCTGACATGTCTTTAGTATAAGTCAGAATAAATTCAACCACACCTCTAAGTTATAGTTAGAAGGCGCTGAATGTCATTGATGAGTGATTGACTGAGTATGTATCTCTGAAAGCAATTCAAGTGTTCAAACAGATTTTTAAAAATCCCTTGGGGCACAAAATTATGCTCTTAATATTTCAAACATCCTCTTTGGGGCCAGGAATGATGGCTCACACCTGTAATGCCAACACTTTGGGAGGCCAAGCTGGGAGAATCACTTGAGTCTATGAGTTCAAGACTGGCCTGAGCAACATAGCAGGACCACGTCTCTACAAAAAAAAAAATAAATAAATAATAATAATAAAAAGTCTTCTTTGAAACAAATAATGGAATTGAAACAACAACAATAATGCAACTTTATGTTTCCTCAATGTAAGTTTTTGAACAATATTTCTGAATTAATGCATAAATTTATATTTTATCTGCTCTGATCATTTGGTCTTTATAGGCTCACCATATAAGAATAAATACCTATATGTATACATATCTATCATCTATATATCATCCATGAATCTTTCTATAGCTATCTACCTATATATGCCTATATATAACCTCTCTCCATATATGTGTGTATATTCATGTATATTCACACACATATATTTATATATTCATGTATGTGTGTATATTCATGTATATTCACACACATATATTCATATAGCTTGTATATATGTACTAGAAGATAAATATATTAAACATAAATACACACAGATACACACATACACACACAGAAAAAAAGACAAAAAGAGTGAGGAAGAGGGAGAGAGACAGAGAGGTTTCGGATATCAATTTGAAAAAAATATAAATATAACAAAGTAAAATGTGCTCAGATAAAACAGTGTCATCTAAGCCATTGGATATAAGGACCCATGAAGCCATCATTGCAATACATAATATGAATGTTAACTATCATGAGAATATGACTATGTCCACATATTTTCCCAGAATTTTAAAAATTTTATTGCAATTTAAATGAATATTTTGTTTATTTGGTTGTAACTAAGGGTTTTTCAGATTTGTTACCTTCTGTCAGTACCTACAGTTTATATCCTCAATCTGCTGCCTTTTTTTTCAAGATCTATACTTTGGTTTAGCTATGAACATTTTCCCTAATTCTCAATCTCTGTCTTGAACAGTTTCATAATTTTGAATTGTATTTAAATATATAAAATGAGGCAATACTATTAATATACTGAAATATTAATTTCTAAAATAATATTTTTCAATGGGCAAAATTAGTGGATATGAATTAAATATATTATGTCTTAAGACTATGACAAATGGGCAAGTATATCTGTAGTTTTGGGTATTATTAAGATCAGTGTTTCATATGAACTCTCTTATATGTGCTGTACTCAATAACCCATTGATAGCCTGATTTCAATATATTACATTGTGGAGTACATGTGTATTGTCTATTAAGGTAAAAGATTGAACTTGTGTAATAATCATTATGCTATTAGGTCTATTAAGCTGACATTTGTTTAAAAGAACAATTGCAAAGAGAAGTATAAATCACTGTTCATTACAAATTCCATGAAAAGTATCCTTAGGGTAATTATTTCATTTATTTTGATTTAATTAAATTTTATTGAGTGATGCTTATTGATAGTTTAATTCAATGAAAAGATTAATAAAATATTTTTGCTGCAATTATAAGATGTTATCAAGAGGGAACTAATATTATAAAGCATTGATTTACATACTATCTGAAACTATATGACATTGTAATAAGAAATACCTTGCTTCAAAAAGAAGCAAGAAATATCTCTAAGAATTCATAAGTATAAACATACAAAATCTGAAATGCCCTTAGTTAAAACAAATAAACAATATATGCATTTCTACTGCAATGTAAAAGAGAGTGAAACAGTCAACATTTTCTTTTTGTGCATTGTATATGGTTGTATACAGCTGAAGATTAAATTACATCCCTTGCCAACAACATGTTGAGAGTACTTATCTTTCATTATCCACTATAAGACAATGCCATTCTTTTCTATTATGTTTTCCCTTTAGAAGTTAATAAATGTTCTTCTTAAAATGAATACATTTATTTTTAGTTTATAACCCCAGGCTTTCAAAAATTCTGTGAAAGAATAAATGCTTGAGTGGTTGGATACCCCATTCTCCATGATTTCACATTGCATAATTGTATGAAAATTCTCATGTACTTCAGAAATATGTACACCTACTATGTGCCCACAAAATTTAAAAATAAAAATAATTCTGACCAAATTTTGCCATCCAATGTTTTGACATTACATCTCAATTTTAATATGTGTACTACCAATGTTCAGTGTTCAATAAGCCAGGACCAGGATCCTGACAGTCTGTAGTACATCATCAGACATGCTTGTTAAGGTTCATGTGAATTCATTAATCAAAAATACTTTCTGCAGATGATCATGCAAAAAGTTATAAGTCAATTGAATTGCATAATTATCCAATACACATTTATCCATTTTGTCAATAAGAATAACATGATACACTTTATAATTTATTGTCTTCTTCAATTTCTATCATCAATGTTTAATAGTTTTCAGCAAATAGATCCTTCACTTCCTTGATTAAATTTATTCCTATTTTATTATTTTCATGCTATTGTAAGTAGGATTGCCCTCTTAATTTCTTTTTCAAACACTAACAGTGTATAAGTGTAAAAACAAAATTTTTATGTTGAATTTGTATCCAACAACTTTGCTGAATTTTTTTATATTTCTAACAGTTTTTTGGTGGATTATCTAAGGTTTTATAAATGTAAGATCATATTATCAGCAAACAGACCATTTCAATTCTTTCTTCCCTATTTGGATAACTTTTCTTCCTTTTTCTTATTGAACTGCTTTTGTATTATGTTAAATAGAAAAGAAGAGAGTGGTCATCCTTGTCATGTTCCTGATTGTAAAGGAAAAGCTTTTAACATTTTACCATTAAGAATTATGTTAGCTGTGGGCTTGTTATATATGGCCTTTGTTCTGTTGAGGTATATTCCTTCTATATCTAATTTGTTGAGACTCTTTATCATGAACAGGTGGTGAATTTTGTCAAATTGATATATTTAAAATCCTTAACCACTGATGAAAATAATTCTTAACCATTGATGAAAAAAATGAAGAGGGCACAAATAATGGAAAGATATCCTATGTTTATGGATTGGAAAAATTGATAATGTTAAAATTTCTGTACTACCCAAAGGGATCTACATATTCAATGCAATCACTATCAAAATTTCAATGTCATTTTTTACAGCAATAGAAAAAATACCCCCAAGTTCATATGAAACCACAAAAAAACCTGAATAGTCACAAGGTGAGTAAAGAAAAAATAAAGCTAGAGGCATCACACTACTTAAATTCAAATTAGAAAAAGCTATAGTAATAAATCCATCATGATACTGACATTAAATCAGACATATTGACCAGTGGAACAGAATAGAGAGCCCAGAAATAAACTCTTGCATTTATAATCAATGGATTTTTGAAAAAGTTGCCCAGAACACAATGTGAAAAAGGGAGCATGTTCAATAAATGGTCCTAGTAAAACTGGATATCTACATGCAGAAGTAAAAATAGAAAAAGCATCTCAAAATGAACTAAGGACTTCAGTGTAAGACCAGAAACTATAAAACTACTCGGATAAAACACAGGGGAAAGGCTCCATGACATCAGTTTTGGCAGTGATTCTTTTGTATAGGACCCAAAAATATCAGGCAACAAAATCAGAAATAGAAAAATACAATTTTATGAAACTAAAGAGGTATTTCACAGAGAAGGAAACAATCCACAGAGTGAAGAGACAACTTATGAATTAGGAGAATATACTTGCTAAACATACATCTGCTGAAGAGTTAATATCCTAAATATAGAAGAAACTCAGACAACTCAATAGCAAGAAAACAACCTGATTTTTAAAATGGGCAAAGGAACTAAGTAGACATTTCCTTAAAAAAGACATAACTATGATCAACAGGAACAGTCATGAGTCACTTAATGATAGAGATACGTTCTGCTGAATGCCTACTTAGGCAATTTCTTTATTGTAAAAGCATCATAGCATGTACTTAACACAAACCTAGATGCTATAGCCTACTACACAACTAGGATATGTACTATTGCCTATTACTTCTAGGCCTCAAACCTATATAGCATGTTACTCTACTGAATATTGCAGGTAATTGTAACATAATGTTAAGTATGAATATTTCTATATGTAAATGCAGCTAAACATAGAGGAGGTATGGTAAGAATACAATATTATAATCTTATGTAATTGCCCTTGTATATGAGGTTTTTGGACTGAAATATTGTTATGCAGTGCATGAATATATATATAAAATTGGTTAACATCATTAATGATCAGAGAAATCCATGTTAAAACCACAGTGAGATTTCATCTCACATCTGTTAGAGTGACTGTCATCAAAAAGATAAAAGACAAGTGTTGATAAGAATTTGGAGAAAGGGAACCCTTGTGCGCTGTTGGTAGGAATCTACGTTAGTACAGCCCTTATGGAAAACAGTGTGGCGGTTCTTCAAAAAACTAAAAATAGAACTACCATATGATCTAGGAGTCTCACTACTGGGTATATATCCAAAGGAAAGGAAATCAATATATTAAAGAGATATCTGCACTACCATAATCGTTGCAGCTTTATTCACAATAGCCAAGATATAGAATCAATCTAGGTGTCCATCAATGGATGATGAATGAATAAAGAAAATTTGGTGTATACACAATTGAATACTGTTCAGCATTAAAAATTAAGAAAGGACTCCCATATGTGAAAACATGGATGAACCTGGAGGTAATAAATAAGCCAGGCACAAAAAAGAAAATACTACATAATTTCATACATGTGGGAAAGCACTTATAGGTGGATTTCACTTCTGGGAGTCAAACTTATGGAAGAGAGAGTAGAATGGTGATTACCAAAGGCCAGGTTGGGAGGTGGGAGGAGAAATGCAGAGATGTTGGTCAAAAGGTACAAATCTTCAGTTAGATAGGAGAAACGAGATGTTGGGGTCTGTTGCAATGCAACTGCACTATTGCGGACCCCTTATCTGCAATAGTGCAGATAAGAAATATTTTAAAAATGAGGGAAATATAAAATGCTTGATTTTTAAAATGAATAAATTTAATAAATAGCTATTTTCAAACATAGATAATAAGTCCTTAAACATGAAAAAAGCTATTCAAGTTTACTCATAATATAACAAATAAAAATTAAAATTATAGCGAAATACCATATCACCTATCAGACTGGCAAAGAAATTAAAATAAAAATTTCTCTGTTGGCCAGCTATGGGGAAAGTTTCACTGCTGTGCATTGTTAGTAGGAATGCAATCTGGTACAGCCTTTATAAACAGACTTTGAAAATGTCTAACAAAACTACAATTAGATCTTGGACTCACGATCTTATTTCTAAAAATTGACTCTCAGGATACATTTTCAATTATCTGAAATGCCTATAGATAATGTTATTCATTAAGTTTAGTTTTCTTTTTTTTTTTTCTTCTTTTTTTTTTTTTTTTTTTTTTTTTTTTGGCGGAGTCTTGCTCTGTCGCCCAGGCTGGAGTGCAGTGGCACCATCTTGGCTCACTGCAACCTTTGCCTCCTGGGTTCAAGCGGTTCTCCTGCCTCAGCCTCCCGAGTAGCTGGAATTACTGGCGCCCGCCACCATGCCCAGCTGATCTTTTTTGTTTGTTTGTTTGTTTTGTATTTTTAGTAGAGAGAGGGTTTCACCATATTGGCCAGGCTGGTCTGGAACTCCTGACCTCAAGCAATCCACCCACCTTGACCTCTCAAAGTGCTGGGATTACAGGCGTGACCCACCACACCCAGCCTCAGTTTACTTCTCGTTACAAAATATTGGGAAATTGCTCATGTACGGGAGAGTTGGCTGAATAAACTCTGATGCCTCCACCCAGTGGAATACTAGGCATTAACATACAAATATATAGAAGGAAGTTGTCTGTGAAGTGATTTCCATGACATATTTATTCTTCAGTGAAAAAAATTCGAACTTCAAAAGAGTATTTATAGTATGTGTCTTTTTGTGTAATATAGTTAATAATAATGTAATTTTTAATTGTTGAGCTAGTAGATTTTAAATATTTCCACTACAAAATAAGTATGTAAGGTAATGTGTAGGTTAATTAGCTTGATTTAATTATTTCATAATGTATACATGTTCCAAAATATTGTCTCAAATATAATAAATATATACAATTATTATTGTCAATTACAAATAACACTATATTCTGTGAAAAAAATGAATAGGGTAAAATAGCTTTAACAAATGCTGTAAAAGTGGGGTCCAACTTTCTTTTTTGTGTAAGAAAATAAGTTATTTTGGAACCATTTGTTAATAATTGTGTTTAAATCAAAGTGAACACTAATTATTGCTTCTACTTACCATGACAAGTGTTAAGACTGATATATCTGTCATCATTAAAAATGTATGGATATAACTGAACAGAAGAAAATTAATATGTCTACAATGCCTACATATGCTAGCTGGAAGTCATTTTAGCCAAGAACAAAATTTATTGAACCCAGTTGTATCTTTGAATTTGAGATCTCTCAGAAATTGTTGTATTTCATTGAAGCTTTGTGGAAGAAAGGGGTAGACAGGGTAGATGGTCTATTCCAATGGGTGACAGTGTTAAATTGCACTTTTGATTCAAGTTATTCACCACTTTTCTCTACTT
Source organism: Homo sapiens (assembly GCF_000001405.40). NCBI lineage: Eukaryota > Metazoa > Chordata > Mammalia > Primates > Hominidae > Homo > Homo sapiens. The sequence continues at coordinate 57,010,523 of NC_000013.11, forward strand.
GGCCTACAGCAATTCTTCTTTATGCCCTTCCCCCTGGGATGAGTATACATTATACTCGTTGATAGCAGACTTAACTATAAACTTGCACTAGACAATGGGATGTGAGCAAATGTGACATATGTCATGTTTAAACAGAAAATTTGTGTCATCGTGTGTGTCTTCAATTTTTCTTTTTTGTCTTTCTTGAGAATTAAAATGTCTCAAAGGGGTTTGTTCTTTTAGCTTGGACTCAGTAATGAAAATAAGACATTAAAATTCAGCTTAATTAGAACAAAACAAAACAAAAAAAACCCTATTGTAAGTCACCAATATTTGGGGATTGTTACCACAGCATAGTTTAGTAAAAAATGACTAATAATTAAAAATAATTCATTAAGCTATACTTTAAAATTATAAATCATCCATAAAGCTAATTAACTTAACAAATACTATTTTTTTCCTTGGTAGTAAACGTGTAGAAACTAATGACAGAAGTCCATTATTTTAACTTAAAATCCACTTGTCCATTAATAACTGAATTACTTTGTATTTTAAATTTAAGAATTTAATAGTTCTATCAATTGAAATCAGAAGAATAGCTACTACCTCACAGAAAAAAAGGAATATGTACAGACATAATTGTATTAATCAGTCAATAACTATTAAAGTTATATACGTGTGTAATTTGAAAAAGCAAGTCACTTTTTCGGAAATATTTCCATATTTACCACCAAGTAGGAAAATAAAAGTTGCATAACCACTTAAAGGTAAGTGTACCAGTGGTTTCTGAGATTGGATTTTTTTTTTTTAATTTGGGAGAATGGTATTTTGGCCCTAATGAAATTTGATTTTACCAAATAAAGTAATGTAATTTTTTTGGTACAGTAGTGTAACAGATTATCACATCCATGAATGTACAGGAATGTGATTACATTGAATGTATGCCTTCCTGAGACAAGCTGGAAGGATAGGAGTTGTGTGTGGTGGTGGTGGAGAGGGGCCCAGGGGTATCATTATTGGAGACAAGTTTTTGTGGATCTCGTTTCTGCATATGTTGTGATAGCAGTCTATCTTTTCAAGGATATTTGTATAGTGAACAGCCTTGGAAGACAGAGATTGTGTCTCTCTCCTGAGCAAAGGTAGATCTATTTTTTGTCTAAGATAATAAAGATAGTGTCCCTCAATGGAGCAAATGATGAGAAAGTTTCCTGGTATTTTTCTTATAAGTTTACACGTTTCTTAACCTCAGGGTCCTTCCACTGTTACATAAACCCACTGATTGTGTAACAGTTTGCAGTCTGTTCATGTTCTTTTTTCATGTCCCAAAATGCATCTTGTAAAATTTTTATCTTAAGGACTTCAGATATGAAATTTATACTTGGTCTGCCATTAATTTCTACTTGTTAGATCATTTTCTATGTAACGTATTATTAATGGCAAGGCATGAAATGTCCTTATTTGGGTTAGCTTAAATTAAATTTGCTACAGTCCATATGCAAAGATTTTGTCAATTTATTCACTTATATTGTACATATTTTTAAAGTCAATTGTGAGCATTTATTAGGAATTAGAGATAAGGTAAGTAAATACTTACTCTCAATACAACTAATATTCTGTAAAAGAGTTAGACAAAGTAAGCAATCAATATACTGCCCATTTATAATATATTTTAAAAAGGAAATGAGACATATTGAGCATTTTATGTATATTAAAACTGATTTTAAATTTTATATTTATTATTGTAAATAATATACTGGGAAACTATTTGTTGGGAGGGTTATTTATATCTCCATTTATTCACAAGAAATATGGTGCTCATGGAAGTTATATAACCTACGTCTGTCTATACAATTCTCACTTACTTTCTACTAATTTTTTTCTTCATCATTTAAAATATATGAAGTAATTAGCAAGATAGTAGATAAAAATAATATAACACAGATGTAGTTAATGCCATTTAAAAAGCTAATGTTTAGAGGGAAAACAAATATATATACAAAATACAAAGAGTGAGTTTTAAAAATAATAATGAAAACTACTTAATTCTGGCCCTTTGGTCAGAGGACAATGTCTACTTGAAACCAGTCCTGTGCTGAGCTCTAAAAAATGAATAAATGTCATAAGCCAGACAAAGATCAGACAGTGCAGAGAAAATAGGAGGTTCAAGAACACAGATAGTTAGGGAAACATCATAATATAAAGGGAACACACAATTAGAAGTTGATCAGAAATATAGTGTAATTAAGAGCATTGGAGGAGTAAGATTCAAGAAATGTTTGGGGCCATTATTGTAGCTATGTGACTCTTAAAATATGGTGAGTGCTATACCAGAAGAATAAAAAATAGTTATTGAAGTACAGAGGGAGAAGAAGTGATTAATATTGCTAGGAGTTATTCTAGCCATGAATCGAACTTTACAGAAAAAAAAAATTTTAATCTGTTTGATTCCTGGAAATTCCTCTCAAACTCTGAGGACTGAGAATGAGAGAAACTCCATCTTTCTTAGTCTTCCTGCTGGTGGAGAAATGAGACTGAATGAAAAAAATAGAAAAAAAATGCTGTTAAAAATGTAGTAATACTGTATATATTTTACATGATTTTCATTTTTATCTCATTTATTGATTGAAAAATATATTTAAAAGGAGATGGTTTCTAGACTTTAGTATATTCATTTTCTCTACTGTGTTCAAATCCCCACAATAGCACATTAATGTTTTGAGATGGGATGTCAAATGTGTTCATCACATTTTGAATTATGTATTATGGATTTGCATGAGCTGTGGTAAACATTATCATTTTTATTTTAGTAAAATACTTGTGAAGAGGTTATAGCCAAGCCCATTTTCACATTTGTCTCCATGCCAATGTTTCATGTCAGATAGAACATATTTTGACTTTGCATTAGTTGGAATAGTTTGGGAATACTTCTTATTCTAGCTGAATAAATGTGATATTTTTGTTCTTTTAATATTAATGGATATCACATTCATTATATATTTTAGCATATTTATTGATTAAATAAAACATGTATAAATTTGTGTTTTAAATCCATGGTATTATATAACCATAATTAACATAATCAAACTGTATCTTAAACTATTTAACATTGTCAATTCCCTAACAGAAAATGTATTACTTCCTGCAACAATGACATTTTACAAAGTATGTTTTTTCCGCATTTCTCTCTTGCAATTTTAGGAATATTAGAGGGAGTGTTTAAACACCTTCATTATACATCTTTTTTTCCATGGTTTTCCAAATGTTTTCATATGAAATTAAATGTAACCTACGTACACATCCTGAAACACCAAAGGACCCAATTCAGTCTGTCAAACAAGTAATTTGAAAAACAAAGTCATTGTTATATTTCAAATATAAAAGAAAAAGAAAAAAAAGGACATCAAAATATGTAGTCAAAAAGAGAATAAAGAAATATTAAAATATGAGTACTATGATGAAATGAAGTAAGTAGGGACAATAAAGTTCATTGGAGGCTTTTTCTCTTCTGTTTTAATTTGTGAACTTAAAAGTGTTCCTGGATATAGGTCAGCATGTATTGTTTGTGGTTTTGTAGCTGAAATTTAACTTATATAAAAATTATAGAAGGCCAACTTAATTTTTTGAAATAGCTCACTAATTTGTTAGGGCCATTGACTTATTTCATATATTATGTTCAAAATTTTTCTGTCCTACTGGATATTCTAGAAAGGAATAGAAGGGAAGGATGCTGTTTATAATGTAGTGAAAGACCCTCACATAACTAGGATCTCATGGCTAGAATGAATAATAAATGTAAAAAAGAGTATTACTTAATTCATGCATTATGTTGAGATTGGAGGCTAGAATTTGATTGCATTTAATAATTATGCTGGCCCCAAAATAATAATTTCTAATAACATTAATACAATATGTTAATAATCCTAATCAACTGAAACTACCAAGAGAAGTACAGAGTGTACCTCGCTGTGATTCCTCTCTCCTGGTGTTCCTGTCTTTGTGTAATCAATCCCCTCTTCATGAGGATTGGCAGGATAATGTAATGGGATGTCACTCTTATGGTTACACTATATTATTTGCCTCTGTCTTAGATGGCTCCTAAGAAGTTTGTGAACATGTTGGCAGGCTTGTGTGGCAAGAAGATGAGAGTGGTCTCTAGGAAGTGAGTGTAGCCTCCCATTGACAACAAGAAGTTGAAACCATCAGTTCTATAACCACAAGGCAATAAATTCTGCCAACAAAACTGTGTCAAATCGGAAGTGAGTTCTTCCCTATGTTCAGATGAGACTACAACTTAGCTAACAAATTGTTTGCAACCTGTGATACCCCAGAGAGCACACTCAGTTAAGCCTGAACTTTCAATCCACAAAAACTGTGAGATATATACGTGATTTTTTAGACTATTAGGTTTATGTAATTTGTTACCTAGAAACCAATAACTAACACAACCTTCAAAACTTAATGAAGAGGAGGGCATACAGAGACAATAATATGAGTAAAAACACTGTTTTAAACATGAATGCTGCATACTGCAATAAAGGAAAAAGTAAAAATAAAAAGAATTTAGGAAGCTTGGCTCTTTGTCTTAATTTTATCTTAATTTATTCATTTCAAATTATGAAAAATCACCTAATCCTTGAACCTCAATTTTCTGAATTGTAAAATGCAGAAATACATATCCTATTGGATAGTCCAGATTTTTGTAATTGTAATTATTAATTATTTCTTTTTTTAAAAAATTTACTTTAAGTTCCAAGATACATGTGCAGAAAGTACAGGTTTGTTACACAGGTATACTTGTGCCATGGTGGTTTGATTCACCTGTTGATTCATCCTCTAAGTTCCCACCCCTAACCACCTACCTCCCAGCAGCCCCAGGTATGTATTGTTCCCCTCCCTGTGTCTATGTGTTCTCATTGTTCAACTCCCACTTATGTGTGAGAACATGCAGTGCTTGGTTTTCTGTTCCTGTGTTAGTTTGCTAAGGATGATGGCTTCCAGCTTCATCCATGTCCCTGTAAAGGACATGATCTCATTCCTTTTTATGGCTGAATAGTATTCCATCGTGTCTATGTACCACATTTTCTTTAGTCTATCATTGATGGACATTTGGGTTGGTTCCATGACTTTGCTATTGTGAATGGTGCTTCAAAAAACAGACGTGTGCATGTGTCTTTATAGTAGCATAATTTATATTCCTTTGGATATATGCCCAGTAACAGGCTAGCCACATGCAGAAAACTGAAACTGGAACCCTTCCTTACAACTTACACAAAAATTAACTCAAGATGGATTAAAGACTTAAATGTAAAACCCAAAACAATAAAAACTCTAGAATAAAACCTGGGAAATACCACTTAGGACATAGGCATGGGCAAACTTCATGATGAAAACACCTAAAGCAATTGCAACAAAAGCCAAAATTGACAAATGGGATCTAATTAAACTAAAGAGCTTCTGCACAGCAAAAGAAACTATCATCAGAGTGACCAGGCATCCTACAAAATGGGAGAAAATGTTTGCAATCAACCCATCTGACAAAGATCTAATAGCCAGAATTTACAAGGAACTTAAACAAATTTACAGGGAAAAACAAAACAACCCCATAAAAAAGTGGGCAAAGGGTATGAACGGACACTTCTCAAAAGAAGACATATGTGTGGTCAACAAACATATGAAAAAAAACTCATCACCGCTAATCATTAGAGAAATGCAAATCAAAACCACAATGAGATACCATCTCACACCAGTTAGAATGGCGATTATTAAAAAGTCAAGAAACAATAGATGCTGGTGAGGCTGTGGAGGAATAGGAACACTTTTACACTGTTGGTGGGAATGTAAATTAGTTCAACCATTGTGGAAGACAGTATGGCAATTCCTCAAGGATCTAGGACCAGATTATTAATTATTTCAAAACACGTTCCCAACTTTTCTTTTAATCATCAGAAGTTAACTCTATTTCAATTTTGTGGTTATACAGAGTAAAATTGGCTCACTCATTTTTAGCAGATTTGGGGTTCTCAAGTGAACTGCTTTTTATTTTATAATATTGCTTTGTTTTTTTCTGAGTTTTAAATCTCTTTGGTGCCACTGGTGTGTATCCTGAGATTAGTAATAAAAATATCTTTGCCTTCTGAAATATACATGATTATATTAATTTAATTTTTGAATAAATGTTTCAGAAATGCACTCTAGGCTATATCCAGAGGTGTAATATGTTTTAACTCTTATAAGTAAGAAGTCCTTCTTTGCTATGAAGAAGGTTTGTAAATAAAACTTAAAGCTACTACTCAAAATAATTTTTAACAAGTTGTTGAAGACAAGGGAAATTCAGGAAGACATATAGTAGTCATAAAAACATCCACTTAATCGTTTAATATTTAATACTTAAAATGTCTGAGACTCCTATCTCAGCAATTTTGAGAAAGAAGACTTTAGTTGTCTAAAGTCCATCTTTAAAAAATATCATATAGAGGAAATCTAAAAGTTAAACATCAGACAATCTTCTCTTTTACCCTTATACACTTGCTTTATTGCCTTTTCATACTGGTGAAAACAGTTGAAAGCATATAGTTCCTATAGCCTAGTAATATTTCTGGTGCTGCTATCATGATCATGGAACAGGCATTCACAGAATTTCAGAAAATTCTAGCCTTACTATTTCTATCCTGTAAACTTTTTCTGACATTCTCTTCTATAGTCTGTATTCCTATTCAACCTCTGGCGGGGAAAATTTTAATATTTAATAGGTCAATTTTCACAAACTTTCACTGATCTGCTATAAATGCAATTATATCACATAAAATTACAATGACATATAATACTTGCATCATGCACATTTACATTACTTTTTGATTAAATTTAACTTCTTTAATAAACTACAAGGACCTTGACATCTAAATTTAACTTGATCCCCTAGTTAGGGCAAAATATACATTGAACAATATATATGAACATAAACATCATTTTAAAGAATTGATGTGTAATTAACTTTGTGATCATAGCTGTGAAAACAGCTTTTCATTGCAAACGTCAAAGAGACTGACCTTTGTATTGAAGAATGAAGTAACTACAGAGCATGACAGTTCAGCCTTCTACTGAAATTGTTTCATGGAGGAGCATTAGAATCATAGCATATGCTAGTTCTGCTCTCTTTTATTTTACAGTTGTTTCAAGAATTACTGTTCTCCTCTGATACTCCAAACTTAATTGGTATAAATAGATTATAATAAATTATAGAATTGTCTCCTCAGTGTTATTCTTACCTTCTCAAAGTAACTTAGTCTGTAAGGTAGACAGGTGAATCTTTCGGGGAAAAAAAAAATCCTCAAGTGGTATGTCTTAGAACTAAGAACCTGAATAAAAGCTGATATGTGATCTGAAGAAATTTGAGTAGGCCTTCATGTGGGGAAAAAAAAAAAAGATTAGACTTTACTGAAAGTGTGTAATGAAGAATAGGTAAGCGGAAGTGAGTTTATTCAAGCATAAGAAAGAGAAAGCTTGGAGAGACTCATCATTAGTTTGGGGTTATATGAAAAAGGTCTCGTACGGTAGTATTGAATAGTTTTTCCTCTACATTCACTGAATATAGGACAAGGGGGAATAAGTTTAAATTGCAGAAAAGTAAGTACTTCCTGACTGTGGGTATCATAAGCCACAAGAATGTGTTATCAAGAGAGGTTACAGTATTTTCTTCTCTAAAGGTGTTTGAAAAAAATCTTTTATAAAAAATTATCCTCCAATAATTTTGGCACTATCTAGCTAAAAGCAGGGAAATAATCCTCTGTTAAATTATCACACCATTTAATTCCATTCCAAGAGTGAATTATGAAAATGAAAAATGATTTTAAAATGTACTTTTTCAAAGTAAAAAGGTGTACAAAATCTTGTGATCAATAAAGCTCACATATCTGAAAATTCTAATTATTCTAAAAATAATGTTATTTTTGATAGCATAATATAGAATAATTTTATTCTAAAAATTATAATTTCACTTGGTTTTCTTTGCCAAAATGAAGTAAAGCATTTAATAAAAGACAGAATATTCTTGCTGTACAACCTGCTGCTATAGAGGTCATATAGCAAAATGACATTAAAGAAATAGAAATAAATACATTTATAGCTATTTATATTATTATGACTTTTAATATTAAGATAGTCATTTCTAATGTTTTAGGGCATAATGTGGTGAGAGAGGACACATTTTCATATACAAAAATTCTAACACTGTTTATCTGACGTTTGTCAATTTTACTCCTTATTTGTTTATGTCATTTCTCCTTCTTTCTTTTTTTCTTTTTTTTTTTTTTTGAGATGGAGTCTCACTCTTTTGCCCAGACTGGAGTGCAGTGGCACAATCTCAGCTCACTTCAACCTCCATCTCCCAGGTTCAAGTGGTTCTCCTGCCTCAGCCTCCTGAGTCGCTGGGATTACAGGCACCTGCCACCACGCCCAGCTAATTTATGTATTTTTAGTAGAGATAGGGATTCTCCACGTTGGCCAGACTGGTCTTGAACTCCTGACCTCGGGTGATCCACTCGCCTTGGACTCTCAAAGTGCTGGGATTATGGGCGTGAGCCACCGCAACCAGCCCAGTTCTTCTTTACAGCACTATAATCTGGCCTTTGATACTTACCGTGTCTCACAGATACTGTGCAAACAGACTAATGAGGTAACATTTATATATCCATGTTGAAATTCAGTAAGAGATCATAAAGTACTATTTACCTTTAAGAAAGATGAACTCAGGTACCTAAACTAAACATTATTCCTTGATAAAACATTTTAAAACATAATGGTGTACTGATTTATATGAAAAATAAAATATCATTCCACCAGTTTATTTTAGATGACAATCGGAAATTATTTTGGCATATATGTTGCAATCATTAAATGAAGCCATTCCCATTGCATATCAGGAGAATGGAAAGTTGCTTCCTAGTTTGAAGAAGTGTTCCTAGTACACAAGATATAGAAGAGAAGAGTTGTGAGGAGAAAATGATTATATGCAGGAAATCTGAGCAATGTTTGTAAGACTTGTTTTGGATGACTAGAGATATGTGAATTCAAAAATCAAAGTAAAACAGGAATTGAAACAAACAAAAAGCACTTCAAGAAATTGGAAAAATCACATGCATTATTTTTACCTTCAGAAGAATTCAGAGCGTTAATCAAGGTAACAAAGAATAAAAATCACTTCTTCTATGTTCCTCTCCATTAGAGGCAGAAATAAAATTATTCTCTAATGTGCCCCCCCAACTCTCACTTTTTAAAAATACGTGTATATCCTTGATATTAAATATGCCACTGCTTGTAGCAAAATCAGTTTCTCTCCTGATTCATTCAGGTAAGGCTGCTAAGAAATTAACATGTATAGATCCGGTGTCTCAACTCAGTTTATGCTCAAGTCTTAATGTTTACATTTTGGACTCTTCCATGAGCAACTTCAGTCTCTGTACTAGTTTCATTTCTTAAATTTTATGTCTTGCCAAATGGGAAGCTGCAACAAGGTATGTGATGAAAGATTAACGGGTTGTAGGAGAGAAGGACAGCATTTTTATTTACTTAAACCACTAGCATGCCTGTAACCCACCCATATCAAGTATGCTGTACTTCTGTTCTAATATTTACACAATTTATTTCATTTGTTTATTACACATGTGTATCATCCCTAGTAGGCTCTAAGTTACCTAAGAGAAAGATCAGATCTCAAAGATTTTAGTATTCCCATGTCCAAAAATAGCAACATAGAAAACAATGAATGAAATATTTGTGGAATAGGGACAGAGCAAGATGATAGAATAGAAAGCTTCACCTGTCATCTCCCTCAGCAAGGACACCAAGTTAACAATGATCTAAATAGGAACACACCTTTATAAGAACCAAAAATCAGGTGAGCACTCATAGTGCCTGATTTTAACTTTATATCACTGAAAAAGGTATTGAACAGATAGAAAAAATGATTCAGAATCACCAACACCACCCCTCCTCCATCCCTGGCAGCTGTGGCATGGTGCCATGAGCATCTCTGGGTGCTGGGGGAGAGAGAACACAACAACTGTGAGACACTAAATTCAGTGCTGTTCTGTTAGAGTAGAAAGGAAAACCAGACAAAACTCAGCTAATGCCCACCCAAAAATGGAGTATTTAAACCAACCCTAGTCAGAGGGGAATCACCCATCCCAGCAGCCCAAATTTGAATGTCCACAAACCTCACCACCCAGAGCTAAAGTGCTCTTGGTCTCTAAATAAATCTGAAAGGCCTCTTAGGACTGCAACTCTTGGGAAGGTCATAGGGCTGAACTAGGCCCAGAGACAGTGAACTGAGAGGGCATGTGACATACTGAGACATCAGCTGGGGAAGCCAAGGGAATGCTGGTATCACCGCTACCCTAACCCCAGTCTGCCAGTCTGCACCGCTCATGGCTCCAAAAGAGACCCCTTCCTGCAGCTTGAGAATTGGAGAGGGAAGAGTGGTGAGAATTTTGTCTTGCATCTTGGATACCAGCTCAGCCACAGCAGGATAGGGCACCAGTCTGAGTCATGAGGTCCTATTCCAAGGTTTAGCTCCAAGAGGATATTTCTAGACACACTCTGGGCCAGAAAAGAACTGCTGCCTTGAAGAAAAGAACCTAATCCTTCCAGCATTCATCACCTGCTAAATGAAGAGTTTCTGGGCCCTGAATATCCAGCAGTAATACCCAGGTACTACGTCAAGAGCCTTGGTGAGCCTTTGAGATTTGCTGGCTTCAGGTGAGACTCAGAATATTACCAGCTGTGGTAGCTATGGGGTAAAACTTCTTCTGCTTGGGAAAAGCAGAGAGAAAAGTAAAGGGAACTTTGTCTTGCACCTTAGGTGCCAACATTGTCACAGGTTGGTAGAGCACAAAGCGGACTCTGGGGGTCCCCAATTCCAGGACTTGACTCTTGGACAGCATTTCTATACCTGTCCTGGGCCACAGAGGAGCCCCCCACCCTGAAATGTGAGCCCAAGCCAGACAGTATTCACTACAAGCTGACTTAAGAGAATTTGGGCCTTATGGTAACATTGGTGGCAGTCTAGCAGTACTCCTTTTGACCAGGGGTTTAGAGAAACAAGAGTAGAACAATTATTCAAAGTGATAATAACAGAAAACTTCCCAAGCCTGCAGAAAGATATCGATATTCAACTACAAGGTTATAGAACACAAAGCAGATTTAACTCAAACAAGACTACCTAGAGACATTTAATAATTAAACTCAAAAAAGCCAAGATAAAGAAAAGATTCTCAAAGCAGCAAGAGAAAAGAAAAAAATAATATAACGGAACTCCAGTATGTCTGGCAGCAGACTTTTCACTGGAAACCTTAAAGCCAGAAGAGAGTGGCATGACATATTTAAAGTTCTGAAGGAAAAAAAAAAAAAAAACTTTTAACCAAGACAGTATATTTGGTGAAAATATCCTTCAAACATGAAGGAAAAATAAATACTTTCTCAGACAAAGAAAGGCTGAGGTATTAACATTTCATCAATACCAGACCTTTCCTGCAAGAAATGCTGAAGAGAATACTTCAGTAAGAAAGATAAGGACATTAATTAACAAAAATATTCATCTGAAGGTATAAGACTTACTGGTAATAGTAAGTACACAGAAAAAAACACAGAATATTACAAACTGTAACTGTGGTGTATAAACTACTTTTGTCCTTAGCAGAAAGACTAAACAATGAACCAATCAAAAGCAGTAACTTCAACAACTTGTGAAGACATAAATAGTACATTAAGATATAAGAATGATGGTGTGGATGTGGTGAAAAGGGAATGGAAACTGGTGCAACCACTAGGAAAATACTGTGGAGATTCCTTAAATAACAAGAAATAGGTCTACCGTTTGATCCAGTAATCCCACTACTAGGTATCTACCTAGAGGAAAATAACTCATTATACAAAAAAGATACTTGCACATGTATATTTATAGCAGCACAATTGGCAATTGCAAAAATATTGAATCAGCCCAAATGCCCATCAATCAGTGAGTGGATAAAGAAAATGTGGTATATATATACCATGGAGTACTACTCAGCCACAAAAAGGAATGGAATAATGGCATTTGCAGCAACCTGCATGGAATTGGAGGCTATTATTCTAAGTGAAGTAACTCAAAAATGGAAAACTAAATATTGTATGTTTTCACTCGTATGTAGAAGCTAAGCTATGAGGATGCAAAGTCATAAGAATGATATATTGGACTTTGGGGAATCAGGAGAAAGGGTGGGGAATGGTGAGGGATAAAATACCACATACTGGATACAATGTACACTGCTCAGGTGATGGATGACCAAAAACTCAGAAATCAACAATAAAGAACTTATTCATGTAATCAAACACCACCTTCTTTCCAAAAACCTGTTGGAATAGGAAAATAAAAAATTTTAAATGAAAAAAAATAACTAATGCATACTAAGCTTAGTATCTGGGTGATAAAATAATCTGTACAACAATCCCCAAGACACATGTTTATCTATGTAAAAAACCTGCGCTTGTACTCCTGAACTTAAAATAAAAGTTAAAAAAAGAAAATAAATGATATAAATAGGAACAGCAACAGTTTAAAAACAGGGAAACAAAGCCAAGGTGAGCTTTTATTAGTTTTCTTTCTGCTCATTGTTTATGAAAATATTGTTAAGTTGTTATCAGTATAAAATAACGTATTATAAGATAGTATTTGCAAGTCTCGTGTTAACCTCAAACCACAAAACTTACAATAAATACACAAAAAATAAAAAGCAAGAAACTAAATTATATCACACACACAAAAAATTACCTTCACTAGAAGAAAACAAGAGTGAAACAAAAACGAAAGAGAAGACTACAAAACAACCAGAAAATAAATAGCAAAATGGCAGGAGTAAGTTCTTAACATTAATATCGTTGAATGTAAATGAACTAAACTCTCTAATCAAAAGATATAGACTGGATTAATGGATTGAAAAACCAAGACCCATTGATCTGTTGCCTACAAGAAACACAATTCACCTATAAAATACACATAGCCTGAAAAAAAGGTATGAAAAAGGATATTCCATGTCAATGGGAACCAAAATAGAGCAGGAGTCACTGTACTTATATCAGAGAGAATAGATTTCAGGTCAAAAACTGAAAAAAGAGAAAAAATGTGACTGTATAAAGATAAAGGAGTCAATTTAGCAAGAGTATATAACATTTTCAATATATATGCACCAAACACTGGAGCACCTAGGTATATAAAGGAAACATTATTAGATCTAAAGAGAGAGAAAGTTTCAAATATAATAATAGCTAGAGAGTTTAACACCTCACTTTCAGCATTGGACAAGTCTTCCAGACAGAAAATTAATAAACATCATATTTAATGTACAGTATAGATCAAATGAATCTGATAGATATTTACCGAACATTTCAGGTAAGAACTGCAGACAACACATTCTTTTCCTCAGCACATGGATTATTCTTAAGGATAGACAACGTGTTAGGTCACAAAACAAATATTAGAACATTTAAGAAAATTGAAATAATATCAAGCATCTTCTCTGACCACAATGGAATGAAACTAGAAATTAATAATAAAAGGAATTTCAGAAACTATACACATATATGGAAATTAAGCACTATGTTCCTTAATGACCTGTGGCTCAATGAAAAATGTAAGAAGGAAATTAAAAATTTTCCTGAAACAAATGATAATGGAAACACAACATACCCAAAACTTCAGGATACAGCAAAAGCAATAGAAAGAGAAAAGTTTGTAGCTATAAGCATTTACATCAAAAAAGATGAAAAAATCAAATAAACAACATAATGATGCATCATCTAGAACTAGAAAACAGTAAACAAATAAATTTGAAATGAAAATTATAAAAAAAATCAATGAAACCAAAAGTCAGTTTTTCAAAAAGTTAAATTTGACAAACTCTTAGCCACAATAAGAAAAAAAGAGAGAAGATTCAAATAAATAAAATCAGAAATGAAAAAGGAGACATTGTTACTGATACTGCAGAAATTCAAAGAATCATCAGTGGCTCTTTTGAGCAACTATATGCCAATAAATTGGAAAATCTAGAAGAAATGGACAAATTTCTAGGTACATACAACCTACGAAGATTGAAACAGGAAGAAATCCAAAAGAGATTTTGGAAAAGAGAGAAGATTCAAATAAATAAAATCAGAAATGAAAAAGGAGACATCATAACTGATATTGCAGAAAATAAAATCAGAAAATTAAAAGGAGACATTGTAACTGATACTGCAGAAGTATCCATGGGAAATGAAAGATTGGTTCCAGGACTAGAGTTAGTTAGAGGCCTAACTCTAGTGGTTTATGCCACTTAATTATTTCTACCTGTTTGCTACCTTGATTTTATGCTTTGGGTTTTTTCTTAATTTGATATATGATATTAACCTGTAAAATCTGTTTTCAACTCCCATACAGAAAAAAAAATCAAGCATTAAAGGAGCAAGGTTGGTCTAGAAGCCTTTGAACAAGCAAGAATCCAGGAAGCCTTTGAACTTTTGTATCAAAGCTAGAGTCAGAAAAATAATATAATTTTGTTGGGGGAAATCCTTAATTCTAGAAAAAAATTGCCTCAATTACCATAGTGTACAGCTTGGCACTTTCATAGAAGAATGATCCTAGAGGGTAATTCAAAAAGAGTAGTAGCAGCAAAAGCAAACAGTATCAGGATGCTACAGGATGTTAACATTTGTAAAATTTACCCAACCAAGGAAATTTTTATTTTATTTTATTTTGTTTTAAGTTCTGGGATACATGTGCAGGACATGCAGGATTTGTTACATAGGTAAACATATGCCATGTTGGTTTGCTGCACATATCAACTGAACTTATTAAGCCCTGCATGCATTACTTATTTATCCTGATGCTCTCCCTCCCTCCACCACATCCCCCAACAGGCCCCAGTATGTGTTTTTCCCCACCCTGTGTCCATGTGTTCTCAATGTTCACCTCCCACTTATAAGTAAGAACATGTGGTGTTTCATTTCTGTTCCTGGGTTAGTTTTCTGAAGATAATGGCTTACGGCACCAACCATGTCCCTGCTAAGGACATGATCTGGTTCCTTTTTATGGCTGCATGGTATTGCATGGTGTATATGTACCATATTTTCTTTATCCAGTCTATCATTCATGGGCACTTGGGTTGATTCTATGTCTTTGCTATTGTGAGTAGTGCTGCAATGAACATGTGCATGTGCCTTTATAATGGAACTATTTATATTCCTTTGGGTATATAGGCAGTAATGGGATGCTGGATCCAATGGCATTTCTGCCTCTAGGTCTTTGAGGAATTGCCACACTGGTTTTCATAATGGTTGAACTCATTTACATTCCCACCGACAGTGTAAAAGCTTTCCTGCTTCTCCACAGCCTCACCAACACTTTTTGTTTCTTGGCTTTTTAATAATTGCCATTTTGACTTGCATGAAATGATATCTCATTGTGGTCTTGATTTTAATTTCTCTAATGATCAGTGATGTTGAGCTTTTTTTCGTATGTTTGTTGGCAGAATAAATGTTTTCTTTTGAGAAGTGTCTGTTCATGTGATTTGCCCACTTTTTAATGGAGTTGTTTGTTGTTTACTCATACATTTGTTTCAGTTCCTTGTAGACTCTGGATATTAGACATTTGTCAGATGAATAAATTGCAAAAATTTTCTGCAATTCTGTTGTCTGTTCATTCTGATGATAGTTTCTTTTGCTGTGCAGAAGCTCTTTATTTTAATTAGATCTCATTTGTCAATTTTTGCTTTAGTTGCAATTGCTTTTGACATTTTTGTCATGAAATCTTTGCCCATGCCTATGTTCTGAATGGTATTTCCTAGAACTCCCATTCACAATTTTTTCAAAGAGAATAAAATACCTAGAAATACAGCTAACAAGGGAAGTGAAAGACCACTTCAAGAAAAACTAGAAACCACCACTAAGGGAAAAAGAGAGAACATAGACAAATAGAAAAACATCCCATGCTCATGGATAGGAAGAATCAATATTGTGAAAATGGCCACACTGCCCAAAGTAATTTATAGATTCAATGCTATTCCCATTAAACTACCATTGGCAATCTTCACAGAACTAGAAAAAAACTACTTTAAAATTTGTATCTAACCAAAAAAAAGAGTCCATATAGCCAAGACAATCCTAAGCAAATAGAACAAAGTTGGAGGCATTACACTACCTGACTAAAAACTATACTACAAGTCTTCAGTAACGAAAATGGCATGGTACTGGTACAAAACCAGACACATAGACCAACGGAACAGAAAAGAGATCTTAGATATAAGACCACACATCTACAAACATCTGATCTTTGACAAACCTGAAAAAAAACAAACAATGGGGAAAAGATTCCCTATTTAATAAATGGTGCTAGGAAAACTGGCTAGCCATGGGCAGAAAATTGAAACTGGACCCCTTTCTTACTCCTATACAAAAATTCAACTCAAGATGGATTAAAGACTTAAATGTAAAACCCAAAACTATAAAAACCCAAGGAAGTTTTAAATCGATATTTTTATGAAGTAATCTCTCATGCTACATAATACAAATGAATACCATTAGAAGTCACGCTATTTTGTGAACAATTATCCTCAAGAATGTGTGCATTTGGCTTATATTTAGAAATGTCCCACATTAGAATTTTTTAAAGGATATTTTATCTCAGTAGCTAATATTGTGGTGTTCCTAAAAGCTTAAGTATTATATCCATAAATTCTTAATAAATTGTGTATATTTTTGTCATTAATGGCTTTGGCTGTCAAATGAAGAATAAATGAAGAATATTATATTTTGAAATCTGAGATGAATATGGTATGTTTACAATACATTGTTATTTTATGCTAACAAAAAATATACATGCATTGCAGCATGTGATTTTATGATTAATATAATTAAAATATATAGTTTGTAATATATAACATTTGAAGACATTCTTTGGGAGCAGTGATATTAAGATAAAATCTGGAATTATTGGTGAAAAATTTAGTATGGGACAATTCAGCAATAACTAGGGAATACACTTCTCCTTATTTAGGGCTATCTGGTTATCTGCCTTATAATGGCTAGTATTTTTCTCTCATTATAGAAAATGCTGCCTGCATAACAAGTTCTAGGATATACTATAAAATAATTTTAGCAGTTTTCTGCTATTCCTTTCTACTCTCAATGTGTGTTTTCTAAATTTATTCTGTAGCTCCTATTGAATAAAATGGTCATTGTGAAACAAAGTGCATATTCAGTAAAAAAAAAATACAGATTTTTCAGAGTAAGGTATAAGACAAAATGGATTTAAAGAATATAGGAAATATTATTTCTAATCTGAGAGCTCTTGTTGCTGTTATTAAATGGTTTTATACCTACCAAGAAGTATAAATTATTTCTATATGACCTCAATTTCTGATATGTATAACATAAACTAAATTTGGCTTATTTTGTCATCTTTTTCCCCCAAAAACCAAAGGTTTAAGCTTTAAGATCATCAACAGCCCAGTGTGTGTTAATAGAGTACACCCGTTAGTGTTAAAAAAGGCATGTGTCAGATGAAATGTCTGGCATCACATAGATAAGCCCTGATGTAAAGGGAACTACCAAAGACAAGGACAAACCAGTTAACATTTAAAATGTTTAAAGTCATTTTTAAATAAAGGAGGAGAAAGCAGATAATAAAAATATCAAAAAGAAGTGAAATTAATTCATACAATTAAATCAAACAACGGAAGAATGACGCGTAACAAATATTTAAAAGGCTAAACCAAAGGAACGATATTTTATATCTTTGCATATTGCATAAAAGAACGTGAGAATAGATTAAAAAGCACACATGGTACATTGAAGTGTCAGAAACCTACAAACACTTTGTATTATTTCTTTTCAAATGAAAAGGTTTATATTTTATATTTTTTTTCGACTATCCTGTTGACACATATTTATCATTGTTGTAGATTATTTCATTGTAGTGATTTTCTGTACGGTGGAGATGACAAAGATGCTATCCATAACTAGTAGTTAGTACTGGAAGGCTCAACAATGTCAAGGTTCAGCAATGCAAAACAGTTGGATGACTCTTTTCAGCATCCTGCATTTTTTATGTTACTGTGCTTCTGATCCCCGTTAAGCCAGTTCAAGTCACCGGTAAGGTCAGCAGCCACTTAGATGATTTATCTAGTTTAAGAAAGTTTTGATAAGTGATAGTTCACTTGGATACAAGACTATCAAGAGAGACATTTCACTTGCTCAAGTCTGTGCAAAACAGATACAGATCTTAAAGTTAGAATCATGAGTATACAGAAGCTTATATTGCCAAAACAATAGAGGTCTTAGGAAGTACCATGAGTATCTACTAGTTTTCACTCTTCACTTTCTGTGTTTAGAGGAAGCTGATAGAAACAGATAGAGAATAAATTACCTAACAAAGTTTTTATATGTATTCCGGGAAAAATCCAGAATAAGTCAATCGATTTTTTACAACCATCCCTGGTCTTTTCCTACCATGCCACACTGACTTGATATGCATAGTAAATGTGGTATATATCTTTTACTAATGTATTCCTTGATTCTCCAATAATTCAAAGTGGATCATATTTTCCTTTTTTTATTCTTATTGGAAAGAATATTTAATTTCTATGAAAAATGCATGCAAAATTTGCATATTTTGGAATTTCTTACTGATAGTTGATCAGAGTATATATGATGAAGAAAAAACCTATTATACTCATGCTAATTTTATAACTGCAAAAAGTATGATATTACACATTCAAAGCATTAATCAAAATGTTTTGAAAAAACATTTAAGGGGAGAGAAAAATACATAATTTTAATAAATGGTTTTTTTAAATGAAACTTTTTTGAGTCATTTAATGGATGCTCTCAAAATTAAGTGTAAATTTTGAAACAAAAGTGAATAAAGAGGATATTTACTTGAAAAACTTAAATATGAAGGAATGTGAATATTAAGGGGGAAATATATATACACTGTAGTGGAAATGATATGAAGTAATAATGAGTGAAGAACCAAAACAGCACAGCAGAAAATATTAATAAAATAAATGTAAAGGCTGAAAATATGTAAAAGGTGACGCTAACAGGATTTCTTCAAAGATATTCTGAAACAACCTTTTTTTAAGGGGGGATGGATTCTCACTCTGTCACCCTGGCTGGAATGCAGTGGCCCGATCTTGGCTCACTGCAAGCTCTAGCTCCACCTCCCCAGTTCACGCCATTCTCCTGCCTCAGCCTCTCGAGTAGCTGGAACTACAGGACAGTCACCTGCCACCACGCCTGGCTAATTTTTTGTATTTTTAGTAGAGACAGAGTTTCACCATGTTAGCCAGGATGGTCTCAATCTCCTGACCTCGTATCTGCCCACCTTTTACAAACTTTAGAAAATGATTTAGTAAATATTTAATCTCTATCTTCAATGTGATTTATGTTTTTTGAGAAAAAAAAAATCTGATTCATTATTTTCTCTTTTGTTTTCGTTTTCTTATAATAATATTATGTTCTGAAATTCTTTCACGTTGCTTAATATATCACTGCCCACACTTTTGAATCATGTACCTGTCCCAGACCGACAATTCTAAGAGATTAGAAAGAAAAATGTGTAAACGTAAGTATGTATGATGATCTTTAAACGCTGTAAACATCCAAAAAACTCTTTTTGTAGCATATTTAATGAATTTACCAATTGCTATCACTGGGTGTAGGAATAAGTAGGCTTCAACTCATTATTCAAATTTCTGCCAAAAATAAAACCTTTTGTTATTGGAGTGAAAAAAAATGATGTAAAAATAAATAAGGGCAACAAAAGCAACTCCTGATCTAATTGGGGCAGTTACTGTTTTACAGACTACAGTTACCTTACAAATGTCTCATGACAATAATCATATGATTATAATAACATTTAAACTACAGAATTTGGATATTATTTAATTAATAGAACAAAATGTATCTGTAATAGAATAATTTCATAATACAGGTGTAGGAGATCAGTCAGGGTGGCGGGGAAAATTATAGGAAAGACACAGACCTTCTTGGAAGGCCGGGAGGTTTTGCAAAAGCTTCGGGACAGAATTATGGCTGAAGACAGTCAAATTCTCTTATCCAGAGGCTGAGAGCAAAGGGCAAATAACAAAAGAATGAAAGGAACTTATCTAGATACATTTGTTTACTCCTGTCTCCAGAAACGAAGCTTTGATCATTCACGCACAGGACTGCCCTCTACTTGGGGAGTCGACAATGCTTATTACCCACAAATTGTGTTTGCTCCAAGCCTCTGTCATTAAATCTGTACTAAATAAATGCAAGCAGGGCTGGCTTATGGGTGTGGAACCCTCATCAGTGGGCTAAGCCATGCTGCCCCCTAGCCGCGCTGTCAGGCAGAATACCTATGTCCATGTACTTGTTTCATCTGTCGCTGGGCCAGAGTCAGCAAGACAGACTCAGCATTCAGGTTTACTTCAGAAGATGAAAATAGCTGC
Organism: Homo sapiens; assembly: GCF_000001405.40. Taxonomy (NCBI): domain Eukaryota; kingdom Metazoa; phylum Chordata; class Mammalia; order Primates; family Hominidae; genus Homo; species Homo sapiens. Next base: position 57,031,003 of record NC_000013.11, read on the forward strand.
AGAAGTGTTTAATTTTAATGGAGAGAGTCTAAAAGCAGAGAGGTGTGCCTGTAAGAATAGCTGCAGACCATTTGAGAGCTAAGGGACCATATAGAGAAAACAGTGCTGCTAGAAAATAACAGAAATATTCAGACTAGCCCACTATAAAAAAAAAAAGAGTTTAACCTTGCCTACTTCTTAAATGCTGTCTAACTTTTCCAAAATGAAGATAATTCACTGCCACAAGTAGTTTTCCAGTTTTTTTTATTCTCTCCCCTAGCTGGTAGCCTGTTTAATTAAAGAACGAGAGTTTATTTTGCATGTTCTTCTTAAACTTCTTGACACTTCATCTACGACTTAGATATCCATCTTAATTTCAGTCTTTATCTTTTCTGCCCATTTTCAGAGAATAATACTCCTTATTTTTCCTTCTGTATATTTGCATTTTTTTCTTTTTCAATCACTCATTTCTCTTTTCTTAGATCTTGCCCTATCAGCTATCTCCTCCCTCTAGTAGCTCCCCAACTATTGGTCAATAAACTTTTGTCTTTGAAATTACAATAAATGTTCTTATATTTTCTTTACCTTCTTGTTAGCATCTTCTATTGATCTTTCCATCTCTATTAACTCTTTTATTTTTTATCAATTTACAGCCATGTGAGCCTTTTTCTAATATCTTTATCCCATTATATTATAATTCTTTACACTAAGGTTATGGCTATAATTGATTGTTTGTCCCCCCACAAAACCCATGTTGAAATTTGATTGCCATTGTGACAGTGTTAGTAGGTCGGGCCTTCAAGCTATGATTGGGCTGTGAAGGCTATGCCCTCATGAATGGATTAATGCTATTATCATTCCAGTGAGATTTTTATCTCAGGAGCGAATTTACTATTACACACCTGGGTTTGTTATCTCAGGAGTGGGTTTGTTATAAAAGAGAGAGTTCAGCTCCCTTTTTCCACCATGTGATGATGCAACAAGAAGACCTTCTGCAGATGCTGGCCCCTCCATATTTGATTTCCCAGCATACAAAACTGTGAGCCAATATATTTGTTTCTGTTCATTATGAATTACCCTATCTGTTCTAATATATATAACAGCACAAAATGGACCAAGACAGTCAACAAGAATTACCTCATTTTCACAAAAACAGTAAAGACAGACAAGGTCTTATGTTTTCTTCTGTTCTCTGAGTATGGCACTATTATTCTCATCTTCATTGCTAACAGACTCTTTTTTCCTAGCTTCTGTGACACCATACGTTCTTGGCTCTCTTATGTAATCTGTGTTCATTTTTTTCTCGATCTTATTTCTAGACAACTGTTCATCTCTTTCACCCTTAAAATGCTGTTGTTTCCTCAAGGTTAAGCCTGTGTTATAACATTTTTCCCTTTTGCAGAATTATCTTAACTAACTTTATGTACTTTCATACTTGGTCAACACAAAGGACGAGTGAGTCCCAAACTTGTGTCTATTATCTTCATTATTATACAAATGATTACATATGCTACTATATTGGTATCTTCAAAGAACCCCAATGTCATTACCTGAAAACTTATTATCATCTATCCCTTAGAACTTTTCCTTCAGTATTCTATGTCTCAGTTGATCACACTGTGATCCATCTAGTAAACAGCATTAGAAAAGTGGAAACAGTTATTGATGGCGATATCCTTTTACACTAATGCCTTATTTATTAAATATTCTGACATTGAAGAGCACTTCATACAAAAAATATGAGAATTAAGGCAATGTTTAAGTATTTAATATAAACACTAAAGTGACTAATTAGAATCTCTACTGTTGTATAGTGGCTAAACTTTGGAAAAACAATTTTATACCATGTAACTTTTTGCTATATAATGTAATCAAATATGAACAATTTTGGTATATTTTCACAACAAATTGCAATGATGGAGAGCATCAGGAATACGACTTTGGTTACAAATGGAGACATATATATATATGAAAATATGTAAGAGGTGATATATATTTAATATATATAATATATGTATTCTGGTCTAAAATTTTCTGCTGAAATAATATAGTTATGTAAAGGATTCAAGATATAAAGACAAAATCTTAATACATATACAGAACCTTTTCTGTATGTACATATTACATTTATAGGACAAAGTGAGTCAAAGATGAAAGAAAAGTAAGCATAGGACTGATGTGGACCTGTGCTATTGTAAGGCAGTAGTCACAAAATGGTGGCTGTATATTCTTCTGTCTGATCTTGATCTCTGGACACTGAGCCCTGCATGCAGGTTTAGAATACATTTCTATAAATTTCATGTTACCATGAAACATGTCTTCAGAGAGTGATGCCTCTGTCAGGTTTAGAAATTTGAAATTTATTCTCCTCTACTTGTTCTGCCATCCAGAGTCCCAAACTTGTTTCACCCTCTGGAAACATAACCTTTGTTAATTCCCTAGTTTAACAATCAGTCTTAACATTAGTCCATTTCATTATGTACTAATGAAATCAGTTACCAACATCATCAGGATGTACAAATACGGTATTATTTAAAGCACATTGCAATGGTGGCATGAAAATAGTATAACATTTACACATACATTTTCACAATATAACAAATTATTTAAATATAAATACAGCACAGATGCATTCACTTCTGGGACTCATAGTGACCAAAATAAGGAATAAATTATAAGAACTCCATCAAAATACTGGTGATATCATAAAGTGTTTCTGAGGGCATGGTTCTCCAAATAAGTATTTTGGTGTTTGGTAGAAATATTTCCTCTTGTTGAAGCATCTATTCCTCAAGGAAAATTTGAAATATTTATCAACTTTGAATCTAAACTTTATTGTTGTTGTATGTTGTAAAACATAAGTGTATAAACTGCCATTTTATTATGTTTTAGTATTTTTAAATTGTATTATTAAAGACGTATTTATGCCTAATTTTGATTCCTTGTTTAAAGGAAGAGAGAGAATATGTCTTACTGAACATATAAAGAATGACTCTAACCTAGGTTATTAGAACTGAAATTTTTCTTTTGCTTTTGATACTATATGAGTTGTAGATTCCAGGTGTTAAGAATTACACACCCCCTAATTAATTCTATGTCTTTTCCAAGCCTAAGGAAAAATTGACCAGTGGGCTACAGTCAGAAGTGATTTTACAACTTAGGACAAAAGGGAGTGCATAAGTATCAAAAGTTTACTTTCCCCAGCAGCAACTGGACCTTGCATGTTCTCAGTTACCACAGGAGTCAAGGATTTACTGTGGTTTTTCAGACTAAAACAAATACTCAGCTTAGATGGCCAGCCACATTCTTTCACATTCAAAATGTACATTTATAAATTGGGTATCATTGTTGATTTTGAATAGGACATCAATAAAATCATGGGTTTTGCTGATGGTTCTTTCTTATGAAAAAAAAAGATATACAGTACAGTGAATATAGTTGATAATATTGTATTGTTTACTAGAAATTTGCCTGTCTCTGTCAATTGCCCACAGTGAAAAGTTATTGAATATTTTAAAATCAATTGAAATTTTAATTTCATTTGACAAATCGAGATAACTTTGAATAATGGGTATAAAGTAATTAATGATGAATGAAAATAGATCTGGGAAGATTGTTTAGGCCCTTGAATAATACTTCAGGTTCTCATACCAAGATTTTTTGACTAAACACTAGAACTTACTTGGGATCTTAATCAAAACCATTTACCTAATAGACGGGAGAAACTGTTGAGGTTAAGCATATTTTCCAAGAAGCTCAAGTGAGCCATCCATTCTGAGGTTATCTAATTTAATTATACTCTGAAAACCAAGTGAAAGGCTTGGTTAATTAAACTGAGGAGATAGTGCTTGTTTAAGTAATTATCTCTTGTTAGCACATACTCTTTACAAAAGTTCAGTATTTTTTAAGTTCAAAATTGGCCATATGCTAAATTCAATGACACAATTTGATTAGAAAAATCTGAAATAATCATAACAATGCAAATATAATAATATTTTGATATAGAAAAAATTACTGCCCAGCTATTTTGAAGATTAAAAGAAATATTTTTTTCTTTTTATGTTTGCGTTGTTCATATTACATAGACAGGGCATCAGTTTTTCATCCTCTTTATTTAAGTGTTATTTAAAAATTAATATATCATCAATAATTGTATTTTGTCATATTTTATTTGGAATCCTCCAACAATTAAAAAAACAGAAAATCATTTTTTCAGTAATGAAGAGAAGTCCATTTACATTGCTATTCATTTGCTGCTAAGTATACCTTACCCCATGAAGTTCTCCTTGGTTCCTCATTTGCAGTTATGAGCTTTCCCTCCTCTGTAATCTTAAATCTGTTTACTGAATCCTGAATTATTTGTTTTGTAAAATAATTCCTCTACAAGATTCCTTAATAAAAGTCATCATATCTTCCTAAAACAATGATTGCCAAATACAGTGCCTAGTAATAACACAGTACAAAATTAGTACATGAGATTGGTATTTAACTGAATAATATAAATATCATATATATTATACTTAGTATATGCAAAACACATTATGAAAATATATTATTTAATCAACACAAGACTCATATATATTTGCCTAAAATGATTAGAATTTTTCAGATAAAGATTCTGACACTTAAAGATATATAATGGTACTTATCTGTGGAATCCCTTAGGTGCAAGCAGAAAATAATGTTCTTCTATTAAACCCACCGTGTACATAAAAACTTAAGCAACTTCAAGGGGATTGCTTTAGGTATGTGAAAGGAAAATATCTTGGGCCTCCAATATCGCTAAGGAAAACTCAAGCTGTAAACTGCTTAGGGCAAACTTGACTCCCATTCTATCCAAAGTCACTCCACTGCTCACTGAGATGGACGTATATCTGATTTGCCTCCTTTGGAAAGGCTAATCAGAAACTCAAAAGAATGAAAAAATCATCCAATAAGAAAAATATGCAACCATTATAATAAGCAATATCTCATTGTGATCCAAGTCCTTTCTCCGCCAACTTCTGCCTGATTGGGCTGGAAATCTGTAGGAAACAGTTTCTCAGCATTTTGCTTCTTTTGCTTTACCCTAAAAGCTGGCCATTTCTTTTATAATTTCTCCTGAATTAGAACAGGGAAAAGGGGCATCATTATAATGGACTGAGAAGTTTTTAACTCACATGTGCTTTAATGAGCCACTCCTGGCTCTCTGGCTTTGTGGAAGAAGTTATCTTCTTCTCATGAAGCAGTTTTGTGAGTCCCTCTGAGCTTATTTTATTATAAGGACATATAATTGCATATTGCTATATGGAAAATGCATCTTCTTTGGATGAATGCTTATGACTCTTTCTTCAGTTTCTGTCATTCTTGTTGTCTGTTACTATTTGATTTGGTCATACTGGATCTCTAGGCACTCCTTTTGGACGTGATTTAAAATGGCACCAGATAAACTTTCTCCTCTGTGGCATGCCCCAGAATCAATCCTATCTTACATATATAATATGCAATATTTACTATTACGTAATATTTAATATTACATATTTAGTATGTAAATATGGGTAATATATACATATATTGTATATTTAAATACATATTTTCAATGCATATATAGGCATAATAATACAGTCTGTTCCAATACAGCTTATTCTTTTTATCTCTGCTATGCGTCTTCATTTCGGTATCAAAAATCCTTGGTCTTCAGATTCTCCAAGCATAGGTTAATCATCAGTTTACTGGTGAGTAAGTGCACTCAACTTTCCCCATAGCTGTTCCAATCTGCTTTCACTTGACAAGAGTTAAGGAAGATGTTCTTATTCTGCACCAAAATGAGGTGCAGTCCAGGAAGTCTCTCTCACTCTCACTCAGTTTCACTTTTAGGTTTCTGCGTCCTTGACCCTTTTTATTCTCTAGAAATGCATGGGCTACTTAAGGTTACAAAGTTAGTGTTTTACCACCTTTTTCAAATGTACTGACTGTATAGATGTTCAAGACATTTTAACTTGGGACTTGATCAAAATTGAGTTAGAAAGAGTACCGATTTAATGTTCTGTTATAGTTTCTTCCTTAAGATCACCTCTCTAGTATATATGAGCTCAGGATTGTAACTAAGGCCTATTGACTCTAAAATCTCAGCTCATAACACTGACATGACTCTGAGTTATATCTTAAACACTGGTGTGAGTTTCTCTCCTCCTCAACAGCTCAATGTCATATATTGTAATTAATAAGTGTCCTAATGGTAACATTTCATGCTCCTTTCTACATGGGTTATATATCTATCTATCAGAAGGACAATACCTTTTAAAATATCAACCAAGTTAGACAAATACAATTTCAAATATTCAAGTCAATACAATTTAGATCCTTTTTCAAAATGAAGCATTGAGGTTATTCCCATGGTAGACAAAACCTTTTACTATCCATTGAATTCCAATTTCTATAAAAATCACAATCTGTGCGTTTCACAGCAGATACTATTTTTGTTGTTTCATGTCAGTTGAAGGTGTTAGTAAAATTTTCTCAAACCCAGAAAAATAATTAAATAATGATATTATGTGCCATAGATGTAGAGATATACTGTAATTACACATCTTAGCAAATATCTAACTATTTAAAACATTTGGCGGCATTGTTATGTTAGGGTATATTGCTGTATAAAAGAGGTATACACTAGAAGCTAAAAAGTTACATTTAGGCAATTAAGTGGTATTTTGATTAAAAATGCCAGAAGATATTATGTGCTATTATACATATTAATATGAATTTGTAACATCGCTTAACTAGTTTGATTTTTATTTTTCAAAACTCTCAAAATATTTTACTGATTTTATACTGCAAAGTGGTTAAATGGCTATGTGGACAGAATATGAGTACAGACACGTTCGTAACTTTTTTTGAAACTTTCTAACAAAGTGGTTAAATGGCTGTGTGTATAAAATATGGGAACAGACACATTTCATAACTTTTTTGAAACTTTCTGATAAATCTATAAGACGAAGAAAAGTCCAACTATGTTTTTGGCAATATATTTGATAATTCCATATGAAATACGTGTTTTCCTTTTGTTTAATGATGACAACTACTGTATTCCAGATAACATATTTTAGTATTTCTATTGCAACAGAGAAAATAACTGTTTTAAATATATACTAAAGTTCTCTAGTATTTCAAAGCAGGTCATTTACTCATTTCTAACTCTTCAAAGAACGCAAAATCCCCTATGGCATCTCCTTGATTAACAGTTTTTCTCACATTTTCTTTACTTAATAATATCCTCATCTTATCTATCAGGATATAGATGGATCTAATCAGGAAATCAGGAAATAAATGCATTATAAAAACAACCTCATTATATGATGTAACTGCTAAAGATTATACCTAAAGTATATATACTATTACGTGGCAGAGGAAACTTCAGGAGGGAGAACAATATTCTTCAACAAGTCTTTACTCTGGTCCTGGAGATATATTGCAGTCTTGAAATATATCTATAAATGTTCATCTTTATTTACCATACTCTTCTACCTTAAAAAATATGTAGACTGTCATATTTACATTACATTTCTTATAGACACTCATGTTATACCAGGCTCTTACTAAATGTCTTGACAATTATTTGTAATAAATAAATTTAAAAGATATGTATATTCTACCTGAGAGTATTTATTCCCTATTACTTTGGGTACTTATATATGCTCAAGAATAGTAAAATTAAACAATTGGTTGCTAGCTTCATTGGTTACTAGTAGTAACTGAGTGCTTAGTAAACCATACTTAGTAACTGAGTGCTTAGGAAACCATAAGAACTCCTATATTAGGTTCCACCTTTGACACAGTGAACTTGTTAATGAATCTCTTAAGTACATAATTTGTCATTGCAGTATAACTTAGTCTCAAATAAACACACATTTATTTATAATATACTTTAATAGGACTATAGTAACTAATTATTGATAGTTAAGCACCCTCATATTTGTATTATCTTCTCTAATTTGGAGTGTTTGTTATATTACCATTTTCTGTATGTTTAATAAAAGCAAGTAAGGATTAATATTCTCATAGAAATGACCCAAAATATTAATTACATTGAAGAGCACACCCCTTTATTGATCATTTATTATATACCTGACATTTTAAAAAACGTATCTTAATTTCAGCAATGCCCATTGTTTATAGCTTTTAAAAATTTGTATAACACTCAGAACTGTAAGTGTAGATTGTTATCTTCTAAAATGTTACTTTATTTGAATCATAGACACATTGTGAAAAACGGTCAACTATATTTAAGTATAGTTCATTCTATATTGTAACTCACTTTGCAAAATTCATGATTAGATATAGAGGTCTGGGAAAGTGCTCATCTTACAGAAAAAATTTTAAAAACTTGAGAACAAAAATGAAAAATAACTTATTAGTGAAAAATATAAGCCACATTTAACTACTGGTGAAAGCATTACATCATTAAATATTTATATTGATGAATTCTAGTGAATCATTCATTTGCCTTTTTAGTTCACATAATCCAATAGTGAAAGGAAAAACTTCTGACAGCAAGCAGAATGTAAAACCTTTATGTGAACACCAATTATATGTTTTGAACTCTTTGGTGAAGAGGAAGGATAATGATTTATAACTTTACTGACATCATGAATCTGTAACCCCAAAAGGCAAAATTCTTAATTAGAAAAGGACGTTTGAATGTCTGATGGTATTTCTGTCTTTCAGAGGTGGAATATTTAAAGATAGTACTCACAATTTATAATTTTCTATTTCTTTTTTTTTTTTGAACTTTTTTTTTCTTATTTATTTATTTATTTATTTTTATTATACTTTAAGTTTTAGGGTACATGTGCACATTGTGCAGGTTAGTTACATATGTATACATGTGCCATGCTGGTGCGCTGCACCCACTAACTCGTCATCTAGCATTAGGTTTATCTCCCAATGCTATCCCTCCCCCCTCCCCCCACCCCACCACAGTCCCCAGAGTGTGATATCCCCCTTCCTGGGTCCATGTGATCTCATTGTTCAATTCCCACCTATGAGTGAGAATATGCGGTGTTTGGTTTTTTGTTCTTGCGATAGTTTACTGAGAATGATAATTTCCAATTTCATCCATGTCCCTACAAAGGACATGAACTCATCATTTTTTATGGCTGCATAGTATTCCATGGTGTACATGTGCCACATTTTCTTAATCCAGTCTATCATTGTTGGGCATTTGGGTTGGTTCCAAGTCTTTGCTATTGTGAATAATGCTGCAATAAACATACATGTGCATGTGTCTTTATAGCAGCATGATTTATAGTCATTTGGGTATATACCCAGTAATGGGATGGCTGGGTCAAATGGTATTTCTAGTTCTAGATCCCTGAGGAATCGCCACACTGACTTCCACAATGGTTGAACTAGTTTACAGTCCCACCAACAGTGTAAAAGTGTTCCTATTTCTCCACATCCTCTCCAGCACCTGTTGTTTCCTGACTTTTTAATGATTGCCATTCTAACTGGTGTGAGATGGTATCTCATAGTGGTTTTGATTTGCATTTCTCTGATGGCTAGTGATGATGAGCATTTTTTCATGTGTTTTTGGCTGCATAAATGTCTTCTTTTGAGAAGTGTCTGTTCATGTCCTTCGCCCACTTTTTGATGGGGTTGAGTCAAATCATGAGTGAACTCCCATTCACAATTGCTTCAAAGAGAATACAATACCTAGGAATCCAACTTACAAGGGATGTGAAGGACCTCTTCAAGGAGAACTACAAACCACTGCTCAAGGAAATAAAAGAGGATACAAACAAATGGAAGAACATTCCATGCTCATGGGTAGGAAGAATCAATATCGTGAAAATGGCCATACTGCCCAAGGTAATTTACAGATTCAATGCCATCCCCATCAAGCTACCAATGACTTTCTTCACAGAATTGGAAAAAACTACTTTAAAATTCATATGGAACCAAAAAAGAGCCCACATCGCCAAGTCAATCCTAAGCCAAAAGAACAAAGCTGGAGGCATCACACTACCTGACTTCAAACTATACTACAAGGCTACAGTAACCAAAATAGCATGGTACTGGTACCAAAACAGAGATATAGATCAATGGAACAGAACAGAGCCCTCAGAAATAACGCCGTATACCTACAACTATCTGATCTTTGACAAACCTGAGAAAAACAAGCAATGGGGAAAGGATTCTCTATTTAATAAATGGTGCTGGGAAAACTGGCTAGCCATATGCAGAAAGCTGAAACTGGATCCCTTCCTTACACCTTATACAAAAATCAATTCAAGATGGATTAAAGATTTAAACGTTAGACCTAAAACCATAAAAACCCTAGAAGAAAACCTAGGCATTACCATTCAGGACATAGGCATGGGCAAGGACTTCATGTCCAAAACACCAAAGGCAATGGCAACAAAAGACAAAATTGACAAATGGGATCTAATTAAACTAAAGAGCTTCTGCACAGCAAAAGAAACTACCATCAGAGTGAACAGGCAACCTACAAAATGGGAGAAAATTTTCACAACCTACTCATCTGACAAAGGGCTAATATCCAGAATCTACAATGAACTCAAACAAATTTACAATATAATTTTCTATTTCATGGAAGACAATGCACAAAGCATTGAGAGTGTGTGAGATATTGTGTATAAAGCATTTATTTAGCATCACCCTACTGTATTGCCCTATGATATTCTGTATCTTGCTAACTGAGACGACCAATTTCACATCTCTACCTTCCCTCTAAATCTTCAAATATCTGCTCCTCTAACTTAGCTATTAATTTTTTATCTTATCACACCAAAAGCAAGAGTAATCAGAAGAAATTCTCAGATTTACAATTCTGGACTTACCAATGTACATACCTGTAAATGAATGCAAGGAGACAGTAATTTTTAAATAACTTTAATTGTAAGTAAAGATTCTAGACATGGAGATAGAAAATATATGAAAAGCTGAATAATTTTATTACCCAATTAGAATCTGAAAACTATACAGAAATTATGGAAAATATATAATTAAGAAATTAATAAATTTCCACAGAAATAGCAGCAGACACAATTACTGAACTGAAATGCAGAGAAAAAATAGTGAGAGATGGGGCACAGTGACTTATGTTTGTCATCCCAGCACTTTGGGAGGCTGAGGTGGAAGAATCACTTGATCCCAGGAGTTCAACACCAGCGTGGACAATATAGCAAGACCCTGCCTCTAAAAAAAATTTTTAAATTATTGGGTCTTTGTTGCTTATGCCAGTATTCCCAGCTACTTGGAAGGTTAAGGCAGAAGAATGTCTTGAGCCCAGGAGTTCAAGGATACAGTAAGCTCTGATAGTGCCACTGCACTCCAGTCTGGTTGACAGAGCAATACCCCAATTTCAAAAAGAAAAAGGGGGAGGTGAGAAAAAGCAAAGTGAATAAGTAACATATCTGATATAAAAGTGATTGGAATCCCAGATGGAGAGGAATAAATGAGAATGGGATGGAATCTTAGAAAGTAATGGATGAAAATCTTTCAGATAATGAATATCCTCATGCTTGAGAACATCAGTACACAAAAAGCAAGATACATACAAAGGAAGATTACTAGTCCCATCATAGTCAATCTGCTAAAACCCAAGGAAGGGCAAAGACAAAGATCCCAAAAGGAACTAAAGAGAAATGATGATACATTATATTCAATGAAGCAACAATAAGGCTAACAGCTAAATTCTCAGGAGAAAGAATTTGTTAGAAAACAATGAATCGCATCTTTTAGAGTTGGAAGAATTTAACCATCAATATAAACTTCTATATGCAAAAAGAAACGTCCTATAGAATATAAAATAATTTTTTAGAGACCAGTTCAGCTATAGAGTCTATACAATTCCAATCAAAGTTACAGTTAGATAGAAGGAATAAACTCTGGTTTTCTATTCTACAGTAGGGTAAAAATAATGAAAAAAAATGTATTGCATATATCAAAATAGCTAGAGGAGAGGAATTTTTATTCTCTCTCCAAAAAGAAATAATAAATGTTTAAGTTGATGAATTTGATAATTATCTTGATTTTATTATTACACAATGGATACACGTATTTAAAATACCAAGCTGTACTCCATAAATATTTACAAATATTATGTGTCAATTAAATACAAAATAGAACCTTAAAAACCTCAAACAAATTATTTTGTGAAAATTGAAAAGCTGTTCTAAAGTTTAATATAACTGTAAACATCTAAGAATATATATATATACATATCTATATATATCTATATAGATATATATAGATACGTATCTATATATATCTATATAGATATATATATATACGTATCTATATATATCTATATAGATATATATATTTTCTTGAGATGAAGTCTCGCTATGTTGCCCAGGCTGCAGCGCAATGGCCCAATCTTGGCTCACTGTAACTGCTGCCTCCCAGGTTCAAGTGATTCTCCTGCCTCAGCCTCCCCAGTAGCTGGGACTACAGGCACGCACCACCGCTCCTGACTAATTTTTGTATTTTTAGTAGAGACGGGATTTTGTCATGTTGTTCAGGCTGGTCTCAAACTCCTGAGCTCAGGTGGTCCATCCACCTAGGCCTCCCAAAGTTCTGGGATTACAGACATGAGCAACCAAGCCCAGCCAACATCTAAGAATATTTAAAACACTATTGATGAGGAAAAATAAAGTTAGAGACTTAAAAACTATGAAATATGGTCTTAAATATTAAGACCATGAGTTATTAGTGACATAAGGACCTAATAGACCAATCAAACATAATTAAAATTTGTAAATAGGCTATAAATATATTATTAGCTAATATATTATTAGCTATTTTATGACCAATTATTACCACTTTAAAGTGTGGCAAGGAGGATATATTCTGTAACTGGTGCTACACTAATTTTATATCTATATGGAAAAAAGTGAATCTTCAGTCCTATTTCATACCATACACACAAAAAATCAATTATATCTGGAATTCAAACAAAATGTTGAAGTAAAAAGCAATAAAATTCGTAGAATTCAAATAAATATTTTCTTGATTTACTATACACAACAATCTTTTAAACAAGATGAAAACCATTAACCACAAAGGAAAATAATTAATCAAACTACATCAAAAAAGAACACTATGTTAATAAAAATACATAATTAAAATGGTTAAAATGAAACTACAAATTTGGATAGCACTTTTGTGATACTATATATGAGAATATGTATTCTGTATACAAATATGTTGATATAAATACATACAAAATGTGAAGAGATATGATTATATGATACTGTACTTGATTATAAACAGTATGAAAGGAAATCCTATACATGCAAAACAAACATTCCAATATAAATCAAGACAAAAGATTTTAAAAGACACTTCATTAAAAAATATACATTTGGAAAGCTGCTTAAAATCATTTTTCATCAGGGAATTTCATCTTAAGTGGAATGACTCAGAAACAGAAAGGCAAATACTGCATATTCTCACTTATAAGTGGGAGCTAAATAATGTATACACATAGACATAGAGTGTAGACGTAGAAATTCAGAAGAATTGAGGGTTGGGAGGTAGGTGGATGATGAAAACTTACTTAATGGATATAATGTACATTATTCAGGTGACAGATACAATAAAAGCTCTGACTTTCCTATGCAATATAACCATGTAACAAAATTGCACTTGTACTCCTTAAATTTATACAGAAAAGAAAACAAATGCAATACAATTGCACATAGAACAGATTAGCTAAAATGGAAGAGATAGGTGTTGGTGAGGATAGGGAGCAATTGGATCTATTAGGTATTAATGGAGGGAGCATGAATTGGTTTACCTCTTGGAGAACTCTCCATGGGTACATAGATATACACTACATAGACATACACTACAACCCAACAATCTTACTTCAGGCTTTACATATACAAAAATGCAGGCATATATTAACTGACAGGTTTGTACAAAAATGTTTCTGGCAGTACTATTCAGAATATTACCAAAATGTAAACAACCTAAATATTCATCATCAGGAGAAGAGATACATAAATTTGTGGGTTATTCATGCAATCAGATGTTATATTGCAATAAGACATCTACAAGTATACAGAGTGACATGACACAATAAAACAATGTTACATGAAGGTTGTCAGACATACGCAATTACACACTTTATGATTCTTTTAATGTAATGTTCTGAAAAGGCAAACTAAGTGGCAATAGAAGTCATCATGACAGTTACACCTGGAGAAGGGTGGAAGGAGGACACAAGTATACTTCTGTGGTTCTCTTAATGTTCTTTTTCAGTATCTTTGTGCTGGTAAAATTGAGTTGTGATCTTATGATTTGTGTGTCTTTTGTTTATAGTTATATCAGCTCCAGCACTTACTTTCCTCATTGATTTTTTTTCTTCTACTCATCATTGTTTCTGTTATCAGAACATTTTCCTGCAGAATCTAATACTTGTGCTCTATGATCAGAGGACTTGTCTCCACCTAGTACTTGTATCTACAGACAATATAATTATGAAGTAGAAGGCACTTAAGTAAAATGAAGAATGTGTGCAATTTTTCATGAACAGATAGTTAAACGCTATCTTAAGTATCATTGATTAGATGAATAGTTGACCAGGTAAGATTGGGTGTCCAATCCATGTAAATCAGAATTATTAAGGATTAGAGGCAAATGGAAGTTCAGAGACTTGTGAAAACTGCTGAAAGTTCTCCGTCACCTAAGTGTAGATATCAAAGCTAAAGAAGTAGAAGAGAGAAGTTTCATAATGTTGCCGGGAAAAAAGTATGCAAAAGATGGAACAAATAGTAAGACGTTTCTAAATATTATCAGAGAAATAGAAGGCTGTGAAATACTAGAGAGCTAGATTTCTGTTGTCAATTATTTTCACACTTATTTTACTACATCTTCTTATATGTTTTCCAATACCTTAGTTCTCAGTTCTGCCTTTTTTTGATTAATGAAATATAAGTGAAAATGTGATTTCCAGGCAGAAACTTCAACAGCCAGTGCTTGCTTTGTTATGGTATCTCTTTTCTATGCAGCGGCTGCTCAGTCAATCTGGCTGCCACAGTGATAGTGACAGTCATTCAGTGGAAGAGCCCTAGCAGACCTAAAAAAGGCCCAAATTGTCACCACATTAAAAAATATATATAAGAATGTCATTTGGCAATCTGTATTCCACTAGGAGAAATTTATACTTCTGCTGCTTCTTTTTTTTTTTTTTTTTTTTTAAATGAGGTAGTCCTCTGGGATTTACTGAACTCAGCCATAAACAATGAGATTAGCACGGTCAAAGTTCATTGCAGAGTGATTCAGACAAGCAGAGAGGTTCATTGCATGGAGTTGTCAGACACTGGCGGTTGTAAATGTTTTGTCACAGATTTCTAAAAAAATTTGTTTCCCGTATTCTGTCTCTAAGCAACAATTGTAGACCAGAAATTTAAAAAGCAAAATGTGGCTAAGCTCCAAATTTAGTGCAAAGCGTTAGAGTTCAGGGTTTTCTGGTTTACTTAGTTTCTGTTTTGTTTGCCTTGATATTCTTGTATTGGGTCAGATTCCTCCAAACAACTCATCACTCCTCAAACTCAGTCTCTGTCTAAAGATGAACTTGTTCAAGATTAAGTAGAAATGAGTGTTACTTATAAAGTAGAAATGAGTGTTATGTTACTTATAACATAATCTCTAAACATATTCGTGATTTTCTAAACCTAAGGTAGGGGTGGTGGATTATATTCATTGCCATAAAAGAGAAACAGAAGTCTTGATTGAATGAATAACACAGTTTTTACTTAAGCAAAAGTAGCAAATTTAACCAAAGTCATAATTCAAATCTAAAAATCATTGAAGAAAACTTGACCTCAAATATCTTGGCGTTGAAAGTAGTCTCCACAGAAAAATAAAAAAAAGAAAAGAATATCTTTCATTCCCACTCCTCAAAATAATACCAATCTTGCCTTCCAGGAAACTCCTTTCTTCTTCAGTCTTCTCCATAAACTAGGTACCTTATATTTTCAAGTCCCTCTGCTTCCATCATATTGAAGACAATAATAATACCGGTATGAAATATTGTAATGACATATTTAGGAATGTTGGTTTGTTTGTGTTTTTAGGACAAAAAAATTTAGAGTTCATGTAGTCAAATATAGTTATTTTATAGATGAGAAAAATGAAATTGATGAAGTTTAATTGAATTATCTGAGGACATATATCTTGTAGCAATTTAATACTAGAAACCAAATCTATTAACATTTGACTTTATTCTTAAAATTTATATCACATGTGAAAACAATATATTTCAATGCCTCAAGATAAAGTATGAAGCCTTATACCGAGATTTCTGACATTAGTATGAAAGAGTTCTTGAAGACTTTCATATCGTGTGTGTGTGTGCGTGAAAGATTTGTATCATTAATATATATGTAATGCATATGAATTACATGTATATAACTTTATAAATGTATATGAGTGATACATATATATATGTCATATAGAATCCATTCATTTTTAAACAGCTTTATTGAGGTATCATGGATATACAAATAAACTGCACATATTTTAATTTATACAATTTATGAGTTGGACATATGCATACACCTTAGAAATTATTTTAATGGGAAAATAAATTGTCATATTTGAGATAACATTGAAATAGCTAAATTGAGAGTGTATAGAAAACTAAACTATTTTATAGTTGAGGACACTTTAAGGCACCAAAGTGAAAAATGGCATTTCATAGCATTTCTTTTTTTTTTTTAATTTTTATTTTAGGTTTGGGCCTAAATGCAAAGGTTTGTTATGTAGGTAAACATGTGTCATGGGGCTTTGTATATATTATTTTATCACCCAAGTATTAAGCCTAGTACCCAATAGTTATCTTTTCTGCTCCTCTCCCTTTCCTTTCCTCCCCCATCAAAAAGACCTCAGTGTCTGTTGTTTCCATCTTTGTGTTTATAAGTTTTTATCACTTAGCTCCCACTTGCAAGTGAAACATGCAGTATTTGGTTTTCTGTTCCTCTATTAGTTTTCTAAGGATAATAGTCTGCAGCTCCATCCATGTTCCCACAACAAACACAATCTCATTCTTTTTTGTGGCCGCATAGTATTCCATTGTGTGTATGTACCACATTTTCTTTATCCAATCTGTCATTGATGGACATTTACATTGATTCCATGTCTTTGCTACTGTGAATAGTGCTGTAATGAACATAGACATGCATATGTCTTTATGGTAGAATGATTTATATTCCTTTAGGTACATATCCACTAATGGGATCGCTGGCTTGCATGGTAGCTCTTCTTTTAGCTCTTTGAGGAAACACCTTACTGCTTTCATAATGGCTGAAGTAATTACATTCCCAACAACAGTATAAGAATATCCTTTTCTCTGCAACCTCACCAGCATCTGTTATTTCTGCCTTTTTAATAATTGCCATTCTGACTGGCATGAGATGTTATCTCACTTTGGTTTTGATTTGCATTTCTCTAATGATCAGTGATATTGAGCTGTTTTTCATATGCTTGTTGGCCATACGTATGTCTTCTTTTAAGAAGTGTCTGCTCATGTCTTTTGCCTACTTTTTAATGAGGTCATTTGTTTTTCCCTAGTAAATTTGTTTAAGTTCCTTATAGATGCTGGGTGTTAGATCTTTGTCAGATGCATGGTTTGCAAATATTTTCTCCTATTCTGTAGATTGTCTGTTTACTCTACTGATAGTTTCTTTCATTTTGCAGAAGCTCTTAAATTTAATTAGATCCCACTTGTCAATTTTTGCTCTTGTTGCAATTGTTTTTGATGTCTTTGTCATGAAATCTTTGCCAATCCCTATGTCCAAGATGGTATTGCTTAAGTTGTCTTCCAGGGTTTTTATAGTTTTGAGTTTTACATTTAAGTCTTTATTTCATCTTGAGTTGATTTTTGTATATGGTGTAAGGAAGGGGGCCAGCTTCAATCTTCTACATATTGCTAGCCAGTTATCCCAGCACCATTTATTGAATAGAGAGTCCTTTCCTCATTGCTTGTTTTTATCAGCTTTGTCAAATGATCCTGGGCGTGTGGCTTTATTTATGGGCTGTTTATTCTGTTCCATTGGCCTATGTGTCAGTTTTTGTACCAGTACCATGCTGTTTGGTTACTGTAGCCCTGCAGTACAGTTTAAAGTCAGGTAACAGGATGCCTCCAAATTTGTTCTTTTCAATTAGGATTGCCTTGATTATTTAGTCTCTTGTTTGATTCCATATAAACTTTAAAATAGTTTTTTTTCTAGTTCTGTGAAAAATGTCATTGGTAGTTTGGCAGGAATAGCATTGGATCTGTACATTGCTTGGGGCAGTATAGCCATTTTAATAATATTGATTCTTCCTATCCATTACAATGAGATTTTTTTCCGTTTATTTGTGTCTTCTCTGATTTCTTTGAGCAGTGTTGTATAACTCTCATTGTAGAGCTCTTTCACCTCCCTGGTTAGTTGTATTTCTATGTATTTTATTCTTTTTGTGGCAACTGTGAATAGGATTGCCTTTCTGATTTGGTTATCGATTTGGCTGCTGGTTGGTGTATAGTAATGCTAGTGATTTTTGTACATTGATTTTGTATTCTTCAACTTTTCTGAAGTTGTTTATCAGCTGGAGGAGATTTTTGGCTGAGACTATGGAGTTTTCTAGATACAGAATCATGTCATCTGCAAACAGACATAGTTTGTCTTCCTCTCTTCTTATTTGTATGCCAGAGAGAAAGGACAGGTCACCTACAAAGGCAACACCATCAGGCTAACAGTGGAGCTCTCAGCTGAAACCTTATAGGCCAGAAGAGATTGGGGGTCTATATGCAACATTATTAAATAAAAGAATCTTCAACCAATTATTTTATATCCAGACAAACTGAGCTTCTTAAGTGAAGGAGAAATAAGATCCTTTTCAGATAAGCAATTTTTGAGGTAATTCATTACCATTAGACCTGCCTTACAAGAGATTTTGAAAGGAGCATTAAATGTAGAAAGGAAAGACCACACTAAATGTAGAAAGGAAAGATGAGCTAATACAAAAATACACTTAAACACAGACTACTGTCATTGTAAAGCAACCACACAAACAAGCCAACATAACAACCAGCTAACAGCACAATGGCAGAATCAAATCCACACATATCACTACTAACCTTTAATGTAAATGGGCTAAATGCCCCACTTAGCAGGCATAGAATAGCAAGCTGGATGAAAAAGCAAGACTCACTGGTATGCTGTCTTCAAGAGACCAGTCTCACAGGTAATGATACTCATAGTCTTGAAACAAAGGAATGGAGGAAAATCTACCAAGCAAATGGAAAAACGCAGGGGTTGCCATTTTAATTTCAGACAAAACAGATTTCAAAACAACAAAGATCAAAAAAGACAATAAAGGGCATTACATAATGGTAAAGGTTTCAACTCAACAAGAAGACCTAACTATCCTAAGTATGTATTCACCCAACACAGGAACAGCAGATTCATAAAGCAAGTTCTTGGAGACCTAAAAAGAGACATAAACTTCCACATAATAATAGTGGGAGACTTCAACAATCCACTGAATGTATTAGATCATCAAGGCAGAAAATTAGCAAAGATATTCAAGACCTAAACTCAACATTGGATGAAATGGATCTAATAGACCTTTACAGAACTCTCCATCCCTTAAAAATAGAATATGCATTCTTCTCATCGCCACATGTCACATACTCTAAAACTAACCACAGAATTGGATATAAAACAATCCTTAACAAATGTAAAAGAACTCAAACCATACCAAACACATTCTTGGATCAAAGTGCAATAAAAGCAGAAGTCAGGACTATGAAAATCACTCAGTGCCATGAAATTACATGGAAATTAAACAACATGTTGCTGAATGACTTTTGGGTAAATAATGAAATTAAGGCAGAAATAAAGAAGTTATTTGAAAATAATGAGAACAAAGATACAATATCCAGAATCTCTGGGACATAGCTAAGGCAGTGTTAAGAGGGAAACTCATAGCACTAAATTCCCACATCTGAAAGTTGGAAAGATCTCAAATTAACAACCTAACTTCACAACTGAAAGAATTAGAGAAGCAAGAACAAATCAACTCCAAAGCTAGCAGAAGACAATAAATAACAAAATCAGAGCTGAACTAGAAGAAATGAGACATGAAAAACCATTCAAAAGATCAACAAATCCAGGAGTTTTTTTTGAAAAAATTAATAAAGTAGGCCACTAAATAGACTAATACAGAACAAAAGAGAGAAATTCCAAATAAACACAGTTAGAAATGGCAAAGAAAATGTTACTACTGACCACACAGAAATAAAAAGAGCCATCACAAACTACTACAAATACCTCTACAAACACAAACTAGAAAACCTAGAAAAGATGGATAAATTCCTGAACACATACACCTTCTCAAGACTGAGCCAGGAAGAAATTGATTTCCTGAAGAGACCAATAATGAGTTCCAAAATGGGAATCAGTAATAAATAGCTTACCAACCAAAAAAAGCCTGGGATCTGATGGATTCATAGCTGAATTCTACAAAATGTACAAAGAAATGCTGGTATCATTCCTGCTAAAACTATTCAAAAATATTTAGGAGGAGGGACTCCTCCCCAACTCATTCTATGAGGTCAGCATCACCTTGATAGTAAAACCTGGCAGAGACACAACAAAAAGAGAAAACTTCAGGCCAATATCCTTGATAAATATTGATGCAAAAAATTCTCAACAAAATACTTACATAATGAGTCCAACAGAATGTCAAAAAGCTAATCCACCATAATCAAGTATGCTTCACCCAAAGATGCATGATTGGTTCATATACGCAAATCAATAAATGTGATTCACCGCATAAACAGAACTAAACACAAAAACACACATAATTATCTCAATAGACACAGAAAAGTCTTTTGATAAAGGTCAACACCCATTCAGGTTAAAAACCCTCAGTAAGCTAGGTATTGAAGGAACATACCTCAAAATAATAAGAGCCATATATGATAAACACACAGCCAACATTATACTGAATGGGCAAAACCTGGAAGCATTCCTCTTGAAAACTGACAGAAGACAAGGATACCCTCTCTTACAACTCCTATTCAACATAGTATTGGAAGTCCTATGAGCAATCAAGCAAGAGAAAAACATAAATGACATAACACTTCTATATTCAGAAAACCAGTATAGAAATGGACCCTTGGGTATCCGTTTACAGGTAGTAAATAAGGCCAGGTATATGGATACTATCATTCATTCATGCATTTCTCTCTTATTTATTTATACCATGAATATCTGTGCCACACATTGTGCTTCAAGCCCTGCGATAAATGCTAGAGATGATACAATGCATGGGCAGTTGGAGCTTAGAGGAAGAAACAAAAATAGATAAGCATGCAATCCAAGATTGGACTGCCTTCCAAATACTAAGTAGAGAGGAATAACTGAAAAAGAATCAGAAGAGAAAGTAAGAGCATACAAATTAAAAACTAGGAGAGAAGTATGCCCTACAAGACAAGAAAATATCAATAAAATAAAGCATACTTACATTTGATTTTGTCTTGTTTAGAACAAAAACTTGTTTTTTCTCCATTACTATAAATCTGTGGTGTTCAAATCTGTATTGGACATAGAAATACTTCCTTAACAATAGCGTAAATGGGAATCACTCCCCAACTGCTCCGTTATTTTATGCTTCCTCTTTTGGATTAAAGGGTGCTTCAAAAACCAGTAGAATAAAACAGGATTCAAAAATCATGCCTTGGATTATTCAAAGTAAAGTCCCAATTTGTTATATGAGAATGGTAAGATTTAAAAAGAAAGGACACTTTTAGAATTGGCAGGGGCATGGAACAACTGATTGTCTAGTATGACACAGGTGGAAGTGTAAATTAGGATATCTACTTTAGGAAAATTGTTTGACAGTATCTACTGAAGCTGTATACATTCATTCAAATAGCCAGCAATTTCTCTTTATTTACAAACTCATGGGAAATGTGTTAATATGTTCATCAAAGACATGTACAAGAATCATCTTAGTGGTGCCCTTTGCAATATTTTTGACTGGAAATTACACAAATACCAAAATGTAATAAATTATATACATAATTTTAGGTGTGTTCATACAAGGGACCACGAAACACTAAGAATGAAAAATGTGGAACTATATGCAGTAATATGTCTAAATTTCACAGTGTGTTAAAGCAATGGCAATAAATACAAATGAATATATATTGCATGATTTAATCTATATAACAAAATAGGCAAAACTGATAAATGGTGTCATGACATTTTGATAACCTGAGCTTGAAATTGAGAATTTAATGACTGGAAAGAGACAGGAGGGTCTTTGGGGTGGTCTTTGGGGTGTTAGTAACTCTGTCTTTCTTTATGTATTCTGGTAAGAATAGCATTTTCAATTTGTGAAGAAAATTAATATGGCTGTACACTTACAATAACTGCATTTTTCTGTATGGGTTTTTTACATCAACAAAATGTTTTAAAAAACTAAGCAAACATTATGCGTGAACATATTTTTGTCACTTCAACTAGATTAGTTGTTTACTGAAACAAAACTACATCATTTTCTATTTCCTGTCTGTCCTCAAGCCATCAGTATAACCCTTACATTCAGTCTTCAATGAATGCTTGTTTTGTACATGACAATTTCATATCAATAGAGACTTTGGAAAATAACAGATATATTTGCCTTTTGGAAAAAATTGTAAGTTATTTTGACAAATTTTAAATAGGAAGTAACTGCCATTTTCTATTTGAAAAAGCAGTATCCATCATCTCTTTTTGGTCACTCTTGTTTAAAACAATCAGCAAACACCTTTAAAGTATTTTAGATGGATAAAATTGAGGACTGAAAATTTTTTATTTGATACATGCTTCTAATTTTTCTTCTTTTAAGAGAGATTTTCATTCTTGTTAATAGAGGATATAACATTAAATCACTTTGAAATAAGTTCATCTGCATTCATAATCTCATCTGTGAATTAATACAAATGACACTACAGTCTTATGATTTCAGGAAGCAAGCATTAACTATCTTGATTCCAGTTATTCATTCAGGAACACACTACAGCAACATGTTGAAACATTTGTTGTGCCATGGTAAACGTTGCAGGATAATATGATTTGAAACTAGATAGCATCCTCAATTTCAGTCTTTTGTGTTGAATAATTAATTATAGCTCAGACTATTTTATTTTCATAGCCTGCAAGTAGCATTTTGAGTTTTCACAAAATTAGTGAAAAATCCTTATATTACATATTTTTGAAGGGTTGTTAAGAGAAAATGTCTGACTTCCCTGTCTCCTAAGATCGCAACATTCTTGCCTCGTATTCATACTTCTTATTCTTTCCCAGTTCTTTTTATTTCTCCTCAGTATTTATCATTACCTCTAATTACTGATACTTTATTTAATTTTTCTTGTCATTTTTGTCTTCTCATGATTGACTCCTTTCATGTTAGAATGAAGAATGATCCTAGCATGGGGAAGGACCAGAGCTTTTCCAGGCCTCCTGCCAGGGTTTCTATATTAACTTTGTTTGATTTTTAGCCAAAACACTTTTAAAACCACTTTGAAATCCTCCATTTAATTCTTTTTATCTTCAATGGTGTATGCTATCCTTATGACAGGCTTGCATTGATTCTCTGACTTGTTCTCAAACAAAGCATAAGATTTAGTACACAACAGGTTCTCCATAACATTTGTAGAATCAATAAATGCGGAAGTTCTGTCTTAGAAACTGTCTAAATATTCTGTCCAATCCTAGTTTTAGCTCCTGATTCATGACTGAGTTCTCACTACTATGAACATTTTTGGTGGGAAAGACAAAGCATAACAGAAACTTTGTGATTATATTAAGAATACACAGATTTATATGATGATGATGCAAAACAAGTGTTGGAAAAGAAAAGCTTACCAAACTAACAGAACTAATCTAACCCCCAAACAGATATTCAATGAGGTTTTACACGCCTATATATTGATTCAACCTGTTGTATAGAACATTATTCTATTTTCTAAAGATGTTATTCTAGGGACATTTTATTCTACAAACTTGGATTCTTCAGTGTACAAAATAAGCAGTTTCTTCACTTATGTAGTTTACATTATATGAAGGGAAGACAAACAATAAATTTCATGAATAATTCAATTATACATTTTAATAGGAAATAGTAAGTGGTTTGATAAAATAATTAAAAAAACAAGATGAGTATAGTCAGTTGAATAATGACCCCTAAAAAGATACACTGAAGTTCTAAACCCCAAACCTGTGAACATGACCTTTGGAAAAAGGGTCTTTCTAGATGTAATTAAGATAAAAATATACAGATGAGATCATCTTGGACTTAGATTGAACTCTAAATACAATAACAGGTGCCTTTATAAGAGAAAAGCAGAGGGAGATTTGAGACACACAGATACATAGTGGAGAAAGCCATGTGAGGTTGGAGGCAGGGATTAGTGTCTTGCAGCCATAAACCAAGGACTGCCTGAAGCCCCCATGAACCAAGGGACAAAGAAGGGTTGTCCACTATAGCCTCCAGGTAGAGCATATCCCTGAAGACACTGATATTAGACTTCTAGCCTTCACACCGATGAGAGAATTTAAATTTGTTCCTGTAAGCCACCAAGTTTATGTGAATTTATTATGGCAATCCTAGAAAACTAGTACAATGAGTAAAGGTGAATACAGATTGCCATGGGTTGGAAGTGCTGGTAGCCATATTGAGGAGGAGATATTTAGGCAAGAATTAAAAGTGATTCATGGAATTGATTATAAACAAAATTTTGAAGCACAACCTTTGTATAAATTTAAATATGAAAGCTGACTATAAAATTAATTACTGTATCTTTTTTGGAATTAATTTAACATACATTAACACGGGAAGGGCAAGTACGAGTTGAATAATAGAGAGCTTACTACTGACAAAATCTATGCAAACGCTAAGACAAAAAATACATCTAACATTTGGCTAACATATGACCAAGACTAACATGGTACAACAGTTAAGATCACAGACTTCAGATTCTGAATGGCTTGATTTTATGTGCAACATCCCAATTTACTCTCTATGTGATCTTGGGCATGCTACCATGTGTGTAAGTTATTTTTTTATTTGTGATATGGAGGTAATATTAATCTCATATGGGAAATTATAGGAGTCAAAATACAGCTTAAAACAACACTTGACAAACTGGAAGTGTTAAGTGTTAGCTGTTATTTTATAGGGAAAGAAATTTCCTTTGAAAAGTTGTAGAAATTGGTAAACTATCTGAGTCATCACATTAAGAGAGTTCAATCCTTCTGGGGATAGGCTGGGAGAAAGGAGAGAGATTTTATACAATCTTGACTCCCTATATATCTAGATAGAGATTAGATAATGTGTCCTATTAGAAAAAGAATATTTGGGGCTCGAGTAGAGGAAATAGTTAACATTTTGGTATGAGTCAACATTATTCTTGTAATATTTTCTAAGTCAGACAATAGAGCCTGAATTCAATTTTGATTATTAATATAGCAGGACAACTCTTTGTGCTGCAGTTTTCCCCAATATTTCAGTGGTAATAATAACACCTCCCAAGAAAAGGTGGAGGATTGGGTGCAGTGTTAAGGCAAATTATCCCACAGGCTAGTAGTAAATTAGGTGCTTCTGAAACTAGATTATCTCTCCTAATACTGGTGCATTAATTTCTGTGGGCTGCACAAGACTGTGAGAAAGAATAAAGAGGGAATGATTAGCACATTTTTGGTAATTGTTCTATGCCAGCCTGTTATAATCTGCTTATCTACACTGCCTGCTGCTTTCTCTTGCCAGCTCTCATCAGTGTCTCATCAGGGCACAGCTCTATGGAACAGACAACATGCTGCTGAAATAGGCTTCTCAGTTTTCAGGCCGCAAACGCTGTCTGTTTGCTACTCCGTAGGGATGTCAAGGCTTTGTTAGCACTTTGTTAAAGGCCATGGAAGAAATTCGATGATGCCATGACCCGTCCACCCTTGACATTTGCTCCATGATTCTTGATGCTGCCTTTATGTCTCACTCTTCTAACTTTAGGGAAATATACTGCATTCTAAGCAGTGCTCTACCAACATGAACTATCAGAATTACCTTTGACAGATTCTTAATCTTTTTGAAGTAAAGATCTCAGTGTTCACATTCATTACAATTGACATTGTTTCTGTCTTTAACTGGAGATTTTAAATAGGTTTCTCAAGTGTTTGCATATGAGGGAGAAAATAATGGGATAATTTTCTGGTCTATCCCATTGTTCATCTGCCAGTCTTTGTCAAATCATTTGAGAACGTAGAGGAGAAAATTATTCTCGCTTTATAGAAAATGGGCTTCACTGTCAAATTAATTATCCAGATACAAACTTTTTACTTACAAATGGTTTTTTGGGGCCAATTAATTAATTATGTTCACTTTATTCTACAACGTGTCAAGAAAAAAGGATTAGAAAACAATGACCAAGAAAATTAAGCAAACCAAATTCTTAACATTGAATAAGTCACATGCCAAGTGTTATTAAATTTTTCTGTGACAAGGTATTGATGATAATTTGTTTACATAAATGAATTGCCAATATATACATAAAGGCTAATCAATGTAAATATTCTAGTATCTAATTCTATATACAATTATCATCATACTGTTGTTTTATTGCCTATTATTTTATTGTATACTATAGTAAGATACTATTGAGATAAAGAAAATAATACAATTAGGATATTTTGTTCACCATGCAAGGAACTTTCATCCTCATAAGTAAGTATTCCATTCTCTAAAATAAAGTAGTCATTTCTAATACACTGTTAGAAACATAGCTTATAAAACAATATGTATATTTTTCATAACTCAATATATATAGCATATATATATATATATATATATATAATTTTACAGCCATTACCTTCAAAAACTGTCATGGCAACTTCCCCTCAGACAACACAGGGATCTAATTAACACAGTCACTTAGAGAAAAATCGGTAAAATTTGGGTTTTGTTCTAAATTTGTTACCATTTCTTCTGTTTAGTTACTCTGTGACTTGGAATAAGGCATTTGATCTCATTTAGCTACAGCTTTCTTACTTAAAAAAAACCTGAGGTGATTAATATGTACTGTTTGGATTAAATATGATAATTAAATACAAAATATGTATGAAACCTACTCCACAGATGTTTGATGAGTAACTTAACCCTTGTTTAATTACTTAAATCTTGCTCAATATAAATTTGCGTCAATATTTTTTCAATAAGTATATGTACTTTTACAATTTCATACAATTATTATTTTATACATTAATATACATTATCACTTATTCCTATTAGAAAATAGCTAATATGATATACTTTTAAATATAATAATTACAATATAAAGTTGCCTCCAAGTGTTAACTTTATTCCCCAAGAAGAATATCAACCACAGAAATCTCAGTGTAATTATCAAAGTACTCTGAAATATTTTCAAAAATATGACAGTGTTTTGAAGAAATTGATGTGCTTCTGAAAACGCTGACTCATTTCACAAAATTAGTTGAAATAATGGAAAAAGTCTGACTGGCAAATGGTTAAAATGGTGCATTTCCTCTGCACAAACTTAACTGGTTTCTTCTCAATAATTTGTATTCAGTCAGTCTCTTCACATCACCTCTAAAACTCTAGGCAAACCACAGTTCAAACTTTTTATCCTTTCTTTTCCTCACAGGGTTAAATTGTCCTTTTCCCAACATGAAAGTGTCAAACCATATGTTTTCTCTGTTCTTCTACAGTTAAACTCTTACTGTCTCACAGAATTTGTATCATTAAGAAATCAAACATAAGGCATACAATTTTATATACTGTACATATAAAAAATAATAAAATAATGACAAAAAACAAAAAGTGTACTTTGAGATTATTTTTGTCCAACTGTGTATTCTGTCTTCCATACAAACACTCTAACAGATGAAGGCTAGTCGTGCAAACAAAATAATCATATAGCTAAAGTATATACTTGTGTTTTTTAGTGTAATAAATGCATTTATTAAAATATTGCTGCTTCATCAAGAGGCATTAACTATCGTTAATTATTTCTAGAGCAATCAGAATATATTGAATTAAAGCAGATAGATTTTAAAAAACATATCCTCAATGTTTCAAGAACAACAAGATATGTTTATACAGGAAGTAGATGGATATCTTAGATTTTAAAATAAGACGCTGCCCTAAAAGTTTACAGTTTGATTATTATGTCCAATTTTACTTGAGAGTTTATGGATTATTTTTTCCTTACTGTATAGGCAGCTCCCATTTTTACTGTTCTTTTACTTATCAGACGCAATTAAGTAAGTTTTTGGCTCATTATTATCCTGAGGGCAAAACAGAGAAATAATGAGAAGGTTAGAAAGGATGACAAAATGAGTACCTGAAGTGAATTTATTCAACTGTCAGAGACGGATGCAATCATGTTGAAGACAAATTTTCCTTGGGAAGTTTGTAAAGGGAGCAAATGAGCAAAGAATGTTTAGCTGTGGTCCATCTTTGCCCTGCTTCTCTGGCATATCGTTTATCAGAATGTTATTGTGTTTGTTCAGGGCAAAGTTGCTTTTAGATGGGCAGGATAGTGTTGAATTTGGTAGAGGAAAAGGAAAATAATCTCTCACATATAAGTAAATATTATCAGATAAGTGTTCATAACTCATAGCATTATGTCTTCAAAATGCAATGAAGTCTTGCCTTTGCAGCTTCTTTTTTAATTGTATAATGCTGATCATGACCCATCAAATAGTTCATCATTATCAGTTTGAAGAAAACTTTTCACACCACTTGTGTAAACTCTCCTATTTCTCCTAAGAAAAACTGCCAATGAGGGACCATCCTACCTTTGTCTTAAGTCTTAGACACCATCCCTGAAGTCTAAGTGAGAATTCTACCCTGTCTTCTCCTTGCAAATTTATGGGGGAAATAAACCTGTCTGCTTTCTCCATTTCATGTTTGTATCACTTCAGAAATTCACTATATGTGGCCAGGTTTTCTCTTGCTATTTAAGAGTTTTCTCATTTGTCCTGGCATTGTTTTTCCTTGAGCACAAAGTGAGAACTCTGCCTTAATATAGGGGGGACATCCACTTCACACTAGAAAAGAAATTCTTTAGTGTTGATCCAAGCCATTATTATCTTCCGAGGGAGAAAAAGAATAGCCTCCTAACTAATCTTTGTTCTTATTTGAGTCTGTTGTCCATAGCTATCCATAGATGGAGAGGTCAGACTGCTCTTTTTCAATTGTCATTCAGATTTTGAAATTTCTCACGTCCAAATCCTTGCGCTTGGGAAAAATCTAGACACATCACCAGTAAGGAAAGGGTGAAGAGTGTGCTTATCAACTGCTCCTTTGACTACCCCTTACAATTGTTCTTATCATCTCCAACCCCACACTCACTATACCCCAGACCTTCTTTCTCTTAGAACAGAAACTTTAGTGCCTTTGCACTGGAGGTGGCCTCTGCATCTTTTAAGCCTAAACTGTGTGAATTTTTATCATTTAAATGCAACAATTGCTTATTTACTGTTGCTTCAAATCTGTGATTTTTGTACTATATTTGACCATGTAAGTATTTCTTCAACCGTAGCTTAATGTGAAATCTAATAAACTGCAATGATAGTTGGATCCCTTTGTGAGACCACATCCCTCAAATCACTGTTGTATTCCATAGGTGGTCTGAAGGGGATTTGTACAATCTCCAGAAAAATGCCTTTTCAAACATTATGCTGTAGTATATATTATGTATTTCTTATAATCTCACCACACTTTAATGTAAATTCACTTCATAAATTGTTTTTAATTTGTTACTTTTGTACTCAAGTCTTTAAAAGTACAGATAAAACAACTATCAGTAATCTCTTGCCCCTACGAATTCAATTCAGACAATTTGCTTCGTATACCTCAATCCAAGTTGCATTCATTCTAGTTCTGCTGCTAATGTTCATTTATGAGGTTACAATTATAAAATATTCCCAAGAGAAATGTTAGTTTAGGCAAATGTTGCATAACATTTGGCAAAATAAAATTTGTTCATTCAAAAAGATTATTTATTTGTCTGGTTAAGTTATATGCCAGTTTTTATCCCCATCAATTTAATTCCTTCACTGCCAAGAAATTTATTCACAGCCTTACCATATCATTGGCTTCTGATAAAAATCAGCTTGCCGAAGTTGACAGAAATATTGTTAAGTTGATGGAGATTATCTTGCATCATTATTTATTTTTTAGATTTCTTTCTCTGGATACTTAGCTCCAAGGGACTTTAAATATCAATTTTTATTTTGTTCTCCTCAAATTGCACAAGCTCATTTACTGAGAAATATGTTTCTTTTTCTGATACATATACATATATATTCCACTAGGATTATAACAAATTTTCAGACAAAATTGTTTAGTTAAAGGATACATCTGTTAGTATTATTATTCCTTGACAGATTTTATTGAAATGGTTATCTGAATATACTATCTCCAATTTCTCATCTTACATTATTTTTGTACTTTCTAAATAATACTTTCATTCCATCTTTACATCAAAACTGTTCTTATCAATCTCTCAATACCTCTCTGTTGCTAAATCTAATAAACAATTCTCAACATTCATACTACTTGACCAAATGTTTGGCTTTTTTTTTGAGATGGAGTCTCGCTCGGTCGCCCAGGCTGGAGTGCAGTGGCGCCATCTTGGCTCACTGCAACTTCCACCTCCTGGGTTCAAGCGATTCTGCTGCCTCAGCCTCCTGAGTAGCTGGGATTACAGGCACACGCCAGCACGCCTGGCAATTTTTTCTAATTTTAGTAGAGACAGGGTTTCACCATATTGGCCACGCTGGTCTCAAACTCCTGACCTCATGATCCACCCACCTGGCCCTCCCAAAGTGCTGGAATTACAGGTGTGAGCCACCACGCTGGGCCAAATATTTCGCTTTTAAGACCTCACAAAACAGTCCTGATTTTCCTTCCAGCACTGGACCAACTGCTTTTCTGTTTCTAGGTCATAACCCTGATGACCTATGGCTTTGCCCTTGGGCCTTTTCTCATTTCTATTATATTCAAAATTTTGTTAATGATGTTCCACCATAGGTCTTAATATAATATGTATGATGATGTCTTTCAAATTTATATTTTCAACTAAGGTCTCTCAACAACTGCTCTTGGAGGTCTAAGAGACAATCCAATAATAACAAACTTGACCCTAGAACAAAAAATGCTTAGCCCATAGCAAGTGTTCAACAAATATCTTGTGAATAAATAACTCATTATAACCTGTTTGGTTTTGTTTGTATGCTGGTTTGTTTTTAGTCATCCGCATAACAATAAAAGGCAAAGATTCTTCCAGCTATTCATGCCCAAAGGCATAATGCCAAGGGTGCCAATTCTTGCACTCTCGCACCCTGTATCCAATTTGTCAGGAAACACTATGAGATTTACTCTTAAAATAGATCCAAAATCACAAACTTTTGACAAGAAGTCTTCCTTAGACTGTATGTTTGAGGCTTGAGTGCTTTACATATATACTCAATAAAGGACATCCTACCTATTAATGAGATCAAAGACTTACACAGGGTCAGCATGAAAAAATACATGAGATTGAAATCAGCAATTTAATCAGCAATAGTTAATTTATCATTCACTATTGTGGTGCAAAATTTTCAAAGATGAGACAAAATGGTTTAAAACTTTTATTTCTTTGCCCAGACAACCTAACAAAAAGATGTTGCATTAAAATGAAAACATTTTAAAAAGCAAAAGAGATCAGAACATTTACTTCATGCACATACTTCCTGGAGAAAAAAGAAAATAATTGCCTGAGGACATAATCTGGCAAAATAGAAAAGAAGCCTGCAAAATCCAAATAAGATAAGCAGCTTAACAAATTATATAACTGTTCTTTACACTGAATAGAAATTCCAGAATGACAGCTGGACATTAGGCTAAAAAAAGCCAAGGTTCAAACTGAAAGAGGTTACTGAATTCTATAAAAAATTTATTCAGAAGAAAGTATATCACCTAAATATGCTACAATAATAAACCTGGAAGATATTAAAGGTATGATAAAGGTACGTATTTTTCCTATCTACTGCTAGAGCACAGGGAGAGATGAGAAGGAAGACAAAACGAGAGAGCAGCTCAACAGCTGAGTCGGGTTTGAGAGTAAACCTGAGAAAGGCTTCTGGCCGGCAGGGTCAGGAGCAAACTTCTCTTACAGCCTGAGGCTTTTAAGAAGGGTCAGGTCAGGGAAGTGTGCTCTGAGGGAGGTTCCTATCCGGGAGGGGTTAGGGGAGTGCTGGCTGGTTGGGACTGTTGGGGACTTTGATAAGCTTGGTTATGCTTATGCTCAGTTGAAGGTATAGATGGGGCTGACTTTTGCAGTTTGCTCAGGTGGAAATGGACAGTTTCTAGAAATGGAAACTTGATACTTTAAGGTGGTGGAGTCTCGGTAAGATGGTGGTACTCTTGTCCTATCGTCTACAAAAAGAAAAAAACAAGTTAGAAAAATATGAGGAAACAAGCAGAAATGCAGAAAAGATTGTCAACTAATAAAGCCGACTAACATGTAGTGAGATTTTGATTCACTAAGAAACTTTAAGCTTGTGGCTTGGATCATTTTCTTTTAACCTATATAGAAGTAATGCTCACAATTGAGTTTGCTGCCAATTGGTCCAAACAATTTTGTTTTTACAAAAGTACTATACATGCTGCTATTAAATTTCAATTTACAGAAGCGATCTATAGACAAACAAATAATTAAAGTTGTAGACCAAAATGTCTGTATTTTGAATATTCACATTTTAAAACTGATGATAGTTACTTTTTTTAAGTTAAAAATGGAATAAAACAATGGTCCAGCTCATAAAGTTTCATAGAAAATTTTCAGGAAAAAAGCATGAGAGTTATTATAAAGGTGTTAATTTCCTCATATACATAATAAATGAATACCGTGATTCTATATATTTTCCCTGATGGCTAATCTAAAAAGATTAAATTCTTAAATAATAGTTAAAAGCAGAAAAATAGAAAATATCTAATTGTATGTTTTTGTATTAGATGCTGATCATACTTTAATTCTATAATTTAAAATAGTATCACCCCATTTCTAAAATGACACTCTGTAAAATAATTTATAGTGCTAATTACATGAGAAAATTACACATACATGTTTTCTTTAAACTTTTTTAAGTGGCTTTGTTTTCATTAGACTGCATTATTTTTAATCAGTATAGTTTATTAAAGTTATTTTGAAAATAAAGATAATTTTTGTTATCCTTTGTTTTTCTCATGTTTAATGTCAGTCTTCCAAAGAAAAATAAAATTTAGCACTAAGCACAAGATAACTTTTCTTGCTGTTTTTGTCCTTCCTTATTCTAGCAGATAATGTTCAAATAAGGTAAGCAAGAATCCTTCCCATCTCAAAATGCATATTAGAATTCACAACAAGAGGTAGAGTCTAGGCTAGTCTTATGTTGAATAAAATAAAAGTGACGTTTTAGAATATCTGAGTCCAAGCTGTAAGAGAACTAGCAGCTTCTGTCCCTCCTCCATCTGGAAGCCTAGATGTCACCTAGTAAGGAAGTCCATGCCAGATTACTGATTTAGAGGTCACATGGAGAAGGTGGACATTCTCTAAGTAATGCCACCTTACATAGGTGTGGAGTTCAATAACAGCCACAGTAAGCACAGTTAGCCCCAGATTTATAGGAAATAATTAATTATTATTGACTTAAGTCATTGAATTCAGACATGGTTTATTATGCAGCTATTGATATAACAAATACATTCACCAAAGCCCATACTGTGTTCAAAATATTCCATTGGTTTCCCTTCTCACTCATAATAAAACCTGAAAGTTAGTAAAATGGGATATATTTTGTTCAGTCTGGAATACTTTAAATAATATGCTTATTTTAAACCACAATATAAGTCTCCTGACCTCATGAAAAACATTGACTTTATTAAGACTTGTGATTTAACAAACACACTAGAACAATAGTGGTGGTCAAATCCTAACTCAAATTCAAGTAATTTGCAATTCTCTAACTGTTGATGGCAAGACATATGCAATAGAACAGCATCTATGAAAACTGGTAGATTTTAATTCCTCCCTGGCCTATTAAGATCTCATTTAGAATTCTTTGAGATAGAAATCATTCTGGAAATTGCATTTAGCTTTCCAAGATGCCAACTTCAAGCAATGCCTTTGCAACTATCTCCAGGGTGTGCTCTATGAGGGGAGGGTGGAAGACTGTTTGGATTGTTTAATGGCTTAAAGTCATTTCAAGATCTCATATAATTTTTTCCTTTAACTTTATACATAAAAAATTAGATTGACCTAAGTTTAGCTCTTTGGAGAATTAGATTTCCAAATCTAACCTTGACCAGCTATAAATTCAAGTGATTTTATCTTTTTTGCTCCATGCAAAATGTTTTGTTCCTTGGTTCTAGAGAGAAATTTCACCTTTTCTCCCTGAAAGTGTTTTATGTCATTCAAGAAAAAAATCATCTTAAGCATCTCTTCTGCTATCTCAAGATATTTCCATATCATAACAAATTGTCAACATATTTTACAAATATATTTTGAATTTCTTAATAACTGTTTGCAAAATATGATGATATTTACTTTGCTATTTTTTATGACTTTCAGATAATTTTATTTATATGTCAATAAAATAATTGTGATACAATAAAATATGAATTGTTTCGACTGATTATTTTATTATATTAAGATAAATATATTTTAAGGTATAATATTTTAAAGGTATAATTTATTCCTCTCTGCATTATATTCTAGGACAAATAAAAAAATCTACTAATTTAATATTCTAAAAGCTAACAGTTTAGTGTTATTTATTACATCATTCTCTTTTAAATGGAAACATGAAAAATAAACATATAACCACACTTTGCCTAACTAGTATTTTAGCATACCATGTTTTTGCCTACATTCAACAAATTTTTATGCTATTGCCTCATAAATTAGTTAAGAAATTTTTAACTACTCATTCAGTGGTCCTACTTAAATTAATGATATAATCCATTCGCTGAGCCCTCAGTTAATTCTCACAATACATCATAAAGCAGAGATTAGTATTTTCATTACTATTTCCATTTCACAGACAAGAAAAATGAAAATCAGGGACTATACACTAAAATATGTGAACGTTTTTTGTTTTGTATTCAAAAAATTTGAAGGCAGTTTGTTTTACTACAACATTTGAACTATATGTAAAGACTCATTTTATGAATATTTATCTTTAAAATATTCTTAAAGTAATTGACACAGCTTTGCTTATAAACACAATTTCATCTCTCAAGTTTGGCTTTTCGAGATTATTCTCTACATTTCTTTCTTTAGATTTTAGGTAAAAAATAAAAATCACCCTTAAAATTATTTATAAAATATTGAAGTCAAATTTTATTGGCAGTATTTCTTTTCAAGTCAATAAATTCAGGCCCAAGAAAAATATTTCTCGCCATATATTCACATTTTAATATAATTTTAAAAATTATAGAAATAAAAGTAAAAATTCAAAATAAAATACTAATTTTAATGTTTATGCAAATGCTAATAGTGTCTTGAAATAACAGAAAAATATTAACTTTGTATCTACCCATTTTTAGTTACAATAATTTATTAAATTATTCTCATTTAATAGGTTTATGAAATATAATGGGAAAAACACTTGGAATTAGAAGTTGTTTTATGAATCTTAACTTTTTCTTATATAGGCTAAGTGACCCTTAACAAGTCACTTAAGTTTTCTGAACCACAATTTTGTTTCCTATAACCTAAGGAAAATAAAATACATACACACCATTTTTAATGTTTAATGAAGTATAATTATCCACAAGTGCCTATTGTAGTTCTTGGTAAAATGGAAGTTATGACACAAAAATATTTACCAAGATAAAAATAGTTTGCATATCACTTTGAAAGTCTTTTTGATATTCATTATGTTATAGTAATCATAATAGATTTATTACGTTTATTTAACTGTAATATAGATGGTTGTTTTTCTATAAAATGAACATTATACTAAAGCCTCAAAGGGTAGACCTATGGACTTGATTTACTGTAGATTCTAGAATAAAAGTTTGGAGAAAATATTTGACATTCTGTATAAGAATAAGAAAGTTGAGTTCCAATTACAAACAGTAAAAGAATTAGAAAGAGAGACAGACAAAAATGAAAAGAAAATTGAATTAGAAAAGCGTAAAGTACAAGGAAAATTAGAATAATAGAAAGAAAATTGGCATTTTCATTAGTGAAGTATAGAAGCAGCAAAAGAGAAAATCAAATAATTACTATGATAGTTCAACTTCAGTTGCCCTCCCAGACAGGAAAGAAATAAAAAAAACTACATAAAAAAGTGATTAAAATGGGTTATAAATACATGAACAATTTTAAATGTGTATTCAAACCAGAAAAACAAGACCCTTTCATGGTTTAAAATTAGAACATTGAAGCCAAAGAAATAATCTAAATCAAAATCTATTAAATTGAACTTGGGCTAAAAAATCAATCCTGATTTTGAAAATTAAAAGAACTGACTCTTTTAGGTACAGATAATTAAATAAGTATCATATCGCTGTAAATGAAGAAATAAAATTAAATGTAATTTCTGGAGAGAAAAATTAAGTGCCTTACCCAGGGTTAAAAATGATACCAGATCAAGTAACTTTCTCTGATAAATTAAACACAATAAGTTAATGTGGTGGTATCTATAGAATTTTGAAGTCAAACAATTGTGATTTAAAGATATTTATTGAAAAGTCAAGTTTTTATTTATGTATGAAGAACTTTTATAAAGACATAGATGTCAGAAAGTATTTAACACTCTCAGTTAAAAGCATCCAGCCACAGTTCAAAGGTCAAAAATTAACAAAAAAAAAAACTTCAAACAAAACTAGTTGAACAGCATCAATAAAACTCTAAGATTTTGTCCACAAACTATACTTAAAATTTTTAAATAGTTAAAAATAGACAGAAAAGAAAGTGAGAAGTGGGAATAATAAAGAGCATATACTTTCATATAGAGTGAAAATTAAATACATTTGTATAGGATTTGTATAGGATGCGCAACTTTGTGCCAACAATTTTAAGAATTTTAACATATGGACAATTTACTAGGGAAAAAAATGTTGCCAAATTTGCCTCAACTGGAAAAAAATGTAAGTAATTCAATAACCATAAAATAAATTGAACATAATCATCCTAGTTTTTTAAAAAATATCAGAAGGGTCCAGAGAATCTAAGGGGATATGGCAAATCTGCAAGCAACTGAGTTATAAATTCTATGTTACATAAGAATTTTGCAGAGGATAAAGAAAAACAGAAGAAAACCTGAAAACTCACAGGACTCATTAGGTAAAATCCTCAGCTAAATTACACAACTATATATTTAGAGGATGTGCAATCCTGTGTTGCTTTGTTTATATTGTTAAATATAAAAACCCCTTAATTTCATCAATATGACAGTAGTTAAATAAAATATGGTACATCCAAACTATGGACTACTATAACGATGTTCAACAGAATGATTGATAACTATAAATAATAACATGGAATAATTATCAGGCATATTTTGAGAAATAGAAGCACTTGTAAAATGATAGCATTTGTATAAAGAAAGATAATTATGGATATCTGTAAAAATACATGCATTAAAATTCACAGGAAAAGGACTGAAAAGAAGAAGGTGAATGGAAAGGGAATGAATGAGAAACTTTATTTTTTGTTTTGAATTTTAATATTTTGCTTGGTTCTTCATAATGACATCATATTTATGTGGTACCTTCATATAAAAGCTGTTGAAAAAGAAAGCAAAAATACTATTTTACATGGAAACTTTTCTCAGCTGCAAAATTTTGGTTTATCCTAATTAGTTTTGAAGCTTCTCACAAAGAGTTGGTATTCTTACAAAAGAATAATTTTGAGAGAGATATATATTTAAAATTAGATTATGTTTTAGGTTTTCTAATGCAATGTTCCTAATCCTCACATTGATTTAGTTTTGTGTTTTTGCATGTGAGAGAAACTAGTGGAATTACAACCAGTACTTTCGAATGTTGCACAGTGTGGTACTATGTAAATATCATGTGTTTGTAATCATCAGGAGAGGTTATGAATAAACAACAATTCAAAAATGTTAGCATCCTAAAATAACAAAGAATTTTTATTAATTCATGCTAAATGTCCCCATGAGAATTATCATAGGCTTCTGCTTAGTTGGAGACATAAAATGCAGACTGATAGAAAAACTACTACCTTAAACAGTAGTTTCTTGTCTACAAGAAAAGAAAGTTGCAGGGGTCTTGCAATGGCCATTGAATACTCTGCTCTGGAAGTAATATACTATGGTTATGTTTACAACTACTTGTGTGTAACCTCCTGACCCCACTTAACCACACAGAGGCTAGGAGGCAAAATTTTTCTATGTGTAGAGAAGGAGAAAAACCTGGAATATTTGGCAAATAACAATAATGATTACCCCACTGTTGTACTTGAATATTGCAGTTAGGAGGTAAAATTACTGATTTACATAATCCATAGATATTTAAGAAAGTATTTGATGTAAAAATTTACACATATATTGTTGTACTTTATGGTTAGATTATGGCATTGAGAAAGGAAGATTGCATTTAGAATCCTAACTCTGTAAAACCTGTTTTGTAATCTTGGACAATTTACTTAAACTGAATAAATTTAATTATTTTATCTTTAATGAAAGACAATTGTATGTACGTCGATTGCTTTTTCCTGTAAGAACTTGTTGTCTTTATCATTTATGAGGCACTAAATAATGTGCCTGCCCAAAATTGAGAATTCAGTATTACTGGTTGTAGTGAGGACAATGGCAATATTATCTGCAGTAGTATTGTGACTAATAGTTATATACATTTTATATTGAAAAGTTTTTCAATTAATTTAATTCAATGATTAAAATCATGTGAGTTAAAATACAGATCAGGTGAGAAAATCAAATCTATGACTAACTTGCTAAAAGTAAGTCATTTACAGTGATTTCTTTAATGTCTCAGGTTAAAGAAATAGAACAGCTTAGATTTAAAACCTGATCAACAAATGCTAAAAATACCAAGAATAAAGGGGTAATGTACATACATAGCATGTACATACACAGCATGTGGCTAAGGTTTAAAAATGTTTAAAATCTGTTATTAATAATGAATCCAATAGTGAATATCAATAGTGTATCAAACAACATTCTGGCTCTACATCAATAAAGCTGTGAGGTCCATGAATTGTTATAAGGCTATAAGACACAAATTTTAATATTGATTTCAATATTGATTTTGATTTATATGCAATGTCAAGTACAGTGTACAGAACACTTGTCAAAAATAACAAAAAATCTTATTAGAAGAACAATATTTCCAGTTTCACATTTCGCTTGTTACTCTGAACTTCCATTTAAAAATACTTTTTAGTAAACCAATTGAACCCTAGTTGAATGTTTAATTATATTTGTTTTAAATCTTTATTGATATCTATTGGTCAACTAGATAACTTTACCAACAAATTGCCTACAAAAACTACTCTTCAATATGATTTTTTTAAGGCATAATAAGTCCCAATGTGCCTTCTATCTGTCTCATTGCTTCCAGAGTTGCCCAAAGTACTTCTGTCTTTCTTTCTTTAAGGCCCAACTGTTCTTGACAAGCCAT
Source organism: Homo sapiens (assembly GCF_000001405.40). Classification (NCBI taxonomy): domain Eukaryota; kingdom Metazoa; phylum Chordata; class Mammalia; order Primates; family Hominidae; genus Homo; species Homo sapiens. The sequence goes on from NC_000013.11 coordinate 57,070,678, forward strand.
TGTCAGTACTTTCATTTAGATCTCCTGTTACTGTTTTGTTGCCATTTCATAACATCTTATTAAAGAGACAGTACTCAGAGTTACATGCAGGAAGTTGATAGGAAACTGCCATTGCTTGGCATTTGTAGCCTAAGGCAACTTTCAATCTATATTTGAACAGCTACCAGGATCCCTGCAGCTTGGTAAGTGAGTTCTATATCCATATATCCCAACCTGAAACTGTAATAATTGCATATTTCAAATGGCTAGGAGTTTGAAGCATATTTAATTAGATCATGGCAAGAAAGATTTATTTGAAGAAAGTAATCCCGAAGACCGTTGTCAAAAAATTTTTATGAAAAGACTCTGGCCCATAGGTTTGTCCATGTAGATTCCAAGTACAACAAAAGTTTAGGATTCATGGCAATTTCACCATAATCAATATTGCAACCCATTTTATGCAGAATGTCCTTACCTCAAACTATTATATAGGTTCTGCTCTACTATCCCATTTTATAGAGAAGGAAAATGAATTTAATCCAATTTAGGTCACTTGTTAAGTGTATGAAAAGTTAAACTAAAGCAATTTGTCTTTAGAGGAACCGGTGGTGACTGAATCAATAAAATATGTTATTTCCCAAATTTTAAAAAGCTTTAAGAAGCAAAATACTGTGACTTAGTTTTAGTGCATTCTAGAGTTTCTCAACTCTATGAATAGGCACTTATTGACATTGTGGATCAAGTAATTATTTCTAGGTGGAAGACCTACATTGTATGATGTTTAGTGGTATCTCTGTTATTAGATGCCAGTCGCACCCTACAACTAGATTTGACAAGCAAATAAGTCTTTAAACAAAATTGCCTCCACTTGAGAATCATTATATGGATGAAATAAAACCTACTATTCTAATGTGATTGATTTCAAATACAGTATTTTTCTTTAAAGAAAATATATTATTGCTTGAGAATGAGTATAACAAAAAGTAACAGAAGCATATATTTATATCATTTTTACATATGTAAAAATAAAATATAAAACAATATAAAGGGAAAATCTGTGACTCATGTTTAATAAGTATGTATAGAAAAATTTACCAGTTTGTAACTTTTATTACAGGCAGTGTCGGTAAGGACCAACTTTTAGACAATTTTGTTTTATGTGGATAACTTTTTTTGCAGGTTGAGATATACGACTTTGTCAGATTGTCAGTGACTGAGAATCTCATTGAAATTTACATATCTTATGGGTAAATAAAGATGTGGAAAACAAAAATAAGTATGTTGTGCTTATTTATAGTTACTGATTTGGGCATAATCTTACAAATTTTCAGTTGTTTTATATTTTCTCAACATTTTGGTTTATTTTTGTTAGAACACGGCTTATGTTTCTACATAAACAACTATTTAATACAAGGTTAACCTAGACATCACTAGATGTGTATTTCTAGACACAAAATTTTTAAACAATATTTATTCACCGTCTGCCACCTGACAAGTTAACCTGTTAACATTTTTTTCATTCATAGACTTTCTCATGTTATTCAGAAATGGTTATTTCATATTCCTTCCAAAATAGGGATAAAAATATATACCGATATACAAATACTAAACATATACAAAAGTAAACTTTTTTGTTGTGTAGAATTATTGTATAAGTTAAAGGAACTAGAAATATGGACCAAATAAGAATGAGAAAATAGAGATAGCAGTCTGAATTCAAACTCCAAACTCTGTAATTATCTTTTCAGTTGTCATCAGCTAAAATTTCCATTCAGTTATTCTACTCTTAGCCAGCTAAAAAAAAATCTTCTGGGAACCTATCCCACATGCAGGATGTTTCAGATTCAGCCACATATTTGGGTTTATCGTTTATACTCAGTTTAAACACAGAATTTGGACTTCCCTTGATTGGCTCTATTCTTTAAGGTATTTCTTCTTTTATTCTCTAGCGGCTTTGGGAAGCCAGAATTATATGTTCTGGTTCTGCAAACCAGTAGGACTCTTGATTTCTTCCTAAGTTTTAGCTGTTCGTGGTGTCAACAGGCACTTCTCAGGTATAAAGACATAAAAACAAACGAACAAACAAACAGGAAAAGTGCCAAGTGTTTTTACCTATGTTGGTTTTCAGTGGTTTCAAGTGGTTTTTGTTTTCTTGTGCTTTCTCTTTAAAATTTTTCCCAGTTTACAGTTATCCAAAGGAGGGCTGGTTTGAAAAGGGCAGTTCCTCCATAATCAAAAGCCAATCTGACACATTTTGAATGTTCAATATAAAGTCCAGGCTCCACATCTGAAGTTTTATACTTTCCTGTTGTTGTTCAATTTTGCTGATTTAAATGCATATTTAACTCGCTTAAATGTACCTACTCATAGCTAATGGAATTGCATGTTTTAATGATCATAAGTTGTAGGGTGTATTTTATTTGTGCTCATTTACATAATTTGCTGATTAAACTATAAATTTAATCTATTAACCTTTACATATATCTTACTTATACAAGCATATAATCAATGCATATTCTTTGCTGAATGAAGTTTATAACTTATAAACTTCTTTATTGTTGATCAAGCTCTGAAATACTGAAAACAAGAGCTCAGCTTCTATGCATAAACTGAGCGTAAACTATAAACTCAAATATCTGGCTGAATGCTTCCAGTGTTTTTCTGCTAGGCAGGCTCTGTTATTAGCTTCTTTGAAAAATACATACTTTTTACTAAACTTGGCTAATTTTTCTGTTTTTCCCCTACTTTCTACTGCATTAATTTATCTTTTCTTCTATCTTTTTTTTCTTCTGTTTTCATTGGCTTTCTTTACGGTCATCTGTCTTTATGCCACACTCTGATCAGTCATCCACATATCTTTCATAAGCTCCAAGACACATTGGCTAAATTTTTCAACTAAAATTGTAATAAAATCATCATCTTTAATAGGTAGACTAATTTGGTAAGATTAGCCCTTTTCTCTGATTAATAATATTCTTTTAAAATATATTTTTATGTTCAGTCAGTATTTTTAAACATGATATATACTCTCTTGTGAGAGAGGTAGAGGTAAGAAAAGAACAACTATAGTGAATTAAATATTACAATAGGTTGGGCTGCATTTGCACACAGGGGAACAATTAACCCACACTGAAATTAGAAAAATACGTAAAGAAAACTGAAAGTGGTCTGTATGAGCTGACTCTCAAAAAATATCTGGTTGCCTTACTTAATGTAACTTCATTAACATAACATTTTGGACATTTGCTTTATCTATTTTAGGCTGTTATTTTAAAAAATAAGCTGATAAGTAAAGCATAAACTGAAATAATATTAAGGCACCCAGCCATTAGCACATTTATTTAAAACATTATATATAGGAAATTCAAATAAGTTAATTGATTTTCCAACACCAAACATAGGTCCTAGCACATTTGGACTTTGTTATGAGACTGCAATATTAGACTTTGATTTAGGTAAACAAAGTGTTTGCCACGTAAGAATAAACATTTCAGAAAAATAAAACAGATCATGTGTTACTAGTCTATATAGAGCAACAAAAGAAAGACCACTTTCAAAGACAAGTGGCAAAGTTCAGAATGGGTAGATAGAATTCAAATCCAGAACCTTAGACTGAATCATTGGTCATGTCAGTGCACCCTGCTATCCAAGCTTGTGAAAGCCTATTTCATAACTTCACATACCACATATCCCTATAAGAGTATGCTTTTGGGGCCGGGTGTGGTTGCTCACACCTGTATTTTGGGAGGCTGAGGGGGGTGGATCACTTGGGGTCAGGAGTTCGAGACCAGCCTGGCCAACATGGTGAAACCCAGTCTCTACCAAAAGCACAAAAATTAGCTGAAGTGGTGGCACATGCCTGTAATCCCAGTTACTCAGGAGGCTGAGCCAGGAGAATCACTTGAACCCGGGAGGCGGAGATTGCAGTGAGCCGAGATTGTGCCACTGCACTCTAGCCTAGGTGACAGACCGAGACTCTGGTCTCAAAAAAAAAAAAAAAAAAGAGTATGCTGTTTGATGTTTTCAAAAAATATAGCTATTTTTAATAAACTTGTTTTAGAAAAATATTTGATTTACTGAAAAAAAAAAAGAAAAATAACCAAAAGTAGTAAAGAGAGTTTCCATGTACCTCACACTCAGTTTCCACTGTTATGAATGTCTTATATTCATAACAGTGTAAGTATGGTACATTTTCCATAACTAATGAAACAACACAGATACCTTATTATTAACTAAAGTGTTTATTTGAATTCAGAGCAATATTCAAGAAAAAATGTTGCTTACTGAAGAGCATCCTGAGACCATTATTTAACATTTGATTTATTATTTTTATCTTAAGAGAAAGACAACTAAATTAGATAAAATAATAAGGAGCTATATTATTTCATATAAATCAAAGGTCAGACACTTTAGAGATTGACTGATACATAGCTTGTCACAAATATCCTAGTTCTAGGTGTTTCATGATGATCCCAGGCCTCCTGCCTCATAAAATGGCAGAGTGGCAAAAAAGGAATATCACTGGGCTATGTGCCTCTCTCTTCAAAAGTAAGATAAAAGGTATAAGAAGCATCCAGTAGCCTTTCACTCAGTCTTAATGAACAGAGTTGTAATATATTCCTGCCTGAACAAATCGCTTGGTGAGAGAGGTGAGCCTACTATGAATAACAGCAATGAAGCTAAAATGATGAGCTTTTGAGACTTTCAAGGCAACCTGCCTGCTGAAGAACATGGTCACTTGCCAGGTACAGTAAGTCAGGAATAAGAGCAACAACCAACAATGTGTTGTATGTCTTTCTTACATCAATTTCAATTAATGTAATGTATGTTTATTTTAATGTTCCATCCCACCAAGCTGCTGGCGGATTCATTGATTTTAAAACCAGTGGCTTTCTTCTCTCCAGTTGTCATCATGCTACAAAATGTCATCAAATAATTTTCCTGAATAAATTAGAACAAATTACTTCTATATATCTTCATATGTCACAGCAATTTCTGGAATAAGATAGATGTCTTGACATCTACTAACATTAAATTTGCCTTAAGTTTGCCAATGTGTTTTTAAATTATTATACGGTGGTACAGAATGTGATGGCATCCTCTCTATCCATCAGCATGGTGTTACAAATAGAAGGGACTTGACACATACTAATCGATGGGTTTAAATATTAACTTGTTAATAGTCTGCAATACTTTCACAATTTACATTTGATATGTGTCCCTTCAAAAGTAGTTGCAATAAGGCTTGACATAATAAAATCTCTCTATTTTTGCCCATGTTGGAAATCTACATCTTTTCTGAATTATTCATTCCAGAATAGTCTCCACTGCTGCTATTTTCCTACATCGCACTCTTTAGTCATGTATTTTCAGACATCCTTGAAATACTTCTGCAAAAGCTTAAAATATTAAAATGATAGAGACAATTCCTAAGACAAACATAAAAATCACAATATTAGGATATAAATTATTAGTTTTTAGACAAATTCTATTATGTGTTGGCAGCTGATTATGTCATTTGCACTATAAATTTTTTCTCAAAATGATAAATTAAATATTTAAGGTTTCTAACATGAATGAATGTATACAGCATTATCTTCACAGTTTTTTGTCCTTTACTTATTTCCACAAATAATACTGCAAATAAAAAACACAAAATGCACAGTATAGATCATTAAGAAGAGAACATTTCAGAATGCTTATATCAGACACAATTTCTTCCCATAGAAAGTTACTACAAAATTTTATTTTTTTAACGAATAATATTATAAAGGAAAATCTCCAATTGTAACGTAGTATTTATTGCAATTTTATGAAGTGTCTGTTAATAAGTTAGGAACCATGGTGAGAAGAGGGAATGTTTTCAGTACCCTGGAAATTATTTGGGATATCCTCATGAATAAGAGCATTTCTAAGGATACATTCATGCTAAAACAATCTCAAGTATTATGCCCACATTGTTTTATTGAGGGCAGATAGAGATAATAGAATATTGTTGACATTAATGGTACACTATTTTTCAGGTGTTTTTCAATCTCCTTTTCATGTAATAATGCACCTAGTTCCTGCAACACCTCTGTAAGCAAAGTTACATTCTTTTTCACATTTTGCCTGTAAAGCCACAGAAGCGGCCAGGCGCGGTGGCTCACGCCTCTAATCCCAGCACTTTGGGAGGCCAAGGCGGGCGTATCATGAGGTCAGGAGTTCGAGACCAGCCTGACCAACATGGTGAAACCCTGTCTCTACTAAAAATACAAAAATTAGCCGAGCGTGGTGGCACGCACCTGTAATCTCAGCAACTCACCAGGCTTAGCCAGGAGAATCACTTGAACCCGAGAGGTGGAGGTTGTAGTGAACCAAGATAGCACTCCAGCCTGGGCAACAGAGCGAGGCTCCATCTCAAAAAAAAAGAAAAAAAATGCCACGCAAGCACAGTGAAATTTAAATCATGCCACCCATGGTAAGGTTGTACAGCTGGTCAAAGCAGGAGCTAAGGGCTTCTCAGGCCTATACAGAACTTTTACATGAATTAGAACAAGAAAAGCATATTTTCTTGGTTAAAGTGATTCTAAATGAAATATTATTGCTGAATAAAATGTATGTCAAATGCAAATTTACGCCATATAAGTTATAAGAAAAAATTGAACACTAAAAAATCAAATTTAATCAACTTTATTAAGAATTCAAAGCCACTAGGAGATATATTTTTATCAATAATTGTATATTTTCTGTTCTTGAAAATATTTAGCATGAAATTTTCAGTGCTACTCAATATCTTTATTTCTATAGAAACTATCACTAGATTCTAAAGATTTTTTGTGACATTAAAACTTTATGAGTTTTTGATAAATTTTAATTATTAGAATCAATGTTTTCCACATAGACCAATACTGGCAAATTTAAATACATTCTGAAATGCACAAAGTATTCAAATAAATATGTATTCATTAATATATATGATAATATTATATCAAAGAGTAATTTCTTTAGTTTGTAATACATTAATATATGACCAATAGTAAATATCCAGCAGTTCATTTCAGTTTTACAATTTTACTTGGTTGGAGAAATACATAATTATTGTAAGTTTTCATTTAAATATGTAATCAACAATACTGATAAAATTCTTTCATTAAATCTATAATATATTTGCATACGATAGCAAATAAAATAGATTTTGAAACTTAATTTTTGATTACAGACAAGTTGATGATGATATTCATAGTTAAAATAAATTGTCTTTGTCAATCTTAACACTTCATATGTGGAGAACTTGGCATCAATATCAAGAAGTTATGCAAAAGAGTGTGCATGTTGCATATTTAACTGAGATTTTTAAAATAATAAAATAAAGTCAACTTCCCCACTATGAATTCAATAATGTTTCCAAAATTATGTTTAATGAATAAATAATTCCAGATATGGGATTTTTAAGAAAAATTAAACAAAAGCAAGAAAAATTAATAAATCAATACATATTTTTGCAATTCACTCTAAAATTTTACCAAATATTATTTGGAAACTGTTATACAGAATCAATAGTGTTTGAGACAGTTTTTGTGCATTGTTACCTAACAAGGTAAGATAATGAAAAAATTATTAAATTTTTGTCCTAAGATTTGTGAAGAGACACTTATTTTCTTCCCACCCTAATTTTGTTGCACATTTGTAAAAGAGTATTATCTAAATTCTTTAGCCCAGGCTCACTTTCTGTAAGTGGGCAATTAAAATATGTATATTCTTCTTCATTTTTTTAACTTCTCTCTCTCTCTCTTTTTTTTTTTTTTTTTTTTTTTTGAAACAGAGTCTCGCTCTGTTGCCCAGGCTGGAGTGCAGTGGCGCTATCTCGGCTCACTGCAAGCTCCACCTCCCGGGTTCATGCCATTCTCCTGCCTCAGCCTCTCGAGTAGCTGGGACTACAGCCACCCACCACCACGCCCGGCTAATTTTTTCTGTTTTTAGTAGAGACAGGGTTTCACCATGTTAGCCAAGATGGTCTCGATCTCCTGACCTCGTGATCCGCCCGCCTCGGCCTCCCAAAGTGCTGGGATTACAGGTGTGAGCCACCGTGTCTGGCCCAATTTTTAACTTCTAAAAAATATTTCAAATAATATTTTGCAATAGAAATATATTTGTAATGGAAATACACAGATTTAACAATATTTGTTTATAATTCTGCATGGCTTATATTGAGCACTGTACTTACACAATCTTGTGATGCTAAGTTTTTATTGCCTAAACATTAATTCATTTTATGTAATAATGTAAATTATTTTTGAATTTTATCCCTGTGAGTATTTAACATCATTTAGTATTGATATTTGCACAAATATGAAAAAAAAAATTTAGAAAATATTGCTGTGATTTCACCAAAGTAATAAATTCTCACTGGTGTTTATAAAGGTTCTTGGTCAATCCTCTGGGTCCATGGCATAGTCTCACCAAAAATCAAAGGAAGTTTATTTAGATTCAGTACTATAAATAAAGTAAAATTTTTCAGGACAAACTTTGCTTCTGAATATTCATTACTATTATTAATGAGCATTTCACTTTATTCATTGCTTTTAAGCATATGATACAGGTATGCACCAATTCTTTTTTCGATTTTATTTCCATAATCCAAATAAACCTTTGAGGTAAGATACAGTAATGATAATTTAGCAGCATTTTCTCCATTTGAAAGGATTCATATTAGTAAATCTTTGAAAATTCTTTACTTACAAACATTTTCGAAATTTTTATTTTTATATGATATATTATTTTCAACAAGATTACCCAGATGTTTATTATTAAATTATGTTGCTAAGTAGCTAGAAATGATAGATAGTATGGTTGATTTAATGAAATATTAAATATTTTAATCTCCTATTTTTTGAAATTCACCATTTTTACTTGACAAAGATTAATAAATTCATATCTTGCATTAACAGTGATATATGTGTACTATGTTCTGCTGACATTAATAGCTCTCATGTTTTTTACTCTTTTTCCTCACATTCCATCTAATTTCTACAAAAATGCATTCAATAATCAGTATTATTTTATTTCAATTTCTTTTCAAATAGCTTTCTGTTTCTGTTATCTTATTGTTGTAAATTTTTTTCCTACACATGAAGAAAATTATATTATACCTTAGAAGTTCAGCTTAGAATTTGTAGAATTTTAAAATATTGAGTATATAACAAGACACTACAATTTACCAGCAACTAATTACTTTCTGAGAAATTTTCCTAATCTAAATTTAAATATCCTATAATTATGAAGTATTTTACCTTATATATGTATTTAGCATTTTATGGGCTACTAGTGATGAATATTAGTCGTTATGTAGGGACTTACAATAAAATTGTGAACTCATCAATACCCTTCTAAATTTAGTATATAAATATGAAGTTAAATAAATTGAAATATAAAGCATTAAATGTAGTAAATTTTTAAAACTAATAATAGTGTAGTTTATTACTCCTTAACAATTAGTAAATCAAAAGGAAAATCAGAACCTTCATTATATACATGAGTTATTCTTGATAATTTTGATTAATGAGATCAAATCATTTCTTATTTTTTGATATGACACATGGCTATCATTTACATTTGCCATAGAACTTATTTTAATTTCGATCAAATTGTCATAATACACAGATTTTGTTAGAACAGATCTTTAATTGGCTACCTAAAAGTAAACTTTTTTTAAGTATATACTTTACGTTCTGGGGTACATCTACAGAATGTGCAGGTTTGTTACATAAGTATACACGTGCCATGGTAGTTTGCTGCACCCATCAACCCATCATCTACATTAGATATTTCTCCTAATGCTTTCCCTCCCCTAGCCCCCCACCCCCTGACAGGCCATGGTGTGAGAAGATCCCCTCCCTGTGTTCTCATTATTTAACTCCCACTTATGAGTGATAATATGTGGTGTTCGTTTGTGTGTTCTTGTGATAGTTTGTTGAGAAGGATGGTTTCCAGCTTCATCCATGTCCCTGCAAAGGACATGAACTCATCCTTTTTTATGGCTGCATAGTATTCCATGGTGTATATGTGCCACATTTTCTTTATCCAGTCTCTCATTGATGGGCATTTGGGTTGGTTACAAGTATTTGCTATTGTGAATAGTGCCTCAATAAACATATGTGTGCTTGTGTCTTCATAATAGAATTATACATAATCCTTTGGGTATATACCCAGTAATGGGATTGCTAGGTCAAATAGTATTTCTGGTTCTAAATCCTTGAGGAATCACCATACTTTCTCCCACAATGGTTGAACTAATTTACACTCCCACTGACAGCATAAAAGCATTCCTATTTCTCCACATCCTCTCCAGTATCTGTTGTTTCTTGACTTTTTAATGATAGCCATTCTGACTGGTGTGACATGGTATCTCATTGTGGTTTTGAGTTGCATTTGTCTAATGACCAGTGATGATGAGCTTTTTTTCATGTTTGTTGGCTGCATAAATGTCCTCTTTCGAGAAGTGTCTGTTCATATCCTTCACCCACTTTTTGATGGGGTTGTTTTTTTCTTGTAAATTTGTTGAAGTTATTTGTAGATTCTGCATATTAGCTCTTTGTCAGATAAATAGATTGCAAAAATTTTCTCCAATTCTGTAGGTTGCCTGTTCACTCTGATGTTAGTTTCTTTTGCTGTGCAGAGCTCTTTAGTTTAATTAGATCTCATTTGTTAATTTTGCCTTTTGTTGACATTGCTTGTGATGTTTTAGTCATGAAGTCTTTGGCCATGCCTATGTCCTGAATGGTATTGCCTAGGTTTTCTTCTAGGATTTTTATGGTTTTAGGTCTTACATTTAAGTCTTTAATGCATCTTGAGTTAACTTTTGTATAAAGTCTAAGAAAGAGGCCCAGTTGCCATTGTTTTTTTTTTTGGCATATAGGTAGCCAGTTTTCCCAACATCATTTATTAAATAGGGAATCCTTTCCCCATTGCTTGTTTTTGTCAGGTTTGTCAAAGATCAGATGGTTGTAGATGTGTGGCATTATTTCTGAGGTCTCTGTTCTGTTCCATTGGTGTATATATCTCTTTTGGTACCAGTATTATGCTGTTTTGGTTACTGTAGCCTTGTAGTATAGTTTGAAGTCAGGTAGCGTGATGCCTCCAGCTTTGTTCTTTTTGCTTAGGATTGTCTTGGCTATGCGGGCTCTTTTTTTGGTTCCATATGAAATTTAAATTAGTTTTTTTTCCAATTCTGTGAAGAAAGTCATTGGTAGCTAGATGGGGATAGCATTTAATCTATAAATTACTTTGCGTAGTATTGCCATTTTCACAATATTGATTCTTCCTATCAATGAGCATTAAATGTTTCTCCATTTGTTTGTGTCCTCTCTTACTTCCTTGAGCAATGGTTTGTATTTCTCTTTGAAGAGGTCCTTCACATCCTTTGTAAGTAGTATTTGTAGGTATTTTATTCTCTTTGTAGCAATTGTGAATGAGATTTCACTCATGATTTGGCTCTCAGTTTGTCTGTTATTGATGTATAGCAATTCTTGTGAATTTTGCAAATTGATTTTGTATCCTGAGACTTTGCCAAAGTTGCTTATCAGGTTAAGAAAGTTTTGGGCTAAGAGGATGGGGTTTTCTAAATATACTATCATGTCATCTGAAAGCAGAGACAATTTGATGTCCTCTCTTCCTATTTGAATACCTTTATTGCTTTCTCTTGCCTGATTGCCCTGGCCAGAACTTCCAATACTATGTTGAATAGGCCTGGTAAGAAAGGGCAGCCTTGTCTTGTGTTGGTTTTCAAGAGAAGTCTTCCAATTTTTGCCCATTCAGTATGATATTGGCTGTGGGTTTGTCATAAATAGTTCTTATTATTTTGAGATACGTTCCATCAATAACTGGTTTATTGAGAGTTTTTAGCATGAAGAGGTGTTGAATTTTGTCAAAGGTCTTTTCTGGATCTGCTGAGATAATCACGTGGTTTTTGCCATTGGTTCTGTTTATGTGATGGATTACGTTTATTGATTTGCATATGTTGAACAAGCCTTGCATCCCAGGGATGAAGCTGACTTGATCGTGATGGATAAGCTTTTTGATGTGCTGCTGGATTCGGTTTGCCAGTATTTTATTGAAGATTTTCTCATTGATGTTCCTCAGGGATATTGGCCTGAAATTTTCATTTTTGTTGTGTCTCTGCCAGGTTTTGGTACCAGGGTGATGCTGGTCTCATAAAATGAGTTAGGGAGGATTCCCTCTTTTTTCTTTTCTTTTCTTTTCTTTTTTTTTTTTTTTTGGCTTCTTGTTACGTTAAAAAAGCATTTTGGTCATTACATAAGATTAACACAAAGTGAACAATCCACCCCATGACTAGGAAATAAGCCACTCTTCTTCTACCCTCCTCTTTTGTCCCGTCCATCCCTATACGTTATGCACTGTTGGCCTCCCTGGCATCTTGTAAGGATCACTGTCTACCACTCGGGATGACATCTCTCGCCTTGGAGTTTTCAGACTGGAAAAATCCTGAGAGACACTAATGAAAGCACCAAACAGCACTGTACCATTCAAACCTGAACCAGTCTCCCACCTCAATGGCAGAGTGTTTTGAAAAAAAAGTTTTTCCTTCCCCAAATCTTTTAAAGGATCAATGTTTCCTTTAAGTACAAAATGAAGTAAAGAAAACACAACTAACTTACTATAAACAAAGAAATTTGAAATTGTAGTCACATCCTGAAAAAAGTCAAGAGATCTTTTATCCACAGGAGCCTCTTATTAATGCCTCATGTGACTTTCCAGAATGCTCAGGCGGGGAATCTCAGATAGGACTTTTTAAAGTCAAGCTCAGCCATGGGCTTGTACCCTCAAATACCTGTGAGTTGGGTAAACTTTTTTCTTCTTGAGGTTCCCAGAGCATGGGCCTGACAGACAGTGACATTCTTTACTTACAATGGGTCAGGAACCGTGTACAGAGACTGCGTAGACAAGGTATGAGGCCAGTTTTCCCAAGGGGATTTTAATGGCTCTGCAAGTTAAGCTTGATTCCTTAAAGAGAAACACCCTTCCAGTTAAATCCTTGGTAAAACAACCAGTTTTTCCAATCGTGTCCTGCTGCAAAATAAAATGAATTTTTATTGCATTCACGCAAACAACCATATTGTTATAAGTTAAGAATACTTACAACCAGTTTTTGAGTTTTAGAGGAACCAGGCAGAGAGAAACAAACATGTTCCAAAGTTTTGGGAGAGGGCATCCCGTCTTGTGCCAGTTTTCAAAGAGAATGCTTCCAGTTTTTGCCCATTCAGTATAATATTGGCTGTGGGTTTGTCATAAATAGCTCTTATTATTTTGAGATATGTCCCATCAACACCTAATTTATTGAGAGTTTTTAGCATGAAGGGCTGTTGAATTTTGTCAAAGGCCTTTTCTGCATCTATTGAGATAATCACGTGGTTTTTGTCTTTGGTTCTGTTTACATGCTGGATTACGCTTATTGATTTGCATATGTTGAACCAGCCTTGCATCCAAGGGATGAAGCCCACTTGATCTTGGTGGATAAGCTTTTTGATGTGCTGCTGGATTTGGTTTGCCAGTATTTTATTGAGGATTTTTGCATCGATGTTCATCAGGGATATTGGTCTAAAATTCTCTTTTTTTGTTGTGTCTCTGCCAAGCAGGCCAGGCATTGTTTTCTAACTGAGCATCTTCTCCTTTAGGAAACCTCACACAGGACATTCAAGATTGAGGGGCATCAGGAATTGATTGATGTAGTGATAGATAAAGGTTGTTTAGAGCAGGAAGGCCAGGTACCCAACAATGCCCTAGCCCCAGTAAGTGTATCAATCAACTCAATTACCCCATTTTGTGTTTCCCCTGAATTTCTGGGCTATTATCTCTTCTTCTGGAAACCCTGCAACTTTAATTTAGACTATATTAGGATAGAAGAAAAAAGTCAGCACAGATACATTTTCTTTATTCAAATAGAAAAAAAATGACAAAGGGCAAGAATTCGTGTTATCCAGATGTCAAGTATTTTCCAAGGTAAAATTTCTTCATAAAAAGTAGGAGGGATTTTTTAGCAGAACTGGACCCCTTGATACTTTTTAAATTCTATACTCATTATACTCACATATTAAAACCGGGAGATTGAGATTCCTAAACAATGGCATGTAAATTAGAAATAAAGTTACTGGTTATATTTTAAATTTTAAGTTCATGAAAATGGCAAAATATTTTTAATTGTATGAATATCATTAAATTGATCATGAATCTGTTTCAAAGCTGTAAAATATTTATATTAATAAATGAAGAGGTTAGCATTTTAATGCACATAATAAAAAAGGAACCCTCTTTAGGCCCAGAATTCAGTCTAAAATTCCATACCACTGAGATACTTCTCTATTTAAACTTCAAGAGTTTGCAAATTATATTCAAGAAATATTCAGGCATTGTATGAATATGTAGGGAATAAGAAAGGGAAGTTTCTTCTTCCTGATTTCTTTGAAGAACACACAAAACTTGTTGCAGTCATAATGACATCTTTGTTCTTCCAAGTAATTGAATTTTTTGACAAATTACGCATAAAGTATAACATTATTTTAATATGCTTACAAATTGAGTAATTTGTCAAATTTTGTATGACACAATGCACTCCCTGTAAAATGTAGGCTTTAAAATGTGTAGTTCAAAGTAATAGATGATGATAGTATTTTTTTGTGTGTATGAAAGGAAAGAGGCCAGGCGCGGTGGCTCACGCCTGTAATCCCAGCACTTTGGGAGGTCGAGGCGAGCGGATCACGAGGTCAGGAGATCCAGACCACGGTGAAACCCCGTCTCTATTAAAATTACAAAAAAAAATTAGCCGGGCGTGGTGGTGAGCGCCTGCAGTCCCAGCTACTCGGGAGGCTGAGGCAGGAGAATGGCGTGAACCCGGGAGGCGGAGCTTGCAGTGAGCTGAGATCGCGCCACTGCACTCCAGCCTGGGTGACAGATCGAGACTCCGTCTCAAAAAAAAAAAAATAAATAAAAATAAAATAAAGTTTAAAACATTGAAACAACATGGAACTTATTCCCGTTGAGACAAGTTAGGCTTCCAACACACACACACACACACACACACACACACACACACACACACACACACAATAGGAAAAAGATTAACAAGAAAACTTTGTGCTGTCTTTTACTTTCTTCTTTATTTTGTGTAAAGGATATGAAATATCAAACCATGAAGTCAATCATCTCTCACGCTTTGTAGAATTCACTATGAATGTATAGTTTTATACACCTTTTAATATATTTAGTTTACATTATCAACTCAGAGAATTAGGTAGAATTTCTGTTCAATTCCTTTAGTAAGCTACAGACAAAACATCCTATAATATGGATACTTAGTACATAGTACCTGATAAGGAAGATAGTGTTCCAATTTAAGATAGAACATAATGCATTCCATTCAGGATTTTCTATTTGCTTTCCTTCTTAATAAAGGGCAGTATTCTCTCACATGCTTTATGTGTATGTACTCAATATACAGAGAGACTGTGGCATATTCTGAATGATGATACAGAAAATCGAAATTATCTGCATAGGATGCAGAATGTTATCAAAGTTAGAAAAATCACTGCTGAGCTGCACTGTGCTCCGTATGCTATATGCAGAGACAAAGCATTTCTTTTCTTAGAAGCAGACAAAAATGCCAGAGAATTCAAGCAAGAAAATATGGTGTCTTTCAGGTACTTTAGAAGGGTTCTTTTTCTGCACGTTAGCAGCTTCTGTAGCTAAGAAAGAAGAGATAGAGTACATAGCATCCTTCAAATTACATTGAAGTAAAAAAATAAACTGTTTCAAAGTTGAATTTAGGTGTGTCTGATTTTTAGGTGGTTACATTTCTTGGATCTTTTCATTATAGGCTAAATCAAGGTCACAAGAAAATTGGAGTAGATCTTAAAGAAGAGTTATATAATTTTGTCCTTAGATTTTTATCTATGGTCTATACTTGAATGATACACCATGCAGCATAGGCAAAAGAAATAGACACTTGTACCAATTACTCAGTATCACATGCATCATTGGAATAGCTTAGTTTACATGGATTTGCATACTTCAATATTTTCACAGAGGACAGTCTGAAAGTGTTAGGACTTTAATTTTTAGATAAAGTACTTCAACAGTTTTACATATTTTTCTTTGATACATAAAATTATAAAGTCTTAGCAGATAATTACTAGATTAATATTTTCTAAGTGAAAAGTTTATAGATGTTTAAATGCCATTTCAAATGCAGTGAAATTTGCTTTTGTGTTTTAAAAGTGTAAGTTAATTTTAATTCAAAATTTGTGTGTTCAAAATTCATAGATAATAAATTATTGATGTACTTTTATTGCACACAAATGGCAATTTCTTAAAAATGATAGCACTCTACAAAAGCCTAATAGTTGTTCTTTTATGTTAGATTTAATTAGCAGACTTTCAACTCAGTGATATATAGCCACCAAATCTGTTTTCTCGCTGAATCTCCATGGGCCTCCTGGATTCTACAGATGCACAGATTGATCTGGAGCCTTCAGGGAGAATTGCATAACAGATTGCCTCATTTCTGGTTAAAGAATACCATGAAAACTACTGAAGTTTATGTCTTTTGACCTCATTATTGCTTAAGTCGCATTGTTAATATTCTTGATACAAACTCTAAAGCATTATACCTAAAAGAGTTATTGAAATTACTCAAATAACAGGCAGAATCTAGCTTGAAAGTGGGTCTAATAGCCCCAAAACCAAAGAGAGAAAGAAACAAATTCATTAGTTATGTTTTTCTCACTTTCTTACTATTCATGGGAAGGTAGGAGTTAATGGCAGCTACTGACATCTATTTTTTAGCTACTAAAATAATGTCTATCATGAAAGAAAAGTAATTGAATAAGCTAGAGAAAAAAAAACATTCATTTGAAAATTTTTATTACATAATAGTGTATTTGACTTATGTAAAAATATAAAGGTTATTACACATACACAAATATATATATATCCACTGTGAAAAAAGGACTAATAAAATTGATTGCATATCTCACATTATCATTGAAAATACCTATGTGACTCTTTTCTATCTGTTTATCTTGTCTAACCTTCTGTCCCATAAATTTTGATTGAATTTCATGATGTTTAACAGTAAAAAATAAGGCCCATTTGCCTCTATAAAAAAAGCCTTATAGAAGCTGGCTTTCAAGGTCAAGTCTTTTTATTTAGTTGTTAGTTTTAGTTTTTAGTTTATTTTTAAAAAAATAGCTTCAAGGGACACAACAAATTACAATTTACTCAACTTCTTATACCTTACTGCAAGAGAATGGGAGATACTCTGTGCTACATAAGTGAGGGAAAGAGATACAGAGCACAGAGGCTGAGGTTGGGGATGGGAGTGGTGAAATGAAAAGTAATTTTTTCTATTTACACTGCTTTGGCTCAGACTGTCTGGAATTTTAAGCAGTATCATGTTGTACAAAAATTAGCATTGCAGATAAAATATACGTTAAAGGTCTAAAATGACCAAAAAATCAGACTAATTTATTCTGGAACCAAGCCAGAGTTAATAAAAATTTTTATGATTACTTTACCTTTTTCTTAGAACATATTTTTGAGAAGCAAAATTTCTTATGAATTACAATTCAATCTGGATATCTTAAGAGTACTTTTTTAAAAAAACAATTAGCATAGAAATGATTTTGGTGACCTGCTGCAGTGGCTTATCCCTGTAATCTCAGCACTTTGGGAGGTCAAGGCAGGAGGATTGCTTTAGTTAGGAATTGGAGACCAGACTGGGCAACATAGTGAGACCCCCCAAATCTATAACAAGTTAAAATAAAATTAGCCATCCATGATGATATGTGTCCATAGCCCTAGCTACTTAGGAGGCTGAGGTGGGAGAATCGCTTGAGTACAGTAGTTTGAGGTCATATACTATAATCTCCCCATCACATTCCACCCTGGGAGACAGAGTGAGTCTTTGTCTCTATTAGGAAAAAAAATGAAATGATTTTTAAATAATTAAAGGGACGTCCTAAGTTTGCCAATAATTGTTATTACTGAAAAGCAAACTGTAGAAAACTCCTGTTTTAGTTAAACCTGTTATTTATTCAAATAAATACAAAACAGTTTTAAGTTGCTGTGATTCTCACAATCTCATTCTCTTGCTTATACTGGCCCCTTGGCTTGCATGTCTCTTCTTTCTTTTTTAATTAAAATTTACGTTTTCTTCGTAGCTCAAATCAATTTCTAATTTCCCTTTAATAGCTTATTCAACCAAAGTTAGACTTTATTCTTCAAGTAACTGCCTTGTTACATTCAATTTTTTTTGTACAGGACTTATTTTCACAATTAGATTGTAAAACACTGCAGACAATGTGTGGTTTTATATTTCCTCATTTATCTGGACCTAACATAACTCATGATTCAGCATGTATTAATGTTTGCTGTAGATAATATTAAGTTAGGATGAATCTTTGATTAAACTTAAATAACTGCTTTAATTTATTGCTAATTATGCTTATTATGGAATTATTAGGCATATTTTGTGTGAGGGAAGGGAGAGAAAGTGAACAAGAGAAAGATATTCAGAGAAAAAGAGAGTAATAAAGAAGACTATTTTTGAAAGTGTAAAAAACTTCTGAAACCAATCTTTTTTAAAAATAATTATCAAAATGAAATGTTTTTCATGAAGATGATATAATCTTATTTAATAATTCAAGCACTATTGAAAATCATAAAATGTTTTAAAGATATTTTAAAATTTTTCTGTTATTAAATCGATCTCTGTCTCTCTTCATGGCTGCATAAATAAGAACAAATGTGCATCTGTTTTTACATGCAGAGGTATAATTTAATAGACCTGGGAGCTTTCTATGCACTATTCTCATTTAGCATGTCTGTTTTAGGTATACTTTGATATCGCAGGTTGAAGACAGTGCTGAAAATTAGCTAGAAGAAGGTATGAGAGTCACAGGTTTATTTATAACAAACATGAATAAAAATAAAAGATGCCATTGTGGGGATAGTGGAAATAAAGTCAGAAATAAAAGGGAGTTGTGGAAGGTCCAGGATGAACTTGTTGGTCATTTTAAGAACTTTAGATTTTAGTTTAAGTTGGTAAGACAATACTGGAGAAATTTTTTAGCGGAGGAGACTCATAGTTTATTATTTATTTTAAAATAAATTTTGTTGCATATATGTGTGGAGGAGTAGACTAAAGATGTCTTAAAAAGTACTAGAAGAAGTAAACTGGTATACATCTTAAATCATATTTCAGTAATATAAAATTATAAAAATAAAAATAAAGAATTGTCCTTATGATGTCAGTCAAGTCAAACACAAGGTTGTAAAACTATCTATGTTGATTAAAATCAAAATATCTTTCATCCTTAGTAGCTTTCTTCTCTTTTATGTGTATCACTCTTTATGTGCATATGTATGTAACATTTAGTTGCTTTACTTTTTCTTTTTTTCCTTTTGCCATCTCCATGTCTTTTGGAGTGAAAGAGAGCTTCCTGAAAATTGATTCTGCTCTCCATCCAGATTCTTATGTTCACACCAGAAGCCTTTCTCAGGCAATGGTTTAATTATAGACAGTTCTTGTTTTTCTTCTATGAGCCAAATAAATGCATTTTCTTTACAATGTATACAATCTATAAGAACAGTGAGAGGTGCATTGTAAAGGGGAAGGAGAATGGAGACAATGGAGAAGGGGGAGGAAAGTGGGAATGGAGAACCCAACCCAGCAGTCCCAACTGTAGTCTTTTCAATTATGCTCCAATGATTATTCCGCCCACCCTTCTCTATCTATGGACTCAGAGTCAGGAGCACCACCTGAGTTTTCTCAGAGAGGTGCAATATTTTAAATATTTTAAATTATAACATGTACTGTTTTCTTCATATATTTAGTTTCCTTTGTTCTTCCTAGAATATCTATGGTGAATTTGAATCTATGTTCCTGCTTTGTATATTCCAGTGGAGTTATGGTTTCTTTCAAAGAAGTGTAGTTTTTCTAATTTCAAAAATAGCATGAAAGAGACAGGGAACAGATGTGGATGTTCAGTCCACTGATGCAAGTAGAGCACTAGTTCTTGTTTGCACCCTGTTTTTAAATGTGTCTGTATGCAAATGGATAGAGTTCTAGAAACAGAATGTGTAACAAAGGTTGTGAACAGTTTGCAACATACAGTTGTAACATATAGTTACAAGAGACAGAGAAGCATTGGAATGAAAACAAAACAATAATAGACTCAATTCACCATGTTTTAAGGTTGGAATTATCAGATAAAAAGGTCGCTACTGTAATTAATAATTTTGTATGGTTTAATGTCTTTGGATGGCATTTTCCAGCTTTATTGAGATATAACTGACAAAAATGTTATATATTTAAGGTATACAACATGATGTTTTGGTAGATATATACTTTGTGAAATGAATATGGCAATAAAATATTAACATATTATCACTCACATAGCTATCTCTTTTTTTCTTAGTTAAAAGATTTAAGATCTACTCTTAGGAAATTTTAAGTATACAATACACTGTTATTAACTACAACAAAATGCTTTAATGCATCTATTGAGATGATCACAGATTTCCATTGTTTATTCTGTTAATGTGGTATATCACATTTATTGATCTTCATATGTTGAACCATACTTGCATGCCTTGAATAAACCCAGATTTATTGTGGTATATAATCTCTACAATGGGCTATTAAATTTGATTTGTTAGTATTTTCTTAAAATATTTTGTATCTATATTCTCAGAGATTTGGGCTGGTAATTCTAACTTCTTCTAGTATCTTTCTCTGGTTTTGATATCAGGATAGTGCTGGTAGTATTATAAAATAAGTTTGGAAGAATTCTCTCCTCTCAGTCTTTTGAATTACCATTTACATGAAATATCTTTTTTTCTTTCATTTGTTCACTTTTAGTCTATGTGCAGCCTTCAAGATAAAATGAGTCCAGGCTATGATTATTAGATCCTATTTTTAAAAATCCATTCTGCCACTGTTTTTTGATTGGAGAATTTAATCCATTTAAATTTAAAATAATTATTCGTAGGTAAGAACTTACTATAGCCTTTTTGTTAATTGTTTTGGAACTATTTTGTAGTGTCCTGGTTTCTTTCTCTCCTGCTTTTCTTTTGTGATTTGATTATAATTTGTAGGTGTATGCTTTGAATCCTTTATCTTTTATGTATCTACTACGTGCTTCTTTGTGGTTACCATGAAGATTACATTAAAAATCTAATAGTTATGGACCAGGCATGGTGGTTCATGCCTTTAATTCCAGAACTTTGGTAGGCCGAGGCAGGTGAATCACCTGAGGTCAGGAGTTCGAGGCTAGCCTGGCCAACATGGCGAAAACCCATCTGTACTAAAAATACAAAAATTAGCTGGGTGTGGTGGTGTGCACCAGTAATCCCAGCTACTCGAGAGGCTGAGGTAGGAGAATCGCTTGAAACTGGGAGGTGGAGGTTGCAGTGAGCCAAGATTGCGCCACTGCACTCCAGACTGGGAGACAGAGCAAGACTCCATCTCAAAAAAAAAAAAAAAAAAAAAATCTAATAGCTATAAAAATATTTTATAAGCTGTTAACAACTTAACTTCAACTGCATACAAAACTCTACAACTTAACCTTTCCTCCCCTATGCTTTGTTATTTATGTCATAATTTGCATCTTTTTATATTGTGTGTTTAGTAAATTATTATAGCTATTCTTAATGTTTTGTCTTTTAAATATTATTCTTTATTTAAAATGATTTATACAACACCATGACAGTATTAGAATTGTGTGAATTTGACTGTGTTATTACTTTTAGAGTTAGTTTTATACTTTTATATTTTCATGTTATTAGAAGTGATCTTTGTTTTAATTTGAAGAACTCCTTGTTGCATTTTTTTAAAATGCAGGTCTACTGGTAATATTCTCCCTTTGCTTTTGTTTGTCTGGGAAAATGGTTATCTTTCCTTTATATTTGAAGGAGAGCATTTTCTGGTGTAATATCATGTATTGGCAGGGTTTTTTGGTATTTTTAAGCATTTTAAATATATCACCCCACTGTTTCCCTTGCCTGCAAGGTTTCTGCTGAGAAATCCACTTATTTCTATTGAGAAGATAAGTGCAGTGAGTCTTACGTCCCCATAAATATCCCATGAAGAGAAAAGATGAGTCACTTTTCTCTTGCTACTTTCAAAGTTGTCTTTGCCTTTGAGTTTTGAGAATTTGTTTTATAAAGTGTCTCAGTGAAGATCTCTTTATGGTTAATCTATAAGACGTTCTTTGGACTTCATATACATGGATGTTCATTTTTCTCTCCAGATTTGGAAAGTTTTCAGTGATCATATCTTTGCATAAGTTTTCTTTCTCTTTTGCTGTTTCTTCTGGAACAGTCATAATTATATATTGGTTCAGTTGAAGGTAGGTCACATTCCCCAAGGCTGTCTTCACTTTTTTTCTGTTCTTTGTACTTTTTGTTTTTCTAATTGGGTAATCACTTGCTGATTCCTTTTTCTGCTTGAGTCTGCTGTTGAAGCTGTCTATGAAATTTTCAGTTTAGTCATTACGTTCTTCAGCTCCAGAATTTCTGTTTGGTTTATTTGTATGGTTTCTCTCTCATTGCTGAACTTCTAGTTTTGTTAATGTATTGCTTTCCTGATTTTATTTACTTTTCTATGTGTGTTGTATTATAGCTCATTAAGCTTCTTTTGAATTCTTAATAGGACAATTCATAAACCTCCATTTATTTAGAGACAGTTACTTGTGTTTTATTATTTTTTCTTTTGGTGGTGTAGAGTTTTCCTCATTATCCTTGATCTTCATGGTCTTGAATTGTTATCTGCACATTTAAAGAAGTAAGCAGAATAATTCTCAGCCTGGCCATGCAAAGAATATAAAAGCATGTTTAGTAGAGAAAATCAAGGATGTGGCCAAGTAACCATTTAATAAAGAGGTTAATATGGATATAAGTAATGAAGGTACTATTCATCAAGATATTAAAAGAATGACCTTGAAAACATTTCTAAAATATTCAGGGCTTTTATGCCCACCACAGACCCAGAGTGCTAGGGCCTTGAGGACAGAATAATTTTGGAGATGAACCCATGTTACCCATGGGACATCAGGGATCACTGCCCAGAGATTTCTTGGTTTCTGCTGCCCATATTCTGATACAGCACTCCTCAGCCATTCCAGCTATGGATGAAGTAAACCCTGGTGCTAATTAGACTGCCTCTCTGGATGGTGCAAGCTGTGAGCCTTAGCATTGTCTGTGTGGTGCTAATTTTGCAGGTATTCAGAATGCAAGAGCTGTGAAGATATGATTGCCTCCACCTAGATTTCCAAGTATGTCTCCCACATCCTCTGGAATTAGGCAGAAATGTGCCACTGGGTGGAGCCTCCACAGAGAGCCTTCACTAGAGCAATGTCCAGCAGAATTAGAACTGTGAGGTCAGGCAATTGTACAGAGTCCTTCCTAGGTCAGTGTCTAATGGCCACCCCAAGCCTTCAGTACTGTAGAGACACCGGCATGCAGCACCAGCCTGTGAGAGCTCCAGGTATTTATTTCAATATGTGATAGCTGAAGCATGGGCTGCACTCAACAAAGCCATGAAGGAAAAATTGCCCAAGGCCATGGGGATTCCACCCCTACCCCTGTTTTTCTGGAAATTGGAACATGAATTCAGGGATTATTGTCAAGCCTTAAGATTTAATGTTGTTTGACCTGTTGGGTTTTAGACTTACTTGGGATATCTTACTTCACTTGTCTTTTTTCCTATGTCTCTCTTTTGAAATGAGAATGTTTATCCTCTGTCTGTTCCACCATTGTATTTTAGGAGCACATAACTTGTTTGACTTCACAAGTTCACAGTTGGAGAAAAATTTGATGCTGGAACAAGTTAAGACTCCTGGGCTACTGGAATGGAGTGAATGTATTTTGTTTGTGAGAAGGAGATGAATGTGGGAATCAAGGGGGAGTGTAGTTCTGTGGGGTAAATGTCACCCAAAATTTATGTATTGGAAACAATTCCTATTACAAGTGTTGAGAGGTGAGGCCTGCTGGAAGGTGCTTATGTCATAAGGGCTTCATTCTCATGAATAGCTTAATGTCACTATAACAAGGAATTATGGGTTGGGTGCGGTGGCTCATGCCTATAATCCCAGCACTTTGAGAGGCCGAGGCAGGTGGGTCATCTGAGTTCAGGAGTTCGAGACCAGCCTGGCCAACAGGGTGAAACCCAGTCTCTACTAAAAATACGGAAAATTAGCTGGCCATGCCAGGCACGGTGGCTCACACCTGTAATCCCAGCACTTTGGGAGGCCAAGGTGGGTGGATCACTTGAGGTCAGGAGTTAGAGACCAGCCTGGCCAA
The DNA here is from genome assembly GCF_000001405.40 of Homo sapiens. Lineage (NCBI taxonomy): Eukaryota > Metazoa > Chordata > Mammalia > Primates > Hominidae > Homo > Homo sapiens. Next base: position 57,095,011 of record NC_000013.11, read on the forward strand.
CAGGGTGAAACCCAGTCTCTACTAAAAATACGGGAAATTAGCTGGCCATGCCAGGCACGGTGGCTCACACCTGTAATCCCAGCACTTTGGGAGGCCAAGGTGGGTGGATCACTTGAGGTCAGGAGTTCGAGACCAGCTTGGCCAAAAAATTAGCTGGACATGGTGGTGGGCACCCATAATCCCAGCTACTCTGGAGGCTGAGGCAGGAAAATCACTTGAACCCGGGAGGCTGAGGTTGCAGTGTGTCAAGATCACACCATTGTACTCCAGCCTGGGCAACAAGAGCCAAACTCCATCTTAAAAAAAAAAAAAAAAAAAGAAAAGTAACCAGGCATGGTAGCATGTGCCTGTAGTCCCAGCTACTCAGGAGGCGGAGGCAGGAGAATGGCTTGAACTGGGAGGCATAGGTTGCAATGAGTGAGCCGAGATTGTGCCACTGCACTCCAGCCTGGCGACAGAGCAAGACTTGGTCTCAAACAAACAAAGGAACTGTGGAAGGAGGTTCACTCCCATTCCATATTTTGCCATGTGAGAACACAGAAAGAAGGCCTTCACCAGATGCTGGCCCATTAATCTTGAACTTCTCGGTCTCAGGAAATGTAAGAAATAAATATCTGTTCTTTATAAATTACATAATTTTATATATCCTGTGAATCAGCATTAAATTAACTAAGACACTAAAGCATTTATTAAAGTAGTAAATATTTAAATAATCATATACATAAAAGTAAAAATAAATAAAATTTAATGATCTCAGACAAACAAAAATAGCTTTCAATAACAGCAAAGTAACTATATTTAAGGTTGCCATTTAAGGGACAATTGTCAAACTTAATTGTTCAATAACTAAAAGAATCTTTAAAAAAAACACTTGATAATTATACTGCTAAATTTATTTAGCTTTATTAAGTATTTTTTCTTCTAAAAGAACATATTTTTCAAATATTAAGGGAAGTAGCCACAATTCCAATAACTGCCCTTTTTGCTTATATTTTAGTAAACATACAATTTAAGTAGAACAGAACACAACTTCATTGAGATAGGCCTAAATACATGTAAATTAAATACAACTGGGTTGATAGTTATAATAGCAGAATTTTTTATGTAATAAACACCAACAGACTCACAAAATACTATAGTTACAAAAGTTTAGTTATCAAAATGTTTGTATTTTTATATACGAGTGTGTGTCTTTAAAACAAAATACATATATTTAAAGCATATCCATACATGTGTGTGATCATGTGTGTGTTTGTGCTTACACATATACATATATATGCACACATTAAACCTCACAACACACATAATGCTGTGAAATTTAATGAACTTTTAAAATGAAAGCATATTTTACATGAATTACTGTATTGTTACTCATCAGAATATCCATTTTTACTCATTTGGATATGTCCTGCTATTGGGCTATATGAAATTAATTTTTAGGAACTGGGGCTTAAACTACTAAATTGTTTTTATATAGCCAAAAAGAAATGCAGAAATATGCTACACAGACTCCTTGATTTACAATACTGTTTACAAATAGAATGTTCTTTTGGAAGAAAGGAATCTGAATAGGGCATTCTATAACAGATTTTCATTATGATGAGTTACAAAATGCCCTAGACCTTAGCAATACATCTTAATGACATAAAGAAAACTTCACAGGTGCATTATTGTTATGCACACAATAGTAATTTGCTAATAATTGTGTATGAACATCTATAATGCTGACATTTTATGCAACCATGCAAATTTATGCAGTACTGTCAGAATAACAAAGCTAAATTATACAGGTAGATACTTAACTACAATGATTAATAAGCAATTTCAGACATTTACGTTGTTTTTAAGTAAATGTTATGCAAATATGCTAGAATCAAGAAGTAAAAGCTAAGCAAACATACTAAACCTTCAAATAGCTGCTAACATAAATGTTAATCTGACACAAATACACTTGTGTTATTTATTTTACTTGTCAGACACTGTGTGACCTATGTTAAACAGAAATCACCAATATGCTAGGATGTTACAAAGATAGAATAAATCTACATATTTTAGCTGCCATTCTTTCAAAATTAAGAATAAAATGGAATATAATGAAATAAACCATGTATTGAAATTATATCTTTCTTCTGAAATTTTATTTCTACAGCTCTGAGTTATATTTGACATACACTAAATTGTATAATGTAAAATCTATTGTTTGCTATGTTTTAGCATCAATATATACCCATTAATTCATCATCAAAATAGTAAAGAACATACACATCACCCCCAAATTATTCTGCCCTTTGCAATTCATCTGTTCTGACTCTCCTTATATCTTCCATGCCCACATTTCCTAAGAAATCACTATCTGTTTAATGCCACCATAGCTTAATTTTTATTACATAGAATTACAAATCAATGGAATCATACAGGTCGTACTTTATTCTGTTATTTTTCACTCTGCATAATTATTTTGAGACATAAGCATGTTGTTGCATGCATCAATATTTTATTCCTTTTTTCTTACTGAATAGTATTTCATTGTACATACTATTCAAAATTTATTTCTCTATTCATCTGTTAACAGATATTTGTGCTACTGCAGATTTACAAACACACATGGTGTAAATAAATTTATAAATTCTTTGTATGGTCGTATGTTTTATTTCCTTCAGGTAAATACCTAGGACTGAAAAACTATGTTATTTGGTTTCAAATATTTGGTGTTTTTCTAGATTTGCAGGGGTTGATTTCCAATTGAATTTCATTGTGATCAAAGAACATGCTTTAAGAATTATTATTATTATTATTGTTATTATTATTATTATTTGAGATGGAGTTTCACTCTTGTTGCCCAGGCTGGAGTGCAATGGTGTGATCTTAGCTCACCACAAATTCCGCCACCCGGGCTCAAGCGATTCTCCTGCCTCAGCCTCCCAAGTATCTGGGATAACAGGCATGTGCCAACACATCTGGCTAATTTTGTATTTTTAGTAAAGATGGGGTTTTTCCATGTTGGTCAGGCTGGTCTCAAACTCCTGACCTCAGGTGATCTACCTGCCTTGGCCTCCTAAAGTGCTGGGATTTCAGGTGTGAGCCACTGCACCCAGCCAAGAATTAATTTTTAGGATGTACAAAGTTTTGCACATCCTAAATTATGTACCCATATTATGTACCCATAATATGGTCTGTTTTGTAAAATATTCCAAGTACACTTGCAAATAAGGTGTATTTTGATGGTGTTGAGTGGAGTGTTCTATAAATGTCAATTAGATCAAGATGGCTAATAGGACTGTTTTAGTACTGCATATCACTACTGATTTCCTAACTGCTTCTTTTATCTATTAGTAAGAGACTGATGTAAAATTGCCTCTATAATTGATAATTTATTTATATATGCAGTTCTATTGTTTTTTGCTTCATGTATTTTTAATTTATGTTTTTAGATACAAACTCAATTATCATGTCCTCTTGATTAATTGACATATTTATCATTATTAAATGATCATATTTATCTATGCTAATATTCTTTGCTCTGAAATCCATGTTGTCTTATTCTAATATCACTCCACATATTTTTAAAAATTATTGTTGACATGACATATCTTATTCCATTACTTTTATTCTATTTTATCTGTATATTTAAGGCTTCTTATTTGGTAGCACATAGTTGTATATTGCTTTGTTTTTTATCCACTTGTTAATTTCTGTCATTTAATGGGATCTTTGAATCATTTATATTTAGAATGTTTATTGATATGATTTATTTTAAATTTATCAACTTGCTTTCGTGTTTTTCTCATTTGTTCCTTGTTTCTCTTTTCTAATTAGTTTTGGATTAACTGAGAATGTTAAAATATTCTAATCTATCTTATTTGTTAGCCTATTTGTCATAACTACTTGCTTTTTAAATTTAGTGGTTGCTTTTGAGTTTATAATATACAGATTTACTGTATGATCATCTTGATTCTATATTAAACTCCTTCATGTATAATGTAAAATCCTTACAATATTATTTTTGTTTCTCACCTCCTGGACTTTGTGCTACTGTGGTTATATATTTTAATTCCACATATTTTGGTCTTCCATATATCATATTATTTATTTGTATTTAAGCAGTTGTTTTAAAATAAATTTAATTATTTTAAAATTTATTTATATATTTATTACTTATGGTGGTCTTCATTTATTTTGTAAACCCACATTTCTATCTGTTATTATTTTCATTCTGCTTTAAGAGATTCCCTTAATAACTTTTTAACTGTAATTCTAATGTTAATGAAATGTTTCAGCTTTTACATGTCTCAATAAATATTTCACCTTTGAATTTGAACAATACTTTCATTGAGTATGGAATTTTGTATTGTCAGGCTTTTCTCTGTTAATTTAAAGGTGTTCTACTATTTTTTGTTTTCATTGTTTCCAATGAACACATTAATTTATTTAATGTTGTTCCTCTACATACAACATATCTTTCATCTCTGACTTTTTAAAAACTTTTCACTTTGTCATTGATTTTGAGAAATTTGATTATGATGAGCTTTGATGTACTTTTCTTAATGTTTGTTTGTGAAGTATGATGGAGGATTGTTGTTGCACTTCTTGAATCCATTGGGTATGTAATTATCATCATATTTAAAAATATTTTAGGCATTAATTTTTAAGTTTTCTGCTTCAATGTTTCCTTTTTTGCAGAGATTCAAGTAACACATGTGTTAGATCATTTGAAGATGCTCTAATGGCTCACTGATGATGTGATTGTTTTTCTAAAAAAAACCTTTTCTTTTTCTGTTTTCAGATAGTTTGTTGCTATTTTCATGTTTACTAATCTTAGTAATTTATTCTTCAATTTCATTTTTGGTTTATGAAATCAAATTTTTTTTAAATCTCAGATATTGTTGTTTTCATTTCAGTAGATTCACTTTGGATCCCTTTTACATTTATTTCCCAACTTAACAGATTTCAGTTGTAATAATTATTTCTATTCCTCTGTTCACTAATTCTAAAAACTATCAATTCTCGGTGAGTTTTGAGTGATTGGTCTTCACCTCAGAAGTCTTCCAAGCTCTATCTTGATTTCCTCCTCTCTGTCCGACAGCCTGAAAACTCATTCAATGCAGTAACATGGAGGAAATTGTAGAGCTCACTTCTTTATTTTCTACTTATCATTTATTCTTCTTTTTCTGATATCTAATTTCTTGAAAATTATTGTTTTTTACATTTTTCATAACTTTTTTATTTGCTTGATGCAGGAAGATTGAGCTGGTTTCAGTTACTCCATTGTGGCCAAAAGGGAAAGGCATGCTTTTTATGCCAAGTCTTTTATAAATTATTGAATTGAAGAGTCAAGAACAAAATAATTTTGTGTGAAAATATTCAACAATATAGTTTTTATCATTTAAAAAGTGTACTGATATTTACTATTGGCAACATTTTTACCACTCCTGTTGTTTAACAATGCCAAAATATTTTTAGAAATGTGAAGAATTAAACATTAATCATACTTAATTTGGCTACTTTACACTGTAAAGAATCAGAAGGATGAGTAGATATAACATTACTCCAAATACCATTCCCCCAATAATATAGTGGCTTAAAACATATAAACAATTCTGTTAAGAGCTAGAGGAAATTTTGCCTAGAATTTAATAAACATCTCTTCTAGGGATATTGAAGTAATTCTAAGGCGGCTACAACTTTAGGGATTAAGATCCTGAAGGAAAGATAATTGGAGAGAAAGGAGACCAACGCGGAACTTTTTAGTCTTAGAGCATTTTAAAGCCAAGATTGTTAAAAAATTGAGCAAAACCTGATTGTGAAACTGAACATTTTTATTCAAGAGACTCACAGACTTAAGAAACAAAAATTGCAACAAAAAATCCACCAAAGAGATGTTTGTGCTAACATCCAAGTAGTTTAGTTGAAATTTCTTCAGAATTATACTTAAAATTGGGAGCCAAACCAAGATTGACACTTAGCCTCAGGTCAACTAAGTTTCTTACTGGATTTAGGTGATTTTTCCCCTAATTTGGCTCTCTGGCGTAGAGTAGGGTAAATTCTCATTAAGGGCAGATGACACTATCCAAAAGCTCAATAGTTTTTTACATCTAATGGTTGACATCTAATCAGAAATCTAACAGCCCTTCCAAGAGAGAATACCACAAAAGGAAAAAAGGAGGGAATAGAAACAGTCAGAAATGACACCTATAGTGGAGTTTTCATATATATAATTTAAAATAGTGTGATTAATACATTCCAGATGGAGATGACAAGATAGAGAATCTCATCAGAGAGCTGAAATCTATAACTAAGAATCAAATGGCCAATCTATATTTGAAATCAAGAACAGTGTAATTGGAAACAGCATGAAAAGAGAATTAGTGAATGAGAAGACAGGTGCATAGAAAATTACAATCCGAAAGACAGAATTTGAGAAATTGAAATACAGAAAAGGGTGTAAGAGATGTGTGGGATATGGTGAAATGTCTAACTTATGTGTATTTAAACTAGTAAGAGAGGAAGAGTGCGAAAATGGAATATATGCAAACTTTGAAGAGATAATCGTTAGGAATTTCCCCCAAATTTTGAAAGACTTTAAACCACAGATTTAAGTAGTTCTACACATACCAAGAAAGACGAATGGAATGAAAATCACACCTAGGCATGTCAAAGCAAAACTACTGAACTCCAAAGATAGAATAAAAATATTGAGAACAGTAGAACAGATGATGGAAGGGAGTCATTATTTTTAAAAAAGCAACAATAAGACAAATTTTTTCTTCCCAGAAATGATGTTTCTGGCGAGAAGAAACATAACAGCACACAAATGCACACATGTCATTTTCACAGTATTGAAAGAAAATATACTGGAATTTATAATTCTATAACTAGGAAAATATTTTAAACTATCAAAGTTAAATAAAATATTTCCAGACCATTGAAAGAGAAAGCAGGAAAAAAATCAGCAAGAATTCATCTCAAGAAGAATCATAATATAATATATTATGGATAGAATGTTTTATCCAGTGGAAATTATTCCCAGATAAAATGAGTTAAAGAGTAAGTTAAAGGGAAAATATGTCAGTATATCTACATAAATATGATGTACAAAGATAATACTAATGCTCTTTTAAGGGACTAAAATATATAGATAACTAAAAGTCATGAGAAAAAACCCTCAGAGTACAAAAAAAAAAGGTTAATGGAACTTCTGTTCTTATAAGACCCTTGTATTGAATAGAAATGTGGAAAAACTGCTAATAAGTAAGAATTTACATTGCTGCATTAGAATGAACTAATAAAAAGGAGAAGAATGAACAAAAAGGAGCTGTGGTAAGGGAAAATTTATTGTAAAAATGCTTAATCCAAATGTGTTCTAAAGGGGAGCTACAAAATATAGAACGGGGGAAAAAACAGAAAACACATGCTTCGACTAAAGCTATAAACTGAAATATTAACAATTACATAAAATGGTCATGGCATTAATTATAAATATTGTCTGGATCAAAATTTAAAGAGAACCCTAGCACATACAACTTACAATAGATAAGTTGTAATATCTTATCTATTGTAAGATAAGATAGAGAACTAAAGAAGTTTTAAAGCAAAATCATAGCTGAAGATATATCATCAAAAATCTAACAAAAATAAGTTAATTTAGCTCTATTACCAATATGGCAAGTATAATTTAAGGCAGGAATGGTGTATAGAAAAAAAGATGCATATATGAAATGATTAAAAGTGTAACCCTATTATCTTTTAAACAATAATAAGTCTGCATGTAGCTAGCACTATGGATACTAAATGTATAAATGGAAAACTGACAGATATTAGAGGAGAAATAAAATTCATAAAACCAGCACTCCCAGTCACAGATTGAAAAAAAAAAAAACTAAAAAGTTTAAAAAAATAAAATATTTGAACAACCCAATTAAGAAAACTTGCATAAATGCCATAAATAAAACTATGCAAAAAATGAGAGAATAGACATTTTTTGCAATATCTCATGGAAAATTTAACAAAACTCATAAAAAGGAGAACTGAAGAAAAGTCTCCACAAATTCCAAAAGGATAGAATAATAAGAAACATTTCTCCTGACCTCAGTAACATGAGATAACTTTAAAAATGTCTATATAATTAAAAAAATGCTAAAAGTTGGCCTAATTACAAATGGAGAATTTATTATAAAACATTTTCAACTATTATAAAAATGAAATTTAACATATTAAAAGGTGTGGAAGGAAGCTAAATCTGTGCTTAAAGAAAAATCCGTAGATTCTAATGAATGTATTATAAAAGCTGAAAGATAAATACACTTCTCCATATTTAATAATATAGAGTTAGGGAACAAAGAGAGAATGAGAGAACAAAGAAAATCAAGGGCAAAAAGTAAACAAAGGAAATGAAAATTCCTATGAGATAAAAAGTACAAAATATTATTCAGACTGGTTAAATATCTAAATATGCGACTTCTAAAAGCCACAGATTTGAGGAAAGCATTTTCAACTGCTCTCATTAGCAAAGGATTTCTACCTAGAATATATTAGGTCAAATTCATTAAATTGTTGACATTTACCCATTTTGAAAAGAAAATACTTTCCTAGACCTCAACCTACTAACGTGGTGCTCCTAAAATCAATACAAACACAAAAACAGTAAAAATAGGCAGAATACATGTATAGGAACTTCACAAAAAGCTATATAAAATGACTAAGAAACATATGAAGTGTATATAACCCTTAGTCATCAGAAAGATACAGGATGCGGAGTAACTACATGTCTGAACATTGCTGTTGGGAGTTTAAATTGGGGGGGTCATATTGGAAAACCCTACTGTATGTCCTAAAGTTGAACATATACTTAGTGGTTTTGAACCAGAATGCAAAACTCTGTGTGTGTGTATGTGTGTGTGTGTGTAAAGACATTCTTAAGAATGTTCTTTTACAGCAGCCCAAAACTGGAAGCAATCCAAAGCTCTTGAAAATATATATGGATAAGTAATATATGGTATATTTTAGAACTAAATAATATAAAGCAATGGCAATGAACAGAGAACTCCTACATGTGACAGCATAGGTGAACTTATGTATATTAAACAAAATAACTCACCCCAAAAATGACATAGCGCACAATCTCATTATTATAAATTTAAAAACAAGCACAATTAATGAATAGTTCCTTAAATTACATTAAGAGTTAACTTTAAGAAGTAAGAAGTAGAGTGACTGGGAGGAAATATAGAGGAATATTGAGTCCCAGGGATATCTTATTTATTTAAACTTGATGATGTTCCAACATATATTGAATTTGAAATAAATTCATTGAGAATATATTTATAATTTTTCACTTTTTATTTGTAAGTTTTACTTAGCATTAAAACTTACTTTAAAAATACTTTTCTCTCTTTTGTTTCCTTTTATTATTGACATCAACATATACTTCCCTGCCTTCCTATTTCTCTTGCCTTCAATGAAAATAAGAATGACTTACTGCTATAGCAAACAAGTTTAAATGAGTATTAATAGAATAAACCATCAAAATATTTTTCACTGAAAAGAAACAAAGCCTCTATAAAAATCCATATAGATTTGCCTCTGTTATTACATTCTTCTAAAGTGAACATAACAATTGATGGATAAGTGGAAAAGAGAGGAAGAAGGAGAGAAATCAGAAAGGGAGAGATGAAGAAAGGAGGGAATGAAAAAGAGAGACTGATATTTAAACAGTGGAAAAATGAATGGAATTAAGAAAAAGCCAAAACTAAAAAATAGTAAGACAAAAAACTCCCCATTTCCTTTTTTCACTAATATAAATAATATTTAAAATTGTGATAGTCACATACATGGCTATAATATCTGTATCGATTCTTTTTCAATTTTACATGCTGCCATGTGACAATGGCTTTCTTTATCAAATAAATCTTTTTCCTATCTCATATTCCATTGATAGAAACTATACACATTTTTTATTTTCCAGGTAAATGTCTCAGCCCACATTTCAAATTAAAATTTTTTACTTCTGGTAGAGTTTATTGCTTACAAAGTTTTTTATTTTAGGGTTTTTTGTTTTTGTGTTTGTTTTTGTGTTTGTTTTTGTTTCTGTTTTTAGACACAGTTTGGCTCTTGTTCCCCAGGCTGGAGTGTAATGGGGCGATTTCGGCTCACTGCAACCTCCACCTCCCAGGTCAAGTGACTCTACTGCCTCAACCTCCAGAGTAGCTGGAACAACAGGCGCCTGCCACCACGCCTGGCTAATTTTTGTCTTTTTAGTAAAGACAAAATGTTTTTAGTAAAGACAAAATGTTGGTCAGGCTGGTCTCAAACTCCTGACCTCAGGTGATTCACCCGCCTTGAACTCCCAAAGTCCTGGGAATAGAGGCCTGAGCCACAGCATCAGGCTGCTTACAAAGTTTTAATGACATTTTATTCAAAACTTCTTGTATCAACATGGGTAATATATAGGCATGTTTCCCCTTCCATTGTAAAGCTGCATATTTTTGAAATTTTTTAGCAGTGCATTAATATCTTCAGCAATGAGTTGACTATTTCTATGAATAATTGATATTTACCTAAAAGATTTTCAAAATCCCTAATTTATCTGTTTTACTAATTAAATATATTCAAAAAGACATTTTTAGATTTTTTGAAATATTCATGAAATTTATTGGTATAGATTTGAAAGTATAAATGCTATATATTTACCACTAGTATATAATACTTAGGAGTCATTATATTCCAATAATGATAATCACCATGATTTTAGTAGAAAAAAGTCAATTTAAAAATGGAAGTCATTATAACTACAATTTAGGACAAAACCATTGCATAAAATGTGTTCAATCTTATACATTGTAAGTCATATTTTGTTCATGTTAAGAATCATATTTTGTACATTGTACTATTTTAAATACTGGAATGCATCTGACAATTGTTGTTGTTTTACAATCACTGTAAGACTATTAACAGTTATAACAGAGCTGTCATTACCTGCCATGTATGACCTTGATCTTAGCTATTCATATTGTAATTACTTCAATTGAATCTTGTACATTGTGGAAACTACACGTCAAGTTTGATAACATTTAAAATGAATTTTAAAATGTCCAACTCTGTTTTAGCATTGAAACACAAAATGTTATTGTGTATGCAGAGACAGAGAAGCAGAACCCCGGGGCATAAATGTGACATTAGTGAAGCAAATATTTACTGGTGAAGGAATGGCCACAATTTTAAATTTCCTTGAAAATAAAAAGCAATGCCTTTATGGGACATGAAAAAAGAAGACACTTCCAAGTAGAGAGGTTATCCTGTTTTATTACCCTAAAACATGCAAAAGTATTTTCAATCACTGGCCATGGGAAAAAAATGAGGCAGAGAAAATTGTCCCATTCCTAGTAATATTTGAACAAGACAAAAAAATAGAAACAGAGAGAGGCTATTGTAAACAATTTATATATTTAGGTTATCAGTTTGATATCTAGTATGTTATCTGATAACTTCCCAGAGACTGTACTGAACCAGCTTAACTTTCAGAAACATGTAATTACCTTGAGGAAAATAAACATAGTCAAATAAAATATACTGTTGTAATACAAGCATTACAACTTGAAAAAAATGGGTTTCATTGACTGCAAGAAAACTTTGGACACAATAATTAAATACATATCTAAAAATGCTGGATAAACAATATTCTTGATCGTATACAATACCATATTGTGTAGAAACAAAAGATTGTTGATTATTATTGGAAAAATATAGAAGATTTAGACTATGAATAAGAGGGGAGGTTTAGATATTTCTTACTCAGTTTTTCATGTATATTTATTCTGTTTTTATATGTGCCCCAAATTGATATTTTTTAAACTCTACGAAATTTAAAATAGTTCATTCAGTAAGTATAAAATCTCCATCCAAATGAGTAAGTGAAAACACATGTATACAAACACTGCTGGTGAAGCATTTATTTGTGAAATTTCACAGACATAGGAGCAGTAGCAGAAATGTAGGCTCTCCATGACCTGTTGCATCTTGGAGGAGAACCTACTAATCTCACCAACCTAGATAGATATCGGAGAGCAGGAAAGAATCAGACATTACAGCTTTTCAGCTGCATGGCTAAGGAAGCATTACTCTCTCTCCCCCAAAATCAGCTCATGAAATTTAATAATATATGATGTGGCATAAACATGGCTCCGGTTTTACACAAAAATTCCGACACTCTTTGTTGAAGAAATACCAGCTTCTCTCCTGCATGATCACAAGCCTGGCATCTATGTTTTTTGAATTACAGCAGGAAGACATGACAATCATATCATTAGCTTTCTTGAAAGAAAAGAAAACATTGGAATATAGCTTAATGTGGATTAATTATTCTTTTCTTAAATTCTAATAAATTTATAAAAGAATGCATTTTATTATTAAATGTATGTTAGATTTGATAAATGTGGTAATTGAAGCAGTGGTCTGTATTGTTTCTCCTGAAGAAACTTGATAGTCACATGATTTCTTTTTTCAATATTGATTTATGTTAGTAATAAAAACATTCTAAACTTGCTCTAAAAATAGTATTTAAAGAGGAATATATAGCATCCTTTTTCATTTCTTATATCACTGCTTGTATAAACAAACTGGTACAGGTTGAGCAGTCCTTAGGCATCTTTAGTTTATCTTTGCTTATGATGTTTTGCATAAAGTGGGGAAAGGGTGCCCTATTCAATAAATGGTGCTGGGATAATTGGCAAGCCACATATAGAAGAATGAAACTGGATCCTCATCTCTCACCTTATATAAAAATCAACTCAAGATGGATCAGATATTTAAATCTAAGACCTGAAACTGTAAAAATTCTAGAAGATAGCATTGGAAAATCTCTTCTAGACATTGGCTTAGGCAAAGATTTCGTGACCAAGAAGTCAAAAGCAAATTATACAGAAACAAAAATAAATAAATGAGACCTAATGAAACTAAAAAGCTTTTGCACAGCAAATGAAATAATCAGCAGAGTAAACAGACAACCCACAGAGCAGGAGAAAATCTTCACAAACTATGCATCTAGCAAATGACTAATATCCAGAATCTACAAGGAACTCAACTCAGCAAGAAAAAAAAGCCAAAAAAAAAAATCCCATCAAAAAGTGGGCAAAGGACATGAATTGTCAAAAGAAGATATACAAACAGCCAACAAACAAACATAAGAAAAAATGCTCAACCTCACTATCAGAGAAATGTAAATTAAGACCACAATGAAATACTACCTTACTCCTGCAAGAATAGCCATAATTTAAAAATATAAAACAATAAATGTTGGCATAGATGTGGTGAAATGGGAACACTTTTAAACTTTTACACTGCTGGTGAGAATGTAAACTGGTACAACCACTATGGAAAACAGTATGGAGATTCCTTAAAGAACTAAAACTAGAACTACTATTTGGTCCAGCAATCCTACTGCTGGGTATTTACCCAAAGTGAAAGAAGTCATTATACGAAAAAGACACTTGCACGCACATGTTTATAGCAGCATAATTCACAATTGCAAAAACATAGAACCAGTCTAGGCACCCATCAATTAATGAGTGGATAAAGAAAATGTGGTATATATTCACCATGGAATACTACTCAGCCATAAAATAGAATGAAATAATGGCCTTTGCAGCAACTTGGGTGGAGTTGGAGGCCATTATTCTAAGTTCTCACTTATAAGTGGGAGATAAGCCATGCGGACCAAAAATGCACAAAAATGATATAATGGACTTTGGGGATTCAGAAGGAAGGGTTGGGGGTATAAGGGACAGAAGACTACATATTGGGTAATGTACACTGCTCGGGTGATGGGTGCACCAACATCTCAGAAATCACTAAAGAACTTATCCATGTAACCAAAAACCACCTGATCTCCAAAAACTACCAAAATTTAAATAAAAAATACAAAGATTATCTAAATTACTAATAAAATTAGACTTAATACAAAAAAAAGGAATGACTGGAACCTACTATGTAATAACATTAAGTGTAACATTTGTTAAATATTTTTTCAGTGCTTCCCTGCTATGTTGTTTATGAGCTTTCTGTTAAAATGTTTCATTCATTTTACCATTTTAAAGTTAATTTTTAATTGACAATTTAAAAATGTATATATTCATGGTGTACAGCATTTTGTTTTCATATATGTATACGTTGTGAAATGATTAAATCAAGCTATTTAATATATGCATTATTTCACATACTTTTTGTGTGGTAAGAACACAAAATATATTCTCAGAAATTTTAAAGTATACAATATACTGTTATTAACTCTAGTCACTATTATGTATAATAGATGTCTTATAACTCTCCTAAAGATAATTTTAGTATGTTGTATTAGTACTCCTAAACCTGGTGATAAAGTCTTTAAAGTATTGCCATGTGATTATTTAAGGTTTTCATTTTAAAAATAAATAAAGATCTTCATATGTGTAATTAAGCTTTGCCTAAGTAAATTTATTCATATTACATCTCATTTTTATCAATGGAGCAGTATTATCTCAGCATCCAGGATTAAAGATCTTCCAGAAAATTTAGTGATATAATTTCTACATTTGCATCTAAACTGAAATACTTTATAAAAGACTATTCTCTTTGAAATTCCTGTTATTGCTTCAAATAAATGGTGACTGAGAATGTCTAAATACTTTTCTCAAATTATCTGTTTATCTCTGATACGATGCACTGTTGGTCAGATGAGAGGGCTATAAAACTTTAAAAATACTCAGGCAGCCTGTTCAATTTAATGCGATGTTATTCTTTTAAAATTTAGCACAATCTTTTAGATGTGAGCAGTTGAAACCTTCCAGTAGTATTATTCAACCTTATCTCTGCATTACTAATGTTAATATTTTGGCATTCTCTGTTACTAACAAAACTAATCTAATTTGGTCATTCACTATTGTTGGATTCTTTTGGCAGATATCAATAGTTTTGAAGAGTAAAAGGTAGGTGAGGGCATGGCTCCCTTTCCTCACAACTGAGATGGTGAATTAGCAAACCTACTATTAAACTTTGTCACAAATAAAAGCAGGTATTGACAATTTTACACAGGAAATAATTATGTCACTTTTTCCTATAGCCTTGATAAAACTACAGATTTCTAAGAAATAATTTTCAGGGTCTACATTATTTGTAACAATATTATAGGTAGGTGTCAATACTATATTTTAGGACTCAGATAATCTTCTATTTGGGTGATGAAATAGAAATTCTTGTTCACAGGAAAATATGGACTTGATCAGAGTTCTAGTCTTATGGCACAACTAAAAAGGATAAAAATAGTTCAGTGTTTATATTCTGACATTATCAATTTTTCAAATTTTACAGTTGTAGTTACATTTATCTGTCTCAGAGAGTAGAGAGGTCAATTAATGGCAACTGCTTTGTTAAGGGACTTCACATGGACATCAATAGTCGGTTTTTCTTTCTTTCTTTCTTTCTTTTTAATTTGGACAATGTCTCACACTGACTGTTAGCCAGGCTGGAGTGCAGTGGTGTAAACATGGCTCACTGCAGTCTCTACCTCCTGGACTTAAGGTATCCCTGCACTTCAGCCTCTCATGTAGCTGGGACCACAAGTGTGTGTCACTGTGCCTCGCCAATTTTTTTTTTTTTTTTTTTTTTTTTTTTTTTTTTTTTTTAGAAACAGGGTCTCACTTTGTTTCCCAGGCTTGTCTGGAACTCGTGGGCTCAGGCGATCTTCCTACCTGAGCCTCCCAAAGTGATGGAATTACAGGCATGAGCCACCATGCCCAGCTCACTAGTCAGTTTCATAAACTTGCAGAGAAATGAATTTTGTCAAATAATTTTGACATTATTTTACAAAAATAATGAAAACAACATGTTGGAGAAATTTGGGGCATTATGAAAATATTGTTATATGATGCTTTCCTGCTCCTTAAATATAACCTTTAGGAAAAAGCAGCATTAATTCATATGTACTTAGTAGTTGAACTAATAAGCAATGGGAGATGCATCTAGAAACCTTTTAGAAATTTTATAGGAAGATCTTACCTAATAAACAAATGAGTTACACAATTCAGCAAGTGACACACAAACTCACCATTGACTAGAAAATATTCTGAGCATTTTAGGCTAGTATTTACTTTGTTGAGTATTGAGTTCATAAATGATTTTAATAGTGTTTCCTGCATTTAAATATAAGCGGATTGAAGAAGTCTTGGAAATGGTAGTAGTAGCATGATTTGTGAATCTCCTTTCCTACCCGCTAAAGAGAGAGAGAGAGAGAGAATGTAGAGCAATTAGCCTATTAGACTCATTAACAAAGAAATGCATAATTTACACCACTTGTCAAATATGAGTAGATGAGATATGATAGCTACACCATTGATAACCATAAGAAGGGAAACCAAAAAGAAATATACTAGCTTCTTTCTGGTTTATCCTTTTATAGTTATCAATGGATCTGGGTTATAGTTAATGAAGTAGGGTTTCTCCTACTCAAGAACCATCAGAAGCCATATGGTTTCATACTAACTAGAAATCATGCAAGTGAAGGTGAGAACAGCAAATGAAAGTGGAATGTGGTTGTGCATGGACATAAGTGATTTCAAGAAAGATTGTGACACAAGGATGTGCAAATGAAAGTGGAATGTGGTTGTGCATGTACATAAGTGATTTCAAGAAAGATTGTGACACAAGGATGTGTTTTATAACTACAGAATTCTAAGCCATACAATCTTTCTCTTTTAATACAAAACCTAGAAGTAAAGAGAAACTGCTAATAGTAAATTCAAATTGATCAGAGCAAGGACATGAGAGAAAAATAACTAAGAGCTAAAAAAGAATTCTAGAAGGTTGGGCAAGATAATGGCTTAGAAAATAGGAGGTCATTTATTTTATTACTCTTCAAAAACAACAAGAGATGACATTTGAAAACCATGAAGCTCTTTCCTTGACAATTCTGGATATTAGACCTTTGTCAGATGTATAAATTGCAAAAACGTTCTCCCAATTTATAGGTTGCCTGTTCACTCTGATGATAGTTTCTTTTGCTGTTCAGAAGCTCTTTAGTTTAATTAGATCCTATTTGTCCATTTTTGCTTTTGCTGCAATTGCTTTTGGCAATTTCATCATGAAATCTTTGCCTGTACCTATGTCCTGGATAGTATTGCCTAGATTTTCTTCTACAGTTTTTATAGTTTTGGATTTTACATTTAAGTCTTTAATCCACCTTGAGTTAATTTTTGTATAAGGTATGAGGAAGGGGTCCAGTTGCAATTTTCTGCATATGGCTAGCCAGTTCTCTCAGCCAGCACCATTTGTTAAATAGGGAATCACTTTCCCATTGCTTGCTTTTGTTGGGTTTGTTGAAGACTAGATGGTTGTAGTTGTGTGGTCTTATTTCTGAGTTCTCTATTCTGTTCTATTGGTCTATATGTCTGTTTTTGTACCAGTACCATGCTGTTTTGGTTATTGTAGCCTTGTAGTGTAGTTCGAAGTCTGGTAGCGTGATACCTCCAGCTTTGTTCTTTAGGAAGTCATTTACAAGGAACAAATTTACAAGAAAAAAAATACTTCTCAGAAGAAGGCATTTATGTGGTCAACAAACATATAAAAAAAAGCTCAACATCACTGAACATTAAAGAAATGCAAATCAAAACCGCAATGAGATATGATCTCATGCTGGTCAGAATGGTGATTATTAAAAAAGTTAAGAAATAACAGATACTGGTGAGGCTATGGAGAAATAGTAACACTTTTACACTGTTAGTGGGAATGTAAATTCGTTCAATCATTGTGGAAGACAGTGTGGTGATTCCTCGAGATCTAGAACCAGAAACACCATTTGATCCAGGAATTTCATTACTGGGTAGATATCCAAAGAAATATAAATCATTATGTTACAAAGATACATGCACACATATGTTCACTGCAGCACTATTCACACTAGCAAAGACATGGAATCAATCCAAATGCCCATCAATGATAGACTGGATAAAGAAAATGTGGTACATATACATCATGGAATACTATGGAGCCATTAAAAGGAACAAGATCATGTCTTTTGCAGGTACATGGATGGAGCTGGAAGCCATTATCCTCGGCAAACTAACGCAGGAACAGAAAACCAAACATCACATGTTCTCACTTAGAAGTGGGAACTGAACAATGAGAACATGTGGACACAGGGAGGGGAACAACATACCCTGGAGCCTGTTGAGCATTAGGAAAAATAGCTAATGCATGCTGGGCTTAAAATGTTGGTTGATAAGTGCAGCAAACCACCATGGCACATGTTTACCTATGTAACATACCTGCACATCCTGCACATGTACTCCAGAACTTAAAAGAAAAAGAAAAAGAAAAAAAAACCCATGAAACTAGAAAAGTAATATTGACTCACTTCTTTCTTTAAAATAACAAGAAAACTGTTTTCACACTAAAAGTAAGCGAAAGTATTTTGATATATTTGATATTCTGATGTAAAGTTACCAAAGGAAAAATGAAATTAAGAAAAAATAATGCCCCTACAGTTCATGAAAGAATGCCAGAAAGACATTGATATACAACAGATTTAAAATAATTTAATATTTTTAATACAATAAAATAAAATTTAAAAATATAAAACCAGTAAAAAACAAAAATAAATATCAGAAAAACTTATAAATCAATTGAAAAGATTACAAAATTTTAAGATAGAAGTGTTAAAACTCAATAAAATAAAATAATGTGTAAAAAATTATAATAAATATAAAGACAACTCCAGAACAACCTAGGAGTAAATAAATTCAATACATGACTCAAGAGAAACAAAACTGAAAAGTAGTACAATGTTAAACATTAAAAGGAGTGAAAAAAGAAATAAAAATATTAAAAAGAAGTGAGAGTTTTGGTAGATAGGAAAAATGATAAAACATACAAAAACATTTGAGAAAAAAACAGAAATGAATGAAATATAACAAATACGAATAACAACATTACAAGAAAAGTTTACTAACAAAATAAAAATGAACTGTAAACTATACAAGGTCATGTCACTATATCCCTGGGAAAAAAGTCAACTGAGAATGGAAAACCCTGGGACAATTTACAGTAGAAAACTTACGTTTTGAAAAACTCTCTAAAGTATCCAGGTGAAAAAAAAAATCAAGTCACTTTTCACTGACAGTAAATTAAATCATCATCAGAGGTTTTGCCAGGAATTATTCATGCTTGAAGAAAGTGGAATATGCATAGTAGATACTCAGGAAAGGAAAATATTTGTCAGATTTTTTATAAGGATGAAATTATCTTAAAACATAACAAATGTACTTAAATATGAACACTGTCTCAGGATAGTGTTCTTATGGGTCCTTTCTGAGTAATTTGCTAAAGAAATTCAGGCAAGAAAAACACTGGTAAGAATTCAACATAAGAAATAATGGGGCTTGGCGCGGTGGCTCATGCCTGTATTCCCAGCACTTTGCACTTTGGGAGGCCGAGGTGGGTGGATCACTTGAGGTCAGGAGTTCAAGACCAGCCTTGCCAACATGGTGAAATCCCATCACTATTAAAAAATACAAAAATTAGCCTTGCATAGTGGCAGGCACCTATAATCCCAGCTACTCGGGAGGCTGAGGCACGAGAATCACTTGAACCCAGGAGGCAGAGGTAGCAGTGAGTGGAGATCATGCCACTGCACTCTAGCCTGGGGAACAGAGTGAGACTGAGTCGAAAGGAAGGAAGGAAGGAAGGAAGGAAGGAAGGAAGGAAGGAAGGAAGGAAGGAAGGAAGGAAGGAACAGTATATGAAAATTTCCTTTTCTCCACAACCCTGTCAGCATTTATTATTGTCTGTCTTTTGGATATAAGCCATTTTAACTAGAGGGAGATGATGTCTCATTATAATTTTGATTTGTATTTCTCTGATGATTAATGATGTTTAGCACCTTTTCATATGCCTGTTTGCTGTTTGTTTGTCTTTTTATGAGAAACGTCTATTCAAAACTTTAGCCCATTTTTGAGTCAGATTATTAGGTTTTTTCCCCCATATCATTGTTCAGGCTCCTTATATATCTTGATTATTAATCCC
Source organism: Homo sapiens (assembly GCF_000001405.40). Classification (NCBI taxonomy): domain Eukaryota; kingdom Metazoa; phylum Chordata; class Mammalia; order Primates; family Hominidae; genus Homo; species Homo sapiens. Next base: position 57,115,054 of record NC_000013.11, read on the forward strand.
TTTCAGATGGATAGTTTGATAATATTTTCTCCCATTCTGTGGGTAGTCTCTTCACTTTGTTAATTGCTTCCATTGCGTTATCATTGCTGTTGCTTTGGTTGCCTGCGTGTGTGGGGTATTGCTCAAGAATTTTTTGCCCAAAGTCCTAGAGAGTTTCCTGAATGTATTCTTTTGGCAATTTCATAGTTTGAGGTCTTAGATTTAGGCTTTAATTCATTTTCACCTTATTTTTGCATACAGCGAGAGTTAGATGTTTAGTTTCAGTCTTCTGCATATAGATATCCAGTTTCCTAGTGTCATTTATTGAAGACCTTGTCTTTTCCCCAGTGTATATTCTTGAAACCTTTGTTGAAAATGAGTTCACTATATGTTGTGGATTTGTTTCTGCATCCTCTATTCTCTTATATTGGTCTATATGTCTATTTTTATGCCAGTACCATTCAGTTTTCGCTGCTATCACTCTGTAGTATAATTTGAAGTCAAATAATGTAATTTCTCCAGCCTTTTTTTTTTGGGTTTTTTTTTTTTTTTTTTTTTTTTCTTAAGATGGCTTTGGTTATTCTGAGTGTTTTGAGGTCCCATATAAATGTTAGGATTTCTTTTTCTATTTCTGTGAAAAATGTCATTGGTATCTTGATAGGAATTGCATTGAATCTGTAGATTGCTTTGAGCAGCACGGACATTTTAACAATATTGATTCTTTCAGTCTATGAAGGTAAAATATATTTCTATTTATTTTATGTCCTCTTCAATTTCTTTCATTGGTTCTTTATAGTTTTCATTATAGAGAACTCTACACTCTTTGGATAAGTTAATTTCTATGTATTTAATTTTATGTGTGGCTACTGTAAATGGGATTTCTTTTTTTTCAAGTTTTTCACTGTTTGTATTTAGAAATGCTACTTAATTGTATATGTGGATTTTGCATCCTGCAAATTTACTGAATGTACTTATCAGTTCTAATAGTTTTTCGGTGGAGTCTTTAGGTTTTCCCAAATATGTGATCATATAATCTGCAAACAAGGATAATCTGACTATTTGTTTCCAGTTTGGGGGCCCTTTACTTATTTATGTTGTCCAGTTGCTCTTGCTAGCACTTCCAGGATATGTTGGAAAACAGTGATGAAAGTGGGCATCCTTGCTGTGTTTCAGATCTTAGAGAAAGGCTTTTCAGTTTCTCCCCATTTAGTATGATATGAGCTGTGGGTCTCTCATATATGACTTTTATATTGTTCAGTCTGGGTTTTATTAGGAAGGAATATTGAATTTTATCAAATGATTTTTCGGCATCAATTGAAATAATCATATAGTGTTTTTCCTTCATTCTGTTGATATGGTGTATCATATTAATTGATTTGCATTTGTTGAACCATCCTTGCATCCCGGGGATAAATCTTACTTGATTATGATAAATGATATTTTTAAGATATTGTTTTCTTTTAATTTTATTAGAGTAGAATATCTTTTTCTATCCCCTTATTTTCAGTCTATGTGTTTTTAAAGGTGAAGTGCATTTTTTGAAGGCAACAGATGTTTGGATATTGTTTTTATGCTCCATTTAACCACTCTATGTCTTTTAATTGGAGAGTTTAATCCAATATATTCAATATTATTATTGATAAGTAAAGACTGACTGCTGCCAATCTGTTACTTGTTTTTGATTGTTTTGTGGTCTTTTATACTGTCATTCTTTTTTTCCTGTCTTGCTTTTAGTGAAGATGTTTTTCTCTGGTAATATGATTTGGTTTCTTGATTTTTATTGTTTATGTATCTGTTGTATGTTTTTTGGTTTGAGGTTACCATGAGGCTTGTAAATACTATGTTATAACAACACATTATTTTAATCTGATAAAAACATAACATTGTTTCCATAAGCACACAATAATAAAAATTCTACACCTTAACTTCCTACCCCCACTTTTTAACTTTTTGTTGTTTTTATTTATGTTATTATACTGTCCATGTCTCAGTAAGTTATACTTGATTAGTTCTTTGTTCAATTTTTCCATTTAATATAAGGGTAGTTTATACACCATAGTTACAGTTTGACAATATTCTGTGTTTTTGTGTAATTACTATTACCAGTGGGTTTTAAACCTTCACATGACTCTTCTTGCACATTAATGACATTTTCTTTCTTATTGAAGTACACTCTTTAGCATTTCCTGTAGCCTAGAACTGGTATTGATGAAATCCTTCAGCCTCCGTTTGTCTGGGAAAGTCTTTATTTCTCCTTCACGTTTAAAGGATATTTTTACCAGATACTAGTCTAGGATATATTTTTTTTTCATCAGCATTGTAAATATGTCATGCCACTCTCTCCTTGACTGTAAGGTTTCCACTGAAAAGTCTGCCTCCAGACATGTTGGAGCTCCATTGCATGTTATTCATTTCTTTTCTCTTACTGCCTTCAGGATTGTTTGTTTATCCTTCAATTTTAGGAGTTTGATTATTAAATTCCTTGAGGTAGTCTTCTTTGGGTTAAATCTGCTTGGTGTTCTATAACCTTCTTTTACCTAGATATAGCTATCTTTCTATAGGTTTGGGAAGTTTCGTGTTATTATCCCTTTGAATAAACTTTCTACCCTTATCTCTTTCTCTACCTCCTCTTTAAGACCAACAACTCTGAGATTTACTCTTTTCAGGTTATTTTTCTATATCCTGTAAGTGTGCTTCTTTCTTATTTCTTTTACTTTTGTCTCCTCTGACAGTATTTTCAAATAGCCTGCCTTCAAGCTCACGATTTTTATTCCTGCCTCATAAATTCTGCTATTAAAAGATTCCGATGTATCCCTCATTATGCCCATTACATTTTGAAACACAGAATTCTGCTTTATTCTTTTTATAGTAATTATTTCAATCTCTTTGTTAAATTTATCTGGTGGAGTTCTGAGTTCCTTCTCTCTGTTATCTTGAATTTCTTTGCATTTCCTCAAAACAGCTATTTTGACTTCTCTGTCTGAATGGTCACATATCTGTTTCTCTAGGATTGTTCCCTGGTGATGTATTTAGTTCAATTAGTGATGTCATGTTTTCCTTGATGGTCTTGATACTTGCAGATGTTCTTCTGTGTCTGGACATTGAAAAGTTAGGTATTTATTGTAGATTTTGCAGTTTGGGCTTGTTTGCACCTGTCCTTCAAGGAAGGCTTTCCAGATATTAAAAAGGACTTAAGAGCTGTAATCTAAGCTGTATCTGTTATATGGGGCACCCTGAGCCCAGGGTAATGCTGTGGTTCTTGAAGACTTATATAAGTACCACCGTGATGGCCTTGGACAAGATCCAGAATTTCTATATTACCAGGTGGAGACTCTTGTTCTCTTCCCTTAATATCTCCCTCTAAAATGAAGTCTCTATTCTGAACCACCTGAGGCTGGGAGTAGCTTGACACAAGCACTCTTGTGGTCTCTTTCCTCTCCTCTCCTCAAGCAAAAGGAAGGGGTCTCCACTAGGACTGTGCTGGGTCAGACCTGAAGCCAGTACAGCATTGAGTCTCATCCAAAGCCCCCTGTAGCTACTCTCCGGCTACTGCTCATGTTTGCTCAGGGCCCTGGGGCTCTATTATCAGCAGTTAGAAAAGACAGCCAGGCACATGTATACATATGTAACGAATCTGCATGTTGTGCACATGTGCCCTAGAACTTAAAGTATAATAAAAAAAAAAAAAGAAAGAAAGAAAAGACAGCCAGGCCTGTGTCCTTCCTTTAGGGCAATGAGTTCCACCAGACCCCAGGCAGGTCCAGAGGTGCTGTCCAGAAGCCAGAGATGATTAGAGTCAAAAACCTTAGGCATCAGCTTGGTGTTTTATTGTACTGCAGCTCATCTGGCACTCAAACTACAAAGCATATTTCTTCCCACCCTTCCCTTCTTTTTCCAAAGGCAGAGGAGTCTCAGGCTGTGGCCACCACGACAATGAGTTGTACTGCCAGACTACCACTAATGTTCCACTAAAGTCCTGGAATCAAGGACCCCAAGAGCCGACTTAGTGCTCTGCATCCCTGTGGCTGAGCTGGTACCTGAGGTCCAAAACAAAGTCCACTTTACTTGTCCCTCCTCTTTTCTTAAATGGAAGGAGTCTTGCCCCCTAGCAACCACAGATAATAATGTGCTGAGTCTCATCTGAAGCCAGCAAGTCTCAGGTCATGATACTACCTGGGTATCACTGCTGGCTATTCAGCGTCCAACACCTGTTCAGTTAGAAGGTGGTGAATCCGGCCAGGACTGGTTCCTTCCCTTCAAAGCAGTGGGCTTCCTTCTGGCCCATGGTATATCTAAAATGTTGACCAGGAGATAAGGCCTAGAAAAGGGGCTTCACAACTCTAACTGGAGCCCTGTCCGGCTGTGGTTGAGCTGGTATCCAAGTACAAGACAAAGTCCTCCTCACTCTTTCCTCTCTTCTCCTCAAGCATCAGGAAGGGGTCTCTTTTGAAGCCACTAGCTGGGCAGCCTGGGGTTAGGGGAGAGGTGATGCCAGAACTCTCTTAGCCACCTAGTCTGATGTCTCAATAGGTTACATGCTCCCAGTCCAGTGGCTCTGGGTCCAGTTCAGCACAAGACTCACCTAGGAGTTGCAATCCTTGTGGCCTAGACTGCAATTCAAGTTTATTTATGGCCCCAGAGCAATTTAGCCTCTGGTGGCAAGGCTTGCAGGAACTCAAATTCCAGCCACTGGGATCAGCAATTCCCCTCTTGCTGAGACTGGTTTAAATATTCCCTTCACATGTGGGCATCCCCTGACTTTGGTCCAGGTTTGCTTTCTGCTATAACAGGGCAGCACTGAGTTCCAAGGCTCACAGTTGCTGCTCTCCCCATCTCCCCAGCACACAGAATTGCTCTCTGCACCACATCACCACTGCTGGGGCATGTGGGAGGGCTGGCATCAGTGATTCAAGGCTATTTTTGCACCTCTTCAGTGCCTCTTTCAGTAATATGAAGTAAAAACCAGTGCTCAACTGATTTTTGTTCTTATTTTTGTGTAGATTGTTAACTTAGTGCTCTTGTCAGAGGGATGATTGGTGGAGTCTTCTATTCTGCCATCTTGCTCCGCCCCTAAATTAGTTTTAGTATACAACCTTGAGTTGAGTCGTTTATATTTGAAGAAGTCTAAAATACACATACACACACACTTGCACACACACATGCATATATATACACCCACATTATTGTTATGTTTAGTTAAGATTAAAAGGCTTGAGTCAGAGATATTTCAGCTATTATTATTTCTGACCATCAGTATAAGAGTTTCTTAATTTGCATAATATATAATATATATTATACATTTTTACTCCACTGAAATGGTATTCAAGATGTGGTTTGGAGGGAAATATTGTTCAAGCACCCTCACTTTCCATCACTAAAGTTTAAGATCCTGTACAAATCAGAAGGTGACCCTTCAGAATGATGCCCTGGACCTGTATGTACCCCCATCCTGTCCTGTGTTTTGCCAATAAGAATAGTCTCACATAGTCAAGTTAAAATATAAATGAAAATCGGCCTCTAGGATATTTTTACAATAATCTGAACTAAACCTTTCATTCAAGGTGATTTTCAGAATGGTAAAATGACACAGCTGAGGCTTTTTCAAAATTATAGGCCATTTGAGTTACACACTTACTTGCTAATGTGTTTGTGTGTGTCAAATATCATTTTAGACTTGCTTCCGGTTAGTAGCAGGTTCGAGTAGAGGGGGAAATAGAAGACCTTTATCCTCACTTGACTATAATTATTCAATTTTATTTATATATGACAAAAGAAAGTAATAATAGATATTATTACAAAAATTGTTTTAGCTCAGTTTACAATATTCTTAAACTACAAATGTCATTTATTTCCTTTGTTATGTCTCCCTTCATCTTTAAATATCCTGCATTTGAAACACTTTGTTCCAAGTAAACATCCTGCAGCATTACCTTAGTATTATAGCAACAGATTTTATTTTTACTTAGAAAAAAATGTATTTAAATGATCCAGTGATGGCTTATGTTATTTGTCAAAACAAAGATTTACTTCCTTAATTGTTTCAGATATATATACCTGATATAAAATCTAGAAATAAATAGGCTAGTGAAAATGCTAATTCTATGAAATTAGAATCCATGAAATTTATTTCAATTTCTTATTTGAAAACCATCAGCACCTGAGAAAACCATGCAGCACAAAGTAGGACTATATTATATATTGTTAAATGTAATTAAAATATGTAAGTTAGACTTCTTCATTACCTGTGGCTATTGTAGTGAGTAAAGTATATTAAATGGAAATTGAATCTATAGATGAAAAAAAACCACAGATACCTATGGGATATATATATCTAAGATATAGCCTATTAAGCTTTATGGTAGAAAAAAAATACTAAACCTTAAGCAAGATCCAATTATATATCACTATTCTGTTTTAGAATATGTTTATTCCATCTTTTAACGTAAATATGAAGGATGTGACTAAATCCGTTCCACAGTTCAAATTTTGTGCTTTAAATAAGCAAAGTACTTGTAAGTCAATGTCATGAGCACATTTGGAATGTCTTGCCAGTGTGGTGAAGTCAACTCAGTTTGTAGAAGTCTAATCCTGATAGTAATTTCATTATCCCCTGGAAAACGAATCATACTTCTGGGAATCACATATCATTCTCAGCCAAAGTTGAGTGGCTAATAGGGTTGTGTATCATTTTTTCAGACTGAATAAATTTTTTCTTCCTAATTAATCATCTTAATGAATGCCCAGGTCTCTTCACCTTCAGTTCTGAATATGAATCAATTTCAAACACAAGCTTAATGAGAAAAAGACCAAGTAAAATTTTGCCTTGGAAAAAAGTCATGTGCAAAGGGTCAAAATACTCAATCAGCACTGTCCTCATTAGAATCATTTGAAAAAATGAAGACTAAATACTTTCTAGAGTAAAAGAAGTATATTATTTCATCCATATAGTCTGTTGTACTTTGTGAATTCTAATTATTAACATTATTAATAGTTTGTTTATTCATATACAGAGAAAACTATTACTATTTCTCTTAGATTGCTTTCTGATGTGTGACAAAAGAACACTGATATTTGTGGTAAAATTTATGGCCATATTTCTATTTGTATTTCTTTGAAAATCCAAAAAATTAATTACTTTTGTGCCCAAATTAATCAAATTCATCAATCACATGATTTGATCAAGAGATATGCCTAGTCATCTTTCTTACTCCAATCCAAAAAGTTAGTTAGGACAATAGCTATTGGAAATGATTAACAATTTAAATAATATTACCTAAATATTGGATTTTAATTCACATTATTGATGATGTAATGTAACAATTTTCACTCTTCTTGAAGGTAAGTATGTAAGATTCCATTTGTCACTCTGAAAGATTTTGGTGATGAAGATAAGGCCTCAATTGATTACAGCTTTTACAAATGATCGTGTGATTCATTAATGACAATCTTAAGACATAACTCACAATTGTTTGACTTTTCATAGATTTCATTATAAATCACAGATACTAGCTTAAACTTGATGTGTTTTTAGTTTGGCAATAAACTTAAAATGAGTATAAATGAACCTACTAAACACTGTCACTATTGGGCACCTGCTGAGGCCAAACACTCTTCAAGGGTCATACTTCATCTAAACAAAAACAACAATTATTCAAATTGTTTTTATAATCACGTTTTACAATCACTGTATCTACTCATTGTTCTAAATATTTGACTCAAAAATTTTCACTTAAAGTTTACAGTGATATTATAATGAAAGTAAAAATATAGCCCCCAATTTGGAAATGAGAACACCAAAATCTAGAAAACTTATGATTTGTCCACATTTATATGACTAAGAAATTGTCAAGCTGCAACATTAACTGGGCTTTAAGTTCTATAACTTGCATTTATAATGCTGCTGCTACTGATTGTGGTGTAATAATCAATTGGAAGAATGTAATAACCATGAGAAAATGATGTCAATGACATTAAAAATAATAACACAAGAAAAGAAAAACCAAACACTGCATGTTCTCACTCCTAAGTGGGAGTTGAACAATGAGAACACATGGACACAGGGAGGGGAACATCACACACTGGGGCCTGTTGGGGTTGGGGCCTGGGGAAGGGATAGCATTACGGAGAAATACCTAAGGTAAATGATGAGTTGATGGGTGCAGCACACCAACATGGCACATGTATACATATGTAACAAACCTGCACATTAGGGAGGTTGTTAACAGGGTTTGCATACGTTAATTCATGTAATCCTTACCACCTCCCATTGAGGCAATTTTTCAGATAAGTGGAAAACTAAATCTTGGGAAATTTAGTTAATAAATTTGCCCATGCTTTCATAGCAAGTGAATAAATTTGAATTCCTATCCAGGTTTCTTTGATACAAAGTTCATGATCTTTCCACTATGCGATATAGTTTTCCTAACATCATATTTAATAAAGCACAATATCTCTAATGATATATTTGTAGAATCTCTGAATGAAATTTGAATGCTGATCATTTTTAGCCAACTATAGAAATACAGAAATTATTCTGCCAGAAAACAACGTGTAACCAATTCAAGTGATACCAATGAGTTTTTAGAAATTATACACAAAAGCCTTTTCATAAAATGGTTGATTTTTCCCAATACACACATCTGGCTATCTCATAGCCTTTTTAAATAGAGAAATATAATTTTCAGAAATGTGGGTTTACAAAGCACGGTGGTCATGAACTCTTCTCCATATTTCAAAACTGGGCAGCCAGACACAGAGTTCCTCTGGGCTGCTGGCCCAGTGAATCATGTCACAAATATAGTAATGGTTGAATACACTGAGTGCCAAACTAAACTCCTAATGTTCTATTTCAATCCAGCAGATTATACTGTGGCTGATTTTGGAAGAAGGGCAGGCTGGCTTACTGCCATATTTTTCACTCAACCCTGCACTGAAGGCAAGGAGCCAGAATTTGAGAGAAATCTGTGGAGATTTTAATTTTTTCTCCTATATAATTACATATTATATTAATTGAACTCCACTTCTAGTTGGAAAATTATTCAAAAAGGGATCCTGCTGCTTCTTATGTGCAGACAGGATGGAAACGATTTTACATTTGGAATAATTACTTTATGACCAATTGAATTAATAGTCTGTGGGAAATATGAGTGAGGAGGCAATTGGTTCCCCAAATTGAAGTAGCAGAAAACAAGACTAAAGGCAATAACAGTCAATTCATCTCAAAATATTTTATAATAAGGCCAGAAATTGCAAATACTAATGGTAGTTAAAAGATTACCTACTTACAGTCTTCAGATCTAAATCTAAGGATAGCATCTAAGTTCAAATAGATGTATTGGTAGTCACTGGCATAATTAAATAGAAGAGAAACTTGATGACAAAATGCAAATACCTGCATTGCAAGCAGGTATATAGAGTTGTCATTCTCATATACAAGATATATTTGGTCAACAGTCACATCTCCCAGTATCTGGTTTACTATTGGCTCCAATTTAGGTAATCACAGTGCATCAAAAATAATTGGGGCTACCACACAAGCAAAAGTTTAATTGTTATCATGTCTCGTCAATCATTAATCTACCTCAATGTTTATCTCCAACAACATAATAGAAAGTTATCTTTTTTAGCTTTTACAAATGTAATGATGTCTTAAACAAAGTAGCCAATATTTTTCTAATAACCACAGCTCTATTTGCCTGATAAGAATTAGATTATTTCAGAAGTGATTTTAAAGATGATGAAAAATGATGGAAAGGAAAAATAAAATTTACCATCAGTTAGATGAGTCTAGCACTGAAGAAAATATTACTAGGATTCTGCATCCTTAATAGTTCACGACGGTAATTGATGTCCTCAGACAATTCCAGAAATTCACTTGAATCTAGCTCTTAGTTCTTTTGATGGATTTAATAATTTAGAAAATAGAAGTAGAAAAAAATATAGTATCAAAGAGATTTGAATTTAGGGATGTAAATTATGTGAAGTAATGCATATGTTCGTTAGCTCAATTTGGACATGACACAATGTATACATGTTTCATGAAAAATGTACATGATAAATGTATGGAATTTTTGTCAATTAAAAGCATTACATATATATATCTATATGCATAGAAACATACACACACACTATATATATACCTATATATGCACACACACACACAGCTATATTTATACATACCTACATATGAGCATATATAAACTTACATATATTAACCTAATACATAAGGTATATATAAATGTATTAAATAACAATATAATTATAAAATATTAAGTAATATATAAGGTATATACATAAAAAGGTATTATATGCCTTATAAGGCATACCTTATAATACCTTTATACCTTTATATAATAACTTTATATATATCTTATATATACCTCATATATACCCTCATATACTATAAATATATTACATAATATATACATACCTTACACATTATATAATTAATATAATATCAAGATTACAATATAGTTAGTATATAATTAGAATGCTACAATAATATGGTATTATATACTTAATATAAGGTATTTATAAATGTATTACATAATAATACATAAGTATAGTATGTATAGGAAAAAAGCAATTGACATAAAAGGACTTATATAATAGTCTCTATGTATAGGGAAGACCCTTGTGTTGAACATATATAATATGTCAGTATAGGTATATACACTTATATATACATATGTGTGTGTATACATATATATATATACACCCCATATATAACTCATATATATATATATATATATACTTCTCATGTTTAATTAGGGTGATTTAATGTAAACTGAATATTAGAATCTGAGGTGTTTCTGTTACTGACTGCTATTTTATGTAATTTAGTTTATCTATCTACTTACTTGTTTATCATTTTTCTATTTGTTTGTATGATTAGGTAGTTTTCAAGCTACAGGCAAACTAATAAAATTTAGGCAGTTTGTTATTATTTTTGTATGAAAAACTCTAATTATTTTGAATTTGAAAGAATTGGGACTTAGCTATCCAATTAAACCTCATGTTTTACAAGGACAGCTTTTCAAACATATTTTGTTTTAATTTGATGTAGGGTTGATAACCGACAGGAAGAAAAAAGAGATCAAAATGTTCCAAAATTCTAAGTAGGTTCAGGACTGATTTGCAGCAAAAGTTGCAAAAGTGTATTGTTTTTAATTAATAACAAAGATATTACGATGCTGATTTTTTTAAGTTATAAAAACTACTAAAGTATATGTATTTTAGACCTTTTGGGTGAGTTTCTCTGAAAGGGAGTAAGACTATCCTATTTGAAGTAATGATTTCTGAATATGGTGTCATCTGAGGAATGGTGACTTTTAATTAGCACGTAGAAGGAGATTTACAGAGAAATTTTGAGTTGGCAAAAGTGTTTGCTAAGAAGAGAGGGTTGTTTCTAAATGGCACTTTAAAGAAGACTAAACAAAGTATGTGAAAATACATATATTAGAAAAGCATCAAACTTAGCAACAGAGGTATCAAAATTCTTAAACGTCAACTCAGGGAGAAGTAGGCAAATATGCTACTTATGAACAAGAAGTTTTGAGGATTTGGGACTAGCAATTTATGATGAAGAGAAATAATAGCAACAGATGATGAGAAATGATAAATCACTAGAGAAATTGTTCATATTTAACATCCCAATTATGTAAGGCATGATTATGATGCTTCTCTCATATCAGGATATACCAGAAGAAGCATGACCAAAGAAATAGATCCTTTCTGTTATGAATCTAGTATTAGTGTACTAAAATTTAAAAAATTCTCATCTCTATCTTGAGACTAGTAGAAAAACTAGAATTGCAGGGTTTAAAGTTCTGATTTTAAAATAAATAAAAGTATTTTCCTACTAGCAAATAATATATTTTATAATAATTTCAAGAAATAATAAAAATATTGGAATTTTCAAACTAACCACCAAATATGTCAATGGCCAGCACCCTGAACAAACCAGTGAAGATGAGGAAGAGATTATAACAATTAAATTTTATTGTTCATTTTACTTTGTCAATCCTTAGAATTTAATAACTCCAATAATTAAATACTAACAGGAATGTTAGCATACAAATCTAATATTTTAGTATGTTCATTTAAAATAATGAATACATGTTTAAATATAAATTACTAAACATGATATAGAATTCTATATTGATTTAAAATTATATGCCTGATACCACATAATAGTGCACTTATTTTTAGCCATGTCATCACTCTTTTTCTCTTGGAGTCTTATATTTCCTGTATTTTGGTTCTGTTAATTGGTAGTTTACCAACTGTCTACATTGTATTTTTTCATGAGCTTTATAAACATTTCTATTTGGAGATAGCATCATATGATGTTCACTTACAAATGTGATAAAATAAATGGATACGTTGTGCAATGCATTGAACCTACATGGGATTTAGTAGTTTTAAAGCCAAAGTTATTTGTGTTCCACATGCAGTGAAAAGGGATGTTTCAAAATCTGAGAAGAGAGCCTACTTTAAGAAAAAATAAAATTCTTAAATGATGGTGCTAGTTTTTATGGATCCTTGAAAGGAATAATATGACATGCTTGTAAATGTTACTGAGGCAAACATGAGGCAGTCTCTGCCTGAAGAATAAAATTGAGGCATATGTTCTTTCCATCCCATCAAACCCAAGTTTCTAAGGAATATATAAATCTTATGTGCAATGTATAACTGTTTTTCATCCAAGCAAAGCAAGTTCCTGATTCTACCTAGTCTAGATGTGCTTTGTATCTATTTAACTTTTAGTTGGTTGGCAGGAGGGGTAGGGAAGAGGATTGTAAGGATCATCATATGAAAACTTTTGTCTCCCGCATGTTTATTTCTTTATATAATTGATAGTTTTTAATGGAAGACTCTTGTATTTTAGCCATCCTATGTGATTATCAATTTCATATACATTGTGTTTGAGTTTTATTAAAGTATCTGTAAGAAAAATGAAGTAGCTCATGTTTTTCCATTCTAAGTATATTAATACATCTAGACAATCTATAATATTTGAAATAACTTGGTTTATTATGCTACTATCACCTTTATAAACTTATAGCATCTCAATTTTGGCATAGTTCGAAGATCCTTTACATGCTTTCTTGGACTAATGGCTTTATATCCTATACCGAAGAAACAGCTAAGATGCCACGTACGTATACCTCTCTCCTTTCTAGCTTATAAATTTAACTACACCTACTGTTATCTCATCCACAACACAACCTCAAGACACAGGGGAAAAACACTGCAATAAACATTTTCATTTCTGTAATTGTATAAAAATACATCTTTTTATATGAAGAATGGGAAACAATATAGTGATGTCAGTTAAGGAGGAAAATTTTGCCATTTTTTTTAACTCAGAGAATTTCTATTATTTGGGACAGGAATTCATGATGATCCAAAATATTTTGCTGCTCATTTTGTTATACATATGTGTTATTTAATATATGGCTATAACATGCATGTGTGTACATGATGTATAGATATGTATGTATCTTCATTTCTTATTTGATTTATAGTATTGCCACCAAAACAACAATTTAAAAAATACTGAAGCCTCTATACTGTCTGCTTCTGAACTACTATTCACAGCGGATATCCACAAATTCTTAATAGGTTACTTCATTATGCATAATGAAAAAACATTGATTTTTTTAAACAAAACTTTTCCTTGGTTATTTCCACAATTTATTATTGATTTAATATTTTAATGGCTTTTTACTATGAAAGGAGTCATCTCCTTCTTTAAATTCTTTGAACAGCTGTTAATCTATTGCATTTGCTATTTGATATTTGCAGTATCTCAATAGAACTATCTTCCTTTTTGTGAGAACGGTCACTACAAAATTTCCCACAAACTTCTTAGAAATGTAATTTTGAGAACAAACGGTTATCTTTTTGATTCGGGGGAAGAATTTTCAAATCGATGAGAGCTACTGTTTGGATGTGGTATGTCCCTGCCAAAACTCAAGTAGAACTGTAATTGCCTATGCAGCAGTGCTGGGAGGTGGGGCCCAGAGCGAGGAGTTTGAGTCATGGGGCCAGATCCTTCATGAACAGATTAATGCCCTCTGGTGGAATTAAAGTCTCGCTTATTTAGGAGTGAGTTCTTGCTGGCTGAGGACTAGATTAGTTACAATGACAGTGGGTTGTTATAAAAGCGAGCCAAGCTTCCCAGATTCATGCTTGCTTCCTCTCTCACCATGTGATCTCTGTGCACATGTCCTCTTGGTTTTCTGGTTTTATAGACACAATGGAGTATTATTTAGCCAAAAAAAAAAAGAACAAATTTGGGCCGGGCACGGTGGCTCACGCCTGTAATCCCAGCACTTTGGGAGGCCAAGGCGGGCGCATCACGAGGTCAAGAGATCGAGACCATCCTGGCTAACACGGTGAAACCCCGTCTCTACTAAGAATACAAAAAGTTAGCAGGGCATGGTGGCGGGCGCCTGAAGTCCCAGCTACTCAGGAGGTGGAGGCAGGAGAATGGCATGAACCCGGGAGGCGGAGCTTGCAGTGAGCCGAGATCGCGCCACTGCACTCCAGCCTGGGCAACAGAGTGAGACTCCGTCTCAAAAAAAAAAAAAAAAAAGTGTTACCATGTTTTCACCCAGCACTAGGTTCCACCAGCAGCTGGTCAGATCAGAACTTCCCCACCTGCAAGATTTTTAGCTAAAAAAATTACCTTTATAAATTATCTAGCCTCTGATCTTCTATTAGAGCAACGCAAAATGGGCTAAGACAATGAGAATCTTTTTATTAAACAAAGAAAGAAAAAACAACTTGCTATTTAATGTATGACTTTAGCTAAAATTGTATAGAACACTTTGAAAATTGATATTATAACCTAAATAAAATAAAATTCAATAACAATTGTTGTGGCCTACCATATATAGATATGCTTCCTAATTTTAATAATATCAAGACGAAAATGAAATAAAGTGGTTTTGTTCATTAGTACACCCTGATTTAATAGGGTAAATACATGCAAACAAAAGTAATACAATATATGGTGAAAGTAATATCAGTTCCACTTTTTCCTGGAGTAGTTAGGAAAGAAAAGTCAAGATAAAGTGATCAATTGTTGAAAATCTAGAGAGTAGGCTGGGCACAGTGGCTCACGCCTGTAATCCCAGCAGTTTGAGAGGCTGAGGCGGGCAGATCGCTTGAGATCAGAAGTTCAAAAACAGCCTGGCCAACATAGTGAAACCCTGTCTCTACTACAAATACAAAAAATTAGCTGGGTGTGGTGGCAGATGTCTGTAATCCCAGCTACTCAGGAGGCTGAGGCAGGAGAATCACTTGAATCCAGGAGGCGGAGGTTGCAGTGAGCTGAGATCACATCACTGCACTCCAGCCTGGGCAACAAGAGTGAAACTCCATCTCAAAAAAAAAAAGAAGAATAGAAAATCTACAGAGTATTGCTCCTATGTAATGTCCTATTTCTGTTATCTAGAATATTTACTAAAATATTATGGAGAAATGTGAACAATGCATTATCCATATAGTGTGATGAACTGGACCAGGTAAAGGTAATTAAAGTTTCTTTGAATTATATAGTATATACATATGTGGGTTAATAGAGCTTTGGATAAAAACATGAGGACAGTAGTCTTTAATGTCTCTTTCTGATTAAAATTAAAACAAACTGATTCATCACATATGAGAGTCACATACCAAGTTGCTGATCTATTGCTATTATTCTAATAAAGATGTCAGTAGTTACAATTGTGGCCTGTGATTCTGTGTAAGATCCATCTGAAATTTTGCAGGAACGAGACTGGATTAAATTGTGATTTTATAGGGACTAATGCCCTTGCATTCCGTGAGTCTTTGAAAGGGGGACTAATTTGGCCATTTCAGCCAGGATTGATTGTGTTTTGGATTTACTTTCTTAGCTGTGCTGGGTGAGAGTTTTGGAGGTCTTCCCCCAGCATTTTCTTTCATAACAGCTCTTACTAAACAATCAGGGATCAATGTAAGATTCATATATTACATATACATTCTAAGTATGTACTTAGGGAACCAAGCAAATGGTTTGGGGCAAGGGTGCTCCCCATCCATTGGACCCATTAGGAAAGGAAACTGGTTCCGGGCTCCATTTACCATTTTGTCTCCATGTGGTCCTACTATTAAGGTAGGTGCATGATGTTATTTGTGGTTTCCTGCAATTAATGTCAGCCAAGAACAACATCGACCAAATATATTTGTCTGCCCTTTCCTCCTGTTTACAGTGTATGGTAATCTGATAAATGACCATATGCCCCTCTAGGGAAGGATTGGATCAATGAATGCTATATGTAGACCTCCAGATGTTACAACCTTCCATTCCATGGTAAACTTCTGGATCTAAGAACTGGTTCAAGATTGGGTATTGCACAAGGAAATTTGAACTCTTTATTGACGAATCTAATATTTGATCATGTCTTGAACTTTCTTGGCTATGTAAATAAAATAACTTTCTCATTGGCTGTCGATCTATGCCTTTTAGGAAAACTGTGTTCAAGTAGCCATTGTTACAGATCCTTCTGCATCAATGCTCCTATTAACCATTTCTAGTTCGCAGATTAATAAGAGAATTATATCCAACAGGTTGACAACAATTAAGTGCCATTGTTGCCACCTCTGTAATTCCATAATGCCATTATACCAATTTGCACTTAAGCCACCAACTTCTAGTGGCACCTGTTGTCTACCACCTGGCCTGCTGAGCAGAGCCACCACTGAATTTCTCAGAGATGTCATTGATCCCACTTCACTATTCTATTAGTTATCCATTTATGAAGGTAGTTTCCTTTGGGTCCTCCTGAAAAAGGTAGTTGGCTGGGTTGTCTTTCCCAAGGAACAAGGACACTGTAGTATGTATTCACCAATGTTTAGTAATTATGGGTTGAAAGTGGCTTTTAGAAGTTTAACTCCCTCTCCCTTTGACTTTCCCTGAACATGAACTATGCACATTAATAAAACTACTGAAGTCCTTGAGCAGAAATTCAGGTGTTTTCACTGAGAAGCTATTGCCTTGTACAGAAATATGAATGCTGACATAATATGGTTGAGACACCAGCAGAGATAGCTATAATCTTCCAGATTTTTTACCAGTATTCTCCATTACATAGTTATCTATTGTGCTTGTATAATATGCTTTAAACATCTATCTGTATGCCATATGATGGTAATTTAATCACTTCTAAGTGATTCATAGTACTTCATAGCAAATACACATAACATGTTATATATTGATTTTTTATGCTAGACAACAAGATTCTTTCCATCTAACTGACAAAACAATAAATGGTGAAAGACCATTGTAACTCAAGACCTATTGCACATTTGCATGAGTTTTCCTCAAAAAAATATATATCCAAAAGTAGAATATTGGATAACAGGAAATTATTATCTGACTTCAATAATTCCTACCAGATTTTTCTTAAGAATGCTTGCATCGATTTTTACTTCCACAAGTAGTGCACAGTTACTCATATTTGCTATTATTGAATTTTGATTTTTTACAAATTTTGTGATATTTTACTGCTTTTAAATTTGCCCATATCTAACTACCATGTGTATTTACCTTTAATTATTTGCATTAAAGTTTTATTTTGAGAAATGGCCATTCATATCCCTTGTATGTGTTCGTTATTTTCCTGAAATTTTTTGTTGTCTTGCAGTATTTCCTTGCATTTTCTATTTATTCCTTTTATATGTTGAAAATGCAAATAAAGCATTTTATTACACATTGCTTATCATGTCCAGAATATACTCCTAAATAACCTGCCATATAAAGAATAAGAAAATGTAACAAAATCTCAAGAGAAAAAAAATCAACAGAAATTAAACCTTGATATTATACAGAAAATGGATTATCAGATAAATATTATAAAATGAATATTATTATAACTATGATCTGTGAAATTAAGATAAGCACATTTGGAATGAATAGAAAAAAAGGTTTTCAACAAATAACATATATTAAAAGTGTACCATATGGAAATTATCCAATGGAAAAGGAGACAATTTAAAATTAAAAAATAAACTAAATGGGCATAATAGTAGAATGGAAACCATAGAAGACAACTCAGTTAAATTAAAGGCAAAACAATGGAAATTACCCAATCTGAAGACCAGATAATATTTTTAAAAGAAAAATAAGTTAGAACTCCAGGGACTTGAGTTTCTGATATCCAAGGGCATAACATATGTCACTGAAACATCAAATGGAGAGAATAAAATTTGGGCAGAGAAAAATACTTGGAGAAATAATTCCTAGATTTGGCATAACTCATAAATTTAAAGATTTACAGAAAAAACTCATATAACCTCCAATAGGATAATCTAAAAGAAAATCGTGACGAGACAAATCATTATAAAATGGCTGAACACCAAAGATAAAGAAAATAATTTGAAAGCATATAGAGTGAAACATAGAGCTAAACAGTGTCGACAAGGGGAAAATGATTCAATTAACACCCAATTTCGCAATATAAATCACATAAGGCAAAGACATTTGGAAAATATACATAAAACTCTGAAAGAAAAGAACTGTCAAATCCAAGTTTAATATCTTTAAAGATATTGTTTAGGAATTAGTGTGAAAGAAAGAGATTCTCAAATGACAGAAAACAATTAGAAAATATTGCCAATAAAACTGGTCTCTAGGAAACACTACAGGCTGAAGGTAAATGATACTTGAGGGAAACGTGCATCTTCCAAAATGCAGAAGAAGTAACAGAAATAGTGAATAGCTATGCAAATATAAAAGACTACTATTTTCCTCAAGTTTAAAAAAATCTCCAGGATTGAACAATTATATATATTATATACACATAAATATAAATATATGTGCATATATATATATATATATATATATGTCCCCCAAAATATAGAATTGTCACATATGTTAGAAGGTCTATTTATGTATGTAAAACCATGGACAATTTAGAATATTATCTTGCTTATAGAACTATACATTCTAGTTATACAGGAAGCAAAATACATTTTATATTTATGCTGACTTATAATTAAACTTTCATCCCAGTGATCTATCCAAATGGTGTAAAAAAAATTGTTTTGAGGCCGGGCGCGGTGGCTCACGCCAGTAATCCCAGCACTTTAGGAGGCCGAGGCGGGCGGATCACGAGGTCAGGAGATCGAGACCATCCTGGCGAACACGGTGAAACCCTGTGTCTACTAAAAATGCAAAAAAATTAGCTGGGCGTGGTGACGGGCACCTGTAGTCCCAGCTACTCGGGAGGCTGAGGCAGGAGAATGGAATGAACTCGGGAGGCGGAGCTTGCAGGGAGCCGAGATCGCGCCACTGCACTCCAGCCTGGGAGACACAGCGAGACTCTGTCTCAAAAAAAAAAAAAAAAAAAGAAAAGAAAAAAAAATTGTTTTGATTGACAAACAAGTTTTTTTTTAAGTTGCTTTATATATACACTTTATGGAGACAGTAAAGTTTTATCAGTTTCTGGATATGAGATATAAATGAGCAATTTTAAATTGTGAGTCTGATTATAAATTGGGGAGATTTCATTGGCTTCTGTTTTAATGATATTAGTAAATAACACAGGTCCACTTTTTTGTTTGCTTCTAAACCAATCTCTCTTTTACATGTACACAACAGGAAATAGAACGTTGCCTGCACATTCGTTGGAGGATATTCTTTTCACTCGATGGTTGGACTCTTCGTAAAAAGACTGAAATGTTTGGGAGCAAGAGAGACACAGACACACACACACACACACACACACACACACACACACACACACACAGAGACAGACTTCAATCCTTTCCAGTTGAATCGCTTTTAAGTAATTAATTATTCCTTTTTTTGCTTTACATCTAGCTTTAAGCATAAACTTAGAATATTTACCTTTAAATGCCTACCTGTTTCAGGTTATTATCAGAACAGGGAGATCTTCGCTCAGGCAGATTGTTTTGCAGGACAAAAAACTATAACCCACTGGTGTGATTTGTTAGAAAATAATTTCATGATTTTAACAACACTAACAGAAAACAAAACATTAAAAACTCAATTGGCAGTTTGCAACATTTCACTTTTGGTAAACTTGGCAGCAGCTGTCTGTTCAGGATATCAAAGCAATGCCAGTCAAAAGGCAACATATAAAGAGAAAAAACACAGCGACAAATGGTAATTGAAGAAAATAAAACAAGTAATAAGTAACTGAGGTATACTACTCTCAATTTCTTCTCATGCTTCTACTCCAGTTTTTAGTCCTCTGAAATCAGTCCATTTGAAAGTCATTCACTTTCAATAAATTCAGTTGGCCATGATATTCGTTAGAATAATGAATATAGATCAAATACATTATACTGAATTTTCTCTACATGGAGTAAGGTGGCTTTTTATTCTACAATAAAGTTAACGTGCTCTCTGCTACCAAATGCACTTTTATATTCACTTTCGTAAATAACTTAGAGAGCATTTGGATACTACACATATTTCTATAATGTCATAATAATTAGTTTCAATGTGTTATCAGAGTGCGAATAGTTGAAGTTAATGGCATTTTAATGTTCTTTATATTCTCAGTGCGAGTCCCAATTATAGAAATTTTCCACCCTGGGACTACTAAGACTCCCAATTTCATATTTGAATGTCCCTCTAGACTCTGTCAACAGGACGCAGAGCTTTTATAAATTGTGACCCTACAAATCTCATCCTTTCTGCTCACATGGCGAGAACATTATTGTGTCCATCAGTTGTGAACATACAGGCTTATATTGTTTTAGAAAATGATCAACGTTTCCTAGAACATCAAGCTGGTTGTTTTTCTCTTCCTTTACTTTTTTTCTTTGTATTCAGTATCAAAGGACAAGTGGAAAGAGTAAGAGCAATAACTGAATTAGGCAGAGATAGACCCTATAGCTTATTCATAATTACTTTCCCTTTTAATTCAACTTACAAGTGTTTCCCAAGCATATATATTTTAAAAGCACTATTAATGCTAGTGGAGAAGGAAAGTTATTAGGATAATTAAAAGATCATAAATATTTTCAAAAATATACTGGAATGGAAGCAGGAAATTAAAAATACTTCAATAATGGATTATATGATTTTTCTCAGCAACTAATTCATTCTCTTCTCTGTTAGAAGATCAAGCATCCCCTCCCAATGTCACACATACGCAGAGCATCCTTCCTTACCTCATTTTCTGGCATTGTCATGTGGCTTTCTGGAACCAATGTGAGCAGAAGTGACAAGGTGCTAGTTCTAAGCTGAGACTTTTAAAGGAATCTCATGTTTTTGCCCCTTGCCCTTTTCACGTGTCCTCAAGGGCAACAAGTTCCAAATAAGGGCTCAAATTTCAACATCAATTTCAGAAAAAGAAGTGTGGAGCAAATTAAATAGCTGAACTTGAATTGCTCATGATTAATATAATCTGAAAATAAATGTTTTGTTTAAATCACTGAGATTTGAGACTTCTTTGTTAATGAAACAAAACTGAGTAATACCATAATATTACAATACAAGCACTGAATGTTCAGTTCTATTTAAAAGCTTGAACAACCTGAAATTATGCCCATACATTTTTGTTGTTGTTGTTGTTTTTGGCCAATATTTCAAAAGACCTTTAAGGGGTATTCATATATGGAGGTAAAATAAAATAAATTAATCTTTTAGACAATAAATGCCATTTGAAAAACTGAAATAATCAAAAAATTATATCTGGTAAATTTTTTAATGGTTTATACTTGATTATAATCTGGTCTTTACTGTAGAGAATAATAAAGAGTTTAAGTTATATATTTGTTTTATCAACTTGAATATATTATTATTTATTTCACAACTGGGTTATGTTACTTTGGAGAATTTGCTTTTTTTTGATATTGACTTGAGTTTTCCTCCAATTATTTATCAGATTATTTATCTTCATTATAAATTACATAATGAACACATATAAACAACATTGATACACTGCTCTTAATGTGATAGTAAACAAAATATCATCTGTCATGTTTCCTGAAAAAGAAGTCAATTTTAAAATTAGAATCTTCTGACAATAAGAAGAAATGCAATAAATCTCTTAACACATCAATTAAAGTTTTACTCTTTTCTCATGGAGTTGAGAATTTGTCTTCATTATGGAGTTTCTCCTATCCTTCAAAGTTGAGTCCTAGAAAAAAAAAATGTCTTAAGAAATACTTCCTTTTTTAAAAATTTGGCTTTTGCTTTCTGAATCACGGTATTGGCCAACTCAGCATTTTGATATTTATTGAAAGGCCTTTATAAGGCAATTATTGCCTTTGGCTTGCCTTTCATATTCATTTTACTATAATTTTATGCTTCTCCAAGATCTCGTAATGTAAATCAGTGTAGTGAATATTGCTAGCATTAACATCAAACAAATTTTTGTAGTATAACATTTTCACATTCTTATCAGAAACAATGCTAGTTAGTTGCATTTTAAAATCTTGTTAAACAGTTACAATCATTTAAATGCATTTACCTGAGTAAATATATCTAACAGCTAATGCCTATTCAAGCAAATATATCTCAATAAAAGTGTCTGTAATTCTATTTATTTGTACATTTATTTTATCTCTTCTGTGTTTTTGTAACGAAGCCTGTATTTCATAAAAATCACAAGACTTTGTTTTACTTACTTTCTTTCTCTTCGTTCTTTTCTTTCTCCATGCATGCTTGCTTGCATGTAGTAGTTTCAGTAGGGAGTAGTCACTAGCAATTGATTAACTTCACATCCCAACCTCCAAGCACAGCCCATAGGATTCATAAACTTGTTTGTCTTTCAAAGAACAATGAACCTTAGACCATGCAGACCTCTTTGATGGCAACTAGAAGTCGGATCAGGCCAAAGGACGCAAACAGCTTTGATTATAAGGGCATCTCACCCCTCACATACATACCTTACTCATAAAATCCACCAAATATGTTCAAAGACAGGTAGGATTTGAGAGATTTCTCTCTCCTGCCCTCTTGTTTTGGCCAAATTGAATAAAACTCTCTCTGCTCCTAGGAGCTGAGGTGTCAGTTTTTGGTTTACTATGTATCAGGAACATTAACCTAAATTGGGGGATTCTACAACATTTTGAACCAAGTATATGTGTTTCCCAAAATTGTTTATTACTTCATAATTTTTCTATTCAGACAGTGATGATTGCTAAAAACTAAGGTGTCCCCAAGTGCAACATTGTTTCTAGATCATAAACCCAATGTGAAGCAGAATAGTATGTGTTTTGCTCAATATTTTACCCCTAGTCCCTAGACACTGCTTAGCCTGTAGTCATTAAAGGGACATCAGTGGAAGGACACCAACAACAACAACAACAAAAAAAAAAAAAAAAAAAAAAAAGAGGAAGAAGAAGAAGGAGGAAAGAAGGAAAGCAGAAAGGTGAGGATGAGCCAGGTTAGATATTGGGTTGTCAGTCAATTAATACAATCATGTCTAACACTTCTAAAAACACAGAAAGAAAATTTACAAGTCTCAACATTAGGTACTATTGCTCATTTTCTCTTTGACCTGCATGAAATTAAGAACTTGTTAAAATTCTTGGGATCTTAATTCAGACACAAAATATATAGATTTATCAAGTATATATGAAATACCGTATAGTCTTCCATGCCATCTTCACTACCCCATCCACCTTATCCATCATGTCTTCCACCTCCCAACTCTGTGTGTGCCCTTGCATCCCCTGAATTAAGAACGTGCTATCTCTGGAGGGATATTCACAGGATAGAGGATTCCTTCCAAGCAGGAAACTGAATGTTGCATGAGGAACACTTCTCGCCACTGATACAAAAGTTGAAGGATTGTGGGATGGGTGGAGCAGGGGTGAGGGAATTTTTTTCTTTAATTTTTGTTTAAATTATGCTTTAAGTTCTGGGATACATGTGCAGAACGTGCAGCTTTGTTACATAGGTATAAAGGTGCCATGATGTTTTGCTGCACCCATTAACCCATCATCTACATTAGGTATTTCTCCTAATAGTCTCCCTCCCCTAGATTCCCAGTCCCTCACAGACCCCAGTGTGTGATATTCCCCTCCCTGTGTCTATGTATTCACATTGTTCGACGCCCACTTATGAGTGAGCACATGTGATATTTGGTTTTCTTTTCCTGTGTTAGTTTGCTGAGATGGGAGGTTGACAAAGGGACACGGAAGCCAACTAAAGGAGCTCCCGGTGGCCAAAGCTGGAAACATTGAGTAACAAAGTAATTACCTAAATAATTAATAATTAAATAGTTAAGTAAAATACTTGACAAAATAATTAGTTCAATTATTAAATAATTCATCCCCTGAAGTACTGGAGTGTAAACCAAAGCATACAATAGGTGTCCATAAGTCCATACGGATATAAATAAGTGATTAAATAAACAAACATGTGGGGGAGAATGGGAAAATCCTCCACACAGGAGAACTCCACAGAACTTAGGTAGCTATTCCCCTGCAAGGAGATAAAGCAAAACTTCCCTTTTCTTTACGTATAGGCTACAGGTAGCGACTTCCAGAAAGCACAGTAGAGAAAGAGGTGGGAAAATCACTTTATGGTGGAGAAACCTAATCAACACTGCCCCAGCCCGGTGACCAGGACTAATAGCAGCAGTGATAAGCCGGCTTGATGGTGTGTACTCTAGACAGGATGGGATGGGAATGGCGCTTTCCCGCTGCAATCTTCCTGACAAAAACATATAATTCCAGTCAGATCACAAGGAATACATCACACGAACTTCAGGAGAGGACATCCCACAATATATCTGATCAGTATTCAAAGTGTCAGAGTCATCAAAAACAAGGCAAGTGTGAGAAACCGTCGCAGCCAAGGGGAACCGTGACGAGTTGTAAGGTGGTACCCTGGATGGGGTCTTGGGACAGAAAAGGTATGTGAGGTGAAAGCATAGCAAAACCTCACTTCAACAGGAAATACAACCCAAAAAAGTAATTGGCCCGGCATGGTGGCTTGCGCCTGGGGTCCCAGCGACTCGGGAGGTTGAGCGGGACGGACGGCTTGAGCTCAGGCCTTCCAAACAAGCCTGGGCACATAGCGAAAACTCGTCTCTCCAAAAAAATCCGAAAATTATCCCGATGTGGTGGCGCTCACCTGTAGTCCAGCTACTCCGGAGGCCGAGACAGGAGAATCACTTGAACTGATTCTCCTATCTCAGCCACCCCCCCCCAACCCCCCCAAGTAGCCGCAGCGAGCCGAGATGGCACCGCTGCACTCCAGCCTGGGCTACAGAGCGAGAACCAGTCTCTGTAAAAAACACAAGGATGCAAACCAACCAAATAACCCACTGTGGGATCCCCTCCAGCGTCCTGCTGTGTTTCCCGCTGTCTTCCTCCACCCGTGAGTGCACCCACAGCAATAAAAGCCAGCGGTGTGGGTCTCACACGCATCTCCAGCCCCGTCTCACACGCACCACCTCCGGGCCTGGACTTGGCCTCCCGTCCATTCCCAGAATGTGCCGGGCTCCCTTCCAGTCCGGGCCTCAGCACACTCTCTTCACTCCCCTTCCTCCCTCCCTGCCTCTCCCAACCCGGTTCAGGATGACTAATTTCAAACGTTATGTTCCAGATTTCAGCCCAGATATCCCCGCTTTGGATGCTTTCCTTGACCATGCTCAGATCTAAGCTAATCGCATCTTCCTGTCAGCCGCTTTCAGGGCACCACACCTCATTGTGCTGACACTCAGAGGTCATTATGCAATTTTTTTTCCTCGATGATTAGATTAATCAATCAACCACGGACGTCTAGAAATGGCGGCATCTCAGAAGGGCCCCCATTTGACTGGCAGGGGACTGGCCCAATGCGCCTCGCAAGCCCAGCCAGGCCCGCCCCAGCCGGCCCCCCTCTGACGACGCCTGTCCCTTACGCGACTGCCTTGCTGCCATATAAGAGGGACGGCGCTCGGCCTCCAGCAGTCGGCTTTCTGCTGGGCTCGGAGCCAGAACCTGCTGCGTGCTCCCTCCAGACTCCCTGGCTGCGGGTGGACTACCTCAGAGCTACAGCGGTGAACCTGTGGACACCTCCGACTCCTCGGGCCTCTCTTCGTCGAAGAGTCTCCTAATTTTCAGATCTCCGGAGCCAGCTGTGGGAAGATCAGGTGTGTGTCTGGGGGTCCCGGAGGCGTGGACGGATCTCGGGTGGGTGCAGTTGGGGACAGAATCCTCATTCCCCTAGAAAGGCCACGGCCATCCCCCTGCCTTGTCACCTCTGTCTTCCTAAATCCGTTCTTGCTCTCTTGTTTTTCTCCCCAGCCCCTCCCGCCGATTGCTCATGGAGGAACCAAGGCCTTCGAAGCGACTTCGCTCCATGGCCCCTAATCAAGGTACATCAAACGCCTGCCACTCCTCTCTTTTTAATTTCGTCTGTTCCCCAATTCTTCCCCAATGGTTGACACTCAAACTCAATCAAGCATTCTCTGTTTCACCTTCTCCTAGCCTGCCTCAACCTGGGCTGCTTGTTGGAAGTCAGCTCCCGGGTTCCACATCATCTGGGAAATTCCTTTCCCTCTTCCGAACCGTAATCCCATTTCCCAAATCTGAGATTTGCTGTTGTTGTCGCTGTTTCCTTCTGTTTAGTTTTGTATTACTGTTTCTCCGTAGCAGAGCGAGTCCTCACGCTACGTCTTGATCTATGATAAACCGGTACTTCCACCTTGTTCTTTCCCGGAGGAGTTGGAATTTTCCGGCTGTTGCCACGTTGTTCTCCAAAACTTTTCCCTTCATACGCTGAGTGTCCTAAATCTTTTAATCTTGTCTAGTTTGACAGATGCATAACAATAAAGCATCCACTGAAAGGAAATTCTTTAACATCTTGCTTGTCTGAAACATCTTCATTCTCCCCTCCCAGATTCTTCAGCGAAACTTCGGTTGGACAGGAAATTTTAGGTGGGAAATTCATTTCCCTTGAAATTTCGAAGACATTTTCTGTTATGTTCTAGACTGAACTGCTGCTTTTGAGATGTCTGACTTTTGAGACATGTGGAATCCTAGCCCTTTCCATGTGACTTTTCCTTTCTCTGTCTCCCGCTCTCTAGAATCTGTTAGAATCTTCTCTTTTTCCTCAGCACTCTGAAATTTTCTGGTGAAATGTCTCAGCCACAGCATACCTCTAATTCTCTTATATTTCATCCTTCTTTCCATCATTTTAGGTTTTTGCTTTGTTCTGTGGGAGACCTTCTCAACTTCATTCTCCAACTTCCGTGGAGAGTTTTGTTTCTTCTCTCACAATTTTAACTTCAGAAATCCCTCTTTTCTCTGAGTATTTATTTGTAAAAGTATCCTATAACTGCTTGACGGGTGAAGTTCCTTCTGTCTCTCTCTGCTCACGCTCCGCTTCTCTTTTAGCCTCAGGTGGGCCTCCTCCAGAGCCAGGCTGCTGTGTTGCGGACCCTGAAGGCTCCGTGGAAGCAGATGGGCCCGCACAGCCAGCCCAACCCGCAAAACCCATCGCTTACGTGAAACCCTTCAGACGGCAGCCCCCAGCTCGCCCAGAGTCACCCCCTCCTGCAGAGAGAGGCCGGCGCCGGGGAGGAAGCCGGCGGCCAGGGCGAGGCCGTGGCAGAAGGGCTGGGCCCCGCGGGGACGCTGGCCAGAGACAGGGGGCAGAAGGCTTGATGGCACCGGACGTGCACATCCAACTGGACCACCATGGAGAGCCAGGCCACCAGGGGGAACCGGAAATCACGGAGACCGCAGCCTTCTCCCTTTCTGAAACAGGTCCTCCGCCTGGAACTGTGCAGGAAGGCCCTGGCCCCGACGTGGCGCAACCTGAGCTGGGGTTTCAGGAGCCGCCCGCTGCTCCTGGGCCTCAGGCTGTTGACTGGCAACCCGTCTTGACCCTCTATCCCTGCATCGGGTTTAGGGCTCTGGGTGACTCAGCGGTTTTACAAGTCATTCAAACCCCCCAGGGCACCTACGTGCAAGGGGTCCCAGTGTTCCTCACCGACATTGCGTATTGACCACTATCTGCCACCCACGTTGTTCCCAGCCTCCCTTCCTTCCACCTGGACGTTCCCCCCAGCCCCACTTCTGCTCCACTCCTCCCCCGACTGGACCTGAAGCCTGAGCTTCCCCTGAACTTGGAGTACGCAACTTACAACATGCAAGCTGCCAAACACCCTTTCTGTACAAGGCGATTGGAATGGAACTGTCATGTACAGTGAAAGTACACGTCACGTTTTTCAGCCAAGAAGAAGCCAACCCAGACAACCTGGAAGAAGTGGGATGCAACAAGGATCACTAAGCATGGAAATTAGGAAACTGTATTCTTAAGTCCAGAGAAGTACGATTCTGGAAAAAGGATTGATGACCTAGAATTAAAATTCCAGAAGACACTCATATAGACATGTGGGACATGCGAAAACTCAGAAGGAGCTAGAAGTTACTAAAGTGCTTCTCTAGT
This sequence comes from Homo sapiens, assembly GCF_000001405.40. Taxonomy (NCBI): domain Eukaryota; kingdom Metazoa; phylum Chordata; class Mammalia; order Primates; family Hominidae; genus Homo; species Homo sapiens. Next base: position 57,143,435 of record NC_000013.11, read on the forward strand.
GCCTGGAGACGATAGACTGGCTGAATATAAGAGCAATAAAAATCTAGACTGACACATTTTTAAGTCTCAACGTGGGTACCCTTTGGGAACCACTAAATGAATTGGAATAGAAGGTAAAATTTCAAACAGATTGAGGAAAAAGGGGATCAAAGGACATGTGACGAATCAGACAAAAGGTGTTGGGGTGGGGGGGGGGGCGGTTAACGGAAGCAAGGAGAGTGCATGACTCACTGGAACCGCTAAACCAGGAATCAGTAATTTGACGGCAGTGTCCTTGGCTTCCTCCTGGCTTTAATGGGAATATTTTGAATGTTTCACCATTAACCAAGATGTTGGCTGTAGGTGTCTCTTAGATGTTTAAGTTGAGTTAGTTCCCATCTTTTCAGAGTTTGATAAATGTTGTATTATGAACTTTTGTATTTTGTATTTTATTAGGTAGGCTGTTGTTGGCTGGTTTTCACTCCTTTGTAAACGTCCAAATAAAATACAGATAACTTTTTACATCAAAGATTTTTCTCTTGTGTACTCAATCCTTCTAAATAAACCTTTCTCTTCAGACTTATTTTATAGAACAGTTCTTTCACTAAACTTTCACAAATCGCAAATACAAAATGTGTTTACTAAAAGCAGAAAGGAAGGTAGAAAAATGGCTCCAGTCTCTGTTCTCCATTCATATCGCATCTTTCCCCATAGTCACACAAGTCTACACCAACAAACGTGTACATTGAGAGCATCGTTTGTGGCTCGCTTTTACAAACACCTGGCGTGCCATGCGCCAGGGGTCCTGCTGAAGTGACTATAAGGTCCAGGCAGGCAACACAGGTGTGGTCAGGACCAGAGCCTCTGTGGAGTCCGTGCGTCTCCAAACTAGGAACAGGCGACTTCGTATTGAAGCATGGCATGGAGCACAATGAGCACTGTGCAGTGGGAGCTGCTTCTTGGCTTGCCATTGGGGTCTGTCATCCATAAGCCAGAAAGCCCCCTTGCAGTCATCCTACGCACATGTGCCACTATCTTCTTGCTGTATATCTGTCTGGAAAGATGCACAGCTTTTACATTATGCAGGTGGTGGTCTGCTGATACGCTACTTCCAGGATATTTCTACCACCAGAATGCTTCACTAAACATTGGTACGTGGAGTAAGACAGGGTCTCATTCCGTCATCCAGGCTGGAGTGCAGTGGTGCAATCACAGCTCAGCGCAGCCTGCGCCTCCTCAGCTCGGGTGATCCTCCAACATCAGGTTGCCAAGTAGCTCAGACTGCAGGCAGGCACCAAGAGCCCTTGGTAATTCCTCCTGGTTTATTTATTCGTTCATTTATTTATTTATTTATTTTGAAACAGACTCTCACTCTTTCACCCAGGCTGGAGCGCGGTGGCTTCGGCTCACTGAGAACTCCATTCCCGGGACTGAAGCGATTCTCATGTCTCGCCCTAATAAAAATAGGAAAATTAGCCAGGCATGGTGGTGGGCCACTGTAGTCCCAGCTGCTCGGGAGGCTGAGGCGGGAGAATCCTTTGAGCCCAGGAGGCGGAGGTTGCAGTGAGCCCAGACTGCGCCATTGCAGTGATCCGAGATCATGCTATTGCACTCCAGCCTGGGTGACAAGAGCAAAACTTTGTCTCAAAATGGAAAAAAGAGAGAGAGAAGTTATCCCAATAAGAAAGATAAAAGTTTTGAAGAGAAACTTCACAGAAGAATCTATGGGTTCGGTCAGTGAGCACACGAAATCCCAATAAGGATGAGAATATGCAAATAAGCATGGAGCATCCTGTGGTGCCAGGGAGAAAGGAGCCGCCCAAAACCAAACAAAGCCAAAAGCCACAGCGATGGGAGGTTGACAAAGGGACACGGAAGCCAACTAAAGGAGCTCCCGGTGGCCAAAGCTGGAAACGTTGAGTAACAAAGTAATTAGCTAAATAATTAATAATTAAATAGTTAAGTAAAATATTTGACAAAATAATTAGTTCAATTATTAAATAATTCATCCCCCGAAGTACTGGAGTGTAAACCAAAGCATACAATAGGTGTCCATAAGTCCATACGGATATAAATAAGTGATTAAATAAACAAACATGTGGGGGAGAATGGGAAAATCCTCCACACAGGAGAACTCCACAGAACTTAGGTAGCTATTCCCCTGCAAGGAGATAAAGCAAAACTTCCCTTTTCTTTACGTATAGGCTACAGGTAGCGACTTCCAGAAAGCACAGTAGAGAAAGAGGTGGGAAAATCACTTTATGGTGGAGAAACCTAATCAACACTGCCCCAGCCCGGTGACCAGGACTAATAGCAGCAGTGATAAGCCGGCTTGATGGTGTGTACTCTAGACAGGATGGGATGGGAATGGCGCTTTCCCGCTGCAATCTTCCTGACAAAAACATATAATTCCAGTCAGATCACAAGGAATACATCACACGAACTTCAGGAGAGGACATCCCACAATATATCTGATCAGTATTCAAAGTGTCAGGGTCATCAAAAACAAGGCAAGTGTGAGAAACCGTCGCAGCCAAGGGGAACCGTGACGAGTTGTAAGGTGGTACCCTGGATGGGGTCTTGGGACAGAAAAGGTATGTGAGGTGAAAGCATAGCAAAACCTCACTTCAACAGGAAATACAACCCAAAAAAATAATTGGCCGGGCATGGTGGCTTGCGCCTGGGGTCCCAGCGACTCGGGAGGTTGAGCGGGACGGACGGCTTGAGCTCAGGCCTTCCAAACAAGCCTGGGCACATAGCGAAACCTCGTCTCTCCAAAAAAATCCGAAAATTATCCCGATGTGGTGGCGCTCACCTGTAGTCCAGCTACTCCGGAGGCCGAGACAGGAGAATCACTTGAACTGATTCTCCTATCTCAGCCCCCCCCCCCCCCCCGCCCCACCCCAAGTAGCCGCAGCGAGCCGAGATGGCACCGCTGCACTCCAGCCTGGGCTACAGAGCGAGAACCCGTCTCTGTAAAAGACACAAGGATGCAAACCAACCAAATAACCCACTGTGGGATCCCCTCCAGCGTCCTGCTGTGTTTCCCGCTGTCTTCCTCCACCCGTGAGTGCACCCACAGCAATAAAAGCCAGCGGTGTGGGTCTCACACGCATCTCCAGCCCCGTCGCCATCGCGCTGAGCTCGACTCTTTTTACAAAAGGCCACTTGACATCCTCACTTGGCAGTTCAAAAGCCCCTTCAACCAGATGTGCGCAAGCCAAGCTCCGCAACTTCCCGTTCAGAGCAGGTTCTCGGTCCACCTCTGCCTGAATGAACCGGCGGGCTACCAAGGCCGCAGTCTCTTCCTCAAGGGCTGTCCACACTGGGTCTCGCTTTCTCTTGGAAATTTCTCTCCCACCAGGGAACTTTCTCCTCCTCTACCTCCCTGAGTCTCAGTCTAACAGCACCCTGCGCCCAACCCCGAGGGCTGCAATAGCCTTCTTGCCTCTCCTGACTTATTCTGCGGACCCTGGGTTGGCGCTCCTTCACAGCCAGGCTGGTCGTTTCTGAAATGTTAACCCGCTGCCGGACACCGTTCCACGGTTTTCCGCTGCCTTGGAACAAGACCAGCTCCTGCGCGGACCCTGCCTCCACCTCGCACCACCTCCGGGCCTGGACTTGGCCTCCCGTCCATTCCCAGAATGTGCCGGGCTCCCTTCCAGTCCGGGCCTCAGCACACTCTCTTCACTCCCCTTCCTCCCTCCCTGCCTCTCCCAACCCGGTTCAGGATGACTAATTTCAAACGTTATGTTCCAGATTTCAGCCCAGATATCCCCGCTTTGGATGCTTTCCTTGACCATGCTCAGATCTAAGCTAATCGCATCTTCCTGTCAGCCGCTTTCAGGGCACCACACCTCATTGTGCTGACACTCAGAGGTCATTATGCAATTTTTTTTCCTCGATGATTAGATTAATCAATCAACCACGGACGTCTAGAAATGGCGGCATCTCAGAAGGGCCCCCATTTGACTGGCAGGGGACTGGCCCAATGCGCCTCGCAAGCCCAGCCAGGCCCGCCCCAGCCGGCCCCCCTCTGACGACGCCTGTCCCTTACGCGACTGCCTTGCTGCCATATAAGAGGGACGGCGCTCGGCCTCCAGCAGTCGGCTTTCTGCTGGGCTCGGAGCCAGAACCTGCTGCGTGCTCCCTCCAGACTCCCTGGCTGCGGGTGGACTACCTCAGAGCTACAGCGGTGAACCTGTGGACACCTCCGACTCCTCGGGCCTCTCTTCGTCGAAGAGTCTCCTAATTTTCAGATCTCCGGAGCCAGCTGTGGGAAGATCAGGTGTGTGTCTGGGGGTCCCGGAGGCGTGGACGGATCTCGGGTGGGTGCAGTTGGGGACAGAATCCTCATTCCCCTAGAAAGGCCACGGCCATCCCCCTGCCTTGTCACCTCTGTCTTCCTAAATCCGTTCTTGCTCTCTTGTTTTTCTCCCCAGCCCCTCCCGCCGATTGCTCATGGAGGAACCAAGGCCTTCGAAGCGACTTCGCTCCATGGCCCCTAATCAAGGTACATCAAACGCCTGCCACTCCTCTCTTTTTAATTTCGTCTGTTCCCCAATTCTTCCCCAATGGTTGACACTCAAACTCAATCAAGCATTCTCTGTTTCACCTTCTCCTAGCCTGCCTCAACCTGGGCTGCTTGTTGGAAGTCAGCTCCCGGGTTCCACATCATCTGGGAAATTCCTTTCCCTCTTCCGAACCGTAATCCCATTTCCCAAATCTGAGATTTGCTGTTGTTGTCGCTGTTTCCTTCTGTTTAGTTTTGTATTACTGTTTCTCCGTAGCAGAGCGAGTCCTCACGCTACGTCTTGATCTATGATAAACCGGTACTTCCACCTTGTTCTTTCCCGGAGGAGTTGGAATTTTCCGGCTGTTGCCACGTTGTTCTCCAAAACATTTCCCTTCATACGCTGAGTGTCCTAAATCTTTTAATCTTGTCTAGTTTGACAGATGCATAACAATAAAGCATCCACTGAAAGGAAATTCTTTAACATCTTGCTTGTCTGAAACATCTTCATTCTCCCCTCCCAGATTCTTCAGCGAAACTTCGGTTGGACAGGAAATTTTAGGTGGGAAATTCATTTCCCTTGAAATTTCGAAGACATTTTCTGTTATGTTCTAGACTGAACTGCTGCTTTTGAGATGTCTGACTTTTGAGACATGTGGAATCCTAGCCCTTTCCATGTGACTTTTCCTTTCTCTGTCTCCCGCTCTCTAGAATCTGTTAGAATCTTCTCTTTTTCCTCAGCACTCTGAAATTTTCTGGTGAAATGTCTCAGCCACAGCATACCTCTAATTCTCTTATATTTCATCCTTCTTTCCATCATTTTAGGTTTTTGCTTTGTTCTGTGGGAGACCTTCTCAACTTCATTCTCCAACTTCCGTGGAGAGTTTTGTTTCTTCTCTCACAATTTTAACTTCAGAAATCCCTCTTTTCTCTGAGTATTTATTTGTAAAAGTATCCTATAACTGCTTGACGGGTGAAGTTCCTTCTGTCTCTCTCTGCTCACGCTCCGCTTCTCTTTTAGCCTCAGGTGGGCCTCCTCCAGAGCCAGGCTGCTGTGTTGCGGACCCTGAAGGCTCCGTGGAAGCAGATGGGCCCGCACAGCCAGCCCAACCCGCAAAACCCATCGCTTACGTGAAACCCTTCAGACGGCAGCCCCCAGCTCGCCCAGAGTCACCCCCTCCTGCAGAGAGAGGCCGGCGCCGGGGAGGAAGCCGGCGGCCAGGGCGAGGCCGTGGCAGAAGGGCTGGGCCCCGCGGGGACGCTGGCCAGAGACAGGGGGCAGAAGGCTTGATGGCACCGGACGTGCACATCCAACTGGACCACCATGGAGAGCCAGGCCACCAGGGGGAACCGGAAATCACGGAGACCGCAGCCTTCTCCCTTTCTGAAACAGGTCCTCCGCCTGGAACTGTGCAGGAAGGCCCTGGCCCCGACGTGGCGCAACCTGAGCTGGGGTTTCAGGAGCCGCCCGCTGCTCCTGGGCCTCAGGCTGTTGACTGGCAACCCGTCTTGACCCTCTATCCCTGCATCGGGTTTAGGGCTCTGGGTGACTCAGCGGTTTTACAAGTCATTCAAACCCCCCAGGGCACCTACGTGCAAGGGGTCCCAGTGTTCCTCACCGACATTGCGTATTGACCACTATCTGCCACCCACGTTGTTCCCAGCCTCCCTTCCTTCCACCTGGACGTTCCCCCCAGCCCCACTTCTGCTCCACTCCTCCCCCGACTGGACCTGAAGCCTGAGCTTCCCCTGAACTTGGAGTACGCAACTTACAACATGCAAGCTGCCAAACACCCTTTCTGTACAAGGCGATTGGAATGGAACTGTCATGTACAGTGAAAGTACACGTCACGTTTTTCAGCCAAGAAGAAGCCAACCCAGACAACCTGGAAGAAGTGGGATGCAACAAGGATCACTAAGCATGGAAATTAGGAAACTGTATTCTTAAGTCCAGAGAAGTACGATTCTGGAAAAAGGATTGATGACCTAGAATTAAAATTCCAGAAGACACTCATATAGACATGTGGGACATGCGAAAACTCAGAAGGAGCTAGAAGTTACTAAAGTGCTTCTCTAGTGCCTGGAGACGATAGACTGGCTGAATATAAGAGCAATAAAAATCTAGACTGACACATTTTTAAGTCTCAACGTGGGTACCCTTTGGGAACCACTAAATGAATTGGAATAGAAGGTAAAATTTCAAACAGATTGAGGAAAAAGGGGATCAAAGGACATGTGACGAATCAGACAAAAGGTGTTGGGGTGGGGGGGGGGGCGGTTAACGGAAGCAAGGAGAGTGCATGACTCACTGGAACCGCTAAACCAGGAATCAGTAATTTGACGGCAGTGTCCTTGGCTTCCTCCTGGCTTTAATGGGAATATTTTGAATGTTTCACCATTAACCAAGATGTTGGCTGTAGGTGTCTCTTAGATGTTTAAGTTGAGTTAGTTCCCATCTTTTCAGAGTTTGATAAATGTTGTATTATGAACTTTTGTATTTTGTATTTTATTAGGTAGGCTGTTGTTGGCTGGTTTTCACTCCTTTGTAAACGTCCAAATAAAATACAGATAACTTTTTACATCAAAGATTTTTCTCTTGTGTACTCAATCCTTCTAAATAAACCTTTCTCTTCAGACTTATTTTATAGAACAGTTCTTTCACTAAACTTTCACAAATCGCAAATACAAAATGTGTTTACTAAAAGCAGAAAGGAAGGTAGAAAAATGGCTCCAGTCTCTGTTCTCCATTCATATCGCATCTTTCCCCATAGTCACACAAGTCTACACCAACAAACGTGTACATTGAGAGCATCGTTTGTGGCTCGCTTTTACAAACACCTGGCGTGCCATGCGCCAGGGGTCCTGCTGAAGTGACTATAAGGTCCAGGCAGGCAACACAGGTGTGGTCAGGACCAGAGCCTCTGTGGAGTCCGTGCGTCTCCAAACTAGGAACAGGCGACTTCGTATTGAAGCATGGCATGGAGCACAATGAGCACTGTGCAGTGGGAGCTGCTTCTTGGCTTGCCATTGGGGTCTGTCATCCATAAGCCAGAAAGCCCCCTTGCAGTCATCCTACGCACATGTGCCACTATCTTCTTGCTGTATATCTGTCTGGAAAGATGCACAGCTTTTACATTATGCAGGTGGTGGTCTGCTGATACGCTACTTCCAGGATATTTCTACCACCAGAATGCTTCACTAAACATTGGTACGTGGAGTAAGACAGGGTCTCATTCCGTCATCCAGGCTGGAGTGCAGTGGTGCAATCACAGCTCAGCGCAGCCTGCGCCTCCTCAGCTCGGGTGATCCTCCAACATCAGGTTGCCAAGTAGCTCAGACTGCAGGCAGGCACCAAGAGCCCTTGGTAATTCCTCCTGGTTTATTTATTCGTTCATTTATTTATTTATTTATTTTGAAACAGACTCTCACTCTTTCACCCAGGCTGGAGCGCGGTGGCTTCGGCTCACTGAGAACTCCATTCCCGGGACTGAAGCGATTCTCATGTCTCGCCCTAATAAAAATAGGAAAATTAGCCAGGCATGGTGGTGGGCCACTGTAGTCCCAGCTGCTCGGGAGGCTGAGGCGGGAGAATCCTTTGAGCCCAGGAGGCGGAGGTTGCAGTGAGCCCAGACTGCGCCATTGCAGTGATCCGAGATCATGCTATTGCACTCCAGCCTGGGTGACAAGAGCAAAACTTTGTCTCAAAATGGAAAAAAGAGAGAGAGAAGTTATCCCAATAAGAAAGATAAAAGTTTTGAAGAGAAACTTCACAGAAGAATCTATGGGTTCGGTCAGTGAGCACACGAAATCCCAATAAGGATGAGAATATGCAAATAAGCATGGAGCATCCTGTGGTGCCAGGGAGAAAGGAGCCGCCCAAAACCAAACAAAGCCAAAAGCCACAGCGATGGGAGGTTGACAAAGGGACACGGAAGCCAACTAAAGGAGCTCCCGGTGGCCAAAGCTGGAAACGTTGAGTAACAAAGTAATTAGCTAAATAATTAATAATTAAATAGTTAAGTAAAATATTTGACAAAATAATTAGTTCAATTATTAAATAATTCATCCCCCGAAGTACTGGAGTGTAAACCAAAGCATACAATAGGTGTCCATAAGTCCATACGGATATAAATAAGTGATTAAATAAACAAACATGTGGGGGAGAATGGGAAAATCCTCCACACAGGAGAACTCCACAGAACTTAGGTAGCTATTCCCCTGCAAGGAGATAAAGCAAAACTTCCCTTTTCTTTACGTATAGGCTACAGGTAGCGACTTCCAGAAAGCACAGTAGAGAAAGAGGTGGGAAAATCACTTTATGGTGGAGAAACCTAATCAACACTGCCCCAGCCCGGTGACCAGGACTAATAGCAGCAGTGATAAGCCGGCTTGATGGTGTGTACTCTAGACAGGATGGGATGGGAATGGCGCTTTCCCGCTGCAATCTTCCTGACAAAAACATATAATTCCAGTCAGATCACAAGGAATACATCACACGAACTTCAGGAGAGGACATCCCACAATATATCTGATCAGTATTCAAAGTGTCAGGGTCATCAAAAACAAGGCAAGTGTGAGAAACCGTCGCAGCCAAGGGGAACCGTGACGAGTTGTAAGGTGGTACCCTGGATGGGGTCTTGGGACAGAAAAGGTATGTGAGGTGAAAGCATAGCAAAACCTCACTTCAACAGGAAATACAACCCAAAAAAATAATTGGCCCGGCATGGTGGCTTGCGCCTGGGGTCCCAGCGACTCGGGAGGTTGAGCGGGACGGACGGCTTGAGCTCAGGCCTTCCAAACAAGCCTGGGCACATAGCGAAACCTCGTCTCTCCAAAAAAATCCGAAAATTATCCCGATGTGGTGGCGCTCACCTGTAGTCCAGCTACTCCGGAGGCCGAGACAGGAGAATCACTTGAACTGATTCTCCTATCTCAGCCCGCCCCGCCCCCCCCCCCCCCCCCCCCAAGTAGCCGCAGCGAGCCGAGATGGCACCGCTGCACTCCAGCCTGGGCTACAGAGCGAGAACCCGTCTCTGTAAAAGACACAAGGATGCAAACCAACCAAATAACCCACTGTGGGATCCCCTCCAGCGTCCTGCTGTGTTTCCCGCTGTCTTCCTCCACCCGTGAGTGCACCCACAGCAATAAAAGCCAGCGGTGTGGGTCTCACACGCATCTCCAGCCCCGTCGCCATCGCGCTGAGCTCGACTCTTTTTACAAAAGGCCACTTGACATCCTCACTTGGCAGTTCAAAAGCCCCTTCAACCAGATGTGCGCAAGCCAAGCTCCGCAACTTCCCGTTCAGAGCAGGTTCTCGGTCCACCTCTGCCTGAATGAACCGGCGGGCTACCAAGGCCGCAGTCTCTTCCTCAAGGGCTGTCCACACTGGGTCTCGCTTTCTCTTGGAAATTTCTCTCCCACCAGGGAACTTTCTCCTCCTCTACCTCCCTGAGTCTCAGTCTAACAGCACCCTGCGCCCAACCCCGAGGGCTGCAATAGCCTTCTTGCCTCTCCTGACTTATTCTGCGGACCCTGGGTTGGCGCTCCTTCACAGCCAGGCTGGTCGTTTCTGAAATGTTAACCCGCTGCCGGACACCGTTCCACGGTTTTCCGCTGCCTTGGAACAAGACCAGCTCCTGCGCGGACCCTGCCTCCACCTCGCACCACCTCCGGGCCTGGACTTGGCCTCCCGTCCATTCCCAGAATGTGCCGGGCTCCCTTCCAGTCCGGGCCTCAGCACACTCTCTTCACTCCCCTTCCTCCCTCCCTGCCTCTCCCAACCCGGTTCAGGATGACTAATTTCAAACGTTATGTTCCAGATTTCAGCCCAGATATCCCCGCTTTGGATGCTTTCCTTGACCATGCTCAGATCTAAGCTAATCGCATCTTCCTGTCAGCCGCTTTCAGGGCACCACACCTCATTGTGCTGACACTCAGAGGTCATTATGCAATTTTTTTTCCTCGATGATTAGATTAATCAATCAACCACGGACGTCTAGAAATGGCGGCATCTCAGAAGGGCCCCCATTTGACTGGCAGGGGACTGGCCCAATGCGCCTCGCAAGCCCAGCCAGGCCCGCCCCAGCCGGCCCCCCTCTGACGACGCCTGTCCCTTACGCGACTGCCTTGCTGCCATATAAGAGGGACGGCGCTCGGCCTCCAGCAGTCGGCTTTCTGCTGGGCTCGGAGCCAGAACCTGCTGCGTGCTCCCTCCAGACTCCCTGGCTGCGGGTGGACTACCTCAGAGCTACAGCGGTGAACCTGTGGACACCTCCGACTCCTCGGGCCTCTCTTCGTCGAAGAGTCTCCTAATTTTCAGATCTCCGGAGCCAGCTGTGGGAAGATCAGGTGTGTGTCTGGGGGTCCCGGAGGCGTGGACGGATCTCGGGTGGGTGCAGTTGGGGACAGAATCCTCATTCCCCTAGAAAGGCCACGGCCATCCCCCTGCCTTGTCACCTCTGTCTTCCTAAATCCGTTCTTGCTCTCTTGTTTTTCTCCCCAGCCCCTCCCGCCGATTGCTCATGGAGGAACCAAGGCCTTCGAAGCGACTTCGCTCCATGGCCCCTAATCAAGGTACATCAAACGCCTGCCACTCCTCTCTTTTTAATTTCGTCTGTTCCCCAATTCTTCCCCAATGGTTGACACTCAAACTCAATCAAGCATTCTCTGTTTCACCTTCTCCTAGCCTGCCTCAACCTGGGCTGCTTGTTGGAAGTCAGCTCCCGGGTTCCACATCATCTGGGAAATTCCTTTCCCTCTTCCGAACCGTAATCCCATTTCCCAAATCTGAGATTTGCTGTTGTTGTCGCTGTTTCCTTCTGTTTAGTTTTGTATTACTGTTTCTCCGTAGCAGAGCGAGTCCTCACGCTACGTCTTGATCTATGATAAACCGGTACTTCCACCTTGTTCTTTCCCGGAGGAGTTGGAATTTTCCGGCTGTTGCCACGTTGTTCTCCAAAACTTTTCCCTTCATACGCTGAGTGTCCTAAATCTTTTAATCTTGTCTAGTTTGACAGATGCATAACAATAAAGCATCCACTGAAAGGAAATTCTTTAACATCTTGCTTGTCTGAAACATCTTCATTCTCCCCTCCCAGATTCTTCAGCGAAACTTCGGTTGGACAGGAAATTTTAGGTGGGAAATTCATTTCCCTTGAAATTTCGAAGACATTTTCTGTTATGTTCTAGACTGAACTGCTGCTTTTGAGATGTCTGACTTTTGAGACATGTGGAATCCTAGCCCTTTCCATGTGACTTTTCCTTTCTCTGTCTCCCGCTCTCTAGAATCTGTTAGAATCTTCTCTTTTTCCTCAGCACTCTGAAATTTTCTGGTGAAATGTCTCAGCCACAGCATACCTCTAATTCTCTTATATTTCATCCTTCTTTCCATCATTTTAGGTTTTTGCTTTGTTCTGTGGGAGACCTTCTCAACTTCATTCTCCAACTTCCGTGGAGAGTTTTGTTTCTTCTCTCACAATTTTAACTTCAGAAATCCCTCTTTTCTCTGAGTATTTATTTGTAAAAGTATCCTATAACTGCTTGACGGGTGAAGTTCCTTCTGTCTCTCTCTGCTCACGCTCCGCTTCTCTTTTAGCCTCAGGTGGGCCTCCTCCAGAGCCAGGCTGCTGTGTTGCGGACCCTGAAGGCTCCGTGGAAGCAGATGGGCCCGCACAGCCAGCCCAACCCGCAAAACCCATCGCTTACGTGAAACCCTTCAGACGGCAGCCCCCAGCTCGCCCAGAGTCACCCCCTCCTGCAGAGAGAGGCCGGCGCCGGGGAGGAAGCCGGCGGCCAGGGCGAGGCCGTGGCAGAAGGGCTGGGCCCCGCGGGGACGCTGGCCAGAGACAGGGGGCAGAAGGCTTGATGGCACCGGACGTGCACATCCAACTGGACCACCATGGAGAGCCAGGCCACCAGGGGGAACCGGAAATCACGGAGACCGCAGCCTTCTCCCTTTCTGAAACAGGTCCTCCGCCTGGAACTGTGCAGGAAGGCCCTGGCCCCGACGTGGCGCAACCTGAGCTGGGGTTTCAGGAGCCGCCCGCTGCTCCTGGGCCTCAGGCTGTTGACTGGCAACCCGTCTTGACCCTCTATCCCTGCATCGGGTTTAGGGCTCTGGGTGACTCAGCGGTTTTACAAGTCATTCAAACCCCCCAGGGCACCTACGTGCAAGGGGTCCCAGTGTTCCTCACCGACATTGCGTATTGACCACTATCTGCCACCCACGTTGTTCCCAGCCTCCCTTCCTTCCACCTGGACGTTCCCCCCAGCCCCACTTCTGCTCCACTCCTCCCCCGACTGGACCTGAAGCCTGAGCTTCCCCTGAACTTGGAGTACGCAACTTACAACATGCAAGCTGCCAAACACCCTTTCTGTACAAGGCGATTGGAATGGAACTGTCATGTACAGTGAAAGTACACGTCACGTTTTTCAGCCAAGAAGAAGCCAACCCAGACAACCTGGAAGAAGTGGGATGCAACAAGGATCACTAAGCATGGAAATTAGGAAACTGTATTCTTAAGTCCAGAGAAGTACGATTCTGGAAAAAGGATTGATGACCTAGAATTAAAATTCCAGAAGACACTCATATAGACATGTGGGACATGCGAAAACTCAGAAGGAGCTAGAAGTTACTAAAGTGCTTCTCTAGTGCCTGGAGACGATAGACTGGCTGAATATAAGAGCAATAAAAATCTAGACTGACACATTTTTAAGTCTCAACGTGGGTACCCTTTGGGAACCACTAAATGAATTGGAATAGAAGGTAAAATTTCAAACAGATTGAGGAAAAAGGGGATCAAAGGACATGTGACGAATCAGACAAAAGGTGTTGGGGTGGGGGGGGGGGCGGTTAACGGAAGCAAGGAGAGTGCATGACTCACTGGAACCGCTAAACCAGGAATCAGTAATTTGACGGCAGTGTCCTTGGCTTCCTCCTGGCTTTAATGGGAATATTTTGAATGTTTCACCATTAACCAAGATGTTGGCTGTAGGTGTCTCTTAGATGTTTAAGTTGAGTTAGTTCCCATCTTTTCAGAGTTTGATAAATGTTGTATTATGAACTTTTGTATTTTGTATTTTATTAGGTAGGCTGTTGTTGGCTGGTTTTCACTCCTTTGTAAACGTCCAAATAAAATACAGATAACTTTTTACATCAAAGATTTTTCTCTTGTGTACTCAATCCTTCTAAATAAACCTTTCTCTTCAGACTTATTTTATAGAACAGTTCTTTCACTAAACTTTCACAAATCGCAAATACAAAATGTGTTTACTAAAAGCAGAAAGGAAGGTAGAAAAATGGCTCCAGTCTCTGTTCTCCATTCATATCGCATCTTTCCCCATAGTCACACAAGTCTACACCAACAAACGTGTACATTGAGAGCATCGTTTGTGGCTCGCTTTTACAAACACCTGGCGTGCCATGCGCCAGGGGTCCTGCTGAAGTGACTATAAGGTCCAGGCAGGCAACACAGGTGTGGTCAGGACCAGAGCCTCTGTGGAGTCCGTGCGTCTCCAAACTAGGAACAGGCGACTTCGTATTGAAGCATGGCATGGAGCACAATGAGCACTGTGCAGTGGGAGCTGCTTCTTGGCTTGCCATTGGGGTCTGTCATCCATAAGCCAGAAAGCCCCCTTGCAGTCATCCTACGCACATGTGCCACTATCTTCTTGCTGTATATCTGTCTGGAAAGATGCACAGCTTTTACATTATGCAGGTGGTGGTCTGCTGATACGCTACTTCCAGGATATTTCTACCACCAGAATGCTTCACTAAACATTGGTACGTGGAGTAAGACAGGGTCTCATTCCGTCATCCAGGCTGGAGTGCAGTGGTGCAATCACAGCTCAGCGCAGCCTGCGCCTCCTCAGCTCGGGTGATCCTCCAACATCAGGTTGCCAAGTAGCTCAGACTGCAGGCAGGCACCAAGAGCCCTTGGTAATTCCTCCTGGTTTATTTATTCGTTCATTTATTTATTTATTTATTTTGAAACAGACTCTCACTCTTTCACCCAGGCTGGAGCGCGGTGGCTTCGGCTCACTGAGAACTCCATTCCCGGGACTGAAGCGATTCTCATGTCTCGCCCTAATAAAAATAGGAAAATTAGCCAGGCATGGTGGTGGGCCACTGTAGTCCCAGCTGCTCGGGAGGCTGAGGCGGGAGAATCCTTTGAGCCCAGGA